>NC_000004.12:103296381-103921381 GCF_000001405.40 Homo sapiens
TGAACAGACACTTCTCGAAAGAAGACATTTACGCAGCCAACAGACACAGCAAAAAATGCTCATCATCACTGGCCATCAGAGAAATGCAAATCAAAACCACAATGAGATACCATCTCACACCAGTTAGAATGGCGACCATTAAAAAGCCAGGAAACAACAGATGCTGGAGGGGATGTGGAGAAATAGGAATGCTTTTACACTGTTGGTGGGACTGTAAACTAGTTCAACCATTGTGGAAGACAGTGTGGCGATTCCTCAAGGATCTAGAACTAGAAATACCATTTGACCCAGCCATCCCATTACTGGGTATATACCCAAAGGATTATAAACCATGCTACTATAAAGACACATGCAAATGTATGTTTATTGCGGCACTATTCACAATAGCAAAAACTTGGAACCAACCAAAATGTCCATCAATGATAGACTGGATTAAGAAAATGTGGCACATATAGACCATGGAATACTATGCAGCCATAAAAAAGGATGAGTTCATGTCCTTTGCAGGGACATGGATGCAGCTGGAGACCATCATTCTGAGCAAACTATCACAAGGACAGAAAATAAACACCACATGTTTTCACTCATAGGTGGGAAATGAACAATGAGAACACTTGGACACAGGGTGGGGAACATCACAGACCGGGGCCTGTCATGGGGTGGGGCACAGGGGGAGGGATGGCACTAGGAGAAATATCTAATGTAAATGACGAGTTAATGGATGTAGCGAACAAACATGGCACATGTATACCTATGTATCAAACCTGCACATTGTGCACGTGTGCCCTAGAACTTGTAAGTATAACAAAAATAAAAATAAAAATAAAATAAAATAGGAAAAAGAAAAACCCAAAAACCAAAAAACAAAAAAAAAAACTTTTAAGTTCAGGGGTACATATGCAGGTTTGTTACATAGGTAAACATGTGCCATGGGGGTTTGTTGTACAGATTATTTTGTCACAGAGGTATTAAGCCTAGTACCCATTAGTTATTTTCCCTGATCCTCTCCCTCCTCCCACCCTCCATCCAGTGTGTGTTGTTCCCCTTTATGTGTCTACGTATTCTCATCATTTAGCTCCCACTTATAAGTGAGAACATGAGCTATTTGGTTTTATGTTCCTGCATTAGTTTGCTAAGGTTAATGGCCTCCAACTCCATCTATGTCCCTGTAAAGGACATAATCTCATTCTTTTTTATGGCTGCATGGTATTCCATGGTGTATATGCACCACATTTTCTTTTTCTTTTCCTTTTGTTTTTTTGAGATGGAGTCTCACTCTGTCACCCAAGCTGGAGTGCAGTGGCACACAATCTCATCTCACTGCAAGCTCCGCCTCCTGGGTTCATGCCATTCTCCTGCCTCAGCCTCCCAAGAAGCTGAGACTACAGGTGCCTGCCACCATGCCTGGCTAATTTTTTATATTTTTAGTAGAGACGGGGTTTCACCGTGTTAGCCAGGATGGTCTTGATCTTCTGACCTCGTGATCCGCCTGCCTCGGCCTCCCAAAGTGCTGGGATTACAGGTGTGAGCCACCGTGCCCAGCCTCGCACCACATTTTCTTTATCCAGTCTATCATTGATGGGCATTTAGGTTGATTCCATGTCTTTGCTATTGTGAATAGTGCTGCAGTGTGTCTTTATAATAGAATGATTTATATTCCTCTGGGTGTATGCCCAGTAATGGTATTGCTGGTCAAATGGTATTTCTGTCTTTAGATCTTTGAGGAATCGCCACACTGTCTTGCACAATAGTTGAACTAATTTACACTCCTACTGACAGTGTATAAGTGTTCCTTTTTCTCTACAACCTCGCTGGCTTCTGTTATTTTTTTGTTTTAATAATAGCTATTCTGACTGGCGTGAGATGGTGTCTCATTGTGGTTTTGATTTGCATTTCTCTGATGATCAGTGATGTTGAGCTTTTTTCCATAGGATTATTGGCTGCATGTATGTCCTCTTTTGAGAAGTATATGTTCATGTCCTTTGCCCCTTTATCGGGTTGATTATTTTTTTCTTGTAAATTTATTTAAGTTCCTTATAGATGTTGGATATTAGACCTTTGTCAGATGCATAGTTTGCAAAATTTTTTTCCCATTCTGTAGGTTGTCTGTTTATTCTGTTGATAGTGTCTTGCTGTGCAGAAGCTCTTTAGTTTAATTAGATCCCATTTGTCAATTTTTGCTTTCATTGCAATAGCTTTTTGTGTCTTCATCATGAAATCTTTGCATGTGCCTATGTCCTTAATGGTATTGCCTAGGTTGTCCTCCAGGGTTTTTATAGTTTTTGGGTTTTACATTTAATTGTTTAATCCACTTGAGTTAATTTTTGTATACAGTATAAAGAAGGGGTCCAGTTCCAATCTTCTGCATATTGCTAGCCAGTGATCACAGCACCATTTATTAAATAGGGAATCCTTTCCCCATTGCTTGTTTTTGTCAAGTTTGTCAAAGATCAGATAGTTGTAGGTTTGTGGTCTTATTTCTGGGTTCTCTATTCTGTTCCATTGGTCTATGTGTCTGTTTTTGTACCAATACCATGCTGTTTTGGTCACTGTAGCCCTATAGTGGAGTTTGAAATCGGGTAGTGTGATGCCTCCAGCTTTGTTATTTTTGCTTATGATTGCTGTGGCCATTGAGGCTCTTTTTTGGTTCCATATGAATTTTAAAATAGTTTTCTCTAGTTCTTTGAAGAATGTCATTGGTAGTTTTGTAGGAATTGCATTGAATCTGTAAATTGATTTGGGCAATAGGGCCATTTTCACGATTCTTCCTATCCATGAGCATGCAATGTTTTTCTATTTGTTTGTGTCCTCTCTCATTTCTTTGAGCAGTGGTTTGTAGTTCTCCCTGTAAAGATATTTCACTTCCCTTGTTTAGATATGATCCTAGGTATTTTATTCTTTTGTGGCAATTGTGAATGGGAGTTCATACATAATTTGGCTCTCGGCTTGACTGTTGTTGGTGTATAGGAATACTAGCAACTTTTGCCCACTGATTTTGTATGCTGAGACTTTGCTGAAGTTGCTTATCAGCTTAAGAAGCTTTCGAGCTGAGACAATGGGGTTTTCTACATATAGGGTCATGTCATCTGCAAACAGGGATAGTTTGACTTCCTTTCTTCTTATTTGAATGTCCTTTATTTCTTTCTCTTGCCCGATTGCCCTGGCAAGAACTTGCAATATTGTGTTGAACAGGAGTGGTGAGAGATGGCATCCTTATCTTGTGCTGGTTTTCAAGGGGAATACTTCCAGCTTTTGCCCATTCAGTATGTTGGTGGCTGTGAGTTTGTCATAGATGGCTCTTATTATTTTGACGTACGTTCCTTCAATACCTAGTTTATCGAGCATTTTTAACATGAAGGGATGTTGAATTTTCTTGGAAGCCTTTTCTGCATCTATTGAGATCATCATGTGGTTTCTGTCTTTAGTTGGCTGTTATGTGATGAAACACATTTATTGATTTGTGTATATTGAACCAATCTTGCATCCTGGGGATGAAGCCTACTTGATCATGGTGGACAAGATTTTTGGTGTGCAGCTCTTTCTTTTTACCTCCCTGGGTTATTAGGAAGTTGATGTTGCCCTGAGGTTGTGGGGGCAGATCTCAGCAGAACTGGAAAAAAAACTGCATAAAGCTTGTTTCTCAATTTGGCATTGTGGTATTTTGGGGTCTACAGATAGTGTTCAAGGTTTTCCTTAAAAAATGTTTGCCTTTCTAACTTGGGTTTATTAGTATAGGCAATTACATATTGGATCTTGATTTTTCTCTCAAACATCTGAATGATTTCTCCAAGTTCTATTCATCTGCACTTTTTAAGGCATAGAGTAAATTTTTTTCATGCAAAATATTGGTGAAAACATTAACATAACAATTTCTTATGATTAAATTTGATACATTAAGCAACACTCTCATTTCAGGTAGGCATTAATTCACTCAGTTGTAAATTATCCAGATCATATTTCTCTAATTAATAACTACATCATTAAAAACTTCAAATGCTTTGCTACAACCCAAATATAATCTTTATGTCAACCTGGCTATCAGAAAACAATATTAGGGCTGGACGTGGTGGCTCATGCTTGTAATCCCAGCACTTTGGGAGACCGAGACAGGTGGCTCATCTGAGGTCAGGAGTTCGAGACCAGCCTGGCCAACATGGTGAAACCCCATCTCTGCTAAAAATGCAAAAATTAGCTGGGCATGGTGGCCCATGCCTGTAATCCCAGCTACTCAGGAGGCTGAGGCAGGAAAATGACTTGAACTCAGGAGGCGGAGGTTGCAGTGAGCCAAGATTATGCCACTGCACTTCAGCCTGGGTGACACAGCGAGACTCCATCTCAAGAAAGAGAAAATGATATTAGGTTTTTGCATAATTTATTCTTTATAATGCAAGGTTGGCTGCTAGTGGTTAGTACTTATAAATGTTCATGCACTCTGTTAATGATTTGTTCAAAATTTTTGCCAGTGATTGAAATATGATTTGAAAGTCTGTAGTTTCTAGAATATATATTTGAAAAATGAAACATGTGTCTGCTAATCTTCAGTCTTCTGCCAACTCCTTTATTCACTACAATGTCTTAAATACTGATATTTGTCCTTCATTATGCTTGAAAATCCTTTTAGTATTAGCGATAAAATTTGTCGTGGTCCCTAGTAGTGGGCTTCTTGCTTCTTCGTTTTGTTCTGACTATATTGTTTATTACCCTTTCCCCAGAAACAAACAAATTAACGAACAAACAAATAAAAAACACAATAAACCAAGCCAAAATTAAAACCAAAAACCAAAACCTGACTAAAATAACCTCTTTTAATTGGAAGGTCTGGTCTCGGGTGCTGAAAGCCCAGAGAAGAGGACTGCTTCTAACCTGCCTTCTGAGGTTTCCATGGTGTTCAGCTATTCTTGTAGAGTTTACTTTGCTTTTTAAGTATTTTTGCAGCTTTTAAATGTATTTAGATAACTTTTCATTATACTACCACATTTTTTTATGGGTTAGGAATGAAACAATAATTGCCAGAAGTGCCCAGAACTGTAGAGATAATAGCAAGAATTCACAGACAGGTGTTCTCCTGAGTCTATTTGCCCAATATCAGTTTGATTTGATAATCTCACCACAGAATCTCTTACTCATCACAGTATTAGCTACTTCTTTTAAAACTTTACCCCTCAGCTTTTGACTCTGTTGTTCTCCTCTCTGTTCAACACAACAAAATTCCAAGTCTTATTTATAAAGACTGTTCACTAGAACACCTAAGGTATTTAGCACACGGGAAAAATGTGTGCATATAAAGTTTTTATTATGCTCTTTCATTTGTGTTGCTGTGGTGTATGTCTGTTCTAAGTATGGATCTTTGATCTGATTAGTTGATTTTTGTGAGTAATTCCTTGATATTTTAAGCCAGTAGAGGTGTGCTTTAATTCAAGATACTAAAACACAGTTGCTAAACAGAACTTGGTACTCCTTAAGGATTCTGCCTTGTGATATATACAATTGTTATAAGGTACATTTTTCTTATCCAACTATAGACAATTTAATAATGTTTTAACTATAAGAAAATCTTTTAGGTGAAGAATGGCGTATATTTATTGTTCACTTTTTGCTGAAGAGAGACAAAACAAACTGATATTGAACTGCACATAAAGGATTGAAATAAATTTTGAGAAAAATTTCTTAATAATGAGAATAAAATATTAGAAGAGAATTCTGTCTCCTTTTTGGGAAGTGAGGTGGGAAGAAAGAAGGTAGAAATGAGGCCACTGAGAGTTCATATTTGGGGTAGAAAATTATATTCTATGATTTTCAGATGGGCTTTCATAAGATGGTAGGTTAAAGAAAATTTAAATTAGAGTCTCTCTTGGCTAGGTGTGGTGGCTCACACCTGTAATCCTAGCACTTTGGGAGGCCGAGGTGGGCGGATCATGAGGTCAGGAGATCGAGACCATCCTGCCTAATACAGTGAAACCCCTTCTCTACTAAAAATACAAAAATTAGCCGGGTGTGGTGGCGCACACCTGTAGTCCCAGCTACTCAGGAGGCTGAGGCAGGAGAATCACTTGAACCTGGGAAGTGGAGGTTGCAGTGAGCTGAGATCATGCCACTGCATTCCAGCCTGGCATACAGAGGGAGACTCCGTCTCAAAAAACAAAACAAAAAAACAAAACAATTAGAGTCTCTCTGGGAATTCAAGGAGGATATTAGAGGGTGATTGTATAGCAAACAGTATTTTAAGATCTTGGTTAATACTACAGTTTTATGATTAGCTGTTTTTAACGATTCAGTTGCAAGTTTACTTTACGTACATCACATTTTCTATAATTAAACCAAACGACACACATGTATTGAACATGATCATATAGAGGGCTCTTCTAAGTTGGCTGCAATTTGTATTTTCCTAAGGGCAGGCATTAGTGCTTAGGGGTAGAAATGCTTACTCTGAATACTCAGGTTGGGTTTAGATGATTCATGAAACTTCTTCTACCCACCCAAACTCTCAACTTCCTATGGTTTCATTATTTTGTGGAAGTTTAAGGATACTATGTGGGGGTGACTCTCCATGTATAGTGTATTTGGCAGTCTCACATGAGGCCAGTGATGCAAGTTGATCATGTATTATCTGAAATTCTCCAGGTCACACAGTAACTACTAGGACCACCCTTAAATCCAGGTGAAAGAAGCCTCTTCTTTGGGTGTTGTTATGAGCTGAATTGTGTCCTCCCTAAAGTTATATTGAAGTTCCAGCTCCCAGTACCTTAGAGACATGTTAAGACTTTTGACTGTAAGGCCAGGAATGGGGGCAGGAAGTAATCCAGAATTTACACCTGGGAAAGGAAGCATTGTTTACATATGCAGATCTCTGGGGTCAGATAACCTTTGGTGAATCATAACTTTAGCATTTTTTGACTGTGGCTGCATCAGTCCAGGTACTCCAGGTAGCAGATGCTAAGACAAAGTTAAAAGTGTAAGAAATTTGTTGGAAGTATACCTAGGGAAAGAAAAAAGGCAGGGCTAGCAGGAGCAAGCAGGGAAATCCTTCAGGAAATGCCACTGTTCAGGGTTTCAATTTCTTCTTGTTTTAAACTTGAGAGGTTGTATGTTTTCAGGAACTTATCCATTTCTTCTAGGTTTTCTATTCTGTGTACATAGAGGTGTTTGGATTATTCTCTGTGGGTTTTTCTATTTCTTGTGGTCAGTGGTAATGTCCCCTTTGTCATTTCCAATTGTGTTTATTTGGATTTTCTCTCCTTTTTTTCTTTATTATTCTAGCTAATGGTGTTAATCTTATTTATCCTTAGAAAGAACCACGTCCTACATTAGATCTTTTGTATGTTTTTTTTTTGCATCTCAATTTCCTTTAGTTCAGTTCTGATTTTGGTTATTTCTTGTCTTCTGCTAGCTGTGAAGTCGGTTTTTCTTGTTTCTCTAGTTCCTTTAGGTGTGCTACTAGGTTGTTAATTTGATATCTTTCTAAGTTTTTGATGTGGACATATAGTGTTATAAATTCCTTCTTAATACTGCTTTAGATGTATCCCAGAGATTCTGGTATGTGGTATCTTTGTTATTAGTTTCAAAAAATTTCTTGATTTCTGCCTTAATTTCACTGTTTACCCAAAAGTTGTTCAGGAGCAGGTTCTTTACTTTCCACATAACTGTATAGTTTTAAATGATTTTAAAGTATTTATATTTTTATTGCACTGTGGTCTAAGAGTGTGTTTGGTATAATTTCAATTTTTTAAAAGTTTGCTGAGGATTGTTTCATGGCCAATTGTGTGGTCAATTTTAGAGTATGTACCATGTGCAAATGAGAATGATGTGTATTCTGTTGCTTTTGGCTGGAGTGTTCTGTAGATGTCTTTAGGCCCATTTGGTTGTGTTGAGTTGGGTCGTGCATATCATATCTTTGTTAGTTTTCTGCCTCAATGATCTGTCTACTACAGTCAGTGGGGTGTTGAAGTCTCTCACTACTATTATGTGGTTATCTAGGTGTCTTCATAGTTCTCTAAGAACTTGGTTTTTGGATCTGAGTGCCCCAGTCTTGAATGCATATACATTTAGTATGGTTGATCTTCTTGTTGAATTGAATACTTTACCATTATGTAATGGCCTTCTTTATCTTTTTTGATTGTTGTTGGTATTCTTTTCTTTAAGAATGCTGAATATAGGCCCTGAATCTCTTCTGCCTTGTAGGTTTCCTACTGAAAGGCTCATGTTAACCTGATGAGGTTCCTTTTGTAGGTGACCTGCCCCTTCTCTCTAGTTGCCTTTACTATGTTTTCTTGCACATTGACCTTGGAGAATCTGAAGACTATGTGTCTTGGGGATAGTTATCTTGTATAGGATCTTGTAGGAGTTTTCTGCATCTCCTGAATTTGAATGTTGGCCTCTCTAGCAAGGCTGGGGAAACTTTTGTGAACATTATCCACAAATATGTCTTCCAAGTTGCTTGTTTTCTCTCCCTGTATTTCAAGGATACCAATGAATCATAGATTTGGTCTCTTTACATAATTTCATATTTCTCGGAGGTTTTGTTCATTCTGTTTTATACTTTTTTCTTTATTTCTTTCTCACTGAATTAGTTTGGATAACCAGTCTTGAGCTTTGAGATTCTTTCCTTAGCTTGGTCTATTCTGCTGTGGTCTACTTGTGATTGCATTATGAAATTCTTGTAGTATGTTTTTTAGCTGTATCAGATCAGTTTTGTTCCTTCTTTTAATGGCCATTTATTGTTTCAGCTTCTGCATCATTTCATTGTAATACTTAGATTCCTCGGACTTCAACTTTCCCTGGAATCTTGATGATCTTCATTCCTATTCAAAAAATTGTGAATTGTATGTCTGTCATCTTAGCTATTTCAGCCTTACTAAGATACTCTGGCTTTTTGAGTTGCCAGAGTTCTTGAGCTGGTTCTTTCTCACTATGTGGGCTAATGTTCCTTTAACTGTGATGTAATTTGAGTACACTTTTATTTGATTTCTTTTCTGGATGTTTTCAGAGGGCCAAGGCTTTGTGTAGGGTCTTTATTTGTAGCTGACTTCTTGTCCTTGGTTTCACAGGAGGGCATATTAGCAAAGTATTTTTGGTGTTGAATTTTGGGCTTTGATCCAGTAGATGGTGTTTAAGCATAATGGCCAATAGCTAGGCTCTTGCTTGGCCACGTGGCTCCTCTGTGTTTCCTCATGATTGCGGCTGTGCTCCCACTCAGTGCTTTGAAGTTGTGGGCTCCTCTCCTCCTTCAGTGCTGGCTGTAGATCTTGGCTTGGTATACCACAGCCCTGGAGTGAGCTCAGGCTTTATGTTCCTTCCCCAACTTGGAGGCAGCAGGGCAAGGGGCCTTGGAAGTGGCTGTGGCAGAGGCAGAGGGGCTTTCATTTGTTTCTTGGGGCTCCACTCAAAAGAAAAGCAGAGCCGCTGCCAATTGGTGTGACTGGCCTGGGGTGGGGCAGCTGTGTTGTGAGCCCAAGCTGTGGGGCCCTGCCTGGTGATGAATTGGGGGTGGGGAGCTCACAAGGGAGATAGAGTGGTCTCTTTTCCTTAGGGAGACTGCAGCTTGCTGGAGTTGTGGGTAAAGCCTTCAGGATCTTTGTTCCTTCCCCATTCTAAGGGCAGTACCACTGCAGTGGCAGGTGCAGAGGGACTTTCAGTTGCCTCTGGGAGCTCTATCTCAGAGAAATGCAGAGCCACTGTTAATGGAAATGTTCAGCCATTTCCATGTCCAGCCACTGGAAATGTTCAGCAGTGCAGGAGTGGCTGCACTGCTGGCTTGAGCTGGGGGGCCCTGATTGGCGAAGAGTGGCGGGGGGGGGGGGGGGGGGTGGAAGGATCACAGAGAGGAGAGACTGGGCTCCTTTCCATATGACAACAGTGAAGTGGCCTCATTGTTTGGGGTGACACCCAGAGCTTTTGGTCTCATGGCCAAGGAAATCAAGGATGTGACACACCAAGGATGAGGTTGAGAATAGAAATTTAATAGGAAAAAGAAAGAGAACAGCTCTCTGCTACAGAGAGGGATCCCAGAAAAAGGGTTGCTGTACTGCAGTGAAATGCAGGGGTTTTTATAGACGAGCTAGTGGGGAGGTGGTATCTGATCAGCATAGAGCATGAAAAACCAGTTAGGACCAGGTGTGCTATCTACTTAGGGTACAAATCTCTGGTAGCCCCCCACCCCAATGTTTTATTATGCAGGCAGTTCCTCAGCTTGAGCTATTCCATGTTGCTTATTTCTTTCTTACTGTGCATCTGCTAAAAAGGGGAGGTGGAACCCCCATGGTGGACGTGCCTGGTCCTTTGTAGCCCTTTCTATCTGTGCAACGGCCAGCATCCCCTCATGCAAGCTTCCAGCTTCCTTATCTATGTTTGCAGCCCAATCTTCCAGTTGCTGTTTGTTAGAAAAGAAGTGATTTCTTGGGCTGCTTTTTGTGAGAAGCGAAGTTCTGTCTGGGACTATTTGCCCTCACTATCTGTCTAAATCATTTTTATCTACTCCTGTATCAACATTGGTGTGCTGGAATTGCAAGTAAAGTTCCTAGGCTCTTAGTCGGGTGGCAGCAAGGTCAGAATCACTTCAGTGGCAGTGACAGAGCGGCTGTTGTTTGCCTCTGGAAGCTCCACCCCAGAGAAACAGAGCCGCTGCCAGTGGGAATGTTCAGCTGGGGGTGGGGCAGCTGCTCTGCAGTCATGAGCTTGGGGCCCTGCCTGGTAAAGAGTCCGGGGTGGCGGTTCACAGGGAAGAAAGTCTGGGCTCCTTTCTGCATGATGGCTGCCATGTGCTGGGGTGCCAGCATAGCGACCACACCCTTTCTTCCTCTCCCAGACCGAGAGCAGCAAGGGCAGTACCACTGAAGCTGCAATGGCAGAGGGACTTTGGGTTGTCTCTGGAGTTTCCTCCCTGGAGAAATGCAAAGCTGCCACTGACTGAAGTATTCAGGCTGGGGCAGAGTGGTTGTGCTGGGGGCCCAGGTGGAGAGGCCCTCCACGGTGAGGAGCAGCTGAGGCACGGACCTGCATCGAAACAGACTGGCCGCTTTTCTGTAAGGCAACGGAACTATGCTGAGGGTCCATGTTAGATTCTAATCACTGCTTTTCCTCTGGAGTCCGAGGGTAACAGGAGAGAGGACTGTGTAGCAGCAAACATGAGAGCCTGTCTGCTGCCTCTGGTAGCTGCGTCTCAGGGAAGTGCAGAGCTGTTCCCCGATGGAGAGCTCAGGAGTGGTTGGGGTGGCTGCATTACGGTCCCAGGCCAGTGGGCCGTGTCCAGAGAGGTGCAGTAGAGGTGAGGCCTGCTGTTCATCCACTGCTCAGTCCACGGATTCGGCCCCTATCCTGGGGGCATGCTAGGGATCCTGGCCTCCGATGTTGCAGGAGCTGCAGCTGCTGGTGCTGGGATGCCCAGGGATCAAAGAGTCCCGTACTTCTCATGTGCCTGAACTGTGACTGTGCCCAGACTCCACATGGCTGTCTTTTTCAGTCTGGAGGCCCCGGCTGGGGGAGAGTCATGGGGGAATCTCTTGATTTCAGGGTTGCAAAGTTCCGTGGCAGAAATGTGGGTCCCTAGGAACTCTCACTAGCTCACTGTTTCTTCGCAGTGGGAGTCTCCCATGGCTCTGCGCCACTCCTGGGTGGGTGGCTGTCGTGTCTCACTCTTCTCTGTTCTACATAGGTCGTGTTGCTTCCTTGATGATTCCCAGTGCGTCCTCCTGGAAGATCCAGTTGAAGAGCTAGTATTTACTCAACACTCTTCTCTCTGTGAGAGCGGCCCACACTAGTTGCTCCTAGTCATTTATCTTGGCCGGAATCTTCTCTGTTCTCTGGTTATCTCCATGTCTGCCCCCTGCCAACACTGACACATTAAAAAAAAAAAAAAAAAAAAAAAAAGATGCCTTGGAACAGTTCCAGAGGATGAAGTTTTTTTCTCACTATTTATGGGAAACGGGGAGCTTCGCAGCCAAGCTCCTCTTCAGCAGCAGCACAGACCCCTGCCTCTTGCCTCATTTCTCACTTCCACCCTGGAAGTTGCAGAACACGCATGTGCACTGCACAGGCCTGTGAAGGTGGGATCAGCACGTCCTGCCAGGCACCATCTCCAGCGCAGGATACTGGAGCTCCCTGTTGAGCAGTGCAGGTTATATAGAATAGGTTAGGAGTTAGGGCATAGGGCTTGGGTTAGGTGTTAGAATCTACATGGCTGATTCTTGCTTACACTGTTGAATTTACTTTTGAGGACTAACCTGAAAAATGGTTTCTCAGATTCCCTTGAATCACAACTTTACAGATATTTTTTGACATTTTGGCAGTAACAGTTTTTATAGTGAAGGTAATATAAAGATCAGGATGAGATAATACAGTCACCAATAAAAATATGAAAATTGTGAGCTTGAGAAAGCTGACTCTGGGGATTGAGAACATGCTTTGAAAATAAGACCAGCTATTATACATTTAGATGTTAAAACTGAATGAGATACAGAAATCAATTTGAATTTTTGGGTGTCAAGTTGATATACTTCAAGTGTCTAATTGTTTTCTAATTGACTATAAGATGATTTTATTTTTCAGAGAAAAATACTGTTGAGAAAACAGAGAAAGATTTTCTTTTGCTGCTATTTTTTGCTATTAGTTTAGAGGAGCTGAAGGTGGCAAAGTGATAAAAGAGTGCCTCAGGATTCACACAAAACTTAATAGATATTTGACTCATAAACCCACGGTGTGGTAAACCTATTCCCAGGTCAGAATACAACAGTCTTTGAGCTAACTTTCTAGTGTGTATTACACAAAGCTATTTCTTTTCTTATGCTCTTTCTAGCTGGGAGAGTGCACACAGTAAGAATTACAGTTCCCACTTTACAGGGAATTGGGGCTGTAACCACCTTCTGATAGTTGCTTCTAATTATTTTAGTATGAAAATGAGTTTTTCAAAACATATCATTAAAAAAATATTACATGTTGTAAAAAGTCAACCTGTACATAAATTTAAAGTGTTCATTCATTTACTTAGCAATTATTTGTTGAGTGCCTATTGTATCTCAGGCACTGTTCTGGTCCTGTGAATACATCAGAAAATATATCCAACAAAAATTCTTATCTTTGTGAAGCTTACATTGTAATGGGAGAAGACAGATAATAATAAAATAGTAATAAATTATATAAGATGTTTGGAGTGATAAATCCAATGGGGAAAAATAGAGCAAGCTAAGAGGGACTGGGAATACAAAGGCAGTCGGGGAGATTACAACTTAAATGAGGTGGTCAGATATTACCCCATCTATAAAGTGATATTTCAGCAAAACTTTAAAGGAAATGGGAAGATGAGTTATGAGGCTATCAGGGAAAAGAGAATAGATAACAGCCAGTGCAAAATACCTGAGGTGGCAGATGATGGTGTAGCAGGAACCATGAGGAGGTCAATATGGCTCAAGAGGGCTGAATGGGAGAAGTAGTAGAAAGTAAACTAGAGGAGTGAAATCAGGGATGAGAAAGGAAGTTGGTGGACAAACTTGGGGGAGTTTGTTATGAAGTCTAAGACTTTTTACTTGGAGAGAAATTTGGAGGCATTGGAGGGTTTGAGCAGGTAAATGACTTGTTCTGACATCTTTTTAAAGGAGTATTCTGGTTGTTTATGTTAAGAATAGAGTGTACGGGGCATGTGTGGAAGCAGAATGAATAGCAAGAAGGCTACTGTTAAAGTCCAGGAGAAAGATGCTGGCAGCCAGGATCAGGGGGTAACAATGAAGGTGGTGTGGAGTTTCTGGGTTTTGAACATGCCAGTGTTTTGAAATGACAGCCAACAAGATTTCTGGATAGGTTATATGTGGGGTTTGAGAGTGAGGAGTCAAGTATGACTCTAATCTCTTTGGCCTGAGCAGCTGGAAGGATGGAGCTGACATTGACTGAAATTGGGATGATTCAAGTCAAATAGGTTTTAGGGGAAAGATCAAGAGTTTCAGCTTGAGATGCCAGTTCATCATCCACATAGACTAAGTGAGTATTGGTTGAAAGTAGTCCCAGGCCAGAGATAGAAAGTTGGCATTTGTTTAAAGCCATGACACTGGGTAAGCTCATCTAGAGAATAAGTGTACATTGAGAAGAGATTAGGACCAATGACTGAGCTCTAGGAATTACAGTCTTTTTTTTGTTGTTGTTGAGAAACTTCTCCAATTTTGTTTTATTTTATTTTAATTAATTAATTAATTTATTATACTTCAAGTTTTAGGGTACATGTGCACAACGTGCAGGTTTCTTACATATGTATACATGTGCCATGTTGGTGTGCTACCCCCATTAACTCGTCATTTAACATTAAGTATATCTCCTAATGCTATCCCTTCCCACTTCCCCCACCCCACAACAGGCCCCGGTCTGTGATGTTCCCCTTCCTGTGACCATGTGTTCTTGTTGTTCAATTCCCACCTATGAGTGAGAACATGCAGTGTTTGTTTTTTTGTCCTTGCGATAGTTTGCTGAGAATGATGGTTTCCAGCTTCATCCATGTCCCTACAAAGGACATGAACTCACCCTTTTTTATGGCTGCATAGTATTCCATGGTGTATATGTGCCACATTTTCTTAATCCAGTCTATCATTGTTGGACATTTGGGTTGGTTCCAAGTCTTTGCTATTGTGAATAGTACTGCAATAAACATACGTGTGCATGTGTGTTTATAGCAGCATGGTTTATAATCCTTTGGGTATATACCCAGTAATGGTATGGCTGGGTCAAATGGTAATTCTAGTTCTAGATCCCTGAGGAATCGCCACACTGACTTCCACAATGGTTGAACTAGTTTACAGTCCCACCAACAGTGTCAAAGTGTTCCTATTTCTCCACATCCTCTCCAGCACCTGTAGTTTCCTGACTTTTTAATGATCGCCATTCTAACTGGTGTGAGATGGTATCTCATTGTGGTTTTGATTTGCATTTCTCTGATGGCCAGTGATGATGACATTTTTTCATGTGTCTTTTGGCTGCATAAATGTCTTCTTTCAAGAAGTGTCTGTTCATATCTTTTGCCCACTTTTTGATGGGGTTGTTGGTTTTTTTCTTGTAAATTTGTTTGAGTTCATTGTAGATTCTGGATATTAGCCCTTTGTCAGATGAGTAGATTGCAAATTACAGTCTTTAAGAGTGAATTGAAGAGATTGAAGAGAAGTAACAAGCAAAGGAGATTGAGAAGGATTGGTCAATGAGAGAAAAGGAAAGCCAGGGGAGGTGCTGTCTCAAAAAATCAAGTGAAAAAAGTGTTTTCAGGAGGATAAAGTGGCTTAAGACCTATACTGCTGACAGGTCAGGTTGCAGAAGGATTGAACATTGGCCACTGGACTTAATAATGTGGAGGTCATCTATAACTTGACAAAAGCAGTTTTGGTGGAGGCATATGGAAACAAACAGTTTTGGTGGTGTGATAGCTTGATGGAAGTGGATTTCATAGAGCATAGGAAAAGATGAATTGGAAACACTGGGTTTAGTCAACACTGAGGAATTTGCTGTAAAGGAATATAAAGAAGTGTACAGTTGCTAAAAGGAGAAAAGGGCACAAAGGAACTTTTTTTTTTAAGAGTTTGTTTTTTAAGCAATCACAACAAAAGCAAAAATTGACAAATGGGATCTAATTAAACTTAAGAACTTCTGCACAAGAGAAACTATCAGCAGAGTAAACAGACAACCTACAGAATGGGAGAAAATATTTGCAAACTATGCATCTGACAAAGGTCTAATATACAGCATTTATAAGGAACTTAAATTTACAAGTGAAAAACAAACAACCCCATTAAAAAGTGGGCAAAGGACATGAACAGACACTTCTCAAAAGAAGACATCCATATAGCCAACAAAAATGAAAAAAACAGTATCACTGATCATTAGAGAAATGCAAATCAAAACCACAATGAGACATTATCTCACAACAGTTAGAATGGCAATATTAAAAGGTCAAAAAATAACAGATGCTGGTGAGGTTGGGGAGAAAAAGGAACAGTTATACACTGTTGATAGGAGTGTAAATTAATTCAACTATTGTGGAAAGCAGTATGGCAAGTCCTCAAAGAGTTAAAAGCAAAACTATCATAAAACCCAGCAACCTTATTACTGGGTATATACTCGGAGGAATAGAAAGCATTCTACCATGAAGACACAGCACGTGAATGTTGATTTCAGTGCTATTCAAAATAGCAAAGACATGGAATCAGCCTAAATGCCCATCAATGACAGACAGGATAAAGAAAATGTGCTACATATACACCATGGAATATTATGCAGCCATAAAAAGAATGAGATCATGTCTTTGGCAGGAACATGGATGGAGCTGGAGCTATCATCCTTAGCAAACTAACACAGGAACAGAAAACTCAGTACCACATGTTCTGACTTATAAGTGGAGCTAAATGATAAGAACTTATGAACAAAAAGAAGGAAACAACAGACACTGGGTTCTAACTGCGGGGGGGGATGTGGGGGAAGGGAGAGGAACTGAAAAGATAACTATTGGGTACTGGGCTTAATACCTGGGTGAAAAAATAATATATACAACAAACCCCCATGACACGTTTACCTATGTAACAAAACTTCACATGTACCTCCAAACATAAAAGTTTTTTAAAAAGTTTGTTTTTAAGGTAGAAGAAATAACAGTATGTTTATATGATGATAAGAATGATCCAGGACAGACAGAAACATTAATGATATAAGAGAAAGAAAGGAAAATTTCTATATTTAAATAGCGGGAAAGGATGGATCTAGTGCACAAGTAGTAGGATCGCTGATGGAGGGAGCACAGATCGTTCATCTATGTTAACAAGAGAAAGGCAGATGTAAGGATGCAGGTACTGGTAGGATGTAGTGGTAAAAAAAAAAAAAAGTCCTCAAACCTCCAACTCTCCAAAACCCTGCTCTGGTAAATGATTTCTTGTGCATTATTGTACATAATTGTGTGATGGGATTGCCCTTGCTAGAACTTCCAGTACTATGTTGAATAGAGTTGTCCATAAACATTTAGGTCCCCACTTAGCTATTTTGAATAATGCTGCTATGAACATGAGTGTGCAAATATCTCTTGAAGATCCTGCTTTCAGTTCTTTTTTTTTTTTTTTGTTTTTTGAGATGGAGTCTTGCTTTGTCACCCAGGCTGGAGTGCAGTGGCACAATTTCAGCTCACTGCAACCTCTGCCTCCCAGGTTCAAGTGATTCTCCTGCCTCGGCCTGCCAAGTAGCTGAGATTACAGGCATGCACCACCATGCTCAACTAATTTTTTGTATTTTTAGTAGAGATGGGGTTTCACCATGTTGGCCAGGCTGGTCTCAAACTCCTGACCTTAGGTGATCCACCTGCCTTGGGCTCCCAAACTGCTGGGACTATAGGTGTGAGCCACCACACGTGGCCTTCATTCTTTTGAATATATACCTAGAAATGGAATTTCCGAATCATATGGTAATTCTATTTTTAGTTTTTAGAAAACTTTATACTGTTTGCCACAGCAACTGCATCATTTTACGTTCCCTCCAACAAAGCACAAAGTTCCAATTCTTCCCTATTCTTACCAACACTTGTTATTTTCTGCTTTTTAAAAAATAATGGCAATTCTGCCAGATATGGTGGGTCACACCTGTAATTCCAGCACTTTGGGAGGCCAAAGGAAGATATTTCACCTATAGCTTACATATGGAAAGCAAATGAAAAGTATGAGCCTCCATCAGGATGGAAGTGGGGGGAATACTCCAAGCACAGCCTCTAACTGTGGTCCTGCAGTACTTTGGTTTACATAGGAGTATATGTGTGTGTGTGTGTTTGATCAATCCCAAATCACTGTTTTGCTCTCTACTCCTGCCATTTTCTCAATTCCTCTGCATTCCAAATGTGTTACACGGGAACTTCGGTTTTTTTTTTTTTTTTTTTTGAAGGAGTTTCACTCTTGTCACTGAAGCTGGCATCCAGTGGTGCAATCTCAGCTCACTGCAACCTCTGCCTCCTGGGTTAAAGCAATTCTCCTGCCTCAGCCTCCTGAGTAGCTGGGATTACAGGCACCTGCCACCACACCTGGCTAATTTTTTGTATTTTTAGTAGAGATGGAGTCTCACCATGTTAGTCAGGCTGGTCTTGAACTCCTGATCTCAGGTGATCCACCCACCTCAGCCTCCCAAAGTGCTGGATTACAGGCGTGAGCCACTGTGCCTGGCCCGGGTTTTTAATTTTTTAAATTTAATTCAATTTAATTTAATTTTAGGTTCCAGGATACATGTGCAGAACGTGCAGGTTTGTTACATAGGTAAACATGTGCCATGGTGGTTTGCTGCACCTGTCAACCTATCAACTAGGTATTAAGCCCTGCATGCATTAGCTATTTGTCCTGATGCTCTCCCTCCCCCCACACCCCCAATAAGACCCAGTGTGTGTTGTTTCCCTCCCTGTGTCCATGTGTTCTCATTGTTCAGCTCCTGCTTATGAGTGAGAACATGTGGTGTTTGGTTTTCTGTTCCTGTGTTAGTTTGCTGGGGATGATGGCTTTCAGCTTCATCCACGTTCCTGCAAAGTATATTATTTCATTCCTTTTTATGGCTACGTAGTATTCCATGGTGATATGTGCCACATTTTCTTTATCCAGTCTATCATTGATGGGCATTTGGGTTGATTCCATGTCTTTGCTATTGTGAATAGTGCTGCATTAAATATATGTGTGCATGTACCTTTATAGTAGAACGATTTATATTCCTTTGGATATATACCCAGTAATAGGATTGCTGGGTCAAATGGTATTTCTGGTTCAAGATCCTTGAAGAATTGTCACACTGTCTTCCATAGTGTTTGAACTAATTTACATTCCCATCAACAGCGTAAAAGTGTTCCTATTTCCCCACAGCCTCGCAAGCATCTGTTGTTTCTTGACTTTATAATAATGGCCATTCTGACTGGTGTGAGATGGTATCTTATTGTGGTTTTGATTTGCAGGAGGTTGAGGCTGCAGTGAGCTATAATCACACCACTGCACTAGAGTCTGGGTGACAGAGTGAGACCTTGTCTTTATTTTTTGACTCTTTTACTTTCAGTTTTTGTGTGTCCTTAAATCTAAAGTGAGCCTCTTGTAAGCAGCATATTGTTTGATCTTTTTTTTAAAAAAAATTTATCCAGCCACTCTGTGTCTTTTTATTGGGGAATTTAATCCATTTACATTTAAATAATTACTAATAAGGCAGGACTTACTATGATCATTTTGTTGTTTTGTGTATATATTATAGTTATTTTGTCTCTTTTTACTCCATTCCTGCCTTCCTTTTGTGTTTCATTGATTTTGTCAGTGACATACTTTGATACGTTTCTCATTTTCTTTTATGTATCTTCCATGCATATTTTCTTTGTGGTTACCATGGATATTATATAAAACATCTTAATTATATCAATCCATTTTAAAGTGATAACAATTTAACTTCAATTACATACAAAGCTGTACTCTTTCACATCCCACCACCACCCACTTTGTGTCATTGATGTCATAAATTACACCTTTTTATTTTTTGTATTCATTAACATGGTGTCCTAGTCCATTTGGGCTACTATAATAAAATACCATAGATTGAGTGGCTTATAAACAACAAAAACATATTTCTCACAATTTTGGAGTCTGGGAAGTCTGAGATCAAGGCCTGGCAGATTCTGTGTCTGGTGATGGGCCACTTCCAGGTTCATAGACTGCTGTCTTCTTATTGTGTCTTTAAGTAGTAGAAGGGAATTTGGACTTGCTCCAAATTACACCACCACCCTTTTTGGCTCTCCAATTTGTGGACAGCAGATTGCCAGCCTGAATAATCATGTGATATGATTCCTAAAACCATTCAATCAATCAATCAATCAATCAATCCTGCTAGTTCTGTTTCTCTGGAAAGCCCTAATACATGCAGTTTTATATAGATTTTTAAAAATGCTTTTATGTTTTGAATTCTATACCAGAATTTAAAGTGATTTATATGCCACCATTACAAAATTACAGGATGCTATATTTGTCTATATATTTACCTTTACTAGAGAGCTCTATATTTTCATATGCTTTCATGTTGCTGTCTGGTATCACATTCTTTTTTTTCATCTTGAAAAACTCCATTTAGCATTTCTTTTAACGTAGATATAGTGGTGCCAACCTCTGTTAACTTTTGCTTTTTGGAGAAGGTCTTTGTTTCTCTTTCATTTTTTTTAAGAATAATTTTGCTGGTTATAGTATTTGTGGTTGACAGTTTTTTTTTTTTCTCCTCAGTACTTTGAATATATAATCTCCTTCCCTTCTGTCTTGCAATGTTTCTGCTGGGAAATCTGTTGATAATCTTATGAAACCTTCCCTGTATGTTTCAAGCTGCTTTTTTCTTGCTGTTTTCAAGATTTTTTCTTTTTCTTTGTCTTTTGACAATTTGATTATAACATACCTCTGTACTGTCCTCTTTGGAGTCATCATAGTTGGAGTCTTCTGAGCTTTCTGAATTTGGATGTTCACTTCCTTCCTCATATTTGGGAAGTTTTCAGTGACTATTTTTTCAAATAAGCTCTAACCATTTCTCTTTCTTTTCTCCTTCTGTAATTTCCATAATGTGTATGTTGATTCATATTATCATGTTTCATAAGACTCTTAGGCTTTCCCCTCACTTTTCTTCTTTTCTTTTAAAATGACTTTTAAAATTCACTGATTTTTTTTCTGTTTTCTCTAGTTTATCATTGAACCTCGCTAATGATTTTTTTAAAAATTCAGTTATTGTGTTCAAGTCCAGAATTTCTATCTAGTTCTTTCTTATTGTTTCAATTTCTTTCTTCGTATTGTCATTTTGTTCACACATCGTTTTTGTGATCCCTTTGGTTGCTTCTCTGTGTTTCTTGTAATTCATTGAGCTTCTTTAAGATGACTATTTTGAATTCTTTTTCAGGTGATTGATACATCTCTGTTTCTTTTAGAGTCATGCATCCCAAGCAGTTGGGATGCCATAACTAAATGCCGCAGACTGGGTGGCTAAAACAACAAAAATTTATTCCCTCACATTCTGGAGGCTGAGATATTTAATATTAAGGTGCCAGCCAATTTGGTTTCTATTGAGGTCCTCTTCCTGGCTTGCAGATGTCCACCTTCTTGCTGTGTCCTTACATGGTAGAGAGGGAGAAAGAAAGAAAGACAGACTCTCTGGTGTTTCTTCTTATAAGAACACTAGTCCTGTAGGAATGGGGTCCCATCCTTTTGGACTCATTTAACTTTAATTTCCTTTTTATAGGAAATTACTCAGATATAGGATCTGAGTACCATCAGACTAGGTATTAGGGCTTCAACATACGAAGTTTGGGAAGGACAAAATTCAGTCTGTATCAGGTCAGTTTTTGGAAATGTACTTTGTTCCTTTGATTGGGCCATGATTACTTGTTTCTTTGTCTGTCTTGTTATTTTAGTGATTAATTGATAGATTGCTGGAATTTTTTTTTTCGTTTGAGAAGGAAGCCATCTCTGCAAATCTTTAAGGACTGGCTTTGTACAGGGAAAGACCTTCACTGATCAGTCTGACTAGAGGTTCTGGGGGCCTTTCTTTCAAACCTTTTCTGGGTATATGTCTTCTTTGAGCTTGCATGTATCTTTTCTTTCTTTTAAGGTGTTGAAAAGTCTCTTTATATATGAAACAGCCTTGGTTTGGTACTATATCGTTTATGAGACTGAAAATGAAATTACAGGACATAAAATATAAAAAAACCTAATCCATATCATGTAAGAAGGAAGCTTGGCAATTTAAAGGACTTCTCATGTGCTACACTTGAGGCCACAAATATGGCATGTGGAGAGGAAATTAGTTCAAATTATGCTCAGATTGCCTTGTTCAAGGGTAACACTTCTTCCATGAGCTCAATTGTGAAGCCTGGCATCCAAGACAGGTATTGATTTCTGTGCCTTCCCCTGCTCCTCCTCCTTCTCCTTATTCTTTTCAATAGCAGGTAAGCTTACTGTAAAATCATCGGCTCTTTTATTATGTAAAACTTGTGAATGCTTTCTGATCTTAAACATGAGCAGTAAATTATTAAGAGATATTATGTTCTCTGAAGACACAGAGGAGAAAATTTTGAGAGGTTTTCAGGAGTTTGTAATTTCTTGCTTCCTCTGGTGTCTGTCTTCAGTACCGCAGGTTCTCCGGCACAGCAAAGAACTGCCTGGCTCTCTTGCTCTCAGCGGTGTCAAGGCATTCAAGCTATGCTGGTTCCTGCTAGTGCTTCAAGTTAAGCAAGACAGAAAACAGTCCCTCAGGTAGCCCCTGGGAAAGCTAAAACATTGGATGTATGTTCTACTCTTCTCTTTTCCTCTTTAGAAACAAGCCATAAGTTGGGCACTTTCTCCTGATTGAGCTGAGCTGTGCTAGCTTGGGGGAAGGGCTATTATGTGGATGTTTTTGGCTTTGCACTCTTGCCTGTCGTACTGTAATTTCTTGTTTCTGAAGTTCTCTAAAGATTTTTAGACTGTATATTGTTAACTATGTCTGTTTTGGGGACTGAGATTTGTGGCTTCCTATTTTGCCATCTTACTGACATGAGTCCTGATATGCACTTCTTTTAAGGATCCTTTTACAAAGCCCTACCCTACAACTTTTGCTTATATCTCATTTCCCAGGATACTGCCACATGATACCTATCTGCAAGGGAGGCTGCATAAAGTAATTTTTCAAAATCTGGGTTTGATAGTAATAGAAAAGTTAAGAATTTACATCTGGTAGTCTAGACTTCCTTTGCTACTCAATATACATCCATATTCATTCTTCCTGCCATATGTGGAATACTCTCTCTCTTTAAGAGAGACAACTCCAAGGTCTCATATATTCACTTCATCAGCTAATTTAGTCTCATTTAGTCACTTCATAAGCCATGGTATACTGCCGTGATTCTCAAGTCATGAGTACCAAATCCCTGAGGTATATATACCAAGCATTATCAGTCTACTAAGTTATATTAATCAACTAATAATCAATTATGCTATAATTAGCCCAAAAAGTCATACATACATGCACAAAAAATTAAATATAGGATGATACAGTTGTGATAACTGAAACTTAAAAAATTTTAAATGTAGTGGTGCAAGATTCTGATTAATGTAATGTCCTCTTCATTGGATCCTAATATGGCTTCTGTGGTTCAGTAGCTTATAAACCAAAAGACAAGCTATCTGTCCCAAGCACCACATTCCCCCCATCCCCATTATATGAATGGAGAAAAAAACCAAGATAATCACAGTAAAACCACTTATTAAAGGGGAAAATTAGAAATGGCATAGTGGACATTGCCCATAATGATGCTTGAACAGTGTTGGACAGGAACATCAAGGACTTACTGCCTTAGCTAAAGGTGAAAATTCTTGATTAGGTTATCTGGTAGACCATGATTCTGTTATCTGGGAGAAACTCTCTAGTCTACTGTCCTCTCTTATCCTCTGGTAGGTTTAAATCTTGTTTTTATTGAATTACATCATTACAAACAACATGCAGTGAACATCATGTATCCTAATTAAAAATTAACAGATATTTCCCAATTGTCCCCTAATTTAGTTTATACCCAGTGATAGAATATTTTTGGAGTACCCCTTTTTAATACAAAGAACTTCATGGTTGCATATATTATGTAATTGTAGTTACAGTCCTTGTTGCTTAATATAATACATAATGACACCACTGCATTTAAAAACTTTTCAATTTTAGTTATAACAGTATCATCCTATATTTATTTTTTTGTGCATGTATGTATAAGATGACTTTGTTGGCTAATTATGACTTAATTGACTAATTGTTACTAATATGACTTAGTAGGCTGATAATGCTTGGTATATATACCTCAGGGATTTGATACTCATGACTTGGGAATCATGGAACTAGACCATGAGCTTATTTAGCTGCAGACTTATGCTTGGCCCTTTGCAGCATTTGGCACCAAGGTTTGCACATGGCTGGTCCTCTGGAAATGTTAGTTGGTTTGCATCCCTTTTTTGATCACTATCAATTGCTTCAAACTGGGGTTGCTTTCCTCTCAAAATCACCATCGGAAAGAAATGTAGATTCTCACAATTTATCCTATCCTTTTGAAATGAGGCTTTTTGTTTTCTAAGAATCATTTTTGTTTTGGTATCAACAACTACTGGGAAATAAGAAAATAAGAAAAAGATACCTTCACTTTTTGGCTGCCTTCAGTAATTGGCATTAGGATTGGGAGTAGCATGGGTCTAAAAAAGCTAGGCCAGGGATTGCTAGTAGAGGAGTAATAGAAGGTGTTGAGGACTGAGTGGACTGTATGACAATTGCCATGTTAGAGTGCAAGCCCATTTTTGCTACAGCTTTCATTTATTCAACAGCAGCCAGAAATGTAGACTTTATGATGCATCCTATTAAAATGATTAAAAATAAAGCATGACATAGCCTCCCCCCTCCAAAAAAAAAAAATCAAGTCTCTGGGTTGTATTTGGTCTGTAGCTTCTAGGTTTATAACTTCTGTGCAAGGAAATCTTTATGCTTTGGCTTGTATCTCATGCCTTTAAAGTTCTCGTTATTGTAAATAGCACACCAAATGTCAGGAACACTTTATAACAAACAATATCATATCATATGAAGGCTTTTGCCTAGGGTGCAAGAGGGACTTTATTAGAGAAGCAGCAGAATGGTAGGCAATGCATTGTGAAAAAGCTTGCTAAGGATTAGAATTTAGTGCAACAAAAAGATGACTGTATTTTGACAATTTTTAGTAAATGTATAGAGTTGTGTAGCTGTCATCATAATCCAATTTTAAAACTTTTCTCATACTCCCCAAATATCCCTCGATCTCACAGGCAATTAATCCCAGTTCCACTCTCTTTACTCCCAGGCAACTATTGATCTATTTTCTGTCTCTTTAAATTTGCTTTTTCTGGATATTTCATATATGGAATAATATAACATGTCATCTTTGTGTCTGGCTCCTTTCACTTAGCATAATATTTTTGAGATTCAGTAATTTTTAGGAATAAACACTTCTTCGTTTGTTGGGTGCCTTTGTTGGATTTCCAGTGGGCTAAAATGGTTGTTTGTGACAGTTTTGTCCAGCTTTAAAGCTGTTTTTTGAGGACCGGGTTGTTGAGCTCTTCTGTTTATGCTGGAAGTGAATCTCCTCTTTGGCAAATCTTTTGATTTTATTGATTGAATTTTTTCCATCTCAAGAAATTTAATCTAAAAGTTTAAATAGAAAATTTCTGAAAGAAAATTCTGGCTGATTTCTGTCATTTCATGGTCTTTACCCCTTTATCCCTGGTTTTTTGAAAATTTCTGTGCTCTTTATCATCCTCCAATTCTTCTCATAGCCTGTGGCTGCATCCCTCAGGTCAGTTGGCTCTCCATGGCATGTTCAAACTGTCCTCAGTCGTAAAAGAACACATGTTCTTGCTTTCTAAGCCATAGCTTATGGGGATTCTTTGAGGTTTCCTCAATCTGCCTTCCTAGAAGCTTCACGTAGCCATTTCAAATACACTCTTGTATGGCCCTGTTTGTCTCACAGTGGGGATGCTCTATAAATCTCATCCTTTCCCAGGTTCTACATCGAAGTAATGCACATATGTTTTTCTGCCTTCAGAACCTTAGTTCTATTTAAGGGTTTGCTGTTACTCTTTACAAGTCTAAAATCATCCTTATGTGGGGTTGGGGTACAAGGCCCTTTCTAAGATAAACACTGTTTTACAAGGGACAAATAACTAAAGATTATTTTTTAGATGATTTCTGATTTCTGTATTCCCTCTATCCAAAGACTTTATGTAGTTTGGCATGGGGTGTTTTAACTATCTCTATTTTTTCCAAGTTTTTTAAAAATTTATTTCATGAATATTATGCCCTGAATCTGTTGGAATTTAGATTTTGATATTTGAAAGTTTCAATTTCGAAACTCAGAAGACTTTTCTCTCAAAAGTGTTTTCTCTGCCATGAATTTTAGAAAGTTATGTTAAAACCCAAAAGCTATGAATTATTTTCCTTTTCTTATTATCTGTGATTTAATCCCTTTCTTGAAGTAATAGGCATTCTGCTTGAGGCAGCGGAGAAACATGGGATAAAATGAATAAATGGGACTGAGAAATAAATTATTTGACATAGGTAAACATTATTTTACTACATATATATTTTAAGAGTACAAAAAGTTTAGTGTTGAAAAATCTGGGGATTTTCTATTCTGTGGCATAGAACATGAGATAACAATAACAAATTATGAAGTAGTATATCTCATATTTTCAACCTTCATTTTTATTCTTTCTTGTTTCCTAATTCGAAGGTATCAAAACTAAATAATTCATGGTAGTTAGACAATAAATACTGATAAGTAAAAGTGTGTGGAATGCCTACCATTACCAGATAATATTTACAGATTACAAAAATTTTTTGTGTATAATGCTATACATAAAAAAGAGGATTTCATTCCATCTTTGGGAATAAGAGGACATGGGGTGAGAGAAGGCAGAACAATAGCAGCCAGCAAAAAGTGTTTTGGTGCAGAGAGATTATCTTGTGATTTGCTCCGCATTCTATCCCAACATACTGCCTGACTCTTAGTCTGCTGGCATGGGTCTACTTTATACACACATCTGAAGCCTCTTGTGCCTGTTATGTCTAAATATACTTTTAAAATCCACATTTCAAAAAGATACCCCTTTTATTTCTCTCTTCATTTATAAACTTCACTTAAAAATTAATAAAGTCCTCTCACTTTTTTTCCTCACAATCAAACCTATCAATGGGAGAGACTGAAAAACACTGTCAGCACAAAAGCTATAATTCACATGTATAGAAACAGCTAATCTTTTGCAGGTGTATAATTCCTCTGTGGAAACACAAGCATACTCCAGAGATATTGTGGGTTCAGTTTCAGGCTACTATAATAAAATGAATATCACAATAAAGCAAGTCACCCAAAGTTTTTGGTTTCCCAGTGCATGTAAAATTTATGTTTACACTATATTGTGGCCTATTAAGGCCACAATTTGTAAATTACACAAAGTGTAAATTGTATTTACACTAAAATACAATGTACTTAATTTAAAAATGCCTTTTTGCTAAAAAATGCCAACAATCCCCTGAGCCTTCAATGAGTCATAATCTTTTTGCTGGTGGAAGGTCTTACCTCAATGTTGATGGCTGCTAACTGATCAGAATGGTGGTTGCTGAAGGTTGAGGTGGCTTTGTGTGGGAATTTCTTAAAATAAGACAACGAAGTTTATCACATTGTCTGACTCTTCCTTTCAAGAATTATTTCTCTGTAGCATGTAATGTGGTTTGATAGCATTTTACCCAAGGTAGAACTTCTTTCCAAATTGGAGCAAATCCTCCCAAACCCTGCCATTGCTTTATCAACTAAGTTTATGTAATATTCTAACTCCTTTGTTGTCATTTTAACAATGTTTACAGAATCTTCACCAGGAGTAGATTCCATCTCAAGAAACCACTTTGTTCGTTTTGTTGAAGCAACTCCTCGTCTGTTCAAGTTTCATCATGAGACTGCAGCAATTCAGTCACATCTTCAGGCTTCATTTTAAAATTCGAATTCTCTTGTTTTTTCCCAACACATCTGCAGTTACTTCCTCCACTGAAGTCTTGAACTCCTCAAAGTCATCCATGGTGGTTGGAATCAACCTTCAAACTCTTTTTAATGTTGATATTTTGATCCCCTCCCCTGAATAATGACTGTTCTTAATGCTATCCAGAATGGTGAACACTTTCCAGAAGGTTTTCAACTTACTTTTCCTAGATCCACCAGAGGAATCACTATCTATGGCAGCTATAACCTTCCAAAATGTATTTCTTGAATAATAAGACTTGAAAGTCAAAGTTACTCTGAGTAATTATTCTGAGATGCAGAATAGATGTTGTTAGCAGGTAGGAAACACTGATCTCTTTGTATACCTTCATCAGAGCTCTTGGGTGACCAAATACATTGCCAATGAGCAGTAATATTTTGAAAATAATCTTTTTTCTAGACAGTGGCTTAAACAGTGGGCTTAAAATATTCAGTCAACCATGCTGTAAACAGATGTGTTATCATCTAGGCTTTGTTCCATTTCTCGAGCACAGGCAGAGTAGATTTTGCATAATTTTTTAAAGGCCTTAGGATTTTCAGACTGGTAAATGAGTGTTGGCTTCAACTTAAAGTTATCATCTGCATTAGCTACTAATAAGATAGTCTGTCCTTTGAAGCTTTGAAGCCAGGCATTGACTTCTCATCTGTAGCTATGTAAGTCCTAGATGGCATCTTCTTCTAACAGAAGGCTGTTTCATCTACATTGAAAATCTCTTGTTTAGTGTAGCCATCTTCATCAATGATCTTAGATAGATCTTCTGGATACCTTGCTGAAGCTTATCCATCAACATTTGCTGTTTTATCTTGCACTTTTATTTTTGGAAATGGTTTCGTTCATTAAACCTCATGTACCCACCTCTGTTAGCTTCCAACTTTTGTTCTGCAGTTTCCTTACTTCTCTCAGCCTTTGCAGAATTAAAGAAAGTTAGGGCCTTGCTCTGGATTAGGCTTTGGCTGAAGGGAATGTTATGGTTGGTTGGGTCATCTATCCAGACCACTCAAACTTCGTCCATATCAGCAACAAGTTTGTTTTGCTTTCTTATCATCTGCATTTTCACTGGAGTAGCACTTTTAATTTCCTTCATCTTCCTTTGTATTCAAAACTTGGCTGTTTGCTGCAAGAGGCCTGGATTTTTGGCTTATCTTGACTTTCAACATACCTTCCCCTCTAAGCTTAATAATTTCTAGCTTTTGATTAAAAGTGAGATATGTATGACTCTTTCACTTGAACACTTAGAGGCCATTGTAGCACTTTTAATTGGCCTAATTTCAATATTGTTGTGTCTCAGGGAATATGGGGACTCACAGAGAAGGGGAGGTGTGAGAGAATGGCCAGTGAGTGGAGCAGTCCAAACGCATACAATATTTATCAGTTAAGTTCACCATCTTATATGGGCATGGTTTGTGGTCCCCCAGAACAATTATAATAGTAACATCAAAGATCACTAATCACAGATCATCATAACACATATAACAATAATGAAAACGTTTGGAACATTTTAAGAATTACCAAAATGTGACACAGATACACAGAGTGAACATATGCAGTTGGAGAAATTGTGCCAATAGACTTGTTCAACTCAGGGTTCCCACAAACCTTTAATTTCTTTAAAAAACCCCCACAGTCTGTAAAGCATAATAAATCAAAGTACAATAATATAAGCTATGCCAATAAATAGAATCTTCTATCAAGATTATCCACATTGTAGCACAAAAATGCAAAAAATGCAACTCCTAATAATCTGAAGGAATGACTGGCTTTAGAAAATATTTACATTTAATATTGCAAAGAGAATTAGACCTATAGAAGATAACCTGTACTGTCTATATCATTTACTATATTGTTGTACCTTCTCAGCAAGAGGTGGTACTTTAGATTCATTGAATGCATTCATTGTTTGGAATTTCCTGAGTACTAATGTAAAAATACATCTGACATATATATTATAAAATACAATGAATACTATTATTTTCTAATTCACATAAATGGTAGAGCCTAGTTACTTTGTTTATGGTTTTACAAAGACTTCAGCTTATTTAGAAATTGTCTCTCATAAAAAACTTGCAACTAAGTTTATTATCTTTCAGTGCAAAATATTCTCAAATAATTAAATAATTTATATTTTAATGCCCTGTAAAATATAATAGTGACTGCAAGGAAACAGTCTTGGCATAACAAAAATATGTAGAATTTTGGGGGTATGGTCTTATTACTCCTTTCAGAATCAATTATATAACAATTTGGATAACTTAGATATTTTCAAACTTGATTTCAGAAACTGCTAGTTAATTGAAATAAAGTCATCTTTCCCATCAGTTTACCTTAACAGTTTTCATTCTATACCCAGGCTGTGTCAGAGATACTTGTAATACTTATGTATACACAGAGTAGGTATCTATAAATATTTATTGAAGTGATGAATCAATACCTGTGCTGGCCAAATATTTGTAGGGTAAAAATGATAAGTGAACACTAATGTTGTACTTCCATTGCGTGAGATCTCCCCACACATCCTGTGGCCCAATGTTTGCTTTAAAAGGGAAGTTAAGGAATAATATTTATAATAAAAGTCTCCAGATTAGAGTCCTATTAGTGCAACATTTAGAAGCTTAGCCCCACATGTGTTTTACTTCTTGGTGGGAGGCTCTGATCTACAGGGTGGTCCAGGGATGCAAGTACCCCTATTTTGTTGCTTCATCAGCCCTGAAAGCAGTACTTCTCAAACTTCAAAGTGTATACAAATCCCCTGGAAATCTTGTTAAAATGCAAATTCTGTTATTTCTTAACAAACTCTAGGCCTAATTTTATCTCTTTGCTTTGTCAGATACTTTATGTTTTGCCTTAATGCAGGATGAAAGCCTGCTGAAGTTTAATTCAATTTATTTACTGAAAATATGAATAACCAATAAAGTACAAATAGCTACATTTATTCCTCCCAATGCATAGTTCAATCCTTGGGTTAATTATAAAGCATAAAATTGCCTTATTTGAATGCTGTGGGAATAATTGAATGCCATTATTGATTAGTGAATCTCGCTTGTGTGCTGTCCTTCTTCAAGGCTTGCTAGATAGACTTGTGTACTATTGCAAATCCCCCTGTGTGATTTATTTATTAAACTGAATTGTTTTCTTCCATAGCTCAAGGGATGGTATTTTGTGGGTATCTTTGAGTCCATAATAACCCCTTTTTCATAGTCTGAGCTGACTTCTAAATTCATTGTTATTCCATATCCTCTGACTTAAACTGTTAGCGTATGCTAAATGTTATATCTTCTCAGAGCAGAAAGGGAAATTAAACATGAACCATAGGGCACTCGAACAAAACACATGCTACTGTTATAAATTGAGTGAATAAATACATACTGAAACATCTCCCAGTGTAGTCTATTAAGAGTCTTTGGTTTATTTAACTCCATATATTTTTGTTATGCCAAATCAGATTTTTTTAAAAAGGTAGAACTTCCACCATCAAAGGCATTTTTAACCAGATAAATATGTTATAGTGGAAGAGTGACCACTGCACAGAGGTTTTAAGAGCTGGCCATCTAGATGACAGGGTGACAATTGCCTTTAAGCAAATGATTGATTGTAATGCAATAGACTCATTTGTAAAGGTAAAAACTTGCAATTGGCCTCTATTATAGGAACTCAATTATTGAATTTACAGAGATATCTTTTAGGCCTCTTTTACATTTCCTTATCTATAAAATGGGCTCCATGTGAGTTCACTACCTGAATGTCCAACTAGAATTAAAATGGGCCCGGGGTGGTGGCTCATGCCTGTAATCCTGATACTTTGGGAGGCTGAGGAAGGTGGATTGCTTGAGCTCAGAGTTCAAAACCAGCCTGGGCAACATGGTGAAACCCTATCTCTGCCAAAAATACAAAAATTAGCCGGGCATGGTAGTGTGTGCTTATGGTCCCAGCTGCTCGGGAGGCTGAGATAGGAGGGACGCTGGAACCAGGGAAGTCAAGGCTGCACTGAGTCATGATGACGCCACTGCACTCCAGCCTGGGTGACAGAGTGAGACCCTGGCTCAAAAAATAAATAAATAAGAATAAAAATAAAAATAGATTAAATACATACATAAAATTAGACCATTATGTGAATATGATGAAATTCATGGAACTTCTTCAAGAAAAATGCACACATATAAATATGCTCAAGTTTTTTTTTTGCTGTATTTTATTTCAGATTCAGGGGGTACATGTGCAGGTTTGATACATGGATATATTGTATAATGGTGAGATTTTGGCTTCTAGTGTACCCAACACCCAGATAGTGAAGATTGTTCCCAATAGGTAAGTTTTCAATCTTCATTCCTCACCAGCTTCTCCCCTTTTTGAGATCTTTGTGTCTACTATTTTGATCTTTATGTCCATGTGTACCCATAGTTCAGCTCCCACTTATGAGTGAGAACATGTGGTATTTGATTTTAAATTGATATTCTGATTCACTAGATTTGACATGGAACCCAAGAATTTTTATATCTAAGAAGCTCTTAGATTATACTGGTGCTGCTGCTGTTCTCAGTACAAGCGGAGCAGCAAGATTATACAGTGGTATCTACTGACAAGTGAAAAAAATGTTACCAGAATATTCCTATATAGAAAAAACTATTCTAAAAGTTACATAAATTATCAACCATTTCTTTAAGAGATATGTAATACAAATATGTCGTATATATTCATATATAGGTATATAATATTTATATGCACTGTAAGTTGACATAAGCATAGTTTGTGTGCATGGCTATCTCCTCAAATCTATTCTTCCTCTCCAACTTGGTTTTCATTTTGTATTCCTGATGCAGTTGAGAATTCTAAGAGCTTTGGAAGAAGTTGTCAATCTTCTCTCCTCACTTTTTTCGGTTTGGTAAATATACATTTGAATCTGTCTTTTCCTTCTGGTAGGCAAGATCAGTCAGGTTTTGGTCTGGATTGAAATTCAACTTTAGCAAACAATACAAAAGTGAAGGATATGCCTTAAAATACTGGCAGTGACTGTGGTAAGATAGTGTGGTTGGGGTGTTTCCATTGAACTTGTATACACTTTTCCATTTTGGAGACAATATATCACTTCTATAACATAAAATATCTTACTATCTATGTATGAAAATGGCTTTTCTTATTGGAGGCAAATATTGCCTGATTTACTGAAAATTCTAAAAGGTGTGTAACCCTTGATTTGTTTCTGTATATGGTTACCTTTGTCTTTTCGTGTAGTACCTTCCTCAGTTAAAAACATGCCAAAAAACAATACTTTTCCCTCTAGTTAATAGCACCACATCAAATTTCCCCATTGTTAGGGGAGATGATGGGCAACGGGGCCAGCTGAGTTACAGCTATGTACAGAATGAATGAGTGAATGATCACATCTTAGCTGACGGGTGGAGTACAGCTTGGCAATCTGGAAGTGGGTGACACTTGAACATACAGGCTTGGAGATATTTGGTGTCAAGAAATAATTTGATACCATTGATTCTAATTCCTGGGCTAGAGGTCAGGATCAGAACTCTTATATGTGAGTAAGGCCCAGGAAAGAATAAGTTTCAGGGTTCCAGTTTTGAAGATGCTGTCGTTCTGGGTATTTTTGGAATCAGGGATTCCCATTCACTTACTATGCAGACCTTCCAAACAAGGTAAATCTTTTCAGTATCTAATTCCAGTGAAAATACTGTTAGGAAGCAGTTACGGGGCAAAAAAGGAAACAAGGGAATACTCTAGTAATTCAAAACTTCAAATGTAAGATTGGGGCTGGACCAGAGTGAGGGTGATGGATACTGAATCTTGAGTATTGGGTTGGTGTTTCTTAAATTCTACCTGTTGGATTTGATTTTAGAATTTCCTGCTTGGGGTGAGGATGGTGGTGAGAGGTTTGTGCTTGCAGAAAGGAGGAAGTGTGAAGTTAGATGCAGAGACTGAAAATGAATTAGGTTTGTGTTTTTCAGTATAGTACTAAAACCACCTGCATTTGGATCATTTTGACTGCTTACTAAAAATGCAGATTTTCAGACTAAGTGATTAAGTGTATGTCAAGGAATCTGCATGGTTGTGAAGTACCTCAACTGTGATAAGAACCACACATTTCACAGAGCAAAGACATGCCCTCAAGATGAGCCTCTGTCTCAGAATGTCTTTTGCTTTCAGCTCTGCTGATACTCCCATCCTTTGTTATTCAGCTCAAATGCTATCCCTGTTGCAAAGCTATTCTCAATCTTCCTAGATGAAATATATCAAGTAGTCACTGATGCTTTCATGGTACTTTACTGTGTTTTGAATAAGTAAATATCCTTAAAATACCATTATTTGTACGTATGGCTCTACTTGCATTGGGGCAGTGCAATGTATCACAGTGGTCAGTCAGCCGGGATTTAAGGCTCAGGTCCACCTTTCATCTACTGTATAACTTTCATCAATTGTTTACTTTTAAAAAACGCTTTACTTTTTTATCTGTAAAACAGAGGTAGTTGTGAAAATTAAATGAATTAATGTAAATAAAGCACTTAACAGTGCGTGGCACATTGTGTATGCTCAAGAAACTTTTGTTATTATTATCTTCTAGGGTAATAAGGCACCTTATATTATTTTTTTGTCAAGCACCCTGTGAAAAAGTAGGCACTCAAGAGAATTGATTAAGTTGAATGAAATTTATCTCATAAGACATGTATAAGCCCAGAGGGACAACATCCAAGGGGGAAAGACACACTTGGTTCTCTGGAAGAAATACATGAAAACGCACAATGTAATATTTATGGTTTTGAATTTGAGAGTGTGACGGTGAGGAGATTTAATTTAAAGATACCATAAAGAGAAACTAGGGTGAAAGAATTGCCAGAGTTTTCAAAACACATCCTATAGTATATTTGATATGCTGCCATGTATGTCTTATAGAAAATAATTGCTACTAGCTAAATGACCTATACCCTTCCTGACTCTTTTAAAAGCAGAATGCTGGTTTAGAAGCATACCATGAAAGCAAATTCAGAACTATCAGGCAATGTCTCACTTCCTATTTGGCTTTTAGGATTCTGGTGTATGGGAGCTCAATTTTCAAGTAACAGACATTTACTAATTAATAATAAAAGTAGTAAGGAAAGTAAATATAGGATATATGGGCTTTGTTTGATAATAAGATTTGTTAGTATATAAATTCAAGGAAAATTTTAATTATGTTTTCTACTTAATTACTTATATTTTTGCCTTTTTCCACAAAAGACTTATGGTCCCTATTTAGCTATTTTGATAAAAAGCAGTTTTTTCCAAGCTCTTAAAATTTAGAATCAAAAAAATTTCTGTAAGTGGATCCATTTATATCTTCCATAATCCTGCTACTCATAGCTTAGCAAAATTCCTTACTTTAAAAAATTAGGTTTATTGCAACTTGTCAAAGAGCTGAATATGAAATAAATCTCATATAATTTTATATTATGTATCTAGACATGTTTTTAATAAAAAACAAAGGCTATTATTTTCTTTTTTTAAAACTTTAAAGTTCAAGGGTGTATGTGCACTTTTGTTGCATAAGTAAATTTATGTCATGGGGGTTTGTTGTGCAGATTATTTCATTACCCAGTTATTAAGCCTAGTACCCACTAGTTATTTTTTGTGATCCTCTCCCTCCTCCCATCCTTCACTATCTGACAGGCCTACTTTGTGTTGTTCCCCTCCGTGTGTCTGTGTGTTCTCATCATTTAGCTCCCACTTATAAGTGAGAATATGTGGTATTTGGTTTTCTGTGCCTGAGTTAGTTTGCTAATGATAATGGCCTCCATCTCCATCCATGTCCCAGTGAAGAACGTGATCTCATTTTTTATGGCTGCATAGTATTCCATGGTGTATATGTACCACATTTTCTTTAGCCAGTTTATCATGGATGGGCATTTAGGTTGATTCCAGGTCTTCGTTATTGTGCATAGTGTTGCAATAAACATACATGTGCATGTCTTTATAATAGAACAATGTATAGTCCTTTGTATATACTCAGTAATGGGATTGTTGGGTCGAATGGTATTTCTGTCTTTAGGTCTTTGAGGAATCACCACACTGTCTTCTACAATGGCTGAACTAATTTACACTTCCACCAACAGGGTATAAATGTTTCTTTTTCTCTACAGTCTTGCCAGCATCTGTTATTTTTTAACTTTTTAGTAATAGCCATTTGGACTGGTATAAGATGATATCTCATTGTGGTTTTGATTTGCATTTCTCTAATGATCAGTGATGTTGAGCTTTATTTCATATGATTGTTGGCCGCATGTATGTCTTTATTTTCAATGATAAAAATACATATGACTTTATTGATCAAGAGTTAGTGAACAGTTTCAAGGAACCATTGGATAATACTGCTTTGTTGGTGTGTAGTGTGAGCTGGAGGAAATGATCATTTCAAAATTTGTAAAAGATTTCTATGTTATTTAAAATATTCTTTTTGTGTCATGGCTGATATTCTCTGTTTAACAAACGTTGAGAGTAAAAGCACTTGCATTCCTACAATAAAATATTATTTTCAGATTAAATGTTAAGACTTCAGGACACAAGTGTAGTAAAATGGGCTAATAAAACCATATTAAAGTTTGAGCCTATGCAGCAGTATGCAGGCACAGATGGCCTTGGCTGGTACAGAGGCTCCACCTTGTATTTTCTAGGCCTGCTGTGTTTTCAGACAAAGATCTCCAAAGGCAAAGGGTTTTCTTCAGAAAAATCTCAAAGCCATGTCTCTGTAAAACACCAGTATCTCTACTTCCAGTTTACAGTCATGATGGAGTAATGGGGACCAGATTTACTCTCCTGCCTAAAACAATTTTAAAAGTAGCCAAAAATGGAAGAAACATTTTCACCTTGGCAGTAGGTAATAAAAAGGAAATAAATAAGATGAGCTTTTGATTCTCCAGTTTACTGCCTGGAGAGAGTTTACAGGCTGCAGAGCAGGAAAAGCAAGCTCATACTGAGCCTGGAGAGGTTTTTGAGTTGAGAAAACAGAGTTAAGAAGTTTCAAGATATCAAGGCAGCTAAAAGCCATGCAATAGGGTACTGGGGATGAGGGAGTTGCACAGAGGTATAATTCTAGCAATCTGCCAAAGATTCCTCCTTGAGTGTTCAGATGAGTACTGAACAGTGCTTATATATGATGAAATTACCCAACACTGGAAAAGAATCACAGGCAAGGAGCTAGTAGAAGAATCCCTGATGGTTACAGAGTTGGGAATAGGTTGTATCTTACCAGCCACAGAAGAAAAATACATGGATATTAGTCAGAATACTCAGAAGGGTAATGCTTCAGTAATGGGGCAAAATTAGCTCTGCACCAATGGCCACAGTCTTGCCTAATGAAGCCTAAAAGAAAACCTCAAAGGGATGAAACATTCCAACCAATTTAACAATGTTACAGAAAAAAAACTCAGTAATATGAAAATATCCAGCACCCAAAAGGTAAAATTCATAATGTCTGACTTGCAAAGAATCAGAAAAAATAGGACTCATCACAAAGAGAAAAATAATCAATTGAAAGAGATCTGTAAATGGCACAGATGATGGAAGTAGTAGACAAGGACATTAAAACCCTGTTACAACTCTACTCCATATGCTCAAGAAAGTAGAGGAAAGCATGAGTATGATGGTAAGGAAATTAAAAGATGTGAAAAAAGACCCGAATAAAATTCTAGAGATGAAAAATACGAGGTTTGAAATGTATGCATTGAATTAACAGTAGATTAGATACTGCAGAACAAAAGACTTATGAGTTTGAAGAAATTGCAATAGAAACAATGCGAAATGAAACACAGTGAGAAAGAGTGGGGAAAAAATGAAAAGAGTATCAGTAAGCCTTAGAAAAACTTCAGGTGGCCTAATACATGGGAAATTAGAATCCTCAAAAGAGAGGTGAGAGGGACTAGGATGGAAAAAAATATTTGTAGAAATAATGGCTGAACACTTCTTCAAAATTGATAAAAGCTAACCTACAGATCCAAGAAGCTTAACAAGTTCTACATGTAAGAAATATGAAGAATATTTACCCCAGGCACATCATAATCAAAATGCCTAATAGTAGTGATAAAATAAAAATAGGAAAAATAGCTGGGTGGGACAGAATACATTATGTATAGAGAAATGAAGTAAAAAATAATAGTGACTTTTTTTTCAGAAACAATGCAGAGTAGAAGACAATGAGTGTAGGGAGTGACATATTTAAAGTACTGAAAGAAAAAAATTTTAAAAACCTGTCAACTTAAATATATAACCCAGCAAAAAATATTTTAAAAACAAGATAAAAATAGATACATTTTTAGATGTATAAAAGCTGAAAAAATTTAACATCGTCAGATTTACACTACATGAAATGTTAAAATGTTGCTTCACAGGCAAGAGGAAAAAAGTACCAGAAGTAACTGAATTGACACAAATAAACGAAGAGCTACTGAAATGGTGAATATGTGGGTAAATATAAAGGACAGAAACAAAACTCTCAAATGCTGCTATTGGAAATATAAAATAGTACGATAACTTTGGTAAACAGTTTGGCAGTCATTTTGTTAAATTACCCATCACTTACCATATATATAAACCATTCATTCTATTACTGGGTGTTTACTCAATAGAAAAGAAATAAGACTTTTAAATTATTATTTATAATATTTTTATTCAAGATAACTGAAAACTAGAAACAACCCATACAACTATCAACAGGTAAAGGAAGAAACAAATTTTGTGATGCGTCCATATAATGAAATTGAATACTACTACAGTATAAGTATCAATATGTTTCAAACAACAGTAATAAAAAGCAATAAATTATTGATAAATGCAATAAAATGGATGAATCTCAAAATTTGTTTCTGCCTCATATAGGCTAAATGGGATGCATACTTTATGATCCTATTTATATAAAATTCTATAAAATGTAAACTAATCTAAAATGACAAGAAGCAGATTAGTGTTTGAGGATTTGGAGTTCAGAGAAAGGGCTGAATTACAATGGGACAAGAAGAAACTTTTGGGGTTGATATATGTATTATATGTATTCATTATCTTGATTGTGCAGATGGCTTAATAGGTATGTCAACATCAAAATTTGTTAAAGTGTACACTTTATAAGAAGTTTTATTGTGTAATAATCATACCTCAGAAAAGCTATAAAAATTTATATTAAATATATCTACTTTTACCTTTTTCTGTCACACACGGGTTTATCACTCACATAACAAGTACATGGTAGGATAAAAGAGAGATAATACCACTAACTATCATATGTGCAGTTCTGCTTCATCAAAGATCTCAGTGTGCTTTTACATTCATTACTAAATGTAGTACATGCCTTAGCCAGAATGTGATTCAGATGTGTGGCCATATTAGGCCAGTTAGCATGGTGGGCCAATTATCATTGCATTCACATGAAGATTGAGAAGGATGTTGCAAAGTTCATCCTGAAGGAAGGAGGAAGCAGACATGATAAGCTTGATCTAGCAAGAAAATCTTAATGAGTCTCTGAGAGTCAGGGACAATGAAGAAAACATGCCAGGGTGTCTCATTCCTGTCTGTATTATTCAGCACTGGCTGCTATAACAAAAGATCAAAGACTGCGTGGCTTCAACAACAGAAATTTGTTTATTATGGTTCTGGAGGCTGGGAAGTTTAAGATCAAGGTGATAGCAAGGTAGATTTCATTCTGAAGCCTCTTCTCTTGGCTTGTAGGGTACTGCCATCTCACTGTATGCTCGCATGACCTTTTTTCTTTCTTTCTTTCTCTCTCTTTCTTTCTCTCTCTCTCTCTCTCTCTTTCTTTTCTTTCTTTCTTTCTTTCTTTCTTTCTTTCTTTCTTTCTTTCTTTCTTTCTTTCTTTCTTTCTTTCTCTTTCTTTCTCCTTCCTTCCCTCCCTCCTTCCTTCCTTCCTTCTTTCTTTTTTTTTCTTTTTCGAGATGAAGTCTCACTCTGTTGCTTAGGCTGGAGTGCAGTAGCACCATCTCAGCTCACTGTAACTTCCGCTTCCTACATTCAAGTGATTCTCCTGCCTCAGCCTCCTGAGTAGCTGGGACTACAGGCACGTGCCACCACATCCGGCTAATTTTTTGGTATTATTAGAAGAGACAGGGTTTCACCATGTTGACCAGGCTGGTCTCAAACTCCTGACTCAAGTGATCTGCCCACCTTGGCCTCTCAAAGTGTGGGGATTACAGTCGTGAGCCACTGTACACAGTCTCACATGACCTTTTCTTTGTGTGTGTGTGGAAAGAAAGAGTGAGTGAGCGAGAGAGATCTCTAGTGTCTCCTCCTCTGCTTCTAAGGATATCAGTTCTATTGCATTGGGGCCCTACCCTATTACCTCATTTAATCTTAATGACCTCTTTGAAGGCCCCTTCTCCAAATACAGTCACATTGGGAGTTAGAGCTTCAACATATGAATTTGTGAGGGTCATGGGGGACACAATTCAGTCCATAGCACCTTCTGTAATTGGACTGCTGCAGATAGAAGCAATTTGAATAGCATTTTCCTTCCTTCCTTTGTTCCTTCCTTCCTTCCTTCCTTCTTTCCTCCCTCCTTCCTTCCCTCCCTCCCTTCCTCCTCCCTGCCTTCCTGCCTTCCGGGCTTCCTTCCTTTTCTTCTGACTTAATCATCAACACTGAAGGAATAATATATGTGAGACACTCTTCTAAATGTTAAAGATAAAGAAGTAAATAACTTAAAGTCCTTGATCTCACTAAGCTTACAATGAGAGAGGACAAGAAATAATATAAAAAATCCAAATGGATGTGTAAAAGAAAGTCTTATAAGTATAAATGCCAGTAAGAAGTGAAGCAGAATAAAGGAATAGAGGGTGATGGGGCAGAGCAGTGTAGATATATAAGACTGGAATAATCAGTAAATGTCACTTAGCTAATCTTTGAGGAGAACCCTCATAAAGGGAGGGAAGAAGTCAGGCCAGAGGGTGTTATTAAACAGAGACTAGTCAGTGCTAAGGTCCTGAGGGTGAAGTTTTATTGGTGTGTTTGAAGAACAACAAAGGGGCCAGTGAAGAGAGCAAATTGAAAAGTAGTTGGAGAATAATGTGAAGATATAATAAAGTCCAGGTGATATAGAAATTATAAGAAATGTTAAGAATTTGGATTTGGTTCCAATTATCATCAGAAATCATTAGCATTTTGCATAGAAAAAGGGCTCAGTGTGAGTCATATTTTAGAAAAATCATTCAGTCTTTTGTAGAGAACAAAGCAATGGCAGCAAAATTGGAAGTAATAAGACTAGTTAGAAGGCTATTAAAGTAATTTTAGACAAGACATAATTGCCGATTTTACTAGATGGGAGCCATGAGTACGGTAATAACTGGGATTTGGAATGTATTTTGATGGTAGACCCACCACCCTTAATGATGGATAGGATGTGTGTTATGAGGTAAACATAATAGCAAAGGCAACTTTTAATTTTTGTTCTGAGGTACTGAGTGAATTGTGGTGTCATTTACTAAGGTGGGGGAACATTAAGAGAGAAGCAAGCCTTAGGAGAAAAATCAAAGTAATGTTTGGAAGCTGTTAGGTTATGGATATGTAATAGATATTAAAGTAGTCAGTTGGATATATGAGTCTGAAGCTCAGGGGTGATGAAGAAATTGGAGATATAAATTTGGGAGTTATAATGAAGAGATAGTATTTAATGTGATGAAACTTGATGGTATCACTACAGTAGGCATCTAGTCAGAAAAACAGAAACAGGGTACTCAGCAGAGGATATTTAATTTAGGCAACTGGTTGTACAAGTGTTAAAGGCTGAAAGAACAAAATGGGAGCATCAAGGTACTCTATAGGTGATCACTGCAAGAAGAAGTTGCCAACAGATAGGAATGAGAGAAGAAAAAGGGGGAAATAGGGTTTTGGGGAAGAAATTCCTCAGATAATGTTCAAACCACCAAGAATGGAGTCCAGCCTGGCTGCTGTTACTACAACTAAAGGACACAACGAGGCTAGTTGAGGGGATCCTGAAATAATCCAGCACTCCAACATTTAAAGGTTGGGAAGAGGTGAATCTGCAAGATGATTCAGGATAAATAGTCTATGAGGTAGAAGGAAAGTAGGAGAGGGTAAACTCCTAGAAGCTAAGTGGGGAAAAAAAGACTTTCAAAAAGGAGGAAGTATCATGTCAAATACTGTTTAATGGTCACATAAAAGTTGGTCACATAAGTTGGAAACTGAAAATTAACTATTGGATTTGATAAAATGGAAGTCGTTGATTGCCTTGACAACAGTGGATGCATAAGGGTTATGGGGATAAAGTCTAGCTGAGGTGAATTCAAGTAAGAGTAGAAAATATGGCAGTGAGTATATGGAAATAAGTTTTTCAGGGAATTTTGTAATAAGTTGGAGAAAGGAAGTAGGGCAATAGTAAAAAAAAAACATGTGAAGGTAAGGTTTTTTGTTTTTCTTTTAATGTCAGATATGACAAATTCATTTGTTGTTGAAAAAAATAATTGAGAGGGAAAAGGTTGATTACAAGAGAGAGAAAAGGGTAATTGCCAGAGCAAAATCCTTGAGTCACTGGGAGATAAAGGATATAGTATACATGTTGAGGGATTGAGCATTCATTTACTTCAACAAGAAAGAATTCGGGGACTATGGGTACAGACAATGGAGGGTTGGCTGATTTTGTAGTAGGAAGATGAGGAAGTTCTCTTGATTATTTCTGTTTTCTGAGGGCATTACAATGTACCGCAGTCTTCTAAAAGTTAAGAAGAGGGGGTGAATGAGGTTTGGGAAACTGTAAAATTGTAATTTTGAGGCAGAGCTCACTTGAAGTTAGTAGTTCTATCTGTGGAAAAAGTTGAGGTTGTGGAACCTGTATCATTCTAGATACAGAAAATTAGGCATAAACTGTACGTAAAAATTTAAAAATAATAAACCAATTAAAACTTGGTTGTTTTTTACTATCACTGTGTTTAAGCATTCTAAACAATGTCAATGATAAAGCACTCCTCCCTGAAAAGAATCTTTTATTCATCTAAATCCTAATATAAACAATCGCTATGATTACTTTTGAGTTTTAACAGTACATATTTAAGTTCATTTTAGCACATGAAAATGTGCTGAATTGCTAGATGTATTTAATATTTAATAAATATTGTAGTTTATATGGAAGCTATTTTGGAAAACTTGTATTTTAAAAATTGGCCCCTGCGCTCTAACACAGGCAGACTTAGCTTCACTGGTTCCTTTAGTATTCTAAAATGGTATCATTCAAGCTTGCTTCAGGCAAGTTCACATCTATATGTATTCCTGTGTTTAGTAGATTTGAAGTAAACAATAGCCCAGTGATTGTAAAGACAACAGAACTTGAGTTATTTCAATTCCGTCTCTCTCTGTGACCCCTTGGAGTTTTTAGTAGTGTTTAAAATTTACAACAGTGGAACAGAGTTCAAATTGCAAGTTGTTTTAGTTTTGTTGAAGAATTCAACTTTTAGTTCATCCATAAAATAGATTAATTCTCAGTCATAATATTACGGAACATAATTTTGTTATATGGAGGAAGAGAATGTGGTAAAACATGACCCATTCCTGGTGTCGATATGCCACGTGCAACATTGGTTGTCATGAATCTTAAACTCAACTAGCATGTTTATATGTCCACCCAACTCAACAAAATGTTTAGCTGTAGAGTCACCCCACATCCTACTCCCTACCATTCAGGGGCTTTGAGGTAGAGGACAACATGCCATAGGCAGAGTGGAATATGAGAAGTCAGTTCATAAACATATTTGAGACACTGAGAATTTAAAGGAAGTGGGGACCAAAATTCTATATAATGGATTTGGGAGAAGTGAGCAAATACATTCTAAATTGCTACTGTTAATTTGCTTTTGCTTGTACCTCTAGGCCAGTCAAGGTTGGAAAACTTGGGTTATATTTATTTGTGCCATATACTATTTGTGCCGTTATCCTATTTTTCTTTGAGGTGTACAATGGAGTAGGTAAAATGTTTAAATATATCTGATTAACAAAATTGATAAATGAGATTTTAACTCAGACTTACATATTTTCTATTTGGTGTTTTATACACTAAAATAGGTCAAAATACATGGTATGTAGAAACTATGAAATAAACTTATTTTATTGTACTCAGTACTAATTAGATGCTCATTGCTGTCATCTGAATGTTCATATCCTTCCAAAATTCATGTTGAAACTTAGTCTTCAATGTAATACTATTAAGAGGCATGGCCTTGAGAGGTGAGCTTAGTTATTTTTACTACAAAATTAAAACAACTATTAGTACCCAGGATTAGTTTCCTTAATTTGTAAAAACTTTATTAAAGTTAGGTAGGAAACCCAAAGTTATACAGCAGTAGAAAATAATAAAGGCAAAAATGGGATTCTATAGGTGAGCTAACAGACTTCAATAAGAATCAACTTTCCACTTTCATTGCATTGGATGTGTAGACATTTTCTACTGTACTTCTAATCAAGGGCATTCATAGAGATAAGCTACGAGTTTGCCAGAGAGATCGGCCAGAAGCTACTCCAGGCAGCAACATGTAAGGAAGATATCCTGTCAGAGATTTAGTGAGACTGGTTCCACCTATAGGTTCTGATTGTAGCCAGCCATGTTGGCTTACTTACCTTTTTGATTCTGCAGTAAAAATCTTATTTAAAATAATAGTCTTGCTTCTCCTATTCTCTAGGGAGACCTTGACAGAAAGTTCTATGCTTAGGTTAGAGCGCTAATGGGAAGACAGTGACTGCCCCTCCTCCCTTTCAGCTGCCCTCCCATTCTCCAGGAACACAGTCAAGGCAAGTTGGGTGGTAGTGCTGGTGGCCAAGGGAGCCCTGTGAGCTGGTACTACAGGAAGCGACAAGCACAGGAAAATTCAGTGGGAAGACACAATTCTGGGTCCTCTCTCAAGGATACTACACCATAGAGGGTGTGAGTAGCTAGGTCTTAAGGAGACAAGGAAGTGATTACAAACATATCATTCCCCAAGCATATCTCAGACTAAAAGAAAATTGCAGTGGTGGCATCATTTTGTTTGTGGGTGCAGCTATCATTTGCTAAATTGGAGACATTTGACTTCGGCTCTTAAGAATTGTACTGTTGTTTATAGAAACAAATCTTACATTTAAAACTTAAAATAAAATAAACCAGATTTTGATCTTCCTTACATAATCCAATTTTCAAAAAACAGCAAATAACAACTTTTTTCCAAACTGAAATTTGAAGCATATGTGTTGGTGAGCACCTGTTCTAGAAGCAGCATGTATCTACTTGACCTAATTCCATTCTGTATGTCAGCCTGCAATGCAATAGGAAGTCCATAGAGAAGATAAACAGAAAGGTTAGTGTGCAGTCTCCCTCTGCCACTAGGAAATAAATGGCAGAAGAGTCAGTCAATCCTGTAAGTTTCCACTATTTTCCATTTTTTAGCTAGAAGGAAAGGGAGCAATGTAATCAAGCAGAGACCAGAGAGCAAAAATAAAAAATAAAAAGAATAATCAAATATCTCAAATATCCAAAGCAATCTTGAGCAAACACAACAAAACTAGAGGCAACACACTACCTATTTCTGAATATACTACAAAGCTGTTGTTATCAAAACATCATGGTACTGTCATTAAAAGCAGACAGATAGACAAATGTAACAGAATGGAGAACCCAAAAATGAATATGCACATTTATGGTCAATTGATTTTCGACATAGATGCCAAGAACATAAAAGGAGGAAAGGAAAGTCTCTTCAATCAGTGATGCTGGGAAAACTGGATATCCATGTATATAAGAATAAAATTAGACCCTTTTGCCACACCATATCATAAATCAACTCAAAATGGATTAAAGACTTAAATATAAGACCTGAAATTGTACTATTAGAAGAAAACACAGGAGAGAAGTTTCATGAGATTGGTCTGGGCAATGATTTTTTTTTTTTAATATGACACCAAGCACAAGTAACAAAAGCAAAAATAAACGAACAGAATTACAACAAACTAAAAAGCTTCTGCACAGAAGAGGAAGCAATCAATAGAGTAAAGTGACAACCTATGAAATGGGAGAAAATATTTGCGAGCCGTATATCTGATAAAGGATTAATATCCAAAATATATAATAAATGCATACAACTAAACAGCAAGAAAACATATATATATATATATAAAACAAAAAAGTCACCAAGGATAGGGAGGAAAAATGGGTTACAAACAGAAAAAAATGAACGTAACTGTATTTCGAATGAATAATATAACACCAAAGTTTTGGGATGATGGGAAGAAATAACCTAAACAACTTCTATATGCAGTATTTTGATTCTGTGTCTTCAGGTGAGAGTAACAACTATTGTACTCAAGTTGGTAGATTTGTTCTTACCATGATATGGATTAGCGGTTTCTAAGTTTGGGAAAGAAAATGTTTAGCAGCTGGTCTGTGATCAACTTATCTGTCATTACCAGGAAGGAAAGAAATAAATAAATAAGATCTAATCTCTTGGCAAACATGTTGATAAGAGATGTATGGTTTATCTATGGAATCTATGGAATGATTTAACAAGAAGTCTCTGGTTAATGATTGCTTATGGGAAATAAATCTAGAATCTATAAATTGATGTGGCAGTGCTTCCTGAAAAATAATCTATGTAAATATTTGAGTATAATATGGCAATGTTTCATAACCAAAAATGCTCCCTGCTGTGTAAGTTAGGAGACTATTCGTAGTTAGTAATATTATACATTTTTCCAATAATGGATATTGAATTGATATATATAATGGGAAAAATTCGTTGGATTCTCAATATAATTAAAACATTGGGTCATAAATAGATTCCCCACCATGACCTATGCCAAAACTTGAGAAACACTATTTTACTGTCTTAAATTTAACAATGTTGATATGTTTCCTGTTTACTTTATAGCTGATTTTCTAGGTAATATAGCTTTGATATATAAGCCTCTGTAATTATAAAATTGTTAACCAAAAATGTAATGATGTCTAAGATGTGAGTTGCTGGCTCACAGTTAAGCATTCTAAAGGAGAACTAAAGTCACGGATCTCCAACCTGTTACACATTAGAATTGCCTGAAACATTTTGGAAGCTATACTGATAACCAAAATTTTAATTATCTTTTTTTGTATTAAAAATTATTCCAACACTTAGTGGTTTAAAACAATGCCGATTTGTATCTTACAATTTTACAGGTACAGAATCAAGCAAGAATTGGCTAGGTGATTCTTCTGCTACACCTGGCTAGGCTTGGCCGAAGCTCAGGGACAGCTCCTCTCATATGCCTGGTACCTTGTGGATATCTGGAAAACTGAATTCATCAAGGCCCCTTTCCCTCAGTATGTATTCTCAAACCTTTCTATAGTGTCTCTCCAGCAGGCTAATTAAAGCCTCTTAAATGGAGGTTCAGGGCTCCAAATGCTAGTGTTTCAAAAGTCCTAGAAAGTAGTAGAAGACTTTCTGTGACATAGCCACAGAAGTCCCAGAAGATTACTCTGCCACAATTAAATAAGTCACTAAGGCTGGCCCAGATTCAAGGGGAGGACAATTACACTCTATGGCACAAAAGGAGTAGCAAAGAATTTGCAACGTCTTTAATCTACTACATAGGCATCACCTGAGACCAATTAAGTCAGAATCTCTAAGGATGGAGTTTCGCATCAGTATCGTTTTAAAGCTCTTTGATTCTAATTTGCACCTAAGGCTGAGAATTCCTGAACTAAAGTAAATGGCACTAGTAATTTCCAAGTCATTATTCCATTTAACTTCTAAAAATAGTTTATTTCCTATTTTTGCAAAGCAGCCACCCTGATGAAAACGAATAATGTGTGCAACACTTGAGCTACATTAATTTTTATACACACAAAAAAATGTTGCTAATCCAACCTCAGGAGACAGGACTATTTAAGATAATTTTTCAACATTTGTGAAAGATTTGTGTTGATTTATGCCATCTTTGCTTTCCAGGTGTTTCTTATAAGGGATTTGACTCATTAGCAGTTTTCTAATCAGTTAAGATGTTTACAAATATATTAATCTCATCTGTAACCACCCTCCTTGAGGAACCAATCCATGTTGCCAAATTCCATAGCTTTTCAAAATCCGCACTATTTACTTTTTCAATTCTATCCCCCTCACTACTCATCGAGCACTTTGCATTCCATTCACAATGAACTCTCCACTATCACTTTGCAAGGTTCAAATATCTCTATATATGCATTTACCCAATATTCTGAATGTCCTCCACATCCAGCTTCTATGACCTCAACCTCTATACCAACCATCTGTTGATGCATGCTTTAAAATTAAGATCAACATATTTTAAATGTGTGATGCAAAATACTACACTGTCCTAGAAGAAACCAAATTAGTTTTTGAAGTCAGAGAATACTTCCTAAGTAATTGGTATTTAAGGTGAGTTCTGAGAGATAAGTGGTGATTTACCAGACTATAACAGAGGCCAAAATATCAGCATCTTAGACAAAAGTTTACTTCTCGGTCACATAGCAAACTAAGCATAAGCAATCCAAGACTGATCTGTTGGCTTCATGAAACTAGGAACACAGGCTTCTTTTTGCTTGTTGCTGTGCTGTGTTCAAGAAGTAGCTTTTATCTCATTGTCTATGATGACTCTTGCAGCCCCTACATCTTGTTTCAAGCTGGAGGTGAGGAGAGAAGTGGAGGTCATACTCCTCCCCTTTTATGACTACCACCTGGAAATTGCACACCTCACTTCTACTTACATCCTATTGTCTAGAACCTAGTCACAAGGCCTTTTGTAGTTCCCATACAAAAGATACTGGGAAATAAAGTATTTAGCTGGGAGGCCAGGTGCCCAGGTAAAGCTCTAGAGTTCTATTTAATAAAGGAAGAAGCAGAGAGGGACAACCAACAGAATGTGAAAAGTCTCTGACAAAAGAAAGAATATGGTGAATCATAGGAACTGAGAAAAATCCAGTAAGGGATCAGTCACAGGTGTGATGACAATAGAGCAAGCAGCAACAGACAACAGAATCTCACGGAACTGATTCCAACTCTTGATTTCTAACTTGTTAAGTTTTCTGGTTTGAAATTTCAATTATCTTCCAGTCCTGAAGTCCAGGCTCGAATCCCAGTTACCTTCCCCATGATAAATGTCCTGCCTCTACCCCAATCTGGCAGTTAAGCTTCACTTTATTGATAAATCACCGGTTATAACCCAATTTTGCATCTGGCATCCCTGGATATCATTATTCTTACCTGGCCTCCTGACGCCACCTAATCCACCTGATTAGGAAAATTTTCGGAGAAGGAGTTGTGGCCTAGGAGAATATATTGAAAATTGCTATCTACATATTACTCCATTTGAGTTACACTGGCTATCCATAATTCAGGGCAATGGATTTAGAGTTGTAAATAGACTAATTATCACCCACATTTTAACATCCCATTACATAAGATCAAGAATCAGCATAGAGAATTCCATACCCTGGCTCATGCCTCTCTACTAAAAATGTGCTGTAGGTGCTGCTTGACTTTTAGAACTAAAGATGGGTAATTCTAAGAAAACAATAATTACAGAAAGATCTTCCAGGTGATCAGATTGAAAGAATCATAAATAACATCCAAGTTTGGTTATATTTTGAAGAAAATTATCCATGATTCCTCAACATAGAAATAACCAGTATTTTGGTATATTTTCTTCTAACCTATTTAGGTTAGAAGGCATGCTTTTTTTACATAAGTAAAATCATGCCTCATGTATATTTTTGTATACAGATTTTTTTAAAGCATTTTCTCATATCTTAAAAGATTCTGAGGATATCTTTGAGGTGCACATAGGAACCTATCTTTTTAATATGCTTTAACTTATTAATCTGTTTCTTGATTATTGGACACTGATGCAGTTTCAGTGCTTTTATTGAAATTCATACTCTAATAATCATTCATCTTTGGATATAAATCTGTATAAAACAATGTTCCTAATTGTTTGCTGGAATTGTTGGGTTTAATGAATAATACATTTCATTTTTAAAGGTTTTATCAGTTTATACCCAAATAAAAAGTATATAAAGTGAATTTTTCATTATGACTTCATCACTATTACTTTTGTAAATAGTTCCTAATTAGATGGGTAAAAAATAATATCCCATTGTCTTAATTTACATATTTTATGTTGGTAATGAGATTAGGCTTTTGGGGGTTTTTAATATATTTAAGGGTTATATATGTGTTTGATCTATGAGCTGTATATTTGATACCCATCTTTTAGGCTGGACCTTGCAGGTGGTGGGGTTCTTTGAGAGCTATTTATTTTGTCATCTTTTGTTGCAAATATGGCTGAGTTTCTAATTTCCATTTTAATTGGGTTTATGGGGCTTTTAATATGAAGAAATTGTTAACTACTGTGTGGCCAAGCCTATGAATTTTTATCTTTGTGATTTTTTTCATTTGCTTTAGCAAATCTTTTTCCATTTGGAAATAAGTATTACTTATATATTATGTAGAATTTAAAAAATCGTTTTTTTATTTTTAATTAATTTTTACTTAAAATTGACACAAAATAATTGTACATATTTATGGGGTATAGTGGGATGTTTCAATGCATGCATACATTGTATAATGATAAAATCAGGGTAATTACCATATCTATAATTTTAAACATTTATCATTTATTCCTGGTAACAACATTCACAATCTTTTAGCTATTTTGAAATAAATACTACACTGTTATTTGCTGTAGTCACCCTACTGTGTAATAGAACACCAGAACTTATTCTTCCTGTTTAGTTGTGACTTTGTACTCCTTTATACTCAATGACCAACCTCTCCCAGTCCGCCTTCCTCTCTATCTTCCCTAGTCTCTGGTAACCACCATTCTATTCTGTTCTTCTATGAAATCAACTTTTTAGATTCAACATGACTGAGATCATGTGATGTTTGTCTTTCTGTGCCTGGCTTATTTCACTTAACATAGTGTCTTCCAGGTTCAACCATGTTGCCACAAATGAGAGGATTTCATTCTGTTTTATGGATGAATAGTATTTGATTTTGTGTGTATATATACATCTACAGATAAATGGATAATGAAATGTTATGCACACACAACACACACACACACACACACACACACACATATATATATGTATAAAACATTTCTTTATCTGTAGATTGTCATTTAAGTTGATTTCATATCTTGGCTATTGTGAATAGCACTGCAATAAACAGAGTGTAGATATCTCTTGGTCATATGATTTCTTTTCCTTTGGACATATATCCAGTACTGAAATTGCTGGATCATATGGTAGTTCTATTTTTAATTTTTTGAGGACCTTCCATGCTATTTTTCATAATGGCTGGAGTAATGTACATTTTTACCAGTAATATATAAGAGTTCTCTTTTCTCCATATCCTTGCCAGTATTTGTTATTTTTTGTCTTTTTGATAACAAGCATTCTAATTTGGGTGATGCGGTATCTTGCTATGGTTTTGATTTGCATTCCCTTTTTAGCATTTAACTCTGATACACCTGCAATTTACTTCTGGTGAATGTGGAAGTTGATTTTTGGCATCAATTCAGTTTTCAATTTCAATTTTCCCCTTGGCTAATGTAATTTTTAATGTACATAAGCAGTAAGAAAATATTATTGCCTCAAAATTATAGAACTGATAAGGTAGACTTTGAAAGCAATGACACAAGCTAAGGCAGAGTGAAAGACCTTGAAGATCTCTCAGGAAAGCTTAGCCATCACCAATAAAAAGTATTGGTTGGGGCTGTTGTTTAGGGAGTTTTAAAGTCCAGGCCTGGAGCACATTATGCTAAGTAGGATAAGCCAGACACAGAAAGATAAATACTGCAAGATCTCAATTATTTGCAGCAACTAAGAATGTCAAATTCATAGAAGTGGAGAGTAGAATGGTAGTTACCAGGGCTGGGAGTGGAGGAAATGAGATGTTGGTTAACGGTCACAAAGTTTTGTTATGTGAGATGAGTACGTTCAAGAGATCTAATGTACAGCATGGTTGACTATAGTTAATAATACCATGTGATATACTTGAAGTTTGCTAAGAGAGCAGATCTTTAGTATTCTTACCACACATACAAAAAGGTAACCAAGTAAGGAGATAGATACGTTAATTAGCTTGACTATAGTAATCATTACTCCATGTTTACGTATACCAAAACATCACATTGTACACTTGATACATACACAATTTTTATTTATAAAAATAAAAATTAAATAAACTATTAAGTCCATCTATTCCCCAAGGGGATCACAAAACATAGAGCTGCTTTATATGAAAACTACATGTTCTATTAATTTGAACTATTTTAGATGTAGGAGTCTGAACTATGTCACAAAGTTGCTTCAATTTTCTAATTCACTTAGTCTGTATAAATGCAGCTTGAGAACAGTCCCTGGCTTCTCTATGCTAGTGGTTTATGCTAGTGGCATGGCAAGATAAAGATGATCATTTATTGCTAGTACTTCTAGGCATAATTTCACAATAACAACTATGAAAGGAATAAAAGCAAACAGAAATAAATATTTCTCTCCCTATGCCCTATAAAAATTGTACCTATTGCAAAATGGATGCCTAAAATACATTCAGGGAAGAAACCACATGAATTATTCTTAACCCAGAAAGAAAGCTATCCATAAAGGGGAATATTCCCTTCTTTTTAACCTGTGTTACTTTGTGATAATAACCTCAAAATTCCAATTTTGTCTTTACTGGATTAAAAGAACAGCAAGTCTTAAGACAAGTTTAAAAGCAGAACCTCAAACAGTATTCTTGTAAAAATAATTTATTGTTGGAGGTCAAAAGGGGACTTATGGGAGTCCCTAGCAGGCAGAAAAGCTAAGCTAGGAGATGGTCTTGGCTGGAGACGAGCTTCAGTCTGATTCCATTGGAAGCTCAAGGGCGTGAATTTCACAACAGAGCTGCTGCCAACTTGAGGTAAGGGAGCCAGTCATTGGCTGTGGGCTAGGTAGCAGCTGTGATCCCTTTAAACAGTCACCTACGTATGTAGGAGCCACAAAATGGGACAACAGCACCCCACTGCCACTACCACAGCCTCCTAGCCACACTCACTTTTCCCTGGGCCTGGAAAGTCCTCCCTTTCCTAACTCCCATGTTATCTACTAAGTGAAGTCTTTTCCAACCTCCTACAAACATCCCCAACTCCCTTGCTCTTTTTGTGTGTGATCTCGCTATACTCTTTTGTAATATTTATGACATCATATTGGAGCAATCTGTCTACATGTCTTTCCTTTCCTCCTGAGAATGCCTGAAAGAAAGCAATTATGACATTTATTTTCATGTGCCCAGTGCTTGGGAGAGTGCCTAATACATAACTGGTATTCAATAAATCTTGGTAATTCAAAACTTCTAAATATAAAACCAAGAGTTAAATTATAATGCTGCATAACTGGGTATCCAGTGATAAAATTTAGACAGCAGCAAATGCAGCAGAATTGCCTTTGAGTGTCTTGAGTGCTAGAGTGTCAATGGTGGTCAGACTCCAGTACTTACCCTATCTTAGTTCTTTTCTGTTGTTAGATCCATAACTCAGTTATCTGTAAGGATTCTCAATCATCTCCTTAAAGCAATGGAGCTGCCGCACTATATACCCCAAATAATCTCTCACTGACAAACTAGCAGTATTAGAAATACCTGCTGCTGCTCCATACCCCATGGCCCAATTCCCTATGCTCTTCATCTCAAAATTTCATGAGAAATTCAGGATACCAATTTATATAAGTTAGACACTACTGCAAAATAAATCATTTCAAGACTCAGTGGCTTAAAACAAAAATTATTAATTCTCATGAACACATTTACAGATAAGCTAAAAGTCAGCTGATCTGGGCCTATTTTGGCTGGGAGTCTTTGCTTCCAGCTGCTGGTGTACCTATCTCAACTCTTTATTATGGGTCAATTTCATTTTCTTCTCCACTTATGTTCCTTCTCATTTGCTTTGTAAATTGTTTAGCCCCCAGCAACCCCCGCCCCCAAAACCTGTACGTGTGATAAGGTCTACAAAGCAGTAGCATGTTCTAGAAAAAACTCTGCTAGTTGTGGAGTCAGAAAATACTTTCCTAAGGAATTGGTATTTAAGCTGAGGCCTGAGAGAAACTCTTAGCAAGAACAAAAATGAGGAAAGGGAATACTAGGCATGAGAAATCTTATTTTAGTTAGGATATGGTTTAACCTCTGAAACAGAGACCAAAACCACAGTGGTTTACACAGGATTAAAGTTTATTTCTCAATCATGTAACCATCTGGGTAAAACAGATCAAGGCTGTTATGACGGCTCCATGGTACCAGGGATTTAAGCTTTTCTCATCTTTTTGCTCAGTCGTCTTCAACATGCAGCTTCCGTTCCATGGGCAAGGTTACACTTGTCCACATAAAGCTGGTAAATTGTGTGTCACAGCTGATATCATACTTACAAGAAATCCTTTATCTGATTGTTTCATGTTTAATATAATTTGGATATTTATCCACCAAATCTCATGTTGAATTATAATCCCCAATGCTGGATCTGGGGCCTGGTAGGACGTGTTTGAATCATGGGGGCAGATCCCTTATGGCTTGGTGCTATCTTCGTAATAGTGAGTTCTCGTGAGATCTGGTCATTTAAAACTGTGTGGCACCTCCCCCCACACTCTCTCTTGCTTGCTCCTGCTTTCATCATGTGACGTGCCTCGTCTCCCTTCACCTTCTGCTGTGAGTGAAAGCTTCCTTAGGCCTCCCTAGATTTCAAGCAGATCCCAGCACCATGCTTCCTATAAAGCCTGTGGAACTGTGAGCCAATTAAACCTCTTTTGTCTATAAACCACCCAGTCTCAGGTATTTCTTTACAAGGCAATACAAGAGCAGCCTAAGACAGTGTTGCTCAATAATAAACTGCAAGTACAAGTACAGAAACTTTCTGCTCCAACTACACAGACTTAATGCAGAAACCTATTGCATATTTCCTCTGCTTCTGCTATGTCTGCTCTTATTTATAATATCACAATGTGGAAAAGAGGGAATATTGAAAAAGTGTAGTTCTCCTGGAACATAAACATACTCCTAACTTCTAAATTCTGTCTATCATTTGAAATTCTTGGGGACTACATGGCTGCATATACCACGTGTCATCTCTAGCCCAACTTATTGTAGTAAATATTTCCTAAATAACCTTCTTTCCCCCAGGCAATCTTTATGCCATTATTCTGGTTCACTGCCTTCATTGCAGTCATCACTATTTGAAACTATCATGTTTATTTATTGTATTCATTTGCTGCCAGAAAGTAATTTCCATAAAACACAAATTTTGCTTACCTTGTATCACTGTATATCAAATGCCTTGGATTATGCCAGGCATAAAATGCACATTTGACAAGTATTTGTTCAATGGATGATATCCAGGGTTTATGCATATGGGGTATAATTGTCAGAGAATGAGTTATGAACTGGCAAGGTGCTCTACAATTATTGTTAGTATAGTTGAGTTATACAAAGTAGATTTTCAAAATACAGAGCAATTGACTTAGAATTGTAAAGAGGATATGTAATTACCAACTACATCTTGTATCCAATCTCTTAATATCAAAAATAATTAAAGTTTCATTTCCACCCTTGCATCTCTCTCCCAAAGATAAGTACTTATTCCTTCCCAGCTTAGAACTAGAACTGGATGACTCAGAGGAAACAAGAAATAATTACAAAAAATAACTTCAGGGTGATCTATATTAGAAAATCAGAAATAACGTTTAGGTTTTGAAAAAAACAGGAAATGTTCTATTTTCAATTTTTTTTTTTTTTTGCTTCAGAGTTTCAAAATATTTACAAGCCTCTAAATCTAGAATAAAGCTTAGTTACCTTGACTCATGTAGCAGCACTTTCAATGTGGACTTTTTCCTTTTTAAAAATATATTTTCATTTTAATTAAAAATTATTATGTAAACTTTAAAAACTCATTTAAATTTTCAAAATAGTTCATTTTGAGATTATTAAAGAAACACTGAAAAAGCAAATGAAATCATCCACAACCACCAAAAAAAAGTTACCTGCTATTAACCTTAAGGCAAATTTACTTCTAAGTCTTTTGCAAAATGTTTCATAGAATCCTAACTTAACAGAATATTATTTACTAATTTTATAATTTTTCTCATGTCTTTAAATTATTTTAAGAATGACTTCAGAGGCTATGTAATACTTTATCACTTGAGTTTATCGTAATTTACTAATTGTTGAACAAGAACATTGTTTTGATGATTTGTATATAAATAACACTGCAACAATTACATTTGATATAAATTTCCACCATATTGCTATAATTTTCTTTATAGAAATGAATTATTAGGTTGATGATTATATAAATGAGTGTTTATATATTGATAAGTATTTTTTCCTTAGCAGTTCATTCATTGCTCAATTTTATATTGATACATAATGGTTGTACATATTTATGGAGTACATACAATATGTATGTAACATGTAATGATCAAGTCAGGGTAATTGAGATATCTATTACCTCAAACATTTATTATTTCTTTGTGCTGGGAAAATCTCAAACCTTGTCTTCTAGTTATTTGGAAAAATACTATAAATTCTTGTTAATTATAGTTGCCCTACTGTATTATCAAACACTAGAACTTACTCCTTCTAACTGTATTTTTGTACCCATTAACCAGCCTCTCCTTATCTCCCCCTCTGCTTTCCCTTCCCAGCCTCTGGTAACCATCATTCGACTTTTTGCCTCCAGTATGTCAACTTTTTTAGCTCCCACATGAGTGAGGATGTTTGATATTTGTCTTTCTGTGTCTGTTTTACTTGACATAAGGTCCTCCAGGTTTATCCATATTGCTGCAAATGACATGATTTCATTTTTTAAATGGCTGAATAATATTTCATTATGTGTACGTACCACATTTTCTTTCATCCATTAATGGGCACGGGCACTTAGTTTGATTCCACATTTTGGCTATTGTGAATAGTGCTGCAATAACCATTGGAGAGAAGACATCTCTTCGACTTATTAATTTCCTTTCTTTTAGATATATATCCAGTGGTGGGATTGTTGGATCATATGGTAGTTCCTTTTGTAGGTTTTGAGGAACCTCCATACTGTTTTCCATAGTGGCTGGGCTAATTTACATTCCCACAAACAACCTATGAGCGTTTCTCTTTCTCTGCCCCCTTGCCAGTATCTATTTTCTGTCTTTTAAAACTTTTAATTTTTAATTATTATGTGTATATATTTAGGAGGTACATGTAATGATTTGATACAGGCATGCAAAGTGTAATAATCACATCAGGGTAACTGGGGTATCCACCACATCAAGCACTTCTCATTTCTCTGTGTTATTTTCTGTCTTTTTTGTAATAGCCATTTTAACTGGGGTGAGATGATATCTTATTGTGGTTTTGATTTCCATTTCCCTGATGATTAGTGAGGATGAACAGTTTTTCATAAACCAGCAGTTATATGAGCAGTTTTCATATACTGGAATCAACAGGTATATGAAAAAATGTGTTTCTTTTGAAAGAAGACATACAAATATTTATTCGGATCTTTTGTCCTTTTAAAAATCAGATTATTTGTTTCGCTTTTGAGATATTACAGTTCCTTATATATTCTGGTTATTAATCTCTTGTTGAATCTATAGTTTGCAAAAATTTTCTCCCATTCTGTAGGCTGTCTCTTCACTATGTTGATTTAATTTCCCGTTTTTTACCAGCAGTTTATGAGTATTTAAGAGAAACCTAATTAGCATATTATTTTTCTTAAGATGTTTCCCAAACTGTTATGTGAAAATGACATTTCATTGTTTTAACTTGCAATGTTTGCATAGATATTAATGTTTAGTTTTTATATTTTTTTCATATATTTGTTAACATTTTTTTCTCTGAGTGGTACACATAGTGCTCATTTTAAGTTGTGTCTCAGAGGTTCTTTGTATTGCATTTGTACACCTTTTTGTTTAAAACTAAAATATAGGTACACAAGAGAACCTACATGAAATGAAGGTAGAACTTAATAAATTATCATCGGGCAAAGACTCTTGCATAACTATGACCCAGGTGAAGAAACAGAAGGTCTTTAGTTCTTGCCACTCAGAAGTCACTCCATGTCCTCCATCCCAGTCACAATCCCCTTCTATCAAAAAGTGACCAATATCCTGTGCATGCCCAGGATCTAACTCTGCCATGTCTAACAGAAATTGCATGCTCCCAGGCTAAAAGATAAATGATTAAAGTTGTACCATGCTGGGAGATGTTGGAGCATCAGCCCAGCTAGTATGGAGAGACCACACCAAGTGCCTTGGGCATTTAGTTGAGATAACAAAAAGGCCACTGTGTGGAAGTCAGAATTATGCCCTGGCATAAGAGTCATGTGTTAAGATGAAATAAAAAAAGCACCCTCTCGCCCTAACAAAGAAAAAATACCAAGCTTGACAAGACCCGGAATAAGTGAAAATTTAACTAACCACCAGAAATAAGGTAAATACCCTTAAAAGAGAATGCATAATTCATACTCATAGCAATGTATCATGTACAGTGAACATTGTACAATCAGGAATTACTAGATACACCAAAAAGGATAAACCTAGTGCATAAGAAAAACTGCCAGACAGTAAAGACATACCCCTTAAATTTATACAAATAAAGAAACAAAAAAGAAAGGCACAAATATGACCCAAATATTGAAATTACTGGTAAAATAAATTAAAGCACCTATTGCAAATATATTCTGATACCTAAAGGAAACTATGGTCATGCTGAAAGCAGATAAATATTCTTAGCAAATAAAAGCAATTCATAAAAAAGAACTGAATGAAAATTTTAGAACCAAGAGTACAATATCTGAAATTAAAATTTCACAGGATGGGTTTAAAAGAAGATTTAACATAGCATATAAAAGGAACAGAAAATTTGAAGACAGATCAACAAAAAGCATCCAATCTAAAGAACAGATAGAAAAAAAAAAAAAGGAACAGACCATCCGTGACTATTTAATCAATATCAAGCTCTCTAACAGAATTAAATTTTCAGAAGAAAAGATGCGGAAAGGTCCATGTGGAGAGCAACCAACAGCCAGTACAAACTTGCCATCTATCTATGTGAGTGAGCCATCTTGAAAATCAATCCTCCAGTCCTAGTCAAGCCACATCAACAGATGTGGTGTGAGTAGAGACTGGCAGCTCCTGCTTGAGCCCTGCCAAAATTTCAGATTCTTGAGCAAAACAAATGATAGTTGTTGTTTAAAGCCAAAGAAAGAGGAGGAAGAGGAGGGAATGGAACAAAAAATAATAATTTTAAAGAAATAATGGCCAAAAAAATTTCAAAATTTTATAAATAACATAAATAGAAGCCAACATATCAGCTAACCTTAAGCAGAATAAGTACAAAGAAAACAATGTCTAGCTATCATAGTCAAACTGTTGAAAATCAGACATTAAGAGAACACTTTGACAGAGGATAGTCACATGTATATATGATTTAAATGATCACTGACTTCTAACTAGAAACAACAGGGACCAGAAGACAATGAGCCAACACTTTAAGGTAAGGAAAGAAAAAAAAGAGTCAACCCAGAATTCTACGTCCAAGGAAAATAGCCTTCATAAAATAAAAATGAAATGAAGATGTAAATTAAAACTCAGAATTTCTAGCAGAACTACACTACTCAACATGTAAAATAAAATTATTTATCCTGAAGAGAAATCTCCCAAGAGAGAAACTTAAATTTAGAGGAAAAAACAAATACTAATGGAAATAGTAAGTCTGTGGGTAAATATAAGGATTATGTAGTTATTTTTACTTCTGTTAATATCTTTAAATACATATGACTGCTTAAAACAGTAATTATGATACTGTACTTCAGGATGTACAACATGTATAGATGGGATGTAGATTAATATAATAGCCCAACAGATAGGCAAACAGAACTTTATTGTTGCAAAGTTTTTACATTTAACACAAAATAGTAAACGTTAATTCTAAATAGATGTGACAGGGTATGTATATTGCAATCTCTAGAGCAACCTTTAAAAAATGCAAAGAAACCATAGGTTAAAAAGTCAACAAAATAAAAGGAAATCAAAAAATATTTGACTAAGCCAAAAGACATCAGGAAAGAAGGAATAGAGGTTAAAACATATGAGATAAATACAAAACGAATAGGAAATTGATAGACTTATATTTAAATAAGCATATCAATAATTGTATTAAATTTTCACAGACTACACATACCAATTGAAAGGCAGAGATTGCCAAACTGGGTAAAAGAGCAAAATCCAACTATATGCAGTCTATAAGAGATGCTCTTTAAATATAAAGAAACCAATAAAGTAAAAGGATGAAAAATGATAGATCATGCATATAAGTTATACAAGCATAAAAAACTAAAATGAGGATATAAATAGCTGAAGAGATAGACTTCAAGACAAGAATTATTATCAGAAGTAAGGAAGAACCTTTCATAATTTAAAAGAACCTACTCATCAAGACAACAAAACAGTCTTAAACATGTAAACAACTAATAACAATTAGAAAATATGGGAAACAAAAATGACTGAACTAAATCGGGAAAATGTAAATATCCACAGTCGTAGTTGTAGTTTTTAATATTTTCTGACAGTAACTCATAGAATAACTAGACAAAAAATAAGAAGGGATATAGAAGATCTGAACACCACCATCAACCACACTGACTTGTTTTAGCCCATTTTGTGGTGATGTAACAGAACACCAGAATTCATAAAGAAAAGAAATTTATTTCTCACAGGTTTGGAGGCTGAAAAGTGCAATATCAAGCTGCTGGCCTCAGGTGAGGGCCTTTCTACTTCATCATCCCATGGAAGAAAATGAAAGGATCACAGAGGGAGAGAAAGCAAGAGAGCAAGAGAGGGCCAAACTCACCCTTACAATAACAAACCCATTCCCTCAAAAGTGATATTAATCATTATAATCATGCCCTCATGGCCTAATCACCTCTTAAAGATCCCACCTCTCAACACTATTGCATTGGGGACTGAGTTCCCAACACATGAACTTTGGGGGACAGGTTCAATCCACAGCAGGACCCTGCCCTCCAAAAATACAGAGGTATTTTCAAGTGCACATAGAAAATTTATGGAGATAGACAACATGCTTCGCCATAAAACAGCAGCTTCTAGAAGCTGGGAAAGGCAAGAAAAAGGATTCTTCCCTAGGACTCCTAGTATGAACACATCCCTGCCAAACTTTTAGCCCAATGAGACCCATTATCGACTTCCAACCACCAGAACTATAAATAATAAATCTGAGTTGTTTTAATCTACTAAGGTTTGGTACTTTGTTTTAGCAATGATAAAAAACACATGCTTAACCTCTACAACTAATATCAAATATAAAAATAGAGTTCTCCTGGCTGTAGCAGGGAGTAGGGAGGCAACGTTTTCTCTCCAATCTCTGCAGTGGTTCTCTAAGAAACATGGCAAAAGCCTGGAAAGGTTTTGTGTGTATGGTACATCTAGGCTCATAGTACCATAATCAGCCTTCCAGAAAGATTCCCCAAGCATTGCAACAAGTAAGCAGAAACATATGAAATAAAAATAGCCAACCTAACAAAAAAAATGAGTATCCTTTTGTACATCTGAGTTTTAAAATTGAAATTAAGTAGATATTTCCTGATTTCATACCATCAATATTTTCTTATCATAGAGTGGATACACACAGAAAAATTACTGTAGATAATTCCTTACAGGATAAATCAGTTTTTGAAATAAAATCACAATTTAAATGAATAAAAAAAATTCCTTCACAAAATATGCCTAAATTGACTCTGGGATATAGACCACTAATTTTGCTTGAAGCAAGATGCAATCATGCTTCCAATGATAAATCATTTTCCAATTCTAGTAACATCTTGATTGTTCTCTCTAGATATTCACAAATTCTGCACATCACACTAGCTGAGAAAAGCAGAAATGAATATATTACTTTAATGAGTAATATATTTAATATTTAATGAGTGCCTTAGTCCATTTAGGCTGCTATAACAACATACCTTTGACTGGTAATTTATAATCAGAATTTATTGCTTACAGTTCTGGAGACTGGGAAGTCCAAGATCAAGGCACCAGCAGATGTGGTGTCCTGTATGGACCTGTTCCTTATAGATATCACCTTCTTTCTGCATCCTCACATGGCAGAAGAGGGAAAGTGCTAATAAGCTCCCTAAGGCCTTTTTTATAAGGCACTAATCCCATTACCTAAATGGCTTCAATGTCATAACTGATCATCTTTTCTCACTTTCTGTCTCTAAAATAATAGACCCTTATTATTTTCACAGGTGTCAACAATATCATTAAACATGCACTCTTTAAAATTTTAAACATAAGATTAAAATGTAATTTAATGTCTAATACTTAAATAAAACAAATTATGTTTTTATTTTTAAACACCTTTATTTGAGGTACAACATACATACCAAAATATTTAACAATTACAAGTGTACAATTCAATGAATTTTAGTAATGCCACAGAGCTATGCAACTATCCTCGCAATTTTAGAATATTTTCGTTTCTCCAAAAGGATCCTCATGTCTATTTTACTTGCCTTGGCATCGTTTTAGAAAATCCCTTGAATGTAAATGTAAGGATTTATTTCTGAATTCCTGATTATAGTTCATTGATATGTCTACCTTTAGACAAATGCCACATTTTAATTACAATAGCTCTGGTTTTAATTACAATAGCTTTGTAGTAAGCTTTGAAATCAGTGTGAGGTCTCCAACTTTGTTCTTCATTTCAAGACTGTTTTGGCTATTTTGTGTCCCTTTGCAATTCCATGTGAATTTTAGGATCAGCTTGTCAATTTTTGCAAAAAAAAAAAAAAAAAAAAAGCAGCTGAGATTTTTGACTCGGATTGTATTGAACTTGTAGATCAATACATCAATTTGGGAGTATCATCATCTTAATATTAAGTCTTCCAATTCATGAACTACAAATAATTGTTAATTTGTTTAAATCTTACTCCAAATTCCAATTCTAAAAATTTCTGTTCCCCTCCCCCACTGCCCCCAGTTGTGTCCTTAAGAGTATTTCTTGATAGACACAAGAAACTAGTACTGGTTGTTGCTGCTAGGAAAACACCTAGGTGGCTTTGAGACAGGAAGGGAAGAGGACTAACGTAGTTTGAATTTGCGTCCCCACCCAAACCTCATGTTGAATTATAATCCTCAGTGGAGGAGGGGCCTGGTGGGAGGTGACTGAATTATGGAGGTGGACTTCCCCCTTGCTGTTCTCATAATATTGAGTTCTCATGAAATCTCACTTAAAAGTTTGAAAGTGTGTGGCACATCCCTTTCCTCCTCCTGCTCTAGCCATGTAACATGTTCCTCCTTCCTCTTTGCCTTCTGCCATAATTATAAGTTTCCTGATGCCTCCCCATCCAGGCTTCCTATAAAGCCTACAGAACCATGAGCCAATTAAATCACTTTTCTTTATAAATTACTCAGTTTCAGGTTTTTCTTCACTGCAGTGTGACAATGGATTAACAAAGAAAATTGGTACCAGGAGTAAGGTGTCACTATAAAGATACCTGAAAACGTGGAAACAGCTTTGGAACTGGGTAATAGGCGGAGGTTGGAACAGTTTGGAGGGCTCCGAAAAAGATAGAAAGATGAAGGAAGTTTCTAGAGACTTTTTGAATGGTTGTGACTGAAATGCTGATAGTGATATGGATAGTGAAGTCCAGGCTGATGTGGTCTCCGAGATGAGGAACTTGTTGGGAGCTAGAGTAAAAGTCACTCTTGTTATGCTTTAGCAAAGAGACTGGCAGCAGTGTGCCTCTGCTCCAGGGACCTGTCAAACTTTGAATTTGAGAGTGATGATTTAGGGTATCTGACAGAAGAAATTTCTAAGCAGCAAAGTGTTCAAGATTTGGCCTGGCCGTTTCTAACAGCATATGGTCATATGCATGTGAAGAGAGATGATCTGAATCTGGAACTTATATTTAAAAGGGAAGCAGAGCATAAAAGTTTAGAAAATTGCAGCCTCTTCTTTAGGTGGAAGAGAAAAACCCATTTTCTGGAGAGGAATTCAAACCAGTGGCAGAAATTTGCATAAGTAAAGAGGAGTGCAATGTTAATAGCCAAGACAATGGGGAAAATGCCTCAAAGGCATTTCAGAGAACTTCACAGCAGCCCCTCCCATTCACAGGCCTGGAGGCATAGGAGGAAAGAATGGTTTCATGGGCCAGGCCCAGGTCCCTGCTCCCCTGTGCAACCTCGGGACACTGATCTCTGCGTCCTAGACATGCCAGCTCCAGCTGTGGCTAAAAGGGCCCCAGATATGTCTCAGGCTGCTGCTTCAGAGGGTGTAAGCCATAAACATTGGTGGCTTCAATGTGGTATTAAGCTTGTGTGTGCCCAGAGGGCAAGAGTTGAGGCTTGGGAGCCTCTGCCTAAATTTCAGAAGATATATGGAAATGCCTGGATGTCCAGGCAGAAGTCTGCTGCAGGGGCAGAGTGCTCATGGAGAACCTCTACTAAGGCAGCATGGAGGGGAAATGTGGCATTGGAACCCCCACACAGAGTCCCCAGTGGAGCACTGCCTAGTGGAGCTGTGAGCAGAAGGTCACTGTTCTCCAGACCCCAGAATGGTAGATCCCCTGACAGCTTGCATTGTGCACCTGGAAAAGCCACAGGCACTCAGTACCAGTTGTGAAAGCAGCTGTAGGGGCTGTGCTCTGCAGAGCCACAGGGGTGTAGCTGTCCAAGGTTTTGGGAGACCACCTCTTGCATCAGTGTGGTCTGGATGTGAGACATGAAGTCAAAGGAAATTATTTTGGACCTTTAAGATTTAATGACTGCCTTGCCAGGTTTTGGACTTGCATGGGGCCTGTAGCCCTTTCATTTTGGCTGATTTCTCCCTTTTGGGACAGGAGTATTTAGCCAATGCCTGTACTCTCATTGTATCTTGGAAGTAACTAACTTGTTTTCGATTTTATAGGTTCATATGGAGAAGAGACTTGCCTTGTCTCAGATGAGACTTTGGACTGTGAACTTTTGAGTTAATGCTGGAATGAGTTAAGACTTAGGGGATCACTGGGAAAGGTTGATTGTATTTTGCTGTGTGAGAAGGACATGAGATTTGATAGGGGCCAGGGGCAGAATGATATGGTTTGAATCTGTGTAACTACCCAAATCTCATGTCAAATTGTAATCCTCAGTGTTGGAGGAGGGGGCTGGTGGGAGGTTACTGGATCATGGGGGTGGACTTCCCCCTTGCTGTTCTTGTCATAGTGAGTTCTCATGAGATCTGGTTGTTTAAAAGTGTGAAATGTGTGGCACCTCCCCCGTGCTCTTCCTCCTGTTTCAGCCATGTAAGAGATGCCTCCTTCCTCTTCTGCCATAATTGTAAGTTTCCTGAGGCCTCCCCAGACATGTTTCCAGTACAGCCTGTGGGACCATGAGCCAATTAAACCTCTTTTCTTTATAAAATGCCCAGTTTCAGGTATTTCTTGAATGGACTAATATAAGGACTTATATTTTACTTTCTACCCTTTTGCACTTTTTGGATTTTACACACTGCACATGTATAAGTTATTTAAAAATTAAATTTACTAAACTGTGCTCCCAGTTTTTTGAGGTGCAATAAGATGCACAGACATGAATGTGTTAGATGGGTCATATTTGTGTAATTAATTCCTGTTCTGCTCTTAGACTTCTCTGAACATTGCCTCACGTTGTTAGTGAAAGTTCCCAGTTCTTGTCAACTTGGGAGAAAGATTTCAGGCAAGAGAAGATTTAAAGATGAGAGAAAGCTTTAATGAAAGGAAATAGGGAGAAAGAGCTTGTTGTAGGACAAAGTAAGTATTCTCCCAGACAAGAGTGGGCTGATCCTGCAGGAAAACATCTTCGAGGGTCCTGTTCTGTGAGTTTTAACATGTAGAGCTCCCTTTCAAGTTCCCACTTCTGTCTTAAGTAAGTCTCCACCTTTTTCCTTTGTCTACTTTTCCTGCTTCTGCTTTAAGTCTCCACTTTTTTTCCTGCCTATGCTGGTGGGATTCTTCAATATGTTTGTTAATACCCATGCACAAGTTGGTGATCAATATGAATCTTGCTTAATGGCATCCCTGCTCATTACTGCCACTCCAGGAAGGTTGTATGGCAGTCAAATATCTATCTATTGCACCTGAATATCTCTTAGGAATGTCCTCCCTTGCTCTCCTGTGTACTTGTGGCACCAGTGTACCTCTTAGGAATGTCCCCTTTTGCCCTCTTTCTGTCCTTATCAGCATGTACCTACTGACATTGTGACATTTTCACTGCAGAGTGAATGATTACTGGGGCATCTTAAAAGGAATTCCAGGGCATTTCTTTCTGCCTAGGTACTTCCTCTCCTTCTTGCCCACCCCCTCCAGCATTAGAGATTCTATTGCTATGAAAATTTTGGGTGGTCCCTTGGGTCTGAGACTCTCCAGACCTTTCCTTTCTCAAGTGGTCCCCCTCCTGCTCATGTCTGGCTATCTGCATACTCTAACAACATCAGGCTATCTCATATCTATTTCTTACCACCTCTCCAGTTTCTCTTCTTAATCCTCATGCACAATTTTATCTGTTTTTGGCTCTCATTCTTCTCGATATTTTAGTTAGCTATTGATCAGTTTGCTTTCTTCTGGCTTAAACCAGGTACTTATAAGCAAGTATAGACTGTTCTCTCTTCCCTTTTCCATTCCTGGCTACCTTCTACTTCCTGCCTCACCCTAATATAATCTATAGTACCACAATTTTATCTCACTTTTGTAGGGTAAGATAAATTTTTTTATCTACTTTTGTAGGTATTTTACTTTTATCTTACTTTTGTACTATTTCTTACCCTAGAAAGGCTGTATTTCAGACACTTTCTTCCTCTCTTTGAACCATTAACTTAGATTTCCTAATTTCTTACCTGTATGTCTTGAATCTTGTACTTATTTTTGCTAATATATATTTTTAAGTAGGTAGTCATAAAATATACTCTCTGTAACATGGATTTTATTTCAAAACTTGTAAGTATTAAAATATAAAATAAAATAACCCATGTATTAAATCAATATTTATTAACAAAATGATTGTGAGTTAAGATACAGTACCTATGAGAATAAAACATGCAAAAATGCTTATTTTCAATTATAAAGATAATTTTTAAAAACTTCAATAGATTTAGAGGTACAAGTGGCTTTTAGTTTCATGGATGGATTTGATAGTGGTGAAGTCTAGGCTTTTAGTGTACCCATCGCCTGAATAGTGTACATTGTATCCAAATATGTAATTCAACTATAAAGATAATTTAAACAGAGTATTTCAAGCAACATACCAAAGATATTTAAACAAATATTTAAAGAAGTACTGTGACTTTATTCTTTTTAATAAAATTATTATTTTTATTACAATGTAATTTATATTTGCTGTGAACAAATCCTATCATTACAAAGCATATAAAAGTTAGTCCACTTGTTATCTCAATCTCTACAGGTCACTTTACATTTTTTTCATACAGATGTATTAAAATATATTAGTTAGAAGATGCTTCCTGCTGTAATTGAATATATGACTAATGGTGACTTAATGATTTAAAACCTTTTCTTATGTCACATAATCAAGAAGCCTGAAGATCAGTGATCCCAGGGTTGGTGGGATGGCTGAGGGCTGTAGGACCCAGCCCCCTTCCCCCTGCTACTTCTTACCTGTTGCCTGTTTTCCCAGGAAGTTTCTTGTCTTGTGGTTATAAGATGGCTGCCACAGCCCCAAGTGCCACATCTTTGTACAAGGGCATTGCAGGTAGTAGGAAATGACTAAATGAAGAAAAGACACTTCCTTTCATCAAGGAGAAAAATAATTCCACAATCTTCTCTACCCCTTGGTCAGACCTGACTCCTTTGGCAAATTTGTGCCAAGAAGGCTGAGAAAGTGAATATGTGGCATATTGGAATGATGATGGAAATGACATGAATATAGTTGGCCAATTACGATCTTTTTCAGAGTTCTAGGAAAATTGTTTCTGCAAAATAATTGTGATTCTTTTTTATTATGAAACAAGAGGAGAAGGGATATTGAGTAGGCTGCTAGTAGCAGCTGCTGCACACATTGTATCAGTGTGTGTGTGTATAAAGACTTAGGTTTGCCTTTAAGTAATTCAGACCCACAATAGCACTCATTTAAACAGAAAGATTGGCCTCTCCCCTGTAAAAGTTCAGAGCAGATAGGACAAAGAATCAGTTTCCTTCTAGATTTCCCCTTTGCCACCTAGAGAATGGGCTTTTTCTCCTTGGTTCGAAATGGTGATCAGCACATGTAAATTCCAAATGGTGGGACGAGAAAGGGACAAGGTCAAAAAGGGTCAAAAGGGCCTGCACTGGCTGTCGTTTAAGTAAGGTTCCTTGAAGCTGCTCTGAAACATTCTGCTTCTGTTCCATTGTCTGATACTTAGTCATGTGGCCATGCCCAGCTGTGAGGGAGCTTGAGAAATGCTCCTTTTATGACCAATGGCTACGTGTTTAGGTAAAAATTAGTGCCTGTGAGAATAGGAGCCCTAAAGAATGAAAGTAAAATGGATTCCAGAGGATTGTTAGTAGTCTCTGCCATTTACGGGCATAAAGGATATTCAATGTTGTCATTATTGTAAAAAGAGCATGATTTTGAAAGTATTTATTTGTATCTTCTTTTTATTTAAAGGAATATTTTTAGGTTAAGGCATGTGCAAGTTGTGGGGAGCCACACCTTTCAGTTGTTTAATTTATCCCTACATTTTTTCCAATCTAGTATTTTGATCAGGACCAAAGCAAACATTACTGAATGACACTGAATTTTCCTATTGTAGACATTTTGAAAAACATTTTTGATAGTTGTCTTTTTGGGCATGACTTGAAATCATAAACATTTCCAAAAAGATGTGAAGAAAAGAACTGAAAGATTTCTCCAGGGTCTTAGTCAACACTATTCAGGTCTTTTATTCTATGAAAGCTGTGTATGAAATCCTGTCACCACAGGGTAAACCATTAAATAGACGGTTCTTTTTCTTTTTTGAGCTTTTCTTTTTGTATTTTTTCTGAATGTTTACCAGATACTAGATATTAGGATTTTATTGAACAGATTTGCGTGTGAAAAGAAAAGCCATAGTAATCTCTTTCATGTGTACTTTTTGAAATTGCTTCTGCACAGATTAAATCTTATATCCAAGCTTAGAAGTAAAAAGCAAGCTAGTCATATAATTGTTCTTCATCTGGCCTGGTTATAGCCTGCTGCAGGAAGCTCATTCAAATATGGGCGCTTCAATATTTCTAGCACAAAATAAAAATCTATCTTTTTTGTTCACCTAAATAATACCATGTCAGTGTATCTTTATTAGCTCTGACTTTGTGAAATGAAGTTTCAAAGTCTACTAAGTATTCTCTAATTCAAATAATTGCTCTAACAGAAGGAAACAAGATAACTGTTTCCCTACTCAAATATCATATAGTCTGTTTTCAATCTGTCTTTCATTGCTGCATTGGTGGAATGCCTGCATTTAAGAGAGAACTTCTGTTTGCCAGTCATTCCTCACAGTGGTGCTGGTGACCAGCTGTCTGAGAATCTACTATTAAGGGTTGCATTCTGCATGCCACATGATGTCTTCTTCCTAATACCGTTTAGCTCTACAATATTCTTTATGAAGTCCCTTAATCACTCCATTATTCCATGTTGCTAAGCGGTCAAGCAACTGCTAGCTACTGAAAGGAGAATTTGCTTCACATATTTTGTACCACATTTAAGTAGGCTTAGATTTTTGTAATGTCACAGATGGTGTAGCACAAATAAGAAGGTTACAGGGACTGTGGTAATATTTGGACTCTGCTTACAACTGGGATTTTTGGAGCTCTTCTCTGTGGCATTGTTTGATTTTGTTTATTTTTTATTGAAGTTCTGCTACTGTATTAGAATATTAGTCATTTATGTTTTATTATATACAGAACATTGTTCTGGGTGCTTTGACAGATATAATACAGCAATAAGAGGATTTTTGCCCATTTATCCATCTAAACTCTTAAAGTAATTGTATGGGGATATAGTAGACATTTCCCCTTTTTACCTCACCCTAACCCCAATATTTGAAGCTTCTTGTAACTTGGGAGACTGCATCTACCTCTCACTAGAGAACCTCCCTTCTTAGCCTTCCTTGTGTCTGTGTAGGCATGACCCTTGACTTAGCTCTGAAAAGCAGGTATATATCCTCAGATAAAGGAGGAACCACTCAAAATGCGTTCTGGTGAAGCAAGGTGGTGGCCACTTCTGAATTCACTTTCCAGAAGCAACAGGCAACAGTAGTAAGGGGTGTAGCAGGAGCACCCAGTGGCTGGCATTGCAGCATTGGAGGTTTTAAGGTGTCTGTATCCACAGGTGGTCATCATGTTGTTTTCATAAGACCAGTTTTGTGATACAAATTTGGGCATTTCCCTGGTGGGGAAGTCTCTATGACTAATTGCTGGGCTCATCTGGAGATTCTGTGAGTTACTAAAAATATTTAATAGAGTGAGAATTTTTACTGCTTGTAACTAAGCATACTGATTGATACAAGAGGCTAGAAGCTATTATACCATTAACAAGTAACAAGGACAGGTAAAATAAAAACTTGGGGGTAGACATATTAACGTGATCTGATGGAGATAGATAAGGGCTCAAAAGATAGGAAAGATTCACACAAGATGTAGATGTGGAGCTCTGCAGCCTTAATTAATTCAACAAATACTGTGAGCTGCTAATGGATAACAGAAATGGTATTACATGCTTAAGATAAAACAATGAGCAAGAATGACACAGTCCTACTTTCATGAAGCTTACAGTACAACGGGGAAGAAATGAATCAAGTTATTATAACAGTTCTGTCAATGTAGAAGAAATGAATTAAGTTATTATAACAGTTCCGTCAATCACTCTGTTGGGAGAAGTAAGAGGATATAATGTAAACCTTTATCAAGGGCACTTGTATCTAGAATACTCAGGTGAGACTTCCTTCCCAGAGAGACTTTAAGAAACATTGACTATGCATGGATCATGCCTGTAATCCCAGCAAATTGAGAGGCTGAGGCAGGAGGATCACTTGGACCCAGCAGTTTAAGACCAGCTTGGGTAACATAGTGAGATCCCATCTGTTAAACAAAAAAAAAAAAAAAAGAAACATTAAATTAAATTAAAGGGAATTGAAGGAAGACAGTCTGGGCAAAGAATGTCCCGGGAAAGGCATCAGCGTTTGAAAAACACTTTGCAGTGAGAAAGAAAATGGCACATTTGAAAACTGAAACATTTTCTATGTGCTTAAAATATAGAATGTGGAAATGGGGAGTGGCTAGGATGATCTGGAGAAGAGAACCAAATATATTTTCTTCTGTATTTAGTTGGTGATTAGTGAGAGTTTATTGAGTTAGTGTTTATGAAAGATAATGCCAATACTGCAAATAATACGCAACGTTATGGTGATAGTATTATTTTTTATAAATAAAGATTGCTCTGCTGGTCCTTAAATACCCATTATTAAGTCTTAATATCCTGTGTAATCTTGAAATACAACTTGGTATGGGTTTGTGATAATCTGAAGAAGACGAATCATTCCAAACAACTCTAATTGAGTCAAACTAGTACAGTGCTCTGTAATTACAGGATTTTTAATTCATGCTTTTAGAACTGATGGGAGACTGTAACAAAATTCGGGAAATGTTGGTTTTCTTACTTTGTAATGGTTGAGTATCTCTACCTTGTTGTGTGATAGTATACTGAATGGGAATAGGAATAGTAGCAGTGTTCAAATGGATAAAGAGAGATAGACATATTTAAGGTATATTTAGGATATTTGGTATATATTAGGATATCCATTGACTAAAAGGATAAGTGAAATGAAGAAAGCGATGCAGTCAAGATGTCGATCCTTATATGAAAGTCACAGACTTGTGCTTCCTAAGTGGTCTTTCTGTCTACCTGTGATTATTTAGTTGATATTAAATACATCACATAAAATTTACATTTATTCATCTTGTCATCTAATTTTGAAAGTGCAAATACCTTTAAAAAACATAATAGTAATGTACCTAAATCTACTCCTCTTCTCCTTTGACTAGCAAGACTTTAGGTGGAAGATCCAGGATGTATCTATTTCACTCTAGTGGCTGAGGCAAAATTTGACATTTGCTTTAGATAATGATGAATTTGAATGACACTTAGGCATATATTCAAAGAGTTGTATGTGATTTATTACATATAATTAATTATATAATTATAACTATAATAATTATGTAATAATTATGTTAAGTAAAATTATGCATATAATTATAACAAATAATAATTTTCCTTGATATAGCAGTTTCTATTTATTTTCAAACACATTTTCATTATTCTATTTTATATTCACCAAAACTCTGTGAAAGGCAAAATTATCCCTATTTTACATATCAGCACACACTAGCTTATAAAAATTTAATAGCTGTAAGTTTATCCAGACTGCAGGTAGCAGAACATGAACAGAAGCTTGGATTTTCAGCTCCTTGTTCAGAGACAGTGAAAAGAGTTAAACATTTTTTTTTAAACACTGGGTGATTGTTTTCCGAAGGTCCAGGATGCGTACTGCATTAAATGAAGACTTGAAGATTTATTAAAAATAGGAGACATATGAACTTCTAACTAGATAACCAATCACTTAATTATAATTTGGAGTGATGTGGTTATGGTGCTTTTCCTTAATAAAAATACAAGCTATATTTATTCAACCAAAGTGAAATAGAGGGTTGATCAATTGTTTTTCAAATGTCACTCAGTAAAGAGCCATTAAAATCATCTAGTCATTATTTCATGTCTTATTCATTAGTGTTTTTTTTTTTGTCTTTGTTTTATATTTTGGACTGCATTACTCCTTTAAGCTGGAATTAGTCCCTGTGCTTGAAAGTAAAGACATTATTTTCTCCTATTTGCACATTTTCCCCAAAATCTTGTGCAACCTCCAGTTAATTGCACTCAAAATTATTGATGCTTAGGAGCTCAAAAATGCCATTGCATAAAAAAAAAAAGCCTTTCAAAACCCAGCTTGGCTTTAGAAGCTAACTTGCTGAAAAATGCTTATAGCAATGAAATATCATTATTCAGCTCTGTGAGGTGCTAGCTGGAAAGTTACAACGTCATTGCTTAAAGGGCTATATTTGTTTATAGATGGACAGTTACAAGTGACTCTGGGGGCTGAAGTTTTGTAAAATTATACACTTATATAGGTCTCCTGTTGGCCCAGTTATGTAAATCTACAAATAGGTTTTCTTGGCACGAGGGCCACATAACTGACGATAAAACTCTGACTGTTAAACGGGATATATAATTACCAATGACCATGGTTGGATTTGGTCAGGTTTTAATCAGTTTGCAGAATACATTAGTGGTGCTTGAAAATCTTATGAAATATAATTCCTTACACAAAAGCCAATTAATTTATATTTTCTAAAGAACAAAATTAAATGATAGTTTATCAAACATAGAATTTAAATATTGTATATTAAAAACACAACCACACACACAGACGTGAACATACAGTGTATGTTTATTATAAAGTTTTCAAATGATCTCTAGGGAGCCAAAGCCCCTTCTGCATGTTATCAAGCTAAGAACCCTAACTTGATAGTATTCTATTAGTAGGTTTGAAAATGGCAGTGGAGGGCTAAAGGAGGTGGAAAAAAAATTGAAGTGCCAGACTTGGGCGTTAGTAGAGGTAATTTGCTGTATTCTGTCTTAATTGGGTTAGAATGTTGAAGGCTTTGAGAGAGAATTTGTTTAGAAGACAATCTGATTTTCCTGAATAGGAAAGTTTAGAAACAGTGTTTGTTACCACTATGTTAATAGAAGTGTCATATTAAGTACTATAGGATTTTTGCATCACTGAGATTCAAGGAAAAATTCCATAACTAGTGAATCAGAAGTCTCGGCTTTTACTGAAAAATGAGGAAAAAGATTGCCATCTAATTGGTTGTCTGGACTTATGTGGACGTTATCTAGAAAGGCCACGATAGGAAACCTGAACTACATGGTCAGACCTCAGAACTGTTTTGATCCCAAACTAATTTCCTCAAGTGAATAGTAAGAAATTGCTTTCTTATAACAATTTCAAAAGGAATGAAATGGGGGAAAGAAGTGGGTTATCAAATAAATGGCAAATGCTCTTATTAAAAAAAAAGACCCACAAACGACATTAGTCTCTCCAAAGAGGGTAAGAGAGGTTTGGGGAAGGGGATAAGAAAGAGGAAAAACATTATTGATCCTCATTTTTGTCTTTCAATATTTATTTTTAGATTACTCCTGAAAAAGGTGAATATCCATATCCATTGTTTTTTTTTTTTTTTTTTTTTTTTTTTTTTTTTTTTTTTTTTTTTTTTTTTGTGAGACGGAGTCTCGCTCTGTCTCCCAGGATGGAGTGCAGTGGCGCGATCTCGGCTCACTCCATATCCATTTTTAAATGGAATAAATTGCTGTATGGTGGAGGATGAGCTATTTTACAAAACATCGTAGAATAACCACCAAATAAATACATTCTTCAGTTTGGAGTCTTTTGTTTTTTCATGAGGCATTTTTTTTTTTTTCCTAATAAGTTTCGTTGCTTCACTCTAGAGGCTCTGATAAGATGCGTCATCCAACCCAGGCTTAAAAAAAATGCCTCATGAGATAACTCAAAGAAGTTATAATGCCAGCATTCATTTACAATTGGTAGCCTTCGTTACCATTTAGAACATTTGTTGAGAAGATGAAGCTGTTATCCTTTATTTGAGAGCAAATTGAGTGAGTGTAAAGTGCCCTCTGAATATTCTGTAGGACATCCTGTTTCCTCCCTATTTCCTCACTTCATGTCCTGCAATGGTGACAGCTGTACTTACATTTAGTACCCAGGATTTCGACTTTTGTATCCAGCCTCTTCAATGATCTCTTAATTGCTGCTGTGCTTGAGTACTCTGCCAAAATACAGGAGGGCGGCGTTAGTCTGGGAGAGGATAGTTCCTCATGGATTCTGCTTCAGCTTGCCCAGGCTCATTAACACTCAGGGTTGTTGCTTTTGCAGCTGCTTTCCCAGTGAGGTTCCATTTAAAGCAGTTTTGAAAATATTGAGAGACACCAGAGTAACAATGAGGTTTTCTTCCTTTTTTTTTTTTTTTTTTCAATTTTACTTTAAGTTCTGGGATACAAGTGCAGAACTTGTAGGTTTGTTACATAGGTATACATGTACCATGGTGGTTTGCTGCACCTATCAACCCACCATCTAGGTTTTAAGCCCCACGTGCATTAGTTATTTGTCCTAATGCTCATAAAAATGTTGTTTTCTGAAAACAGATGCTACTAGTCTGTGTGGGATATTATCTCAGCATCTTATTAAAAGCAAAAAGTTGTATAAGCCCCATTGCTTTTAATAGGCAGCACTTTTCTACTAAATCTGGGAATATTGTAAGCCAAAACTAAAAATTAACAGCTCAGAATATTCTAAATATAGAAGATAAATATTTAAGATACTAGATATGGAAGGTATTACTGATCTTAACTCTGAATGCATTTCTTATTTCTGTTCTCTACCCAGGTGCTGTTGTCTCTCACCTGGTTTCTCTAGTTCTTGTGTAAGTATTTTAGTGTGTGAATAGTTGTTTAAATGTTTCTGCAAGAGGATGTGCACTGGAAGGTTCTATTTCATGATCTTGACAGTGTCACTGGAGCACCCTCCTGGATGCATTTCTGTATCTTCAAAAGGAATGCCGGTTAAAATGTTAATAAAGTCTCTGAGCAAAGTTGCCTATACATAAAATCCCAGCTACTTGAGAGACTGATGCTGGAGGATCCTTGGAGCACAGGAGTTTGAGGTTTCAGTGAGCTATGATCATGCCACTGCACTCCAACCTGGGTGACAAAGCAAGACTTCATCTCTAAAAATAAATATAAAATGAAATAAAATGTCAATGAAATAATGATTAAATAATCTCTCTAATATGTGAGTTTGAATGATGAGAAGGAACCAAGATGATATCCACATGCCAAGGAGCTTTAGTTGCTGAATGTTTAACAAACGTGGGTGTCTGGAAATTATTATTCTTGGTGGTATTAGAAACTTGGTAGATGTGTGCAGCAAGTTAATATGTCAAAATGCCAGGTTGCAGCAGAGAAAGAGGTTTAATTGTGGGGCCGCTGAACAAGGAGACAAGAAGAAACCTCAAATTCATTTCTCAATGGAGCTTGCGACTAAGGTTTTTAAGAGTTTCAGAGTGGATCTAAATGTGGAGATCACTGATTGGCTGAAGAGTGCAGGGTGAAGTCATGGGGCAGGGAGATGAAAAAACCGTAGTCTCATGCTGATTCGGTTCCGTTGTGGTGGATCTTTGAACTGGTTGGTGTCAGCTGTGCCCTTGAAAGTCAGGATCTGCTTAAGCAATTCTTAAACAAAGATCTTGGGATTCTAATATGGAGATCCTATCTATCTTAAACAAAAGCCTTATGACTAATGTCAGAAATTTTATCTATAGGAACAATGGGGATGCAAATGGTCTGTATCTAGTGCTATGGGGACTTTCGGTTTCAAGGAAGTGAGTCAAAGTGCAGCCTGATTAATGCTTAAATATAACTCAATTTATGTCCAGAATTCTTGTTAACCCTGTGAGGATGGCTTCTTCAAGACCTGCTACCAAAATGCTTATTCTGGTCTCAGGCTGCAAGGAAGCAGAGGATTTAGGGAATTTGGCCTGCATATGCTCAAGGAGGTGGCTCCTTTTACAGATAGACTTAAAAACTCTTGCCCTGAAGAAAACAGCCTCTGTTTTCATGCAGACGAGATACCCAAGTGAGGGCCTCAGTGAACATCTGACAAATGCTTCTGTTAGCACAATTCATCTGGCTGACCCTGGCTGATACTTCCAAATTTGACTTAAACATATTTCATTGAATCTAAGACACCAGTGGTTCTAAGACAGAGCATTGTTTACTATGTAAGAGAAAAAATGATGACATAAAGGTAAGATTCTAGTGTCTATTATTGAGGGTTCTACAGAGAAACAGAACCAATAGGAGATAGATAGATAGACAGATAGAAGGATGAGAGGGGATTTATTAGGATAATTGGCTCACATGATTAGGGAGACCCAGAATTCCCATGACATGCCATTTGCAAGCTGGAGACCCTGGGATGCTGGTTGCATGGCTCATTCCAAGTCCAAAGGCCTTAGAACTAGGGGAGCTGATGGTGTCATTGTTAATCAGAGACTGAAGACATGAGCACTCCAGGGAGCAGCTGGTATAAGTTCTTGATTCCAAAGGCTGGAGAGCCTGGAGTGCTGATGTCCAAGAGAAAGAGAAGAGCATTCCAGCTGCAGGGGAGGAGGGGAGAGAGAGAGAGACAGAGAGAAAGAATTGTCTTTTCTCTTCCCTTTCTATTCTATTTGGGCCTCCAGTCGATTGGATGATGCTTACCCACATCCAGTCGTCTGGGGGCCCAGATAGAATAGAAGGGCAGATATTTCCCACTCAGTCCATATACTCACACCAATCTCCTCTGCAACACCCTCCAAGACATACCCAGAAATAAGTTGACACCTGAAATTAATCATCACAGACTCTAAGATGCATCTTTGAATTGTCTTAAGGGTCTGTGATGTGCACATTAAGATGCACAGATTCTAAGATGCAGAGAAAACATGCATTTAAAATAGAATAAATAATCATCTCTTCACCTGAATCCAAGTCTTTCCTAGTTGGGGACGCCTAAACTTCATCGAAGCCTTAAATAAGCCATAAGCTTATTCATTGTCTTGTGCTTTACACAGGGGGTTTTATCTTTCTCTTTCCACTTTGCCCCAGCCCTCTGTCATATACTGTAGAAATTGCATAAAATCAGGAGCTGTTACATTATGGGGGAGCCCCAGCTTTCTTTCTCTGGCCTTGCATGGTAGTATGTGGATATATGGATACAGATCATGGCAATCTTTTTTTCTCCCTTGGATATTTTTGTCTGATAATAAAAATTGTTTTGTTCGTAAGATGTAATTAATCTTGGCAATTCTTCCTTTAGTGCCGCTGTAAGAGTTCTCTATGAGAGAGAGTACCTAGTTCTCTAGGTTTCCTGATTCAGTCTATGCTGAGGTGCAGTCCTCCCTGATGACATCTTCTGCTTCTGAACAGTTAATAGAAAAGTCCCTTCTTCCCTCTAACCAATATCATTCATAACAATTATGCTTTGAGCCCCTTCAATGTTTCAGGCACTATTATAGGCTCTATTGAACATAACATATAGAGCATTACTGATAGGAATTACAAGAGCCAACTGTATTTGAGCAAAGACATGAAGAAAGTGAAGCAGTGGGCTATGTGGCTATCTAATGGGAGAAAGTCCCTGGGAGGGAGTAGCAAAGGAACAGTTCCATTGTGCATAGTAGAACATGCATAGTGTGTTTAAGAAACAAGGCAGCAAGGAATACGCCAGCTTGGCTGAAGTAGAACAGGAGGACAGTAGTAGGAGATATGAGCAGAGAGATGTTGAGGAGAGGGCAGACAAATGTAAAAGACTTTGATTTTTACTCTGAATGAGATGGAAAGGCACTGAAGGAATTTATACAAAAGAGTAACATATTCTGACTTTATTTGAAATGCATATGTTAAGTCTATGTGAAGGGAGAACTTTAACATGGAAGAGTGGAAACAATGAGACCAGACAGAAGGCTAGTACAATAATAAAAGAGAGTGATGGTAGCACCTGCAAGAGTTCCAGTTGAGGATTAAACTCTGATTTTTTTTTTATCTTGCCCAAATTCTTATCTAAAAAGTGGTCTGGGGGTCATGCCCTACAAATCATAAATTCTCATCAGATGTGTTTTATTTAATCCTATATATCATGACTTACTTTCCAAACTGACTCTGGCATAACATTACGAGACAAAGAAGAAAATCAAAATATTTTACATCAAAACATGTTTCTTTGCCGTATTTTGAAATGGCCCTGCAGAGCTATTCTTTGTGGGGGAAAATTTGCATCTGTAAAGACTCTCTATTAACATAGCTAGATCTTTTTCTTCCAGACCCTCCTAATCCTAAACAGATTAACTAAGATCTGAATAGGAAACATTTGTCACCTATAGCCTCTAAGGGCAGCCACTCTAAGACTTCAAAAGAACTTTGATCTCTACAATCTTTATCTTAACCTGAACATTCCATTGTTTCTATCTATCCCAGGTCTTTAGACAAACTCAACCAATTGCCAACCACAAAATGTTTAAATTCACCTATAGCCTAGAAGCCCCCACTTTGAGTTGTTCTGCCTTTCTGGACCAAACCAATGTAGTTCTTAAATGTATTTGATTGATGTCTCATGCCTCTCAAAATGTATAAAACCAAGCTGCGTCCCAACCACCTTGGGCACATGTTCTCAGGACTTCCTGAGGGCTGTGTCAAGGGCCATGGTCACTCATATTTGTCTTAGAATAAATCTCTTCAAATATTTCAGAGTTTGACTCTTTTCGTCGACACAGTGGTGGAGATGGTAGGAAGTAGTCAGTCAGTCCTGGATATGTTTTGTATGGAAATCTGCCAGGTTAGATTGACTAAAGGGTAGGGAATGGAGTCCAGGATGACTCAGGGTGTTCGGCCTGAGTAGCCTGAACATTGAAGCTGCCATTGACTGAGATGGACAATCATGTGGGAAAAACGGTTTGAGGGGAAGAATTAGGAGATCAGTTTTGGGCATTGTGATGGTTAATACTGAGTGTCCATTTGACTGGATTGAAGGATGCAAGGTATTGTGCCTGGGTGTGTCTGTGAGGGTGTTGCCAAAGGTGATTAACATTTGAGTCAGTGGGCTGAGTGCCGTGGCTCATGCCTGTTATCCCAGCACTTTGGGAGGCTGAGGCGGGAGGATCACTTGAGGTCAGGAGTTCGAGACCAGCCTGACTAACATGGTAAAACCCCGTCTCTACTAAAAATACAAAAATTAGCTGGCCATGGCAGCAGGCGCCTGTAATCCCAGCTACTCAGGAGGCTGAAGCAGGAGAATCACTTGAACCTGGGAGGCAGAGGTTACAGTGAGCCGAGATCAAGCCATTGTACTCCAGCCTGGGCGACAAGAGCAAAACTCCATCTCAAAAAACAAAACAAAACAACAACAACAAAAAATTTGAGTCAGTGGACTGGGAGAGGCAGACCCACCTTCAATGTGGGTGAGCACAATCTAATCAGCTGCCAGCGTGGCTAGAATAAAGCAGGCAGAAAAAGGAAGAAGTGGACTTGCTTAGTCTTCTGGCCTTCATCTTTCTCCCGTGCTAGATGCTTCCTGCTCTCAAACATCAGACTCCAAGTTCTTTGGCTTTTGGACTCTTGCACCAGTAGTTTGCCTGGGGCTCTCGAGCCTTCAGTCGCCAGCCACAGACTGAAAGCTGCACTGTTGGCCTCCCTACTTTTGAGGTTTTGGAACTTGGACTGGCTTTCTTGCTTCTCAACTTGCAGATGGCCTATTGTGGGACTTCACCTTGTGATCGTGTGAGTCAACTCTCCTTAATAACACCGCTTCGTATATACATCTGTCATATTAGTTCTGTCCCTCTAGAAAACCCTGACTAATAAAGGCATGTTAAATTGGCCTGTTTAATATTCAGGTGGAGTTTTCTGCTGTTCAATACTATGTGAAGATCCTGCAGAATCACTAATATATAGAGTGAGGTTTATTACTCTTGTTAGTCTTCCATTTGTCATTTCTCCACATTTTTGGACTGCTCAAGAGGGTGAACATGATATTGGATACCTTCTACCATGTACACAAGATTTAAGAGAGACTTCTCATGATGGCTTTGTGAACTGAAGTGAGTCATAAATACTGATTAGTTGTCTAACCTAATTATTAGTAGTATATATAATCTTGTCAATATACTTTTCTGGTATTGTTATTCTTTCCTATTTTTATCAATTATTCTAAATTATGATGATTGTCAGTTATTTAATCTACTTAGATGTGTGTAAATCTCATTCATATTTAGATATGACAGTGCATATTAATAATATGTGTTATATTACTTGAATTGCTTTATTTTTTAGAAAAGATCATGATTAATTGAATCATATGCTGTGATGTGTTCCTCTGTTACTCAGGCCTAAAGAGAGTCTTGGAACATTATGTTGTCTCCTGAGAGCTTGCTTAGTGGGAGAATCTGACTTGCAGATAATGCCAAGGGGACAATAAAAGTCTAGCCCAGGCCCTTTAAGTAGAAGCAAATATTCTGCAGCAGATATAAAAATAATAAAATATTACCTTCATAATCAGGTAAAAAATCTACGTAAAAATGTTAAGAGCTCATTAATATTTATGATTGCCCCATATAAGAATAAGAAAGCAGAGAATATAATAATGATATAATTTCTAAAGTCCTAATTATGAACCTGTAAACTTTTTAAGGTCACCTGTTAATCCTTAATTAAATTGTACTTTGACAACTGAGATTACTTACTTCATTAGCATTCTTGAATTTGCATATAATTTGCATTATAAAATTTGTTGTTTTCTCAAGATTCTCTTTACTAGTTCTATTTATACTGAATGATGTAATTGCTCTTTATTTAATTCCCTTCTTAATAGCTCTAACAATTCTCATTTGGTGAAGATAAAATGTAAAAATTTAGGGAGCAAAATGACAATTAAACATAAGTACATTAAATGTGGACTATTAGATGGGACTAATAGTTCAGGCAGGTTTGGTCTTTGGCAATAAGGGACTTTTTGTTGGAGTAGGAGTGGCAATTTCTTTTCTTTTCTTTTTTGAGACGGAGTCTGGCTCTGTCGCCCATGCTGGAGTGCAGTGGAACGATCTCTGCTCACTGTAAGCTCCACCTCCTGGGTTCACGCCATTCTCCTGCCTCACCCTCCCGAGTAGCTGGGACTACAGGGGCCTGCCACCACGCCCGGCTAATGTTTTTGTATTTTTAGTAGAGACGGGGTTTCACTGTGTTAGCCAGGATGGTCTCGGTCTCCTGACCTCGTGATCTGCCCCCCTCGGCCTTCCAAAGTGTTGGGATTAGAGGCGTGAGCCACTGCGCCCGGCCGGCAATTTCTTTTTTTAAAGGACCAGATAGTAAATACTTCATACTTTCAGGCCATGTGGTTTCTGTGGCAATTACTCAACTCTCCCTTTGTAGAACAAAAGAAGCCATAGAGAATCTGTAAACTAATGGGCTACATTTCAATAAAACTTTATTTACAAAAACAGGCATTGAAGTAGATTTGGCTATGGGTAGTAGTCTACAAACCTCTGTTGGAGCCCAGATGCTTCATTTTGACTTCCAAGTGTTTAGGATTCACTGAGAAAACCATCCTACTGTCAAATTTCCATCCATCTGCCTATTATCTATGCATTATTTATGCTTTCTTCAAGTGACTTTTATTTTAATATGTATAACATCTTAGGGTAAAACATTTCATAATACATTCTTTCTGTGGAAGACTTTGGTACCTGTTTTTGTTTTTGTTTTTTTTTTAATTCACTTCACATACCTATGGAGCATTTGCAATATGCCAGGCATGTAATACAAACTATGGATAAGTATTTTGTAGAAGGAGCAGCTAATAGTTTGTTTTTTGAAAAAGAAAAAATAGTATAAAAACATACATTTTTAAAGCAGTGGAGGAAACAGTATCTAAAGTTATAATTTTATCTTAAAATTAAATGGATTAAAATATGCTCATGAAGAACATATAGGACACTTTAATTATTTCGACTTTTATTTTAGGTTCAGGGAGTACACGTGCAGTTGGTTACATGGGTAAATCATATGTCACTGGGGTTTGATGTACAAATGATCTCATCACCCTAGTAGTGAGCATAGTACCTGAGAGCAATTCAACAAGCAAAAACCAAATAACCCCATTTAAGAAATGGGCAAAAGACATGAACAGATACTTCTCAAAAGAAGACATATAGGTTGCCAACAAACATGTAAAAAATGCTGAACAGCTTGCAGTTCTCTAAGTAAGAGGGAATATAGGAGTTGAGAGAATCAAAGGAAGCCTGTGCTTTGTAGCAGTGCCTATTCACCAGAATGCTATGGTACACTGTGATATTCCAAACTCTTTGTAATTTTGACCTCTAATGAAAAATTTTTTTTTTCAGAAAAATTATAGAAATGAATTTAAGAGGAAAGACTGAACTCAACAAGCTATGGGTGTAAAGCGAGCCACAACTTGCTTTACGAGTGAAATGTGAAGTGTAATATAAATGGAGCCAAGGAAAGATTTTGACTTAAAATAAATGCTCAACATTATTAATCATCAGATAAATACAAATTAAAACCACAATGAAACATCATCTTACACTAGTCAGAATGGATATCATTAAAAAGACAAAAAAGTAACATATTGAGGAGGATGTGGAGAAAATGGAACTCCTAGAAACTGTTGGTGGGAATGTAACTTAGTACAACCTCCATGGAAAACAGTATGGAAATTTCTCAAAGAACTAAAAATAGAACTACCATTGACCCAGCAATCCACTAATGGGTATCTATCCAAAGGAAAGAAATCATTACATCAAAAAGATATCTGTTTATCACAGCACTATTTGCAATAATGAAGATATGGAACCAACCTAAGTGTCCATCAATGGAAGACTGGATACAGAAAATGTAGTATATATACACAATGGAATACCATTCAGCATTAAAAAAGTGAAATCATGTCTTTTGCAACAACATGGATGGCACTGGAGGCCATTAGATAAAACAAGCTAAACACTGAAAGCCAAATATGGCATGTTCTCACCTATAAGTGGGAGCTAAATAATGTGTACACATGGACATAGAGTGTGAAATGATAGACAATGGAGACTCAGAAGGATGAGGTGGGGGAGGGTGGTGGATCATGAGAGATTACTTGGCTACCAGCTCACCATAGTGAGGTAGAGCACCAAGCAGCCTTCTAGGGTCCCCACTTCCAAACCTTGGCTCTGGGATGGAATTTCTGGACTGCCTTGGGCCAGAGGTAAGCCCACTGCCCTGAATGGAGAGACCCAGGCCTGGCAATATTTACACAAGTTGACTGATGAGCCCTTTGGCCTTGAGTGAACATTGGCAGTAGCCACACAGTACTCGCTATGGGCCTGAGGCAATGGTGGCCACAGGGAGAAACTACTGCTTGAGGAAAGGAGAGTGAAGAGTGGGAAGGTCCTTGTCTCTTGCCAGCTCAGTTATGTGAAATAGAGCACCTAGTAGATTTCTAATGTTTCTGCCTAGAGGCCCTGACTCCCAGATGGTGTTTCTGGACCTGTTGTAGGCCAGGGAGAGCTCACTGAAGGGAAGGACACAAGTCTTGTTGGATTGGTGGCCTGCTGACTGAAAAGCCCTTGGGCCTTGAGTTAACACATGGGCCTGGGTGAGACCAAGTGATGAGCTGGCTTCAGTTCTGACACAGCAGAGTCCCAGAGGTGGTGGCCACAGGGGTGCTTGTGCCACCCCTCTCCTGCCTCCAGGCAGCTTAGCAGAGAGAGAAAGACAACATTTGTTTGGGAGACAGTAAGGGAAGAGAACAAGAAACTCTGCTTGGTAATCCAGAAAATTATCTCAGATCTTAATTAAGACCACCAAGGTGGTTCTGCAAGAGTTACATTATTACTGTGCTTGGGGTGCCCCCTAATGCAGATACAGCTTCAGGGACCAAAGACTTAGATCAGAACACTCAATTCACTTTTAATACTTGGAAGGCCTTCTCAAGGAGGATGGGCGCAAACAAACCCAGACTGTGAAGACTACAATCAGTATCTAGCTCTTCAATGCCCAGACATCAACAAACATCCACAAGCAGCAAGACCATCTAGGAAAACATGGCCTCACCAAATTAAATAAGGCACCAGAGACCAATCCCAGAGTGACAGAGATATGTGACCTTTCAGACAGAGAATCCAAAATAGCTCTTTTGAGCAAGCTCAACAAAATTCAAGATAGCACAGTGAAGGAATTCAGACTCCTGTCACAGATTTGCAAGACAAAAAAAAAAAAAAAAAAAAAAAAGATGAAAAGAAATAAAATAAATCAAAGAAAGAAAGAAACAGAATCCTATAAGATAAATTTAACAAAGACATTGAAATAATTTTTAAAAATCAAGCAGATGTTCTGGAGCTGAAAAATTCTATTGACATACTAAAAATGTATCACAGTCTTCCAAAAGCAGAGTTGATCAAACATAAGAAATAATAAGTGATCTTGAAGACACATTTATTTGAAAATACGCAGTCAGAAGAGACAAAATAAACAAGAATAAAGCACACCTACAAGATATAGGAAATAGCCTCAAAAAGGCAAATCTAAGAGTCATTGGCCATATAGAGGAGGTAGAAAGGGAGAGAGATCAGGGTAGAAAGTTTATTCAAGTGGATAATAAGAGAACTTCCCAAATCTAGAGAAATATATCAATATTCAAGCATAAGAAGGCTACAGTACCCAAAGCAGATTTAATCTAAGTAAGACTACATCAAGACATTTAATAATCAAACTCCCTAAGATCAAAGATAAAGAAAGGATCTTAAGAGCAGCAGAGAAAAAAAACAAATAACATACAAAGGAGCTCCAATACAGCTGGCAGCAGACTTTTCAGTGGAAGCCTTAAAGGCCAGGAGAGAGTGGCATAACATATTTAAAATGCTGAAGGAAAAACAATCCTTTTATCCTAATTTAGTAGACCAGGCACGTTGGCTCATGCCTGTGATCCCAACACTTTGGGAGGCTGAGGTGTGTGGATCACCTCAGGTCAGGAGTTTGAGACCAGCCTGGCCAACATGGTGAAACCCCATCTCTACTAAAAATACAAAAAACTAGCTGGGTGTGGTGATGGACACCTGTAATCTCAGCTACTCAGGAGGCTGAGGCAGGAGAATTGCTTGAACCCAGGAGGCAGAGGTTGCAGTGAGCCAAGATTGCACCACTGCACTCCAGCCTGGCTGATGAAGCGAGACTTCTTCAGCACCCCAACAGAAAAAGTATATCCAGCAAAAATATCCTTCAAACATGAAGGAGAAATGAAGCCTTACCCAGATAAACAAAAGCTGAGGGACTTCATCAACACCAGATCTGTCCTACAAGACATGCTAAACAGAGTTCTTCAATCTGAAAGGAAAAAACATGTTAATGAGCAATATGATATCTGAAGGTACAAAACCCACTGGTAATAGTATACATATGCAAAGAATATTATAACACTATAACTGTAGTGTGTAAATTACTCTTAAATAGAAAGACTAAAAGATGTATCAATAAAAAATAATAACCACAATAACTTTTCAAGACACAGTACAATAAGATATAAATAGAAATAAGAAAAAGTTAAAAAGCAGGGAGGATAAAGTTAAAGTGTAGATTTTTATTAGTTTTCTCTTTGCTCGTTTGTTAGTTGATTTGTTTGTTTACACAATCAGTGTTAAACTGTTATCAGTCTAACATAATTGATCATAAGATGTTAATTGTAACCTGCATGGTACTCTCAAGTCAAAAAAAATCCAAACACCTATAAGAGACACACACAAAGTAAAAAGCAAGAAATTAAAACATACTACCAGAGAAAATCACCTTCACAAAAAGGAAGATAAGAAGGAAGGAAGAAAGGAAGGAAACCACAAAACAACCAGGACACAACAAAATAGCAGCAGTAAGCCCTTACTTATCCATAATAACATTGAATGTAAATGGACTAAACTCTCCAATCAAAAGACAGTGGCTGAATGGATAAAAATAATAAGACTTAATGATCTGTTGCCTACAAGAAATACACTTCACCAATAAAGACATGCAAGACCAAAAATAAAAGGATGAAAAAAGATATTCCATACAAATGGAAACCAAAACCAGGAATGAGTAGCTATACTTATGTCAGAAAAAAATATATTTCAAGACAAAAACTATAAAAAGAGACAAGAAATAATACACAGGTTAATTCAGCAAGAGGATATAACAATTGTAAAAACATATGTACCCAATGCTAGATCATCCAGATATATAAAGGAAATATTACTAAAGTGAGAGAGAGAGAGACGGAGAAAGAGGAGGAGAGAGAGTTAGTTTATTGCTAGCTAGAGACTTCAACAACCCACCTTCAGTATTGGACAGAAAATCGACAAAGAAACATCTGATTTAATCTGAACTATAGACCAAATGGACTTAAGAGATATTTACAGTTCATTTCATCCAACCAATGTGCAGAATACACATTCTTCTCCTCAATACATCAATCATTCTCAAGAATAGACCATATGTTAGGCCAAAATCAAGTCTTAAAACATTCATAAAATTGAAATCATATTAAGTATCTTCTCTGACCACAATGAAAAAAAACTAGAAATCAATGACAAGAGGAACTTTGGAAGTTTGAAACTTTGGGGATTTTGAAAACATATGAAAATTAAACAATATGCTTCTGAATGACCAGTGGGCCAATGAAGAAATTACAAAAGAAATTAAAAAAAATTCTTGAAACAAATGAAAGTGGAAACACAATATACCAAAACCTATGGGATACAGCAAAAGCAATACTAAGAGCAATGTTTATAGCAATAAACACCTACATCAAAGTAGAAAATCTTCAAATAAACAACCTAATGATGCATCTTAAAGAAATAGAAAAGCAAGAGCAAACTGAATCCAAAAGTAGTAGAAGAAAAGAAATAAGAATCAGAGCAGAAATAAATAAATTTGACACAAAAAACAACACAAAATCAATGAAATGAAGAGTTGGTTATTTGAAATGGTAAACAAAATTGACAAACTTTTAGGCAGACTAAGAAGAAAACCAGAAGACTCAAAAAAAAAATCATAGAGGAAAAAAAGACACAACTGATATTGCAAAAATTAAAGGGATCGTTAGAGACTACTATGAGCAAGTGTATTCCAATAAACTTGAAAACCTAGAAAAAATGGATAAATTCCTACACACATACAACTTACCAAGCTTGAACCATGAAGAAAATCTCAAACCTGAACAGACCAATAATAAGCAATGAGATTGAAGTCATGTTAAAGAGTCTCCAGGAAAGGAAAAGCCTGGGACCCAATGGATTCACTGTTGAATTTTACCAGACAGTTAAAGGAGAACTAATGCCTATCATATCCAAATTATTCTGGAAAATAGAGGTGGAAGGAATACTTCCAAACTCATTCTACAAGGCCAATATTACCCCGATACCAAAACCACATAGAGACACATTAAAAAAAAGAAAACTGTATGCCAATATCCCTGATGAAACTGATACAAAAATCCTCAACAAAATAGTAGCAAACTTAATTCAACAATACATTACAAAGATCATTCATCATGACCAAAGTGAGATTTACCCCAGAGATACCAGGATAGTTCAATTTACATGTATCAATCAGCAAGATAGATCATACCAACAGAATGAAGGACAAAAACCATTGACCACTTCAAATGATGCTGAAAAATCATTTGATAAAATTCAACATCCCTTAATGGTCAAAACCCTCAAGAAAGTAGGCATTGAAGGAACATACCTCAAAACAATAAGAGCTATATATGAAAGATCAACAGCTAGTAGCATACTGAATAGGGAAAAAACTGAAAGTATTTCCCGTAAGTTCTGGAATGTAATAAGGATACCCACTTTTACCTCTATTATTTAACATAGTACTGAAAGTTCCAGCTGGAGTAATCAGACTTGAGAGAGAAATAAAGAGTATTCAAATTGGAAAAGAAAAAGTCAAATTATCTTTGTTTGCAAATAATATGATCTTATATTTGGAGAAACCTAAAGACTTCACAAAAAAAACTATTACAACTAATAAACAAATGCAGTAAAGTTGCAGGATAAAAAAATTAACATACAAAAAAATCTTGGGAGGCTGAAGTGAGCAGATCAAGAGGTCAGGAGATCAAGACCATCCTGGCTAACATGGTGAAACCCTATTTTTACTACACACACACACACACACACACACACACACACAAAATTAGCCAGGCAAGGTGGAATGTAACTGTAGTCCCAGCTACTCAGGAGGGTGAGGCAGGAGAATCACTTGAACCTGGGAGGCAAAGGTTGCAGTGAGCCGAGATCATGCCACTACATTCCAGCCTGGGAGACCAAGCAAGACTCCGTCTCAAAAAAAAAAAAAAAAAAAAAAAAAAAAAAAAAAAAAAAAAAAATCGGCAGCATTTTTATATGCCAACAGCAAACAACCTGAAAAAGAAATCAAGAGATAGCTAGCAAGACGGCCAAATAGGAACAGCTCTGGTCCGTAGCTCCCACTGAGATCAACACAGAAGGTGGGTGATTTCTGCATTTTCAACTAAGGTACCCCATTCATCTCACTGGGACTAGTTAGACAGTGGGTGTAGCTCACGGAGGGCGAGCCGAAGCAGGGTGGGGTGTTGCCTCACCTGGGAAGTCCAAGGGGATGGGGAACTCCCTCCCCTAGCCAAGTGAAGCCATGAGGGACTGTGCCGTGAGGAATGATGCACTCAGGCCCAGATACTATGCTTTTCCCATGGTCTTCGCAACCCACAGACCAGGAGATTCCCTCCAATGCCTATGCCACCAGAGCCCTGGGTTTCAAGCCTAAAACTGGGTGGCCGTTTGGGCAGACACCAAACTAGCTGCAGGATTATTTTTTTTCATACCCCGGGGTGCTTGGAATGCAGTGAGACAGAACCGTTCACTCCCCTGGAAAGGGGGCTGAAGCCAGGGGGCCAAGTGGTTTAGCTCAGAGGAGCCCACCCCCATGGAACCCAGCAAGCTAAGATCCACTGGCTTGAAATTCTTGCTGCCATCACAGCAGTGTGAAGTCAACCTGGGATGCTAGAGTTTGGTGGGAGGAGGGGCATCCACCACTAATGAGGCTTGTGTAGGTAGTTTTTCCCTCACAGTGTAAACAAAGCCACCAGGAAGTTCGAACTGGGTGGAGCCCACCACAGCTCAGCAAAGCCGCTGTAGCCAGACTGCCTCTCTAGTTTCCTCCACTCTGGGTAGGGCATCTCTGAAAGAAAGGCAGCAGCCCCAGTCAGGGCCTTATAGATAAAACCCATCTCCCTGGGACAGAGCACCTAGGGGAAGGGGCAGCTTCAGCAGACATAAACGTCCCTGCCTGATGGCTCTGAAGAAAGCAGCAGCTCTCCCAGTACAACGTTCGAGCTCTGATAGGGGACAGACTGCCTCCTCAAGTGGGTCCCTGACCCCCGTGTCTCCTGACTGGGAGACACCTCCAAGCAGGGGCCGACAAACACCTCATACAGGAGAGTTCTGGCTGGCATCTGGCAGGTGCCCCTCTGGGATGAAAGTTCCAGAGGAAGGAACAGGCAGCAATCTTTGCTGTTCTGCAGCCTCCATTGGTGATACCCAGGCAAACAGGGTCAGGAACAGACCTCCAGCAAACTCCAGCAGACCTGCAGCAGAGAGGCCTGACTATTAGAAGGAAAACTAACAAACAGGAATAGCATCAACATCAACAAAAAGATGTCCAGATACAGAAACCCAATCTGAAGGTCACCAACATCAAACACCAAAGGTAGATAAATCCATGAAGATGGGGAGAAACCAGGACAAAAAGGCTGAAAATTCCAAAAACAAGAATGCCTCTTCTCCTCCAAAGGATTTCAACTCCTCACCAGTAAGGCAACAAAACTGGAAGGAGAAAGAGTTTCACAAATTGACAGAAGTAGGCTTCAGAAGGTGGGTAATAACAAACTCCTCCAATCTAAGGGAGTGTGTTCTAACCCAATGAAAGGAAGCTAAGAACCTTGAAAAAAAGTTAGAGGAATTGCTAACTAGAATAACCAGTTTAGAGAAGAACATAAATGACCTGATGGAGCTGAAAAACAAAGCGCGAGAACTTCATGAAGCATATGCAAGTATCAACAGCTGAATTGATCAAGCAGAAGAAAGGATATAAGAGATTAAAGATCAACTTAATCAAATAAAGTGTGAAGACAAGATTGGAGAAAAAAGAATGGAAAGGAACAAACAAAGCCTCCGAGAAATATGGGACTATGTGAAAAGAGCAAATCTATATTTGATTGGTGTACTTGAAAGTGACAGGGAGAATGCAATCATGTTGGAAAACACTCTTAACGATATTACCCAGGAGAACTTCCCCAACCTAGCAAGAGAGGCCAACATTCAAATTCAGGAAACACAGAGAACACCACAAAGGTACTCCTCGAGAAGAGCAACCCCAAGACACATAAACATCAGATTCATCAAGGTTGAAATGAAGGAAAAAATGTTAAGTGCAGCCAGAGAGAAAGGTCTGGTTACCCACAAAGGGAAGCCAATCAGCGGATCTCTCTGCAGAAACCCTACAAGCCAGAAGAGAGTGGAGGCCAATATTCAACATTCTTAAAGAAAAGAACTTTCAACCCAGAATTTCATATCCAGCCAAGCTAAGCTTCATAAGTGAAGGAGAAATAAAATCCTTTACAGACAAGCAAATGCTGAGAGATTTTCTCAACACCAGGCCAGCCTTGTAAGAGCTCCTGAAGGAAGCACTAAATATAGAAAGGTAAAACTGGTACCAGCAACTGCAAAAACATACCAAACTGTAAAGATCATTGATGCTATGAAGAAACTGCGTCAACTAACAGGCAAAATAACCAGCTAGTATCATAATGACAGGATCAAATTCACACATAACAATATTAACCTTAAATGTAAATGGACTAAATGCCCCAAATAAAAGACACAGACTGGCAAATTGGACAAAGAGTAAAGACCATCGACATGCTATATTCAGGTGTGCCCATCTCATGTGCAAAGACACACATAGGCTCAAAATAAAGGGATGGAGGAATATTTACCAAGCAAATAGAAAGAAAAAAAAAAGCAGGGGTTGCAATCCTAGTCTCTGATAAAACAGACTTTAAACCAACAAAGATCAAAAGAGACAAAGAAGGCCATTACATAATGGTAAAGGGATCAATGCAACAAGAAGAGCTAACTCTCCTAACTATATATGCACCCAACACAGGAGCACCCAGATTCATAAAGCAAGTTCTTAGAGACCTACAAAGAGACTTAGACTCCCACACAATAATAATGGGAGACTTTAACACCCCACTGTCAACATTAGACAGATCAACAAGACAGAAAGTTAACAAGGATATACAGAAATTGAATTCAGCTCTGCACCGCGCAGACCTAATAGACATGTACAGAACTCTCCACCCCAAATCAACAGAATATACATTCTTCTCAGCACCACACCGCACTTATTCCAAAATTGACCACAGAGTTGGAAGTAAAGCACTCCTCAGCAAATGTAAAAGAACAGAAATGATAACAAACTGTCTCTCAGATCACAGTGCAATCAAACTAGAACTCAGGATTAAGAAACTCATTCAAAACTCCTCAGCTACATGGAAACTGAACAACCTGCTCCTGAATGACTACTGGGTACATAACAAAATGAAGGCAGAAATAAAGATGTTCTTTGAAACCAATGAGAACAAAGGCACGACATACCAGAATCTCTGGGACACATTTAAAGCAGTGTGTAGAGGGAAATTTATAGCACTAAATGCCCACAAGAGAAGTCAGGAAAGATCTAAAATCTACACCCTAACATCACAATTAAAAGAACTAGAGAAGCAAGAGCAAACACATTCAAAAGCTAACAGAAGGCAAGAAATAACTAAGATCAGAGCAGAACTGAAGGAGATAGAGACACAAAAAACCATTCAAAAAATCAATGAATCCAGGAGCTGGTTTTTTGAAAAGATCAACAAAATTGATAGACCACTAGCAAGACTAATAAAGAAGAAAAGAGAAAAGAATCAAATAGGCGCAATAAAAAATGATAAAGGGGATATCACCACCGATCCCACAGAAATACAAACTACCACCAGAGACTACTATAAACACCTCTATGCAAATAAACTAGACAATCTAGAAGAAATGGATAAATTCCTGGACACATACACCCTCCCAAGACTAAACCAGGAAGAAGTTGAATCCCTGAATAGACCAATAACAGGCTCTGAAATTGAGGAAATAATTAATAGCTTACCAACCAAAAACAGTCCAGGACCAGATGGATTCACAGCCGAATTCTACCAGAGGTACAAGGAGGAGCTGGTACCATTCCTTCTGAAACTATTCCAATCAATAGAAAGAGAGGGAATCCTCCCTAACTCATTTTATGAGGCCAGCATCATCCGGACACCAAAGCCTGGCAGAGACACAACAAAAAGAGAATTTTAGACCAATATCCCTGATAAGCATTGATGCAAAAATCCTCAATGAAATACTGGTAAACCAAATGCAGTAGCACATCAAAAAGCTTAACCACCATGATCAAGTGGGCTTCATCCCTGGGAAGCAAGGCTGGTTCAACATATGCAAATCAATTCACGTAATCCATCATATAAACAGAACCAATGACAAAAACCACGTGATTATCTCAATAGATGCAGAAAAGGCCTTTGAGAAAATTCAACAGCCCTTCATGCTAAAAACTCTCGATAAATTAAGTATTGATGGGAGGTATCTCAAAATAATAATAGCTATTTATGAGAAACCCACAGCCAATATTGTACTGAATGGGCAAAACTGGAAGCATTCCCTTTGAAAACGGGCACAAGACAGGGATGCCCTCTCTCACCACTCCTATTCAACTTAGTGTTGGAAGTTCTGGCCAGGGCACTCAGGCAGGAGAAGGAAATAAACGGTATTCAATTAGGAAAAGATGAAGTCAAATTGTCTCTGTTTGCAGATGACATGATTGTATATTTATAAAACCCCATCATCTCAGCCCAAAATGTCCTTAAGCTGATAAGCAACTTCAGCAATGTCCCCGGACACAAAATCAATGTGCAAAAACCACAAGCATTCTTATACACCAATAAAAGACTAACAGAGAGCCAAATCATGAGTGAACTCCCATTCACAATTGCTTCAAAGAGAATAAAATACCTAGGAATACAACTTACAAGGGATGTGAAGGACCTCTTCAAGGAGAACTACAAACCACTGCTCAGTGAAATAAAAGAGGATACAAACAAATGGAAGAATATTCCATGCTCATGGATAGGAAGAATCAATATTGTGAAAATGCCCATACTGCCCAAGGTAATTTATACATTCAATGCCATCCCCATCAAGCTACCAATGACTTTCTTCACAGAATTGGAGAAAACTACTTTAAAGTTCATATGGAACCAAAAAAGAGCCCACATTGCCAAGACAATCCTAAGCCAAAAGAACAAAGCTGGAGGCATCACACTACCTGACTTCAAACTATACTACAAGGCTACAGTAACCAAAACAGCATGGTACTGGTACCAAAACAGAGATATAGACCAATGGAACACAACAGAGCCCTCAGAAATAATACCACACATCTAAAACCATCTGATCTTTGACAAACCTGAGAAAAACAAGAAATGGGGAAAGGATTCCCTATCTAGTAAATGGTGCTGGGAAAACTGGCTAGCCATATGTAGAAAGCTGAAACTGGATCCCTTCCTTACACCTTATATGAAAATTAATTCAAGATGGATTAAAGACTTAAATCTTAGGCCTAAAACCATGAAAACCCCAGAAGAAAACCTAGGCAATACCATTCAGGGCATAGGCATGGGCAAGGATTTCATGTCTAAAACAACAAAAGCAATGGCAACAAAAGCCAAAATTGACAAATGGGATCTAATTAAACTAAAGAGCTTCTGCACAGCAAAAGAAACTACCATCAGAGTGAACAGGCAGCTTACAGAATGGGAGAATATTTTTGCAATCTACTCATCTGACCAAGGGCTGATATCCAGAATCTACAAAGAACACAAACAAGCTTACAGGAAAAAAACAAACAATCCCATCAACAAGTGGGCGAAGGATATGAACAAACACTTCTCAAAAGAAGACATTTATGCAGCCAACAGACACATGAAAAAATGCTCATCATCAGTGGCCATCAGAGAAATGCAAATCAAAACCAAAACGAGATACCATCTCACACCAGTTAGAATGGTGATCATTAAAAAGTCAGGAAACAACAGATACTGGAGAGGATTTGGAGAAATAGGAACACTTTTACACTGTTGTTGGGACTATAAACTAGTTCAACCATTGTGGAAGATAGTGTGGCGATTCCTCAAGAATCTAGAACTAGAAATACCATTTGACCCAGCAATCCCATTACTGGGTATATACCCAAAGGATTATAAAACATGCTGCTGTAAAGTCACATGCACATGTATGTTTATTGCAGCACTATTCACAATGCCAAAGACTTGGAACCAACCCAAATGTCCATCAGTGATAGACTGGATTAAGAAAATGTGGCACATATACACCATGGAATACTATGCAGCCATAAAAAATAATGAGTTCATGTCCTTTGTAGGGACATCAATGAAGCTAGAAACCATCATTCTCAGCAAACTATCGCAAGGGCAACAAACCAAACACTGCATGTTCTCACTCACAGGTCGGAATTGAAGAATGAGAACACTTGGACACAGGAAGGGGAACATCACACACTGGGGCCTGTTGTGGGGTGGGGGAAGGGGGAGGGATATCATTAGGAGATAGACCTAATGTAAATGACGAGTTAATGGGTGCAGCATACCAACATGGCACATGTATACATATGTAAGAAACCTGCACATTGTGCACATGTACCCTAGAACTTAAAGTATAATAATAATAATAATAATAATAATAAAATATATAACTGGAACAGCAACAAAAATAAAATAAATAAAATAAAAAATTAAATAAATTACTTTTTTCTAAAAACATGTGGGTTTGTCTAAACAAACAAACAAAAAATCCTCTTCCTTTCTCAAGAAAAGGAAAAACATTTATAACCATGTTCCCTGGAATGTAAAGAGCCCACCTTCCACATTCACAGAAACTTAACTTATTAAATATTGATTCAGGGCTTTTACATTTTTTAACACAAAAATTATGATAATCAACTGTTAAATAGACAAATATTGAATAGATCACTTTTTTAACTTTTAATTTTTAAATAATTGTAGATTCACAGGAAATTCCAAAACAAAAAACAAAACCATGTACAGGGAGGTGCCTTTTACCGTTCGTCCAGTTTCTCCCAATGATAACATTTTTGCATAACTATTGTACAATATCAAAACCAAGAAAATTACATTGGTACAATCCACAGAGTTTATCAGATTTCACTAGTTTTGTAAGTACATCTGTGTGTGTGTGTGCGTGTGCATGTGTGTGATCTGCTGTAGATCTGTGCAACCATCACCATGAAGATACAGAACTGCTTTATCACTGCAAGGCTCCCACCACCACTACCTCTTTATGGCAACACCCACTCTACTCCAACCTCCCATCCCTAACACCTGGCAACTACCAATTTGTGTTCCATCCATCTCTACAATTTTATTTCAAGAACACAATATAAACGGAATCTGATAGTATGTAACTTTTTTTTTCTTTTTTTAGACAGAGTCTTGGACTGTCACCCAGGCTGGAGTGCAATGGCATGATCTTGGCTCACTGCCACCTCCGACTCCTGGGTTCAAGGGATTATCCTTCCTCAGCCTCCTGAGTAGCTGGGATTACAGGCGCTCTCCACCACACCCAGCTAATTTTTTGTAGTTTTAGTAGAGATGGGGTTTCACTATTTTGGCCAGGCTGGTCTCGAACTCCTGACCTCGTGATCTGCCAGCCTTGGCCTCCCAAAGTGCTGGGATTACAGGCATGAGCCACCACGCCCGTCCGATAGTATGTAACATTTTAAGATTGGCTTTTCTCATTCGGCATAATTACCTTAAGATACATCCAAATTGTTGCTTGTATCAATAGTTCATTCCTTCATATTGCTAAGTAATATTGAATGGTATGGATGGAACACAGTTTGTTTAACCATTCACCCATTGAAGGACATTTGAGTTGCTTCCAGTTTTTGATATTACGAATAAGCTGCTAAGAATATTCATGAACAGGATTTTGCATGAACATAAGTTCTCATTTCCCTATGATAAATGCCCAATAATGCATATTTACTGCATATTTAGTTTTCTTTTAAAGAGACTGCCAAGCTGTTTTCCAGAGTGGCTGTGCCATTTTACATTCCCACCAGCATTGTATAAATTGATCCAATTTCTCTGCCATTCTGATAGTAGTGATATGTTTTCTATAGTGATGTTTTCATGGCAGGTAGGTTTTTAAAAGCTTCCTCTCATTATCTCTGATAGGTTATCCATTAACAATGATGGAATATGCTTCTTAGAAAATTTTTTACATCAACAGATAAAATTGTATGTATTTACCATTGTACAACATGATGTTATGAAGTACATATACCCTGTGAAATGACTAAATCTAGCTAATAAGCATATGCATTAGCTTACATAGAATACTCTTAACCTAAATAACAGAAAATGTTTTGTCACTACTGATATTCTTTGCACTTTGAATGAGAAAGCATGTATATTCAAAATATTGTTCTGGTTTTTTAAATGAGAAAATGTATATTAGGCATGTTTCATGTACATTTAAATGCTAAATTAGTGTAGGCTATTAGTAGTAAACTAGTAACAGTAATAATAGTGGTAATAATTTTAGTAGGAAGAGTGGTAGTAGCGGTACAGCACTGCTAAACCCTCCATGGTACAGAGTTTCTGTAGGATAAAAATAAGTAGTTAATTCTATGTACCTGGAAAACAAATGCATATTTATTTTGCAGGATAAAGTTCTATAGTAAACCAAGTTTGTTAACACTTGTTAAGACCAAGCTTATTAACCAAGTTGTTTAACACTTACATAACCTTATTAATATTTTTTATTTGAATGTGCATTTGCCAATTTCTCCCTAAAATCCTATCCATGTTTACTTTCCATATTTCAAAGCTTTATTGCTAGCACATACAAATTCATGATTATTATATTACTTTTGTATTGTTTCTTTTAGGACAACAGATATCTGGTGCATCTCTTTTCATCACTCTATTGTCAATATTCCTGTGTTATTTTGTTTTAAATGAGTCTCTTGTAAGCAACATTAATGTGTTTTTTCTTTGTGTCCAAAGTGATAATCTCTTTTTTATGAGTGACTTTTTAGAGAAATTTCCTACATATCAGGACTCATTTCTACTCTGATTTGGTATTTTCTATCTCATACTTTGTCCATCTTTATTCCTGCTTTCTGTTGAATTGATAACATTTTCTATACTTCTTCCCGCAAGCACACCCACAGGCATACATGCACATGCACACATACACATGTACATTGTTTTTCTCTTCATGTTTGAGGGCTATAAATTTCCTCTACTAGTTGGAACCTATAGCATAATAATTTGTAAGATCATATTGGAAGAAATGGCAGACCAAATATCATTTGGGTAAATCAAACAGGGATTACTGCTCTAAAGGATAGGGAAGAAAGCCATCAAAAATAGAATTTACAGAAAAAAGATTAGCAACATTCTCTAGAAGAGATAGCAGTTCAAACTTTAAGACCCCAAAACTTCACCTGTATGGATAATAATGTCTACCTAATTAAAGGACATATCAGAAATTCAGTCAGCATAAATGTCCTTCTCCTGGTCCATATGCTCATATGCCAGTCAGGATCTGTGGATGTGGGTTGACAAGGTACAGGTGGATGACAATCTGGAGTCATGAACTATGTAATATGGCAGGGTATAGAATAGCACAGCACACTCAGACACAACCACAGCCCGGACTTGTCACCTTCAACCTCACCAATGAAAGCCTCATCCAAGTATATTTCTGAATTCAGGAAGTGGAATTTACACACAGATATTTAGGTATCATGGTAAAGGAGATTCTAGCTAATCTATAGAACCTAACTGGTGCATAGTTAACTGTAAGTTTTTCTAACAAAATCTGAGGGCATTATTGGAGACATTTTGTATCCTCCAAAGCAAGCAAAATCTTTAACATGCTTCAACTACCCTTTGAATATTACTACTATCCCGTATTCCTTATTGTTTTTTGCTAGGGTTTTGTTATCTCTTACAAACACATTCTAAAAGCTGAGTTATTTTTATAATCTTTTGTTTTAACTTTTAGGCTCAGGGGTACATGTGCAGATTTGTCACATAGGTAAACTTGTGTCACAGGGGTTTGTTGTCACAGATTATTCCATCACCCAGTTACTAAGCCTTGGACCAAATATATTATTTTTTATGATCCTCTCCCGTCTCCTACCCTCCACCCTTAAGTAGAACCTGCTGTCGGTTGTTCCCCTCTTTGTGTCCATGTGTTCCTATCATTTAGCTCCCACTTATAAGCAATAACATGCAGTATTTGGTTTTCTGTTCCCGTGTTAGTTTGCTATGGATGATGGCCTCTAGCTCCATTCATGTTCCTGCAAATAATCTCATTCTTTTTTAATGGCTGTATCATATTCCATGGTGTATATGTACCACATTTTCTTTATCCAGTCTACCACTGATAGTTATTTAGGTTGATTTCATGTCTTTGCTACTGTGGATAGTGCTGCAATGAACATTCACATGCATGTGTCTTTATGGTAGAATGCTTTATATTCCTCTGGGTATATACCAAGTGTATTAGTCTGTTTTCATGCAGCCGATAAAGACATACCTGAGACAGGGCAATTTAGAAAAGAAAGAGGTGTAATAGACTTAGAGTTCCACATGGCTGGTCATACCTCACAATCATGGTGGAAGGCAAGTTCTTAGAGACCTACAGAGAGACTTAGACTCCCACACACTAATTGTGGGAGATTTTATATGCTCCACTGTCAATATTAGACTGATCAACAAGACAAAAAATTAACAAGGATATTCAGGACTTGAACTCAGCTCTGGGCCAAGCGCACCTAATAGACATCTACAGAACTCTCCACCCCAAATCAACAGAATATACATTCTTCTAAGCACCACATCACACTTATTCTAAAATTGGCCACATAATTGGAAGTAAAACACTCCCCAGCAAATGCAAAAGAACAGAAACAATAACATACAGTCTCTCAGACCCCAGTGCAATCAAATTAGAACTCAGGATTAAGAAACTCACCAAAACTTTACAACTATATGGAAACTGAACAACCTACTCCTGAAGGACTACTGGGTAAATAAGGAAATTAAGGCAGAAATAAATAAGTTCTTTGAAACCAATGAGAACAAAGACATAATGTACCAGAATCTCTGGAACACATTTAAAGCAATGTTTAGAGGGAAATTTATAGCACTAAATGCCCACAAGAGAAAGCAGGGAAGATCTAAAATCAACACTCTAACATAACAAAAGAACTAGAGAAGCAAGAGCAAACAAATTCAAAAGCTAGTGGAACACAAGAAATAACTAAGATCAGACTGGAATTGAACAAGATAGAGACTTGCCATTCTTGACAGAAATAGAAAAAATAATCCTAAAATTTATATGGAAGCATAAAAGACCCAGAATAGCCAAAGCCATCCTGAGCATAAAGAACAAAACTGGAGGAATCACATTACCTGATTGCAAATTGTACTACAGAGATATTGCTTCAAAAAATCAATGAATCCAGGAGATGGTTTTTTGAAAAGATCAACAAAATAGATAGACCGCTAGCCAGACTAATAAAGGAAAGAGAGAAGAATCAAATAGATGTGATAAAAAGTGATAAAGGGGATATCACCACTGATCCCACAGAAATACAAACTACCATCAGAGAATACTAAAAGCACGTCTATGAAAATAAACTAGAAAGTCTAGAGGAAATGGATAAATTCCTGGACACATAAACCCTCCCAAGTCTAAACCAGGAAGAAGTCGAATCCCTGAATAGACCAGTAATAAGTTCTAAAACTGATGCGGTAATTAATAGCTTACCATTCCAAAAAAGTCCAGAACCAGACAGATTCACAGCCTAGTTTTACCAGAGGTACAAAGAGGACCTGATACCATTCCTTCTGAAACTATTCCAAACAATAGAAAAAGAGGGAATCCTCCCTAACTCATTTTATGAGGCCAGCATCATCCTGATAACAAAACCTGGCAGAGACACAACAAAAAAAGACAATTTCAGGCCAATATCCCTGATGAACATTGACACAAAAATCCTCAATAAAATACTGGCAAACCGAATGTAGCAGCACATCAAAAAGCTCATCCACCATGATCAGATCAGCTTCATCCCTGAGATGAAAGGCTGGTTCAACACACGCAAATCAATAAATATAATCCATCACATAAACAGAACCAATGACAAAAATCACATGATTATCTCAATAGATGCAGAGAAGGCCTTGGACAAAATTCAACATCCCTTTATGCTAAAAACTCTCAATAAACTAGGTATTGATGGAATGTATCTCAAAATAATAAGAGCTGTTTATGACAAACCCACAGCCAATATCATACTGAATGGGCAAAAACTCGAAGCATTCCCTTTGAAAACTGGCACAAGACAAGGATGCCCTCTCTCACCACTCCTATTCAACACAGTATGGGAAGTTCTGGGAGGGCAATCAGGCGAGAGAAATAAATAAAAGATATTCAAATAGGAAGAGAGGAAGTAAAATTGTCTCTGTTTGCAGATGACATGATTGTATATTTAGAAAACCCCATCATCTCAGCCCAAAATCTCCTTAAGCTGATAAGCAACTTCAGCAAATTCTCAGGATACAAAATCAACATGCAAAAATCACAGGCATTCATATACACCAATAATAGACAGAGAGCCAAATCATGAGCGAACTCCCATTCACAATTGCTACAAAGGGAACTAAATACCTAGAAATAAAACTTACAAAGGATATGAAGGACCTCTGCAAGGAGAACTACAAACCATTGCTCAAGGAAATAAAAGAGGACACAAACAAATGGAAAAACATTCCAGACTCATGTAATTAGATTAGGCCTATGCCCTGTCATCTCCGTTTTGCCAGATTACTGTAACAGTCACAGAAGTAACACTGGGCAGTAAAGGTCATGGGAACCACTTTAAAATTCTTCCTATGACATTTTTTTCTGTTGTTCCATTTTTTTCTGTTCTATTGTGTTTCAGAACAGATTACTTTCCTTAAATAAAAACCTATTTATGAAAAGTAAATATATGTAATATTTTAAAAAGTTTCTAATTATCTTATGTTTAAAATGGAATAATAACAGTAACCAGTCACAGGATTGGAATTAGGACCAAATAAGGTAATGTATATGAAACATTTATAAACTTTGAAGCTGTCAGTAAGCATTAGTTATACTTAATTTAACTTTTGTCTAGATTCATAGAGATGAAAAAGATAGTCAAATGGTCATATGGTTTAGTAGTTTCTAAAGTTTTAGAAATTATAGAATGTCTCCTACCATGCTATTTTAATATCACAATAGATCCTTGAAGTAAGGGCAGCTATCATCAATATCACATATTTTTACTTGGTTTCAGTGTCTTGAAATTTCGTAGAACAGGTATTGCAAGATATTTCAAAAACTATCTTTTTTTCACACAAAGAATTTAATAAAAATTGTTTTTAATACAGCATTTCGAACATGGGAAACTCAAGGATGGCATGACAGATATAATATTTCTTACAATATGTCTGAAATATATGTTTGGGAGAGAGAAAATGAAGTCAACATTCCAGGGCTTTGGGACGTCTATCCTCTTAGGAGGGAGATGGCTAATGTGAAGGAATAATAACGGAACAAAAGGTCCTAGCATGTTCTGATGGGTTCCACTTGGTTCAGACAACCAAAATAAGTGATTAAGTCATGTCTCAAATCATTGAGGTTTATTGAGCCAGCTTGAGGGTGCAACTGGGAAAAAACTCCAGTCACAGAAGCATCTGTGGCCATTTTTTCCAAAGAGGTTCTCAGGAGATTTAGTATTTATACGTTTTCCTTAAAAAGGGGCCAGGGGTGGCAGTGAGACAAATGATTATATACTTCTGAGACTTTAGTCAGTGCCCAGTAAATCTACATTCTATATAAGGTAAGGTGCATCTTGGGGATGGGTGAAGGAAGGATTAATTTTATTTTTGTTACCTACCTGGGAAGATAAGCTAGTGGTCTTTTGAAAGAACTGGTTTTTGTTTAGTCCTTAGGAAAGAAAACCTAATGACTCAGCTAGGAGGAGGGTATAATGAGGCATGTCCAATCTCCCATCCCATCATGGCTGTAAATTCAGCTTTCAAGATTTCTCTGGGATTCCCTTGGCCAAGAGGGAGTCTGTTCAGTTAGTTGAATCTACTGATCCAAATGCTAATCTCTTCAATTAACCCTCTCACAGACACACCCAGAAATAATGTTATACCAGCTATCTGGGCTTAACCTAGTCATATTGACACAAAATTAACCATCACATGTTCTTTACCTGATGGACACTTCCAAGGTACAATGATTCTATGGAGGCAGTCTTGATTAGTCCTTCATAAGGAACAAATTTATATTTTCTTTAAACCTATGACTAGCTCAGTAATTGATACCTTGTATTTAATTTCCACCTTTGTCTGTCTCACTTTTCTTTCTTCCACATTTTTAATGTCCTAGAATTGAATGACCGAATAAAATATTAGTGGATTAGCTTTGCCTAATTCTCTGTTTTCTGGGGAACTCAGGCTAAGATTCCTTCATTTATTCAGCAACTATATTGAATAAATATTATTAAGTGAATATTGTTGTTGGATGTCTACTCTGTGCCACATAATGTTTAAAGCGCTTGGGATACATCAACGAACAAAGTAGACAAAAATCTTTGCCCTTTCTGAGTTACTTTCTTGGAGAGGGAGAAAGAGAGAGAATACTAAAAGTAATGAACAAGTAGATTTTACAGTATATATGATAGAAAGTGATAAGAGAGCACATAATCAGCTTCATTTTCCAGTTTTTCTTCTACCAATCTCCTTCTCTTCTCCCAAGTCCATCTCTCACCATTTCTTTTCTTTTCCTTTACACTCCAACAACTTTGAATTACTTACAGTTTCCTCTCCCTTTGAGGTCCCCCAACACCCCATGCTATTTTCCATCTCCATGCCTTTGCTTTGCAGCTGCCATAGCTGGAATGACCTCCACATATTCCTTTTCTCTCTAGCTATTCAGACTCACCTCAGGATCATGTTTTCAGGAAATCTTACCTGATTTCTTTCTCTGCTTTCCCCAAGCTATTTTAGGGGTTAGTCTAGACTTCCATAATTCCCTTATAAATATCTTTATCATTATACACTCATGTTATTTTTAAAGCATAATTATTTGTGTTTTTATGTTTTCTACTAATCTGGATTTCACTGAGGACAGGGACTATGTCATATATACTGTTTTACTCCTAACACATAGGATGGTGTTCAGTAACATTATTTTACATAAATGACTAAATGAAAATACATAGTAATGAGGTTCCAGAATTATGAGCTATGGAAGTCCACTATTAAGGTCTCATTGGAAAGGTTAAAAAAGCAAGACATTTGGAGACACAAAATAAGTAAAGTTAAAGAGAAGCAGCAGCAGATTTGGGGTTGGTTCAGTGCAGAGTTGGCTTCAATTTATGTGCTCTGAATTATACTCTGTGGTACATTAATTGCACAAAGTGACCACAATTCTTTCCCCCGATTATCCTATTGCAATGCTTGCATCTCTTCACTTCAAGGTGTAGAGTCTTTTTCCTTATCTCTTGAATCTAGGCTGGACTTTTGACTTGCCTTTGTTAAAATAATTCATTGAAAATGACTGTTTTGAACCTGAGCCTCAAGAGACATTGCACTTTCACTTCCCTTGTAAACTCTTCCCTCTGCCATGAGAACAAACCTGGTTAGTCTGTTATCCTGGAACTAGGCTGAGTCATCCCAGCTGAACCACCAGCTGATGGGAGACACATGAGCAAGTCCCATCAAGCTCAGCTAAATCTATTCACGTGAGCAGAACTACCCAGCTGACCCAGAGACTCATGAAGAAATCATAAATACTACCTGTTTAAAGCTACTAGATTTGGTGATAGTTTATTACACAACAATAACTATTAATTAATGATGTGGAACTTCAAGTGGAAAGTTTGTTTCAGAGCACTCATTGTGGTACAAAGTGTTTTCTGATTTTTTAGAGAGTGACTTTATGGTGTTTGTAGAAATGATATGTATTATAAAAAAGTTTAAGCAATATGAGTACCACAAAAAAGTATAAAATTACACCACCTAGTTACATATTTACTTTATAGCTAAATATGCATATTTCAAACCATATATTATGTGAAATAATATATCAGTTTATAAATTTAAATGTTATTCTCTCATATTTTAAGAAATAACTTAAACCCTTTATTTGTATATTTGATATTAATAATTGTTCTTGATTATTAGAGCCGCTTTTTGAGTTGTCTAACAGTTTTCCAGAGAATGTCATTTTGACTGCTAGGTCATTTGGCATGTAGCATTATTTGAAGTCTATCTAATGCTGTCACTAAATGTTTTTTCTAAAGTGATAAGTATATGTTTCCATAATAGGAGGGAAGTTGTTTCTTCATTTACCCTGTAGGTGATCTCAAAAATGTTGCTATTCACTATATTGATTTTAAGTTTTTTTAAAGGCAAATATCAATTGAATAGTGAATAATTTTTATAAAATATGTGTGCTGTACTTAAAAGTTATGGTACAAAAAATACCTAGCTTCAGAAATAGAACATTATCATCCTCTTTTAACATTGTTCTGATCTTCCTCCTCAGTCTTTTACCCCTTTCTTTGCCCTCAGAGATAACTACCATACTGAATTTAATTTTTCCCCTTGCTTCTTCTTAAACTTATTTATTTATTTATATCATGAGAACATTTGTTCCTGAGATTCAGCATTGATATTGTATATACCTGTAATTGTTAACTCATTAATATACATTGCTGTTTGGTATTCCAGTGTACATATAGCGTGATCTATTTATTCATTTATGTTGGTTATGAAAGTAATGTTAATTTCTGTTACAATCTAAACATCACATTTGTTAAATATAATATAATTAATATAATATAATATAATATAATATAATATAATATCTTTCATTTCACCGTCCAAAGTGAATCAATTTTTGTGTAGGTGGGGTGGGGTGGGGGGTTCGTGGAGGGGTATGAGGAATGTTTCTGCTTCATGTAGTAATTCAGAAATCTAGATTCCTTTTATAATGAAGCTCCTCTGTATTCAATACATGGCTTTGAGGTTACACTGGCATCATGCAGTCAGCAGAGAGAAAAGGATCATACAGAAGGCATGCTTAGTTTTAACTGCTGTGTGCACTGTCTTTGATGAGAAACAGTTGAAGGCCTCGTTTTGATGCAAGTGAGGATACCTGACAATGTGGTTTATCTGTGTGCTTAGAGGATAATAAAATTGTTTGATGAATGCATAGCATTGTTATTTCTACAATCTTCTAGACACTAAATATCCATTTAACTTTTATTCTCATACTCACCTTCTTTCCAATAGAGGCAATTGAAAGTCCAACCTCAGCTAAAAATTCACATCCTTATTCTGTCTTCACAAGCCTATAGCTTAATGGACTTTGTTGCCTCAAGAATTTTATGTCTTACTGTGTGGTTTCTAGCAGTGATCAGATTTCCCATTCTTCAAGGCTCTACATTTCTTGCCCCTCTAATCCCTTTCAAATTCCATCCTGATTTAGTTATTTCCTAAAATAGTTAGCTGCCCTCTAACCCTTCTACTCTCTGTAATCACCTTCCACTATGTACATGGCTCATTTTCCAACCTCTGATATCAGTTTCCTTGCCACCCAGCATCCGACTGCTCGGCTAATGACATCTATTTAAGGATCTGTTAAGCCAAAGTATAAATTATTATGTTATTCAGAATAGACTACTTATTGCCAAAAATCAATATGAAAATCTCAGTGGCTTAATGTTATTTCTCACTCAAATCTCAGGCTTCTTGAATGGTTGGTGGGTGATCTTCCCTGCTGTAATTCAAGGGATCACCATCTTACTTCTTGGGGCACTGCTATTTTCAACCTCTGGCACATATAGAATGCGAAGAGAGTATGGGAGGTTGCACGTGGGCAATTTGTCATTTTTATCATTTCCATCCACAATGCCTATATTGTGTATTATAAAAAGTGTAAAACAATATATATAAAGTGTTTCTGGGAGATGGCTTTATGAGTATTTTAAATTTTATTTCATGTTTGCTTCTTTGCTTGTCCCAGGATTCCTGGAGGAAACATTATATCCCTTTTGCAGTAAGTTAAAAATTATAATTGAATAACTTGCTTCAGAAATGAAAGTATGAATTTTACAACATGAGCTAAGCATTAAATACTAAACTGGTTAGAAAGGTACATCTGGAAAAACCTTTGAGTATTCAAATATTTCAGACAAAACTTGTTAATATAGTTTTTCACGACCACAGATATTGATCTCTGATTTATCCAAGGCTTTAATTGATAGTTTGAAAAGGAAAATATTAGAAAATATTAATAGTATTAATATCTTTTTTATGGCTATTTTATGCCTTTATAGGTCAGATGCTTAATTACTTATTTGCTAGATGCATTCTTGAAGCCTTTGTTTCTATGTTTCTTAGAGAAAAATTTCAAACTTCATTCAAAAATGTCTTCATTTCAATTTAAAAAACGACTTGATGGCCATCACATGCTTATCACAGGGAAGTTAAAGTAGAAGCTTATGACATGTGTCTTCTCCGAAATTCCTACAAAAAATGAACACTATTATGTTTGGGATGATGAAGAAGGAAAGAAACCAATTATGAAAAATCATAATGGGCAAATTAGCATTTAGGTGAAAAATTACAGGTGTGGAAGAATTCCCTTATTTTAGGATTTTAAAAAATGCGTCCTTATTTTCCCCTCCTAATTTGGCTTCTTGTCTTTCAAAAATTTTATTTTTATTGTTAACATACTAGTGATTTTTGTACATTGATTTTGTATCCTGAAACTTTGTTGACAAAACTGTGTAACTCCACTCAGTGACATCAGAAGTCAGTTTATACTTTGGCAGGTACTGGGCAAATGTTGTTGTTCTTAGCATTGGTCAGAGTGGACACTGCCCCTATGGCTTGGTCCTCACTACAGAGTGCAGCTGAAGCAGGAAATGGTCTGATGCATTTATGTTTTGTGTAGGAATCTGGGAGGATGCAAGAGACGTTGGAAGTGTGATTAGAATATGTCCCCCAATTTCTTGTTTCATTTATTCTGAGGAAACTATTTGTCCTGTTATCTGGGTGAGACCTGTAGGGGATTGGACCCAAATCTAAAACTCTGAATCAAAGAAGAAGATGCAGCTAAAAGAAAAAGGAGGAAGTCCAGAATTGAGAAAAGCCTATAGGATGGTGGTTATATAATCCTTAATAAATAATTTTAGAGCTAATTCACACCTTTTAGAGCTAAGTCTAGTAGAAAAATTTGCATATATTTATATGAATGTTGAGTAGAGATGAATGCTTACTTTTAAAATAATGTCTTATATCTGAATAAAAATAAGAGCGAGACTAAGATAAACTGACAAACATGAGACTAAAGAACGAGAAGTTCCATAATAAAGCATCTGACTATAAAATTAATTTAGCTATATGTTGGCCAAATCGGGCTTCTTGTATCTATAGTTACATGTAGTATAAATATCTCACCATGAGACTGGAAACATATGACAGGTAACTCTTATCCTGACAGCAGTTTCACAACAGGATACCCATCTATTAACAAAATAATTCTACAGAGTATGACTACAGTGCTGAGTATTTCAGCACGCTCCATAGATACCTGTTTTACAGCTTTAGAGTTTTTCTTTTTTTCTTCCCCCCGAGACGGAGTCTGGCTATGTTGCCTGCACTCACTGCAACCTCCACCTCCTGGATTCAATTCAAGCGATTCTCCTGCCTCAGCCTTCCTAGTAGCTGGGGTTACAGGCACTCGCCACCACTCCTGGCTAATTTTTGTATTTTTAGTAGAGATGGGGTTTCACCATGTTGGCCAGGCTGGTCTCAAACTCCCGATCTCGAGAGATTCACCAGCTTCAGCCTCCCAAAGTGCTGGGATTACAGGTTTAGGCCACCGTGCCCAGCCTCACAGCTTTATAGCTTTTCATCAGCAATACAAAATGTCTTCAACACACACATTATGTATTTCTCTCTTTGATTTATATTACTGAAGCCTGTGAATATGTTTTTGGATCAAGAACCTTTTTGAAAATCTAGTGAAAGGCAATTCCTTCCCAGGAATATGCATAGATTATTGTAGAAAACATACAGACTCTACACCAGAAGTTCTTTTACAGACTCCAAGTTAGGAAAGTCTACTCTCAATCACCATTTTTTTTAATGTCTTGGGAAGAAACTAGAAGTTAGCAAAGTCTCAATCCTGGTTTACCTTGTTGCTTTTTTGAAGGTCTGGGGAAATCTAGAGCCTTCAGTGTTGCCTAACTCTACTGAGGGCATTCCTCTTGGTGCCATCTATAGCAAACAATGTGATGATGGGAGAGAAGTACTGAATATGAGGCTGCATGTCTCTCTAGAGTAAGAATAGAACATCATCTATTTATGTATTCATCCATTAAACAAACATATAATAGCCATTCATTATGTAGAAAGCGCTTTTTTAGGCACTGGGGGATAAATGATATATAAGATAAACCACAAGAAGAAGCCCAGAAATGTTATTCATATTATTAGTTTATGTAAAAACTAGAGATTCCAAATAGTAAAAAGATAGAATTATATTTATTTATACTGAATGGCATATTATATGCATAAATGCCTTGTAAATTGTATACTTTCAATGCTATTTTTATCTTTTACCTTGATATTAGGAAACTGAAACCAGTGAACATCACAGTGAGCAAAGGAGTCATGAGATTTTCATGCAGGAAATAGAATTTAAAAACTCACAGATACTCCAAAACAAACCTGATCTGAAGCAGAAAAAGAAATTGTTTATGGAATTGTTATCAATAAGACTTAACAGGTACTTTCTGAATGGCAGTATGAATTGATAATTAGCAGACATCTTGTTTCAATATAGAGCTTGAAAAAGCCAGTTATAACAATATAGTTGAAAAATACAGTTTAGTAGCAGCACACAGGTGGGTCCATGCTCTCACAGGGTAATGATTTAATAAAAAATAATAATCCAGGAAAAAACAGGTCAAAACTCCCAGAAACTTTCACACATGGCACAATGTATTATGGGAGATTTTCTAAGAATATTGTTAAAACCTGACCTTGATAACCACCAGGAAACCAAGAGAAAGAACATTCAAATTAACTACAGGAAATATACATTTCTATATGTATTGGTTTCCTAGGGTTGTCATAACAAATTACTACAAACTTGTTAGCTTAAAATGACAGAAATGTGTTCTCTCACAGTGCTGGAGGCTAGAAATCTGAAATCAAGGTGTTGACAGGGCTGTACTCCCTCAGAAGACTTTAGGGAAGAATCGTTCCTTGCTTCTTCCTGGCTTCTGGTGGCTCCCAGCAGTTCTCGACAGTCCTTGGTTTGTAGCTGCTTCACTCCAGTCTCTGCTTCTGACTTCACATGACCTTCTTCTGTCTCTGTCCCCTCTTTTTCTGTCTTTTATAAGTACACCTGTCACTGGGTGTAGGGTCCACTGTAATCCAGGATGATTTCATCTCTAGATCCTTACATTAAAGCATCTGTAAAGACCCTTATTCCAAATAAGGTCACATTTTGAGGTGCTGTGTGAAAATACCTTTTGTGGGCCAGTATTCAACACACTCAACTATTCCACTGATTTAAAACAATTTTTCTAAACTTTGTACTGTTTCACATTTGGAAGAGAGGATATTTGTCTTACTATTTCAAAACTCAGAAATTATTCCTATAAGCCACCAAATTCAAGGAGTATGTGAAAGTGAAATCACATTTTTCTCTTGTAACATTTCAGAATCTTGTCATATAATAATTCATGCAGAAAGGCAAGGGATGCTTGCCTAGATCCTAACAGTGGCAAAATGTGTTTTATGATTACTGCAATAGAACCTTCCAGTTGAACACTACTATACTGTAAAGAGATGATCTAAATTCATTTATGTCATTAAGAACATCATGTGACAATAGTGACTGAATCTTCAAAACAATCTTCAAGACTTGCAGTAAAAATGTGAATTCTGTTTTTGCTTAAGTGGGCTATGTTGTATGATGAAGACATTGTTCTATTGCAAATGACAGAAATGCAAATAAACCAATTTTATAAAGGGAATTTATTGAATCAAGCACGTAACTAAGAAGTCCAAGAGAATGGGAATGTCTTTAAAAATGCTATGGATTTAAAGAACAATATTTTTTCTTGCTTTATTGCTCCAGTTCATCTTTCCTCTTATATTTGGTTTCATTTCTACTGGTGGGTTTTCTTCCTATAACAGACAGGCTTTCTGTATGTAGTGAGGGAAATAGTAGCATAGCCCACAGAAATATTCACGGTTGCATCATCCCAGTTTTGTGATATAGATATACGCCTGAGAAAAGAAACAGTATTCATGAATACAATTTGACAGAATGGTTCTGATTGGTTTGTGACCCCAAATTGGGTCACCTTCCAATTTGGGGGCCAACTATATAGTCAAGGGATTGAAATGATTTGTCAGAGTAGGCCTGCAACATGTGCTACTGTGGTTGGGGTGTAGTGCGGGGTAGTCTGCAGTCATAGAACAGAGTAAAGCTAATTTAGCCATGTTGGGATCAAACTCATGAAACTACTAGCTCCAGGTTCACGCTAAATAACACTAAACATTTTATATGTTGAATTTCTGTGGTTACTCTCAGAGTATTGATAACAAACATTCAAAATAGATGTCTAAATAACTATGCTTCCTCTTTTTGAGGGACCCTGAAGTAAAATCATTATGCTTCCTCTAGCTTACGAATGACTTTTGGAGGGCTTCCTTCTAGCACTTTTAAAAGCGTCGCTCTTAAGAGTGGATTAAGTGTGACATTTGGAAATGTCAGAGGTAACTTTGGCTGTGAGAGCACTGACCAATAAATCTTACCTATACAAAATCCTATTTATTGAGGGCTTCGGTGTTCATGACATTACTAGGCATCTTTTCTTTGTCCTGTTTCAGCAAATAGGTTTAGCAGGGAAGCAATTCACTCCTTACAAAGCAATTATCATTAGAAAATGTCACTGCATAAATTGTAGGATAAAAAAGCAGAAACATCTGATTAGTGACTGATTTAGGAGAGAAGAGTTCATGCCAAGTGGAATAGATATCAGGAACTCATACCCTGTTCTTCAAGTCTGTTGAGGTAAGCTTATTAGAAGGATTTCTTTAAATGGTGGAATGGTTGGTAAGATTTTTCCCCAATTCAAACAATAATAGGAAGAAAAACACTTATAATCTTTGTTTAAAAGTTGTCAATAGCTGGTATGTTTTTATGCAATTGATGCATTTCTGAACATAGCTATAAAATGAATTAATTAGTAAATCATATTTATTAACTACTTCTAGAAAGCAAATTCTGTGCTGACACCTTTACAAATGTAGTATTATTAAAATCCTCTTAATAGCACTATAATATACACAATATAATAATTCTAATTGTACAAATGTGAAACTCCAGGCAACTTTTGTAAATTTTCTAAGGTCACCTTGCTAAAGTGAAAATGAGGTATGTAGCCAGATCTTTCTGACTCAGTTTGTCATATATTAAGCAAGCTTGCTAAATTTTATACATCTCTATATTGGATTCTTTTGTAAGTCAGTCATGTTATCATTCATGTGTAGGTTTGATGGTCAATAAAATTAAATTGGATTGAAATTAATTTCTGATATAGGCCACATCTATAAATTTTGCCTCTCAATATAATGCAAGAGGTGTAATAGTAGCTGGACATCGGCTCATCCCTCTTTCTTCGAGCCTTACTGTTCTTTGACCCAAGACTGCACATTTAAAAGAGAGGGGAGATGAGTTTTTAACGCTGCTGTGGAGATGTATTAAAATCCCATTTCAGTTAAGGTTGCAGATTTAGCAAATAAAAATTAGTTACATTTGAAATGTTTATCTGAAATTTAAATTTAATTGGACATCTTTTATCTACAATGTTAATTTGAGTTCCTCCAACTTGAATCTCTGTGAGGTTTGCTCTTGTTCCTCTTGAATTCTCTTTTCTGTTACTGGTATTTTTTTTCAGATCAGGTCTTCAATGAGATATTCCTTTTTATTTGAGGTTTCAAGCTTCAATATCTTGAGTTCATCATCAGCCAGCATCTCCTACCCTGATTTCTTATTTACAGCTTTATTCTCTGGCTCATACTATGACTTTAAGTTTCTCATGTAATGCATTTACTGTTACATTGGACTTTGACAATCATCCACAATGTGGAAATCTAAAGCAGAAAATGGGAAGGCAGAACAGGAAAGAGTAAGGCACATTGGCAGGAATTAAGTCTAGAGCTTCTTACAAGGGTAAAAGTTTTGTTGGATAAAATGGGATCAGATATTAGGACTAGCAAATAAAGGTCAGGCAGTTAAGAAACCTGGGAACACTGGAAAAACTGAGAGGTGGATGATGCAGAAGATGAGCTGGTCATGCACAATGGCAGAGGGATTCTCCTGGAGCAGAGGTTTGGATAATCAGAGATGGATCATGATTTGTCAGGACTTTCAGGAACTGCTTTGTCCAGAAACAGCCCCTCTTAGTCTTAAAGTTACAACATCCCCTAAAAAGACAAAGTGCTCTGCTAGAATACTGCACCAACAATTTAGAGAAGAGCTTTCCATTCCCACCCACAGACATGTATTTGGCTAAATATGGCTCTTGCTAATGAAGAGCCTGAAAACATATCTGAAGAAATATCTACTGAAGTTGCATTATGATATGATATGTAGACCGTAATTTGGTTTGATACACAACCACCTGCAAGCCCATCCAAGACAAAAAGAAGCTCCAGAGAAAACTTAATGTAGCACGGCCTCACCTGTAGGAGATGCCTTAAAATGAATGCATGACCAGCACAATAGTGAGAATACAGCATTTGTATTCTCATTCTTACCACTATGTCTTTGTGTGTTTTACACACACACACATACACACATGCTCCACTTTTATCCATAAATATAAACACACACACACGCTCCACTTTTATCCATAAATATAAATCTTAAATACAAATTTAAATTTGAATTGTCCTGAATCTCCTCATTTACTGCTGACCAATTTCCGTATTAATCTAGTTTCCACTTTGGTAAATGACTTTGTCCTCAAATTTGAATTCTCATTCTGGCTTTTCTGGATAGGCATATACATCTGCTTTCTCTGATTTTAGATTCAGTTTCTTCCCCAAAGTTTCCAAATACTGGATATTCATAAATCAAATTGTATAGATAATTTAGGACTATCATCTATAACAAGAAATATCATAAAATTAGAGTGTTGTAAGTCAAATTGCCAGAGGGTCAGCTACAATCCACCACTCCATAGGAACCCTGAGAATAAGAATTCCATAGTTGTCAGTAAATAAGATTACAATAACAACAAGAGATTATTTTCAAAAATCATGAAATCACCAAAATTCTATCTGCCAACCAAACACACTGCTGGTTCAATAATCTTTGTTGATAGGTCTTTAATTTCCTTACATGAGCATTCTGCAAAATGCTTTAAGAATAACTAAGTGTTATACAATGAACTTTGGGAGTCAGCCAGTAGAAAATTAAATAGAATTTAGTGTGACTAAGTCACTGTGACGGAATTTAATGCTTTAAATTTTTGTGAATTATGAGGAAATTTCACAGGGGGAACATGATGGAATACAAGTACTCATAGCCCTGTTAACTGCAGCTAGAGCAGGTGGAAAGTGTCAAGTTGGGATCCCAGTGGTACAGAACAAATTGTGAATCATGGCTTCTTCCTGTTAAACCTTGAATCACCTTTAGGATAAAGTCCAAAATTCCTAACATGATCTTTAATGTCAGTCATAATGTGGTCCCCTGTATTTCTTTGTATCATTTTCTCTCGCCACTTACTCCGCAACCATGCTGATCTATTGATATACTTGCCATTTCCTGAATTTGAGGTATTCTTCTTTAATCTTGGTTTTCATATAATCTATTTCTCTGATAAAACACCATCCACCACTCTACTCAACACCTAGTTAACTTTCCAGATTCAGTTTCTTTGTGCTGCCTCTGTTCTTATCCCTGGATTAAGAATTATCTCACAATATGATGGTTGCTCTCTTGCTTGCATATCTTCTATATTTGTTTTTGAGTGTCTTTTGAAAGAGAGTGCCTCTTATGCTTCATTGTAAATCTAGGGCATAGGAAATTTCCCAGCTGACAGCAGTCATTTAAAATATACTTTTTGAAATAATGAGGCAAGCAAACATAGGCAGACTCAGCTGCTGCAGCTTGGAGGATGTCTAGTTGATAGAAAGACCACGGAATTCCAAGGGTACACAAAAGTAATTCAAACATAATGGCTCCAGTGGACAGCCTCTGATTTTTCTTTGTATAATCTTAAAAAAAAGCTCTTAAGCAGCACTTTATCTTATATTTTACACATGCGCGCGCGCGCGCGCACACACACACACACACACACACACACACACACACACGCACACACACCCTTCTTCTCTCTACAACCTTTTTGTCTCCTGTAAGTAGTTAGGGAGAGGAGAACACCTGACTGTGTGAAATATGTGTGGGTGGAAATACAAATTTCTAACTGTCCCTCTGTAGGTATTTAGGTTCCATTTTTCCACTCTGCTATTAACAGTTGCCTTTCATGTCTCTATTTTCCAGCTTACCAAATTTGGGTGACATATTTTTTCTGGTATGTGGTCCTCTCCCATTCTCTTTGTGCTTGTGGATTTTTAAAAAATAATTCCTTCATTATTTGTGGGAAACAATAGAAAAAATGTGAATTTATTTCACCAAGTTTAAATGGATCTTTTCTGCTTCAATATTTTACTGATTTTTACTTTGACAAACATAGCTTTGCCCTCATATTTAAGAAGTTTTGAGTGGCTGTCAATAAATTCTGCAACTGGTTGCCAGGGATGACAATATCATGTGTGGTATGCAGAAGCTAGCTTGCAAAAGCTGATGATAATTAAATTGTTAATTTTTCTCAAGCTTTGTGAGCCAGTTGTATACACAGCCATTATTAAAATTTATATTACATAGCCTTATTATTAAACGTATTTAAAGCAAAGTTAAGATAGCCTTAAATCTCATCACTTCTTAATTATTTTACTATTTTCTATGTTTTTGAGGATATTTACATATATTACATCTATAAAGTAAAAATACCAAATAATAGTGTATTATCGTGTATTTCTGCAAAGTGTTATCACATTGTTGGCTTATAAATTGGCCATAATGAGAGTATTAATGCCACAGGAATCTGCAAATGCTAAAAATCAAGCTATTTTTTATTCAGAAATCTAGTTGTTAGCAGTATGCCATTGTTATGTATCCTCCAAAGTTAAGAAGTCAAAGCACTCCTAATCTGCATCCATCACCTTTTATTTAGATATTTCCCATAGTCTTGAGATTTCTGTCTCAATTTCCTTTATTTTCTTCTTCCTTCTATTTCATTCCCTGTTTTCCTCAGTCCTACCTTTATTCTATCTTCATGCTCTTCCTTTTCTTCCCTCCTTTCTTCAGAAGCTAACTCCATGTAATAGATTTAGCCACTCATTGGCCAAGGTATGGCTGTGTTTGAAATGCTGTTCCCTGGTGCCATAAAGAAATAGCACTTGAACATAAATTTAATTTCCTCAGCAAGGCCATTTGTATACTTTCTGCAGAAAGGGTATATGCACCAGCAGTTTTGCCATGAGAGTACACTGAACAAAGGAGACAGGCTCATTTATAACCTGATGCATCCACCCTACTGCTGTGTCCAGTTTCCATTGGCTGGAATAGGACCTCACATTCTGTATTTGTCCCGATTGGCTAGTAACTTAGAACTTTTTAAAAGAGGCAAAGGCGGAGGAGAACAAAGGAAGGAGGAAGTAACTTGTGGAATGCTGAGAAAGGTAAAAACACCTTCAAATAAGGAAGAGGACCAGGCTATGACCTAATGCTTGCTTGAACGAGTATAAGCATGCCAGGGCAAATATTTAGGCTAACTTGTGGGAGCTAAGAACATAAAGTACATTGATTTCTTTATTACGGCTAGCAGATATTTAAGAATGTTAGCACAGGTCTTTGAAAAAATTTTGCTTCTAAGAGAGGTTACTATTTATTCCTAATTAGATGAGGAGGAAAGTCTTTGAAGAGGAATCTCTACTTTACTTTTTACAGCTGGAAATGGGCAGTTTTCCTGGAACCAGAGCATCCCCAAGTGTTCCTCTACTGCTGCTTCCAACTTTTAGAACCAAGGAAGTTCACCATAACCTTTGTACACTCTGCCTTGGATGTCATGGTTTTATTCTTCAAGGTTTCTCAGTGTGTTTGTGCCAGTTTTCATATACTCTGGATTCTCACCCCTCCTCACTGGCTCATGTTGCTTGGGTCTGAACCTTCTCCCATTAAAACTCAGAAAAAAATGAATGAGCATTTCATATATTCTTAGAAAAATTCTGCTTCAGTTGCAGGACAGGATGGAAATAATGCTACATGTCTTTTAAAAGAGCTTTCCTCTGCCAAGTGGCACCTGATTAATTTACAACTTTCATTTAATAAAACAACTGGATTGTTGTTCCACATGATTTGTCCCAAAGCTTTATCTGTTGTTGATGTAATTAATTTCTTACCAGTTCTTTCCCCACTTCCCATTTCCAGACAAAAATATCTACTACAACTAACAATGACTAAAGTACCTTCCAAGTTTCAGGGTTTCTATTCCCATTAATCTCACTGATATCCTTATTACTTTGTTTATGAATTATTTAAAAGTCTATATATGTTACAGAATTGAAATTCAAGATGAGATTTGGGTGGGGACACAGCCAAACCATATCAGTCATCTTTCTTTACTCTATACATATTCCCCCCGAACACTTACTTAATAATTTATAATAAAGCAAGTACACAAATAATTCAAAAAGTGAGTTAATTTTTTTTTTTTTGTAAAATCCAAAGCAAGTAAACAGGAACCACATTTGATGTTTAAAAAAAATGCATGAGATTAAAATAACTCCTTTTCAGAAACAGAAATGGAATCTCCAAAAGTAAAAGACTGTTTCTATAGATGAAGGAACTAATATCTAGAGATAATAAATGCCTTTTGAAGGTTGTACAGCAGATCTAAGGAATGAACCCACAATTTGGGTTTGATGTTTGTTTAATTGTAATATTAATCTACTTTACTAGCACCATTAATTTATTTGCAGGATCTTAAATGTCAAGCTAAAATTAAAAATATCTTTTTTCTTTTTATATTTTGTCTTTAAAAGTATTTTTAATTTACTGCTAAAAAGAGAGAATGGCATTGATTCTTCATCTGCATAGAAAACAGCTCACTCCCTTCTAGCAGATTTATTTTGAATTATATAAACACCAAAAAAAAAATCCTCACATACGCTCTGCATTTTTATAGCTTCTTTTTAAGCAAACTCTCTCTTCTTGGAAGATCCCCTCCCTTCTTCAAGATATTTCTGCTCCTCCCACTACCTCAAACGTAACTGCTATTGTTGTCCTTGTTGCATCCGCATCACCCTGTGCCTCTATTAAAAGCACTTTACACCTCATAATATAATTTAATACATGTATGTTCCCCTAATAAGATCTAAGTTCCTCTAGGGGAGGAACATATCTTAGGCATCTTTGTAGAAACAGAATCAGCCACAGGATCTGGCACACAGTAGGAGCTCAACAAAAGAATGTTGAAGTCATGAATGTGATAGTAATAGATACTAAATTGTTCTCAATCAATAAATTTTTATTTGGGAAAATAGAGCATTTGGAAAGAATATTTCTTAGGATTTTTTTCACCTGCAGGTAACGTAAAACTGAAAAAAAAAAGGTTTAAATTTAAATTAAAACGTAGAAATGAATTTGTTCCCTTGGCTGAAAATTCCAAATGTGAGGCAGCTCTCAGGAGTAATTTGAGGGTGCGAGCCTCAAGCCTTGGCAGCTTCCACATGGTGTTGAGCCTGTGAGTGCACAGAAGTCAAGAATTGAGGTTTGGGAACCTCCGCCTAGATTTCAGAGGATTTATGGAAACACCTGGATGCTCAGGCAGAAGTTTGCTGTAGGGGTGGGGTCCTCAGGGGGAGAACCTCTGCTAGGGCAGTGCTGAAGGGAAATGTGGGGTCAGAGCCCCCACACAGAGTCTCTAGTGGGGCACTGCCTAGTGGAGCTGTGAGAAGAGGGCCACCATCCTCCAGACCCCAGAATGATAGATCCACTGACAGCTTGCACAATGCACCTGGAAAAGCTGCAGGCACTCAATGCCAGCCTGTGAAAGCAGCTGGAAGGGAGGCAGTACCCTGCAAAGCCACAGGGGTGGAGCTGCCCAAGACCATGAGAACTCACATCTTGCATCAGCGTGACCTGGGTGTGAGACATGGAGTAAAAGGAGATCATTTTGGAGCTTGAAGATTTGACTGCCCTTCTGGATTTTGGGCTTGCATGGGGTCTGTAGCCTCTTTGTTTTGGCCAATTTCTCCCATTTAGAATGGCTGTATTTACCCAATGCCTGTACACCCATTGTACCTAGGAAGTAACTAACTTGTTTTTGATTTTACAGGCTCATAGGCAGAAGGGACTTGCCTTGTGTCAGACGATATTTTGGACTGTGGACTTTTGGGTTAATGCTGCAATGAGTTAAGACTTTGGGGGGCTGTTGGGAAGGCATGATTTGTCTTGAAATGTGAGGACATGAGATTTGGGAGGGGCCAGGGGATAGAATAATATGGTTTGGCTGTGTCCCCACCCAAATCTCATCTTGAATTTCTATGTGTTGTGGGAAGGACTTGGTGGGAGGTAATTGAATCATGGGGGCAAGTCTTTCCTATGCTGTTCTGATGATAGTGAATAAGTCTTATGAGATCTTGCTGGTGGAAGGGTTTATGGGGTGCCAGTTTAGTCAGTCACCCCTGTGTAGGACACCTCTGGAACACCATAGGGGGCACCTGAGGAGAAACATCTCATTATTGCCATTGTGCCCCCAGGCCAGTGAGCATGACCTGCTCTGTGGCTTTACACAGAATGCTCTGGGCGGAAACACTCCCTTGAAGCATTGGAATGTGACCAGACATCCTATCCTAGCTCCCACCAGCTGCAGCCTGGTAAGTTAAAGATTATCATAGTGGTTAGACATATGCTTTGAGCTTAAAGGAAATTCACATAACCGCCAGTGCTATACATGTTTCCAATGACGCATGCTCCCCCACCTTCACCGTTTCACCCCGTACCATCTGCTTCTTAGATCAAAAAGATTGTACTCAATAAATTTTCAGGAAACCAGTGTTCTGGGCCTTCTGCAGCCTTCACTCTAGCAGATGGCCCCCTGGACCTGCTTTTACTCTTAACTTGTCTTTTCTCATTCCTTTGTCACTGCCGGACTTTGGGTACCCATGGCTGGGGGTTGGGACTGATCTCCCCAACAGGTCTGATGGTTTAAAAACAGAAATATCCCCGCACAAGCTCTCTCTTTGCCTGCCATCATCCATGTAAGATGTGACTTGCTTCTCCTTGCCTACCATCATGATTGTGAGGCCTTCCCAGCCATGTGGAACTGTGAGTCTAATTAAACCTCTTTCTTTTATAAATTGCTCAGTCTCCAGTACATCTTTATCAGCAGCGTGAAAACCGACTAATACAATGACTTAAGTATTAGTAGGCCCTTCGTCTATTGTTGTTGTTAATATCCTTCCTTATATAAGAATGATGCTCTTAACTTCTCAAAATAAGGCATATACTTTGACATATTGTAGTGTTTGGTTTAAACTGAGTGTTTCATTGACCCCCATTTATTTTACATGGCAGTAAAAGTCAGTGACCAGGGAACGGAATAAAAATAACTTATTGCTTTGCTCAGAATTATTGTCATGCAAAGACTTCTTCATTAGGGACACACTCAACATCCCTTCTTCACTTCTTCTTATTAAGAGACCTCTAATCCACTTTGGGAGGCCAAGGTGGGTGGATCACGAGGTCAGGAGATGGAGACCATCCTGGCTGACATGGTGAAACCTCGTCTCTGCTAAAAAATACAAAAAATTAGCCAGGCATGGTGGCAGGTGCCTGTAGTCCCAGCTACTCGGGAGGCTGAGGCAGGAGAATGGCATGAACCTGGGAGGCAGAGCTTGCAGTGAGCCAAGATTTTGCCACTGCATTCCAGCCTGGGTGACAGGGCAAGGCTCCATCTCAAAAAAAAAAAAAAAAGAAAAAGAGACCTCTAATCTTATGAATCCAGTTATAAGTCAACATTTCCTAGGGTTTCTTTTTTCAGCTAGATATGGCCATATGATTAAATTTTAACTCATAAAATACAAGTAGAAGTGATATATGGGATTTTCCCAAGTTTTCTTAAGCAAGAGGTCACATACTTTTTCTTCTTCTTACCCTCTTGCTTGCTATGTGTAATGTGGCTGGAGCTCGAACTACCATTTTGGATAAAGAGTAATAAGATAAGAATATCAAAGGTTCAATAGAAGAAATCTAGATTTCTGTACTACCTATCTCTAGATTTTAATGAAATAGGAATTAACTTCTATTTTGTTTAAGCCATTTTGGTTTTCTGTTAAATGAACCAGAATCTAAGTCTTAACAAACACTGTGGGAGATCAGTGCCAAATCCTATCAGGTTTTTATCCTGTATTTCTTAAATCTGTCCTTTTCTCCCTGCTTTCTACTCTCATCCTTCTCATCATCACCGCCACCACCACCATTACCTTTAGCCTGACACATTTACTGATTGCCTAGACTACTGCAATGGTTTTCTAACTGGTCTACACAATTCAGTCTAGACCTCTCCAGTCTGTTTTCCACTTTGCTGTCTAACTAATGTTTTCAGAATTCATATTTTGAAGATCAGATTATTACCCACTCTTCTTCTAGGGTGAAACTTTGCAGATGTTTTCTAATTACAATTAGGATGGAGGCTACAATTTTTAACATGACTGTGTTGGTTAGCTAGGGTTGTCATAACAAACTGCCACACATTAGGGGACAAAAACAGTAGACATTAATTTTCTTATAATTCTGGAGACTGGACGTCCAAGATCAAGATGTCAGCAGGGTTGGTTTCTTTTGTGCCTCTCTCCTTGGCTTGTAGATGATGATCTTTTCTATGTCTCTTTCCTCAGTTTGTGTCTGTATCCTAATATCCTCATCTTATAAGGACAGCAGTCATATTGGATTAAGACCCTCCCTAATTAACTCATTTCAATTTACTTATCTCTTTAAAGATTCCATCTCCAAATATAGTCATATTCTGAGGTACTAGGGGGTTAGAACTTCAACATACAAATTACAGGAAACAGTTCGGCCATAACAATGGCCCATAATGTTTGGTTCCTGATTCCATGAGTTTGTAAGACTTTGAAGTTCCCATGCACTAGAACACTAGAAAAACTTGTTTATCCTATAAATTTCCTGGGCAAGGGAGAGCATCACCTTCATAAAGTCTCAGTAGGAAGACTAAATTTTTCCTCAAAAGGGAGAAATTTGAAAAGAATACTTATAGTGTGGTCTGGGCAGGGATTGGTTAACAAGTTTATCAACTAGGCAAGTTACTGGAGCAGTGTTTCTATTGTTGAAACATATGAGTCTAGTATGAGTTTGTGTTAAAAGTGTTAAAGTGACCTTATGTCTTCTGTGTTGTATGCTGTGGTTAGTCCTGTAATGATGTTTAACTGTTTTGAGAGTCACAGTATAGTTCTACTATCTCTGTTTTCTGTACTTTTCTGTTTATTTTCCAGTGTCCCTCCCTCCTTAGCCTAAGCTAAGGGAAAAACCATTATCTCTGGATATGTGATTGAATTGGATCTATAATGGTATTCAATGGGTTGTGAGTCATTTTGATATCTAATAGTGTCAAGGCCAGATTTCTTGGTCTTTTTGTTAGAATGATCATCTGTTATAATAGTGGCTGCACAACAGTGTTTAAGACACACTTGCATACTGCAACACCAAGATGAAGACAATGATTACTATTAGAGTTTGCAAAGCAACTATGAAGCTGTGATTGTAGACTTAGAATATCATGAAAACATGTTCCTAGTTTATTTGTATTTTTCTTATATACGCAAGTAGCTTTCCCTTTAATTTAGATATTGATTTTTCACTTTTGTCAGTGTCTGAAGATTTAGTCCCAGATTTGGTTATTGTCAAGGATAAGGGTCTTGGGAGTACCATGACTAAAGGTAGAGGTACCTATTAACAATTTAGAACCTTTAAATAGCAGACAGGAAAGAAGATAGCAAAGAGGTTAAGCCTAGCTTTGTCATTCACATGGATATGCGCTAGGAAAATCACTGATTCTCTTTTATGGAGAAATGTCTGTTCTCACACTGCTATAAAGATACTCCCTGGGGGCCAGTTGCAGTGGCTCATGCCTGTAATCCCAGCACTGTGGGAGGCCAAGGTGAGTGGATCACCTGAGGTCAGGTGTTCGAGACTAGCCTGACCTGCATGGTGAAACCCCGTCTCTACTAAATACAAAAAATTAGCCAGGAGTGGTGGTGTGTGCCTGTAATCCCAGCTACTTGGGTGGCTGAAGCAGGAGAATTGCTTGAACCCGGGGAGTGGAGGTTACAGTGAGCTGAGGCTGCAGCAATGCACTCCAGCCTGGGTAACAAGAACAAAACTCTGTCTCAAACAAACAAACAAACAAAAGATACTACCTGGGACTGGATAATTTATAAAGGAAAGGGGTTTAATTGACTGACAGTTCTGCGTGGATGAAGAGGCCTCAGAGAACTTACAATCATGGCGGAAGGTGAAGGGGAAGCAAGGCACATCTTACGTGGCGGCGGGAGAGAGAGAGAGCAAGGATGGGGGAACTACCAAACTCTTTTAAACTATCAGAGCTTGTGAGAATTCACTCACTATTCTGAAAACAGCATGGGGGAAACCACCCCCATAATCCAGTCACCTCCTATAGGACCCTTCCTTGATATGTGGGGATTACAATTCGAAATGAGATTTGGGTGGGGACACAGAGCCTAACCATATCATTCTACCACTGGCTGCTACCAAATCTCATGCTCTTTTCACATTTCAAAACAAATCATGTCTTCTGAACAGTCCCCCAAAGTCTTAACTCATTTCAGCATTAATTCAAAAGTGCAAGTCCAAAGTTTTATCTGAGACAAGGCAAGTCACTTCCACCTATGAGCCTGTAAAATAAAAAACAAGTCAGTTACTTCGAAGATACAATGGCTGTATAGGCATTGGGTGAATGTTCCCATTCCAAATGGGAGAAATTGGCCAAAACAAAGGGGCCACATGCCCCATGAAAGTCCAAATCCTGTCAAGGCACTCATTAAATCTTTTTTTGTTTCTTTTTTTTTTTTTTTTTGAGATGGAGTCTCTCTCTGTCACCCAGACTGGAGTGCAATGGCATGATCTCATCTCACTGCGACCTCCGCCTCCTGGGGCAAAGCAATTCTCCTGCCTCAGACTCCTGAGTAGCCAGGATTACAGGTGCCTGCCACCATGCCCAGCTAATTTTTGCATTTTTAGTAGAGACAGCGTTTCACCATGTTGACCAGGCTGGTCTCAAACTCCTGACTTCAGATGATCCACCTGCCTCAGCCTCCCAAAGTGCTGAGATTACAGGTGTGAGCCACTGTGCTAGGTCTCATTAAATCTTAAAGCTCCAAAATCTCCTCTGACTCTATGTTTCACATCCAGAGCACACTGATGCAAGGGATGGGCTCCCAAGGCCTTGGGCAGCTCCACTCTTGAGGCTCTGCAGGGTTCAGCCCGTACAGCTGGTACAGCTGGCATTGAGTGTCTGCAGCTTTTCCAAGTGCACAGTGCAAGTTGTAGGTGGATCTACCATTCTGGGATCTAGAGGATGGTAGCCCTCTTCTCATAGCTCCACTAGGCAGTACTCCAGTGGAGACTCTGTGTGGGGGCCCCAACCCCATATTTCCCCTCTGCATTGCCCTAGTAGAGGTTCTCCATGAGAGCTCCTCCCCTGAAGCAGATTTCTGCCTGGGCATCTGGGCATTTCCATACATCCTCTCAACTCTAGGTGGAGGCTTCCAAAGCTCAACTTTTGTCTTCTGTGCACCTGCAGTCCCAACACCACATGGAAGCTGCCAAGGCTTGGGGCTTGCACCATCTGAAGCAGCAGCCTGAGCTGTATGTTGGCCCCTTTTAGCCATGGCTGGAGCTGGAGTGGCTGGGATGCAGGGCACCAAGTTCTGAGGCTTCACAGAGTAACGGGGCCCTGGGCCCACAAAGCCATTTTTCCCTCCTAGGTCTCTGGGCCTGTGATGGGAGTGGCTGCTGTGAAAGTCTCTTACATGCCCTGGAGATATTTTTCCCATTGTCTTGGCTATTAGCATTCAGCTCCTCATTACTTATGCAAATTTCTGCAACTGTCTTGAATTCCTTCCCAGAAAATGGGTTTTTAATTTCTACTATGTGGTCAGGCTGCAAATTTCCCAAAACTTCATGCTGTCTTTCTCTTTTAAACATGAGTTGTGTATGGTGGCCTGGTATTCAATCTGAGAGGTGGGAGTATGTTAGCAGGACCTCTTCTTTTTTCACTGAGAGCTTTTTAAAAATAAATTCTGCTCTCCTCACCTTTCGATGTGTCTGCATGCCTAATCTTTCCTGGTCACATGACAAAAGCCTGATTTTAGCTGAACTAAGGAGCAAAAACTTCTGCATCAAAAGCTACCTCCAAGTAACTAAAAATTGGCATCATTTCCCTAGGTTTTATCAAAGAGAAGAAAAATTGACATAATTTCCCTAGAGTTTATAAGGGTTTACCTTTCTCTGATAAACAATTTTGCACCTCTACCTCATTCAACCCACAAGACACATATGAAAATCTCTGTGGAGGAGAAAGGGAGGATGCTAGAATATGGACTTCAGTAGGGAGGTCAGTGCTTAAGGTGGTAGGTTGTTCCCATTCCTTTTGAAAGGAAAGAGGCTATGGGTACGATAGACTTCTTTTTTTTATTCTTCCTGAAACAATATAGTGTAACAGCTATTTACATAGCACTTACATTGTCTCAAGTATTACAAGTAATCTAGAGATGAGATAAAGTGTATGGGAGGATATGCATAGGCTATATGCAAATATTCAGCCATTTTATGTAAGAGACTTGAGCGCCTGTGGAATTTGGAATCCTCCAGAGGTCCTGGAGCCAATCCCCCATGGATACCGAGGGATGACTGTACATCATACTTTCATTTATTTAAAATTATATGTATTAGGTTGGTGCAAAAGTGACTGTGGTTTTTGCCATTTTTTTTTAAAGCTATGGCAAAAACTGCAATTACTTTTGCACCAACCTAATATAAATCCTACGTCACTTTTCATCAGCAACTGGTAAACCAAGAATCAGGGACCATCCTAGGCAAAGAGAACTAGAAAGATTGTTCTTGCTCTTCAGAACAGTTGTTCAAATGATACCCTGTGGATCTGATTCCATTATAATTTCCCAGGGTGCTTATTAAATAAGCAGATTACTGGATCTACCACAGATTCACTGAATCAGAATTTAGAGCTGAGGCTAGAAGGCTGCATCCTTAGCAAGTGCCTTTGATGACTCCTATGGTTCCTGATGTTTTATAACCTTTGTTCCAGAAATCCACACTATCTAACACGAGACAATATAACATACATGAAGAGGCCACAAAATAGTGAGCAAAATCATTTTACAGACTATAAATCTTTTTATTACATTCATGGCTTAGCCCAAGGATGAACCCATAGTAGATGCTTAATATTTGCAAGTAATAATGAGATAGTTTATATACTAGAACACTGAATCATCATGGTGACCTAAGTATTTGGAATTTTTAACATGACATCTTCAGTTATTTTTGATTTCAAAGAAAAGAGCCACTCCTTACTTTTTATTTTGAAATGTGGCATAAACCTGTTTGATTTTCACAATTTTAAAATGATGGGAAAAAAATTGAAAGGTTTTGTGGGAGAAGAAGTACAAATAGGTCCATAAAATATGTCTAAGATTGACTTGTAAAAAATAAAGAGAATCTCTAAGTGCCAAAAGTTTTTTCTGTGCTTACTGACATATCTTTAATCTCACAAAATGCTCTACCCCGTGGAAGAGGGCAGCAGATATAATAAGTAATGTATTAATCATTTATTTGAAACTCTGTTGATCCTAGTCTGACAAAATGAAATAAAGATTGATCCAATTTATTAAGGCCTATGCCTGCTAGAAACAGAGGCTTAATGAAATATGGTTTATTTTTCTCACATAACAACTCTCTAGGCAGGTGATGGTGGGTGTTGTTAGCCTCTCTCTGGTGTCATCCAGAATCCATATCCTTGTTATGTCTGCTCCACCATCCTCATCTTGTAATTTTTAGTTTTAGGTTTATCATTTCATGGGCTTAAGGTGGCTGCTGCAATTCCTGGCTTTATGCACATGTTTAAGGCTGGAGGGAGCTAGCAAATGTGCCATTTTCTGTTTTTCTTTTTTTTTTTTTTTTTTTTGTCAACAAATAAATTTTTTCCTGGAAACTCTAAACTGGTATTTGTTTTTCGACTTGTGGCCCTTAGGTCAGAACCCTGTCACATGGCTACCCATTACGGTGAGTCTGGGAAAGTGAGTATCCAGCTTTCTGAATTCTAAAGTGGGCAGCAATGGAAGTAGCAGTTGCAAAATGACTTCTGAGTTGGCTAAAGGACAATGTCTGCCACAATATTCTCTCATTACCAATGACCCAGGACTTGGACTCTTTAAGAACAGGAGAGCTGAGAGCTGAACTACTGGAAGGGTAGCTTCACTGCTATGTTAGGCTTGCTTCTTCACCTGAAAGTTCTTTCAGAATCTTGGTTGTGTGTTACCTGCTGTGCATTCTAGCCCTGCACATGATATTTGTCTCCTAGACTGACTGCTTCTTATTCCTTTTCCCTTTCTGGTAAGCAGTATAGGTTAGTGGTGGGGAGTGCAGGTTCTGGAAGCAGAAAGTCTGGGTTTAAATCCTGGCTGGCCTACTTATTAGCTGTGTGATCCTGAGCAAGTTATTTAACTTCTGTCAGTCTTTTTATCCTCATTCATCAAGTATAAATAGCAGTGGTACCTATCCCACAGATTTGTTATAAAAATGCAATGACATCACCTCATAAAAGTATATCATGACCATGCTAAGCATGTTAAGTGGTTGGAAAATGTTAATAATTATTATTAATTTCTTATTGTTTTGACTCATATCTAGATCTATCAATGTATGTAATCACAATGCTTGGCACATAGAACACACAGAACTCAGCTCACTTTTTTGTGCATAAAGATATGTAATTATGTAACTTTGTGTATGTGTATGTGTGTGTTATGTTTGTGTGATTTGTGAAGGTGTTGTGCAGATAAAATCTTTTTACAGAAATGCCCAAGGCCCCTGGATTTCTGCCTCTTAGAGAAAGATTATTCAAGTGGACTATATTTGCAAAACCAATTTTCTAAGAAACCAGATTTTTAAAAATAAATTTCTAAAATCCCTATGTTGTCTTTTATTAAAATTATATATTTCTCTTGGTCTTTTAGTATACTGTACATAGACTGTGTTATTTTGTTAGATTTTCCCCAGTTATTTCTTTTTGGGGGAGCAGATATTAGTAAAAGATAAAATGGCACCCAAGAATATTTTTCAAGAACAAAATACATGGCTTAAGAAAAAGAATAACCTGTCTGAGGAATGGTAGGAAGGACATTTGGAAATGAACATGCCTCAGTGTTGAGGAAGATGCTGACCAGAAATGTGTAAGCAATCTGGAGACAAACTGTTGCTTTCTTTATAATTTTACTCCTATTCAGTTCTGGTTTCATCTTTCCATTAATACATATTCACTTTATAATGTAGGGAGCACTCTTTCTTGCCTTTGGGATTTAAGTAATTGAAGTTAATCTTTTTGAAAGAGATCTCAGTTGGATTGATCTAAGATTGAAAAGGTCATTAAGAGGAAATTAATAAAAGGGAACTCTTTAAGGTGGGTAACGCAGGTATTATAGTCTTAGCCCCTGGAATATGACCCAGTGGGCAGAGTAAGCCCTGGCAAAGCAAGGCACACAGCCAAATGTTAGCTTTTCACATGCAAAAACAGGATTATGCAATAGTACAGACTTTGCAAGTCTATTGTTTACAGAAGGAATTAAGCAACATTTGTTTACCTACTTCATTATTATACCAGCAATCCAGCCTGAAGGACTTAGCTCATAGATGTCTTCTGAAATGTGGAAGAAATACTTTCGTTTGTCATAAAACCTCAGCAGGAGATTGGAGTCTGGAAGAGGGAGGGGAGAAGAGGAGGACCTCAGGGAGGCAAGTTAAACAGTCCAGTTTTTGCATCTTAATTTCCTTCTCTGTGCTTTTGTCTTTCAAGGGGTGGTGCCGGGCACAGGTATTTTAGATAAATAAGTGGGATGGCAAGAGAAGGACCTTTTTACTGCTTACCCATTTATTGGGTGACAATCCAGTATGCTGTCCAGAATGCAATATTTTTGAGAGTAAAAGAAATCATACTGGGCCAGATCATAAAACCCAGCATTTTTTAGACAAACTGATATAGTGTATATGGTTAACTTACTTTGTACGAAGAAGGTATAACAAACTCACTTTAGAGGACAGTGGTACAGTCTGATAGAGTGAGTACCCAGTTAACTCTCTGTGTGTTATGTCAGCTGGCTTTGTATCAGGAAGCTTCTGGTGAGTTTAGGTGACCCCTTAGCAGAGGCAGGTGGAAAATTCCAGGCTAGGAGGCTGGATGGAGTAGATGGTAAACACTCAAGGGTCAGTGGTCTATGATGAGAGCACAAGCCAAGAACCAACCATGAGGATTCCAAGGGGAGCCTGGGTTATCAGAAGCCATTAGAGCTGCAGTGACCAGATTAAAAAGGACATTGCCCCAAGAGTGTCTGCATGAAATAAGGGATATCCTTGCTTGTTTGTGACCCAAGGATATGTAAGCCATACATTTTTCCCTTTATATCCCTCAATGTTAGAGAGAGAAACAGAAAATATGGTGGCTATATGGGATATGAAATATTTGTATTAATAAAAATGTTAATAGAAATTGCATGGCCTTTTAATTTATGGTGTGGGACTAAATTTAAACTACAAATGTAGTTGAGTTTCTATTTTGTGGAGAGATTATTTATGAACAAAATAAAGGAGTTACAACTCTTTATAAATAAGTCATACTATAAAATGTGTGACCCTCCTTGTTGCATTTAAAAAGGCTATATATTTTTTGATAGTGAGATCTTTTCCCTCTGTATTTCTCTCCAAAAATCTTAATAATGTCACCATTTTATTAAATCATTTGATAGGATCAATACTTTATATGAACTATCTCATCTGAGCAGCCCCAAGAAACCTGTAAAACAGGCATTATTGTCCTATTTTATAGGTAAATTAGCCAAGGATAAGATAAATCGAAGGGATTCATCAAGTTCACCTAGATAATAAGTGGTAGAGCTTGGATTTAGAACCAAGCCAAAACACTCACATGGCTTACCTATTACTTTTCATTCTAAGCGGCCTTATTTTATCACAAATAGATTGAGATGAATGCATTGAACCCTTGACTTCTAAACTCTCTTCTATATGATTTTAAATTTAGTTAATTACTGAACATTTCATATTCTTATATCTGCTCAACTAGATTCAAAATTCTTCAGTGCTTCCTTTTTTAATCTCTGTGTTTATTGCATTATTGTTGTCTTTAGACATATTCATTCATTCAAGAAGTATTTATTGAGCACCTATTATTGCCAGAAACTGTCTCAAGTGTCTGATATATATATATGTATTTATATATATAATATATAAAAATATAATATGTAATATAATACATAAATTTATATATATATAAAAATACATAAAACTGACAACAACCTTTGTCCCTTTGGAACTTACCTTTTATTGATGGAGGCAAAAAATAAAATGAGTGAGTTAATTTTAAGATATAGTAGAAGGTATTAAGTACAATGCACAAAAAAGTAAAGCAGAGTTAAGTGAAATTGAGAATGGGAATGGGTTACTATTTTAAGAAACATGATAAGATTAGGTCCATTGAGAAAATTTCATCTGAAAAATGCCTGAGGGAATGTCTGTGCACATGTTCAGAGGAAGAGCAGTTTATGTGGAGGGAAGCAGGCAGTGCAAGAGGCTTGAGGTACATGTGGCCAGAATAGAATAAGTGAAATAAAGTCAGAGAAAGAACAATTTTGGGTGTTGTCTGAATAGATCTTATGGGAACTTGAAAGTCATTGCAAGAAATTTCACAAGATTTCAATGAGATAAATAACTTCCTATTTCTTATTAATATCCAGTATGGCTATAAGAATAGACGTTGCTATAAAAGCTTTTATTGACACATGTTGACATCCAGACATATTATGCTGACATTTTTGTTTATGAACCACAGTCTATCATAGATTATTAACAAATTATTGGTTTATGTACTCAGATACTCAGACAGTGATTTTTAGTTACCAGACCACGGTAATCACAGAGTTTCTCCCTGCCATCTTTGGTTAACTGATATGTATCAATTTTATTTTATTTTATTTTTTTTTTTACCATCACATACCTCAAGATCTGGTAACACCATGGGAAGATTGTATTTCAAGAGTTTTCTTTTATTTTTTTTTTCTTCCCTCCCTTAACATTATGCTAAGTAATCAGGAAGAAGGAGTTAAGGGAGCTTCTTTTCATGGACTAGACTCTAGGGAAAAAAGATTGATGATATTTGGTAGAAGGAAAAGTCTTATCTCTAAAATGCCCTCAGTATTATGTCAGGCTAAGCATTACCTGTGGCAAACAAAACTAGGATGATGAGCTTCATGCTTGGAGAATGTCTCTTAAGCTATGAAATCCTCTGAGCCTCCATTAGAGACCTCATCCCTTCTTAACAAGAAGGGTATTCCAGACCCAGCAAAGAAGGGCTTCGGGAGCTACTCTTGACATCCCAGTCCTTTCCCTGCTTGTCTGATCCTTTTATTTGAAATTACTTAGTAGATTGAGGTACTAGTTAAAGCCTCTGATTCATGTTAGTCTGTTTTGACAATCTAATCCTGTGTTAGCCCAGTGATAGAGGGAATCTTAAAAAAATGTTACTTCTAAGAAAGGACAAAATTTGGCACAGGTTCATAGACTGTTGTTTATAAATTCAAGGGCTTAGGTATCTTCTGAATAACAGTATTTTGGAAAAATTGCACTCTAAATATTTTGAGTGGAGTCTGAAGATAAATGGTTCATCACTAAGAGTTAAGAAGATTACATTTTAGCAGAGGAAAAATCCATACAGGTCGTCCCTTCAAATTTTATAATTGGGAACTATTAGCTCATTTAAGTGATTTTGCCATTGTTTGAAACTTCTGAAATTCCTCTTCTAAGATTTGTTTTGGAAACTGTGTATTTTAAACATGTCTTCCAATGTGGCATATCTTTACCCTTTGAAGGAGTATTTCATTTTTGAAAATACTTAGGAGCTACTCCAAAAAAACTGTTATGATAATAGATATTTGAGAATAGCAGATATTTGAGAATTTTTTAAAAAATGTGAGAATATATAGTAATGTTACTTGTTGTCTTGAACATTTTGTAAACTGAGTGATAATTCCCAAAGTGACATGCAAAACTATATCATCAAAAATTGCTTCATCAGAATGACTTATATTTTCCCAAAATGACTGCTTTGAAGGACAACATTCATTTGACTACATTTCTCCTCATCACCTACCCTGATCATCCTATTTAAAATATCTAGTTTGATCACTCTATTTAAAATAGCTATTTCTAATCAAGATCTCTGTTCAGTGCATAATTCTCCCATGTCATTTTTAATAATTGCTATTTATAAAGAACAGAACTGTCTTAATATTGTATATTTCAGTTTTCTCATAATAACAATGGCTATGACTCAGAGCAAAAAGTATAATTTTCCCAGTAGGGACCTGTGGGAATAAATATATATATATATATATTTTATTACGAACCTAAGGAAAATCTACTGCATTGTATTTACCTACAAAAATGAAAACAAAAACACAACAACAAAAACCTTCTAAAAATAGCTAGTGATTACAAGAAATAACACTCTGCAGACCTTCTTCTGTGTAACGCAAGGTGTTTGCTTATTGTGCTTCCTTTATCCAGATCTGAACACTGTGATCCAGTTTCTGTTGAGGTGACATAATTTCTTTCCTAACAAAAGAGTCATAAATTTAGGAGCAACTTACATAAAGTTTGAGATGAGTTAGATTGCCCTAAAAACTGAAGAATACTCAATTTGCTTCATGCTGTACATGAGATTATGTGTAAATGTGTGTGTGTAAAAATAAATACTATACACACTTATTTTTAACTCAAGTATTACAAGGTAAAATGTAAAATACTGGTGTGTGCACCAGTTGGGGTCCTCTGAAGGAGAAGATGCTGAGAGACAATTAGCAGTCCAAGAAGTTTATTGGAGGTAATGCCCATGAAAGACAAAGGGAGGAGGAAGCCAATTTTACACCTGAAAAGGAAACCGGAGGAAGGGGAGCGAGATGGGGCAGGAAGAGCCTCAGTCTGCGATGCAGATGCGAGTCAGTATCCGACAAACCAACAGGGGGCTCCAGATCAAAGAGGCCTGCTGGGAGTCTGACAGTTGGCAGAAATGACTAGGTCCTGGTACCTGCAGCACACTCAGTCATTGGCTGGGGGGTGTGGGGGAAGAGCGTGGCCTCTGCTGGAAAGCCGAGGTAGACACTGAAGGCAATAACAGCTGGGAGCTGTCAGTAACTGCATTTCTTGAAGCTGAAAAAGAAGTTTTTTCTTGAAGACAGATATGAGTAGCACATCTCCATGGCTGCCACAGTGTGTGTGTTTGTATTTTGACACTACTATGGTCAAAGCACAGTTGAAACAAAGTTCTCTATCATTGAAAGTCTACCTTCTTGTGAGGTATTCTGACATTACAACACATATTAACAGATTACATAAGCTTGCCTGATTTTCCTTGGAAAAACTATATGTAGTTGGCTTGATTTGGGTACATTTAAAGAGATTGACGTTACTAAAATATTCCATACTCCTGACCAATGGCAACAATCTTACCATTAGAATTAGGTAAGCCTGGACAACCAGGACAGGTGGGAATGGGAACCCTGGAATCAAATCCGCAACACAGAGCAAGCACAATTATAACTACCACATTCATTTTCCTCTTCGTATTTGGGGTAGAGGACATGAAGAAGGGAAAATGAGATGGAGTTTGCAGAGGAATTCTAGAAAAGTTTATCTTTGTTCAGAAGTAGGAAAATAAAAATAAAACCTGTGAAAGAAGAACTGGATTAAGATCTCCTTTATTTCCCTGGTCATTGACTTACCCACAAAGGTATGTCTAATATATAAATGGAATCAGATATTAACCCTGGAAAACACATTGGTAGCATATATTACTAAATCTTATTTTATTAGTATTTTTATGTTAATTTTCATAATATTTTATGAAAAGTTTAGTATGTTAAGACTCTGTGGTACCAAGAATAGAATAAAGGATGGGTTAGAATAATAGAGAGGCTAATAGGGAGTTTTGTAGGTCAGAAAATTCTTTTAGCTTCTTTTTAAACACCTCTGCTGATTTTTCCCTATGGAAAGAAAAGTGAAAAACATAGGTAACACATTGTGATACAAAACACAGAAATATATTGGATTTACAGATTCTTTCTTTCCTTCATAAAATTTAGCATTTGTACCTTTTAGTTCTCATCAAAAGTCTGTTGATATAATTTTATGCATCAGTTTTGAAACGTATAGCTAGTATACAGGTAAATAAATATTTCACGTGGTTTATGAACCTACAATGTTTAGAACATCTTCTCAATTAATGATCAGATATTTATTTGGCACCTACAATATGACTCAAAATTTGGAATTGCATTGTGTGTCATACACAGGAAAAGTAAGTCTTTAACAACTATGAATCTCTAACCTATTTGAAGAGGTGAGAAAAATGCACAAAATACAAAGATACAAAGAGGGACTGATACAAGGCAATATATACTTAAGGGCTTAAATAATAGTGGCTTTGAGATGGGTGAGTTGATTGGGCTGGTTCTAGAAAATTTGTGGAGAAAATTGGATTTAAGCTGGACAATGAAAATGAGTAGGTTTTGAATAGACAAAGAAGCAATAGCAGAAATCATGTAAGCAAAATCAGAGACATCAGTGGGCATTAGTGTGGTATATAGACATTAAGAGAATGATTGGATTTGGTTGGATGACTTACGCTGAGAGAGGAGAGGGAAATATAGTTGACCCTAGAGTCCTGATTATGGAGGTCTTGGGCTAGACAGGGCATAAGAGGCAATAAACAATTGTTGTAATAATAAAATGTAATTAGTGTAGGTTTTACTATTGTTAGCTCAAGCATAATTGTTTAGCATTTCTTTTCTATTCTACCCCTTTTCTGAGGACTCAACCTTTTGTTTTGGAAAGCTTATGAAAGTTATAGACTGTTGAAAAATGTTAGTCTACATAGAGTTTGGATGAAGCGCAGCAAATTCCTAGCTGTGGGAAGATGTTTCCACCAACAGTTCTGTGGGAGACAGACAGACTTTTGCTGCTAGAAGGCTCCCACCAGGCAGCTACAAAGGCACAGCTAGCAGGGCTACTTATCACAGGGATGGATGGACAGTCGGCTTGCCTGGCTCCCTCCTGCCTAACCCTATTGCTGATCTGACAATGCTCAGCAGGCTCTAGATGTGACTCCCCTCCCCTCCCTGGAGTCCCCACGTCTTGTCTTTGGCATCTCATTCAAGCTCCACAGATATCCTACAAATTCCTATTCCATTGAATTCTCCTTTCTCCTGAGTCCAGTTGATTCTCACATATTCTTGCCTGAGTAGGAGAGTCGGGGTTTCCCTCTAGTCTTTTTTTTTTTTTTTGAGACGGGGTCTGGCTCTGTGCCCCAGGCCAGAGTGCAACGGCGCGATCTTGGCTCACTGCAAGCTCCGCCTCCCGGGTTCACGCCATTCTCCTGCCTCAGCCTCCCGAGTAGCTGGGACTACAGGCGCCCGCCACCACGCCCGGCTCATTTTTTGTATTTTTAGTAGAGATAGGGTTTCACCATGTTAGCCAGGATGGTCTCGATTTCCTGACCTCGTGATCCACCCACCTCAGCCTCCCAAAGTGCTGGGATTACAGGCGTGAGCCACCGTGCCTGTCCCCCTCTAGTCTTTTAAAAATCTGTTTTTATGACATTGGACTCTGTGCTCTCATTCTTTCAAGATCTTACTTTCTGATTCTCAGGAGTCTTTTCTTTCCTCAATAATCTTGGTTCCTGCACATTGAAAACATTGTTTTTGTTTTTTACATGGGTTCAAGAATCTGTTTTATAATTATAATTTTATTTTTAATTTTTGTAGAGATGGAGTCTGTGTTGCCAGGGCTGGCCTAAAACTCCTGGGCACAAGGGATCCTCCTGCCTTGGCCTCCCAAAGTGCTGGGATAACAGACGTGAGACACTGTGCCTGGGCAAGAGTCTATTTTTGTTTCTTGTTTTTTTGAGACGGAGTCTCACTCTGTCGCCCAGGCTGGAGTGCAGTGGCGCTATCTGGGCTCACTGCAAGCTCCGCCTCCTGGGTTCACGCCATTCTCCTGCCTCAGCCTCCTGAGTAGCTGGGACTACAGGCGCCCACCACCACGCCCGGCTAAGTTTTTGTATTTTTAGTAGAGACGGGGTTTCACCGTGTTAGCCAGGATGGTCTCGATCTCCTAACCTCTTGATCCGCCCGCCTCGGCCTCCCAAAGTGCTGGGATTACAGGCGTGAGCCACCGCGCCCGGCCAGGAGTCTATTTTAAGTCAAATAAATAGCAACGAGAACAATAATTGATCACTAGCAGTTTCTTTTAATTTTTATTCCTGCTTCATAATTCTGATTTCATGAAGGCAAAGTAGATACCTCTGACTGACTAGGGAATCACATATAAGGAATAAGAAAAAGAGCAAGCTATTGTTATCCGTACATAATAATAATAGCTTATATTTATTGACTACTTAGTCTGTGTCAGAACCTGGGGCAATACTCATAGATTATTTCATGTAATCAGCAGTACAGTTTTAAGGGTTGTGCACCACTGCTATCTGCATTTTATAGGTGAAGACAGCAGAACTCAGAGGTTAAATATCTTGCCATCCTTGCAGTACTAGTAAGTCAACGGTGAAACTAAGATTCAAACCCAGGAAATCTACCCCAAAGCCTGCACTCTTACTGGCTGTATTCTTAAATATTTTCTTTATCAAGGGATTAACATAATTATAGAAGTATTTTTGGAAGATTAGTCTGGCATCTGCATGAGAGCCTAGAGAGAGGATTATTAGTTTGGAGGTTATTTTGGTCTTTCAAAATGCCAGGAGCTTCAGGCATAAACTAAAGTGGAGGCCCTAGGTGTTCAGCCTAGTGAACCAGGGTAGTGTGAGCAACATGAAGAGGTAGAGAAATTAAAAATTAGCAATTTGAGAAATTAATAGAAAAATAGACAGTATACTCGAGAAGTATTTTTCAAACTTTTTTCATAATAAAATCACCTGGCACACTTGCTAAAAATATCCTGGTCCCAACCCAACCAGCCTGTCAGGAGATTTTCTAAGTGAATCTCTATCTTAAATAAGGGTCCTAGGTGATTCTTGGGATCGGGTAAATTACAGAAGTCATCCTAGAATGTATCTTTTAATTTTTCCTCTACCGAAACTATACATTGCTTAATTACAGTGGCTTTTCTTAACTCACAGACACAATTTTCCTTTTTACAATTAGTAGCTGATGTGTAGAGTGGTTAGCACATTAGGCCATGACTGTTAAAAGCTTTTAGTCTAACTAGTAAATCATCCAGGTAATTTGAGGTTTTATTGCCATTGCATTGTTGTTTATGGCAGCAAATCAGTTGATTTGCTGCTACCAGACACAGGGTGTAAAGTCATATGCCATAATTAAATGATATGTGACTTCTAAACCAGACATCTTTTGAAGATCCCATTTTATCAGCCAAGTCAGCCAATTTTAAAGCAGAGTGGGTTAATCACTGAGACCATTTCCTCAGCTGCTTCTATGGAAAGTCAACCAAAATTTCTTATAGTTGGTGGGTTCAAGCTTCATAAGTTCAGCTTTAGAATTCAATTGTAAAGCTGAGCTCAGATTTTAAACAATACATATTTTGGGCTGAAAATTCTCTTCAGTGTTTATAATAGTCTGGGGAAATGAAGGTAATAACCATTTTGACAGTAAATGGTAACATATGCAATTTTTTTACATACTGATTCCTTCATCAATTTTGTATCTAATTACTAAGCACTTGGGAATAGAGGCTTCTAATTCAGAAATTGTCAAGTGAAGTATTAGGCATACTCAAGGCAGCTCACCAAAGGTGAGAAGTCCTCTTTTTTCACATATTTATAAACAAGGAAGTTATTGTTCTTTGTTTACTTCCCAGATATTCTTAGTAATATTTAAAGAATCTCAGAGAGGCTTGCAAGGATGTTCAAAGTCCAAAGTCCTTGCCCTAAAACAGCACCCAGTGCTCCTCAGGAGTCCAGTATTATCTCTAATTCAGCTCTATCCCAAGCGACCAATGTCCAATTTCACGAGCCTTTTGGTTGTGGAGTTCTCTGGCTTTAGCAGCATTTCATCTATCATTGAGAATGAGATGAGAATATCTCAACGATGGCAGATAGGATTCTCCCTACTTTTCAGGTCTCTTGTAAAACAACATAAAGAAGCCAGAGGAGAGAAGAAATCCAGAATTGTAGCATAGTTTGCATTTTAGTTCTTGAATCAGGGCTGGGTTTTCTTCTTCTTGAGTTAAATTATGTACCGATCTATTTATCCTAGAGGACAAATAGATAGGGAAAATGGACCCGGGGTGATGTCAGAGACAATCCTGAAAGTTTTAGAATCCATTAGTTTGCCAAGGCCCTGACCAGTTGTCGGTAATAGACAGTAGACTTTCATACCACTGATCCAATTCCAATCATTAGGGGACACCCAGGGATCTGTTTTTGCTCTAAATATCCCAATTGAACTGTATTTTCCTTATTTATTTAATCATTTATATGTATGAACATGGACACATGGATAAAATATTTTATACTTTGCAACATAATATTTTATATTACATTATTTTACTGCTATAATTGGTTTAGCTTTAGCCACTGGATGTTCTTTCAGAATAGCTTCTTTGTCTTTTTCACATGTCCCTTCCTTTACTTTCTGGTACCCCAAGATGCTCTAGACTCATCTTGTATATTTTCTTAAAAAATGGGAAGTCATCAGCATGTAGAGGTTTGTTGAGGCTATCATATTATGATAGTGTGTGGATGTGTAAATTATAAAAAGAAGTGTGCTGAGAATGAAATCTAATGCCAAGATTTCATTTTCAGCACCCTCTTTTTATAATTCTTTTAAAAAATGGTTACAAGAAAGATATTCTTAGAGCAGATGGAAAAAAAAACTAGCAGGAAAACAGAAATAATCAGAAGGGGATAGAAACAAATGTAGGATACTTCCAAGAAACAGGAGATAGAACTAATATGAATTAGTTATTTATTGATTGCTTCAAGAAGGCTTCATGAAATTCTGGGAAATACATGAGTCAGTGATAAATAGATAAGTTTATTGTAGGTCAGGAATTGTGGGCTCTCAAAACTCTGTGGTTCCCCTCAGAGGGCTGTAAAAGTTAAAGCAATTTGATTGGTTTTATATTCAAGGAGAAATATTAAAGAGTTAACTAGTTAAAAATTAAGACAGAAAAACAGAAGATAATTTATTTTCTACAAAATAAACAATTGTAGAAATCAATTCTTTGTATAATCAAAGGATAGCATGTCTGAAGGAAATGGACTGGGAAGAAGAATGTGTTTGACAGGGTATAGAAGTGGGGATGTGGAGTCCTGATAGCTGGACCATGAAGCATAGAACCTGAATCTATGACTTACCTTCTCTTGGGATTTCTCATTGATTACTCACTAATTCTATCACTTTACTAACTACAAGGAGGTCTGTTTCTACTTTAAAATATGTTCAAATGTAGGTAAATGTCACTTGGAATATCCCAGAACACAACCATACTGAGGAATACAGAGGATACTAGAGCTCTTAGTAATTTGGCTTTGAAGATGCTGCTACCTTTAGCTTCAAGTTCATAAGTTCCTGATTTCCCAGTCTCTCTCCCTAGGATTGATGCCAATTTTATTTTATTTTTTTATTTTTATTTTTTTTTCGAGACAGAATCTCGCTCTTTCGCCCAGGCTGGAGTGCAGTGGCGTGATCTCGGCTCACTGCAAGCTCCGCCTCCCGGGTTCACGCCATTCTCCTGCCTCAGCCACTCGAGTCGCTGGGACTACAGGCTCCCGCCACCGCGCCCGGCTAATTTTTGTATTTTTTAGTAGAGACAGGGTTTCACCGTGTTAGCCAGGATGGTCTCGATCTCCTGACTTCGTGATCCACCCGCCTCGGCCTCCGAAAGTGCTGGGATTACAGGCGTGAGCCACTGCGCCCGGCCGCCAATTTTAATACTCACTGCCCAAGACAATTCCCATATCCCTGTGTCCCAAGTGTCTAGAATAATGCCTGAACTATATTAAGCAATCAAGAACTATTTGTTGAATGAATAAATGTATGAATGAATTAATTATATCCTAAGTTACATTTCAATATTTTAGAAAGATGCCATCTTATAGCATCAGCATACTTGTCTTTGTTTACCATATTATAGCTCTTGGGGTTTTAGATGTTAGGTCTATTTTCCTAAATTTCACCCTCTCTCCTTTTTTCCTCCCTAGTTAATTGTATGTCTCTCCTGTTATTGATATTGCCCTACATTTCCTTGTAAAATATTTTACAAAATTGTTCAGGCTTCCTGCATAATTCTGACTTGAAATATTGTGCTTAAAATTTTTCTATATTGCTTCTCAGTATCTTTTCTAAAATAGATCTATGTGATAATTATTTTTGGAGGGGGTATGCTTTTCACCATAACAAGGAATATGAAAATTTAAATGTGTTATAATTTTTTACCTCCACAGATTGTTTTGCTTATTGGTGTTTAATTAAAAACCAAACAACTTTTCCTATTAACTTGATGCTACTTATTAATTGAAATGAGGAGACTGACTCTGGATATTGGGAAAATTTATGGTAAGTCTTTACTATCTTTTCCCATGGTTTGTGGATTATTTACTAGGGAACGTTTGTTACAGACTTGGGCTTCACATGGTTTTCCTTGAGTCTCACAAGTAGCTTCCTTTTGAATAGATTTAGATTCCCTAAACATTTGGTAAATGTCTAGCACATGCCGAACATGTAGGTAGATGTTAGGAGCTTGTTTTAATCAATGAGGAAACAGATGTACAGTGACTCAGTGACTGTAATCCAGCAACTATCCAATAACTATGGTCCCACAGTCAGTGAGAGAGGTAGGGTTAAAGTCTATCTCTTGGGACTCAAGTCCAGTACTTTTTCCCATTATATACTTGGTAAAAGCTCATATATATATATATATATGAGCATTTTTACTTGGTAAAAGCTCATGTGTATATATATATAATATATATATTATATATATATAATATATATAATATATATATTATATATATATAATATCTATTATATATATATAATATATATTATATATATATAATAGATATATGAGTATATATATATGAGTATATATATGAGTATATATATGAGAATATATATGAGTATATATGAGAATATATATATATATATGAGAATGTTCACTTTCTTCTGGGGTCCTCATAGCTTAAACGATAATTCATGGTTTTTATTTTGTGTTCCTTTTCTCTTAGTCTGGAATAGCAAATTGACCTCAAAAGATATATTTTGATCAGGATGAATTCCAAAGCTGAAATTAGTTGTTCTCTGAGTTCAGAGTTTTAGATTAAACATCTCTCTCTTGATATATATATCTATGGTAAGTTATTTAAAATTATTCTTAATATTTGGAATAAGAGTTAAACTTAAGAAAAGTAAGTCCAGTAGTATTTGAAGTAAGCTTTAAATTGGACTTTGGTTATTTAAAAATGTTTTAATCATTAAACTATGGACCGAAATAAAGTATTCATGATGGACATAATATTAGACTATCAAAAGTCAGGAAACATGGCCTTGATGACAAACTTAAGAGAAGCAGCGGAGGGTTTGCTGCTACTGAAGATTTTACATTTAAAAAAAAAAGAAAATAGACTGTGTAGTATTTGAATGAATTCCTAAATATAAGAAGCTATAGTTTTTGTAAATATTTGAATTCCAGAAAATAAAATTCCACAGCTATGTATGAGAAAGCACATTTTAAAAAAATAAGATGTTTTTGGCCAGTCGTAGTGGCTCATGCCTGTAATTCCAGCATTTTGTGAGGCTGAGGTAGGAGGATGGCTTGAGCCCAGGAGATCAAGACTAGCCTGGGCAACATAGTGGGACCCCCATCTCTACAAAAGATAAAAAAATTAGTCAGTGTGATGGCACGTGCCCGTAGTCCCAGCTACCTAGGAGGCTGAGGTGGGAGGATTGCTTGAGCCAGGGAGGGAGATCAGAGCCTGAGAGCTTGAGGCTGCAGTGAGCCATCATCACCCTGCTGCACTCCAGCATGGATGACAGAGTGAGAACCTGTCTCAAAAAAACAAAAAACAAAAACCCAAAACAACCAAATGTATTTGCTAACTTGCTATAAATATAAAATGATACTTCTTTTTTAGATTGTAAAAAATCAAGTGAAACTAACTTTGTGCTCTTTGATCATCATTTCCGTTTTCTCTGTTCTTCCCACCTGCCTCCCCAGACCCTAGTAATCACCATTCCACTCTCTACTTCTATGAGTTTGACTAAGATTCCACATGTAAGTGACATCATATGGTTATATATATACATATATATATATATATAAAAATATATATAACGTTTTCTTTTTCCATTCATCCATTGACACTCAGGTTTATTCCGTATCTTGACCCTCGTAAATAAAGCTGCAATGACCATGGGAGTGCAGATATCTCTTCAACATACTGATTTCAGTTCCTTTAGATATATACCAAGAAGTGGGATTGCTGGATCATATTAGATGATCCACTGCACAGCATGCAATAGTAATCTGCACAGCATGGTCACTACATAGTTAATAATAACGTATTATGTATTTCAAATTATTAAAAGAGTAAATTTTAAATGTTCTCACCATAAAAAATAAGTATGTGTTGAATATGGGATATGTTAATTACCGTGATTTAATCATTCCACACTGTGTACATGTATCAAAACATCACATTGTACCCCATAAATATATATATAATTATTTTGTCAGTTAAAAATAAAATACAAGTAAAATCACTTTAAAATAAAAAAATCAATTGAAAGCATTTCTAAGCATTTGAACATGTAATTGTTGAGAAAACACACAATGATTTCGCTAATTCCAGCTGATCATTTTTCCGCTGAGAGATAATATATTAAGGGAGTTTAGAAATACATTTTCAGAATTCTATCTATCTACCTATCTCTATCTGTCTGTATATCCATCCATCACATTTTGAAATCTTTTTTAAAGTAAAAAATGTAATAAAATGTCTCTTGTGTAGCAAATCAGCAAATTAAATTGATATAAAATTCTCTCACATATGCTTGACTTAATGTAATAATAAATATCATAACATATAGCTTAAAACTTATCTTTCATCCCTTTCCCTTTCCTCTTTCTCCACAGGTGACCATTATTCTGAGTGTTTTAAAAGCAATATTTTTCTATTGAAGAAATGAAAATAGCAGTCATTCAAAATCCTATTGTGCTATCTTTTGATCATCATAATAAGCAAACGCAAATAATTCTCCCTTGGTGATCCAATTAAATGATTTTAAAATATCAGTGTCAAAGCTGTTCCTTCTAAAATTTAAGGCAAATCTAATAGATTCTAAACATAGATTACAAACTCAAACGCCCTCAGGTGCCAGGCAGGAGAGATTAGAGAGCCGCCTGTCAGAATGGAGACGCTAGATTTAGTTTATCCCCAATTTGTAAAAGACAGACGCTGGTTGTCTTTTCAGAATGACAAGAAATCAATAGACAATATTATCAAGTGGTCAGAATCTTGAAAGAAGGCAGAAATTTAGGTATATTTATTTCTAATTTCTAAATGTTGACAAAGATTTAAAATTTTAAAAGTACCTTGTATTTTAAATTAACCCTGTTGGAAGTCCAGCGTCAGCTGTTGGACTGCTACTTTGCAATTACGGCAAAGTGGGACAGCTACAACCATCTTTCTGGTTGAGTGCACTATCCTCTTTCCCTTTCCGAATTCACTTATTTATTAAACTACATTTGCTGCTCAAGTCTGGGCTTCCTGGATGTAAAAAGTTCTCCGTGATCTGGCATCACTCTGCCATCCTGCCTTCAACCCTGCTGCTCCCATCAGAGTGGCTTCCTTGCAGTCATCTGACATATTCAACATTGTTTTGCCTTCACTGCTGAGCTCATGAAGTTGGTCTATGAATGTGTCATATAGTAGAAAGAAACTGGATTTGGACAAAATTCTATGCTGATAAAAAGGATGATGAGGCCAATGCTGTGGATGTATTTATATATCTGCTGAATCTGTCATTTAGGAATTAGTAAATAGTTGCTGAATCCTTTGTTTTAAATATCGCGTACTTGAAAACGATAAATAATTTTTCAACCTTTGGTTCTTCAGATTGAAAAATTTCAGCTCACAGAATCTTTCCCAAGATAGAGAATTTCTAAACCTGTAATTATTTTTGTAACTTGCCTGTAAACTCTCTTTACATTTTTTATTCTTTTTGTTTCAAGTCTACAATATTTCTCGTTGTTTAGAATGAAGTTGATAATATTTTAATATAAAGCAGAGTTTCTGCATTCATTAGTATGTTCTGATTCGTTGTTTATAGTGATTGTTTTAACCATCTCTGAATCTGAGTTTTTGATTTGCAATGATTTTGTGAATTATTGTGACATGTTGGCAGCTGTATTAAACCATCGTATTGAAGAGATATTAAGTAATTATTAGTCCATATTCCCATTTTAAAGCGTTAAAATAATATAAATGGCATACATTCTTCTTAATATCCTGGAATACTGAAATGCTTTCAACCAAACATATAAGAATTTTAGAAAGCTAGACTCTGACATGAGCAATAAAACGCACTAGGTTACTCAGAATAGAGATTCACTTAGTTTAAAAGTAGTTTTTATTGCTACATAATATTGTGAAGCAAACTATTCATCAGTAGCCTCAAGCATGTACTACCTGCATGAAATACAGGGACATCTGAAAGACTGGAGGAATAGGTTGGATTTCTTAGCCTCTTTTGTGGTTTCCTTATACTTTTTTCTGATCTTCCCATTAATAATCCATAACACCTAGCACTGGCTATCAAATATACTGAAAAAGCTTGTTGAATAAATGAATCAGTGAAGAAATTTGTGATATCCTTTCAACAAATTCTTTATTTCTCTCTCCTATCTGTCAATTCCCATTGTATACATAATGAATATCTACACATGTTACTAATGAATGGAATGCTATGTTCTTCCTTTAAATGAACACATGCTCCAATTCCTTAGTCTATTAAGATGCTTGATAGAATGTGGCTTCTCTGATCTGAATTTTTGTGGAAAGATGTATTAGCTAGATATCCAAAACATGACATGTTTTGAAGAATGTGCTCAAAGTGAAGAAATGTTTCAAATTCCCAAAGCACAACTTGAAGTATTGTTGTAATTGTGACTTGTTGGCAGAGGAAGGCAGGAGGAACAGTAGTTTGGCACCCAGAAAATAGAAATGCAGTGGACCATTTTCAGCTGGAAAGTCAAGGGAAGGTTGGAAATCAAAGTGATCAAGTGGGTGAACTTAGAGCAAAATTTTAGGAGCATAAGGCTGAGAAGCAAAACATCTGATTTTGTATCTCTTTTATCACTTGCTATGGGAAAACTTCAGTTTTACATTTTTAATCAATGTGGTAGTACTAATAGTACCTACTACCTAATAGTACCTAATGGTATGCTTTTTGTGAGGATTAAAGAGGCACATTATAAAGTAAATAATACAGTACCTGGTACATACTAAGGATAATAATACTGTTTTTATTGTTATAGAAGCTATAAATCAGAGAATTGTCACATTCTAAGATGTGTAAGTCCTTTCTGGGGAACTGACACACACAGAGCAAAATCATTAGAAGCATCTTTGTATATAATGCTGTCAAATGAATATGTTTTTGATTATAGCTTTCAAGATAACATAGCTATTAAGCCTTAGATAAATTATTATTTACGTTTTTTTCTCCCTTTACCTACTCCCTGCCTCATTTTCTCCATTCTTACTTCCTTCTTTCTTTTCCTTCCTTCCTTCCTTCCCTCCCTCCCTTCCCTCCTTCCCCCTTCTCCTCTTCCCCTCTTCCTTCCTTCCTTTCTTCCTTCCTTCCTTCATTCCTCCCTTCCTTCCTTCCCACCAGTATTTACCACCTCACAACTATATTCTAGAGTATCCTGGGCACTGGGAATACTATAAATATATTTATTAACATATCTCTTTCTATAGCTGTATATCTAAGTATTTATGTAGTTATCTGTATTATTTAACTACCTAGCTATGTATCTATCTACTTTTCTCCAGCTTGGGCTGTATAACAAAATATCATCGACTAGGTGGCTTAAAGAACAACAACAACAAAAATTTCACCCAGTTCTAGAGGCTGGAAATCTAATATCAGGGTCCCAGCATGGTCAGGCTTTTTTTGAGGGCCCTCTTCCTGGCTTGAAGTTGGCTACCTTCTTGCACTGTATTCTCACATGACGGAGAGAGTAAGCTCTGATGTCTCTTCCGCATCTTATAAGAACACTAATCCCATTATTGGGGCCCTACCCTCATGACCTCATCTACACCTAATTACCTCCTAAAGACCCCACTTCCTAATATACTGGGAGTTAGGGCTTCAACATTTCAACATGTGAATTTCAGGGGAACACAACTCAGTTCGCAATACTATGTCAATATATTTATGAAAAGGGGGTGGCTAATTCTAATTGAGTCATTGAAATTCTCATAAAAGAAAAATGTTTAAACTCAGCCTTGAGTATGTTCTCCAGGTGGTTAGATAGAACGGGGAGTAGAGAAAGAGAAAAAGGGTAGAAGATGTGGAATTACAAAAGGGACAGAGATGGGAACTAACACAGTGGTATTTATTGGCATGGTTAGAAGAAAATAGCTTCACTAAAGAATCTGGACATTGCCGTGATGATCACTGTGTCTTCAGTGACTGAGTGACATGATCAGGGTCACCTTCTGGCAGCAGCATGGAGAATGGATTAGAGATGGCATGAAGATTTTAGGAGACTACTCTGATAGTTCTAACGAAATACACTGTGGGCAGAAGTAGTTTGGATGAAGAAGAGAGTAAATAAAAAATGACAAGATTTTATCTCCCATAAACCTACAAGAATTATATACAGTCATATACTGCATATAATATATACATAATGTATAAAGATGCTTTGGTCAAAGACAGACTGCATGTGTGACAGTGGTACCGTAATATTATAGTGGAGCTGAAAAATTCCTGTTGCCTGATGACGTTGTAGCCATGGTAACGTCCTAACACAAAGCATTACTCATGTGTTTGTGATGATGCTGGTGTAAACAAGCCTACTGCACTGCCAGTTGTATGAAAGTATAGCATATACAATTATGTACAGTACATAATATGTGATAATAATAAAAAACAAGTATGTTAATGGTTTATGTATTTACTAAACTATAATTTTTAATTGTTGCTTTATAATGCACTTACTCCTACTTATTTTTAAAAAAGCTAACTTTAAAACAAACTCAGGCAGGCCAGGAGTGGTGGCTCATGCCTGTCATCCCAGCACTTTGGGAAGCTGAGGCAAGTGGATCACCTGAGGTCAAGAGTTCAAGACCAGCCTGGCCAACATGGTGAAACCCCATCTCTAAAAAAAAATAAATAAATAAAAACACACACACACAAAGCAGTCTCAGGGATGTACTTCAAGAGATATCCAGAAAAAGACATTGTTATCATATAAGAGAACAATGTTATTGCCCCTGAAGACCATACAGTGGGACAAGATATGGAGATGGAAGACAGTGATATTGATGATTCCGGCCTTGAGTAGGCCTAGTCTTGTGTGTGTGTGTGTGTGTGTGTGTGTGTGTGTGTATGCGTGCGTGTGTGTTTTGAGACAAGGTTTTGTACTGTCGCCCAGGCTGGAGTGCAGTGGCATGATCTAGGCTCACTGCAACCTCCCTCTCCTGGGCTCAGGCAATCCTCCCATCTAAGCCTCCTATGTACCTGGGGCTGCAGGCACACACACCACCACTCCTGGCTAATTTTTTTTTTTTTTTTGAGTTGGGGTTTCGCCATGTTGCCCAGGCTGGTCTTCAACTCCTGGGCTCAAGTGATCTGCCCACCTCAACCTCCCAAAGTTCTGGGATTACAGGCATGAACCACCATGCCTGCCTGGCCTAATGTCTGTGCTTATGTCTAGTTTTCAACAAGAAAGTTTAAAAATTAAAAAAATAAATACATAAATAAAATATAGAATAGAATAAGAGTGCAAAGAAAGAATAACTTTGTACAGCTATACAACGTGTTTGCGTTCTAAGTGTTATTACAAAAGAGTCAAAAAGTTAAAAAAATTAAAATGTTTATAAAGTACAAAAGTTATTGCAAGCTAAGGTTATTTTATTATGGAAGAAATAATTTTTTTAAAAAATGAATTCGGTGTAGCTTGCATGTACAGCGTTTATAAAGTCTGTAGTAGTGTTACCAAGCAAAAGGGGCTTGCTGCCTGATGCACTAGAGGCCAATAGTATGACACCGAGTTTTTTAGAAAAGAAAAGCTTTTTATTGCAGGTTGACTAACAGAGGAGACAGGAGTCCAGTTCAAATGTGTCTCCCTGTGCTGACTTTAAGATAGTACTTTTATTAGAAAAGGTTTAAGGGATGAATTCTGGGATTGGTAGATTGGTGGAAAGAAAGAGGAGGTCTGAAAAGTCCTCAGGAATGCAGTTATCTTTCATGCTACGTCATGGGTCACAAGTGCAAATTCAGGGGGAGTTAGGATTTAACATGTGGTGGAAACTCAGGCTATAATGTTAGCAAGTTTGTTCTGCACACACTGCTGTCAGCCATATTGGTTCCCATCCATTTCAGCTAGTTTTGTTATCTTACAAGTGAAGGGAGTTTCAGCAGTTCAGCAAGTTGTTTCTTTTCTTATCTGCCATCTTTCAAACTTGAAAATTTCTGTTAGCTATTTAACTCCTTGGGACACGGTTTCAGTAGTAGACGATAATGTCCTAGGTCTTCACATTCCCTGATCACTTACTCACCACAGAGCAATTTCCAGTCCTGCAAGCTGCATTCATGGTTAAGTGCCCTGTACAGGTGTATCCTTTTTTGTCTTTGATATTTTCTTACTGTGCCTTTTCTATGTTTAGATATGTTGAGATACACAAATATTTACCATTGTGTTAACAATTACCTGCAGTACTCAGTATGGTAATATGCTGTATAGGATTGTAGCCTAGGATCAATAGGGTATACCATATAGCCTAGCTGTCTTGTAGGTTATACCATCTAAGCTTGTGTAAGTATATTCCACGATTGCACAACAACAAAATAACCTAATGACACTTTTCTCAGGATACATCCCCAATGTCAAGTGGCACATGATTCTGTGGTTTTTCAGGCTGTGTTTGCCAGTGGGATGCCAAGAGATGATTTCTGGGGGCATATGCTTACCTCTTTTTGGCTTGGAGGTTATTCATGATCTCTGCCTTGCCTCCTCCAAATGGTGCTGAGTACCTCCTTTCCACACTGTTGTTCCAATAAGTGTCACCAGTGCTGCTGGGATCTCATTTCTGACTTTAGCTGCTCTTGCTCCTTCCTTGGTTTCATTTTTGTAGCTATTTCTGCTGGTTCTAGTCCAACACCATGGTCACGGTCACTGCTTTTGCTGGTTCCACTACCATCATGATCATGGGCAGACCCAGGATTTTTCAGGATTGCTATCTCTATCATGTTTGAAGGCTCCTGCCAGTCTGCAGCTGCTATTGTAGCATGCTTTGCTCTTGTTTTACTATGAGCATGAAGTGTAGCTTGTGATGGTATGGCTTTCAAGCATTAAAGTTAAGATTTCATTCTTAACTCTGCCACTTACTAATTTTGTGACATTTTGGTTAAGTTACTCAAATTCTTTGAGTCTTAGTTTGTTTATCTTTAACATTAGGATAATGCTACCTACCATGAAGTGTTGTTCTATGGATTCAATGACTTCGTGTAATTAAAACACCTCACATACTGGTTCCACACCATGCAGCCTAAAGTAACTACTTATTATTGTCACCTTAAGCCCCATCATGAGCCCACCTGAGTCCCATTGCCACTTTCGCTCTCTTGTACTTCCCAAAGCTTATTGCCATCTTGCTTCTCAAAAACTCTTATGGATAACAGGTTAAAAAGATCATTTACATAACTACAAGTAGAATATATGGAACATAACAGTTGCTTGATACATGCTAACTTCTTTCCCATCCCTGTTCTTGCAAACTCCCATTGGGTTATTTTTCCTTAGGGACATTTTCCACAGTTTCCTTTCTTTGGTGCTATAATCCATCTATGTGCATTATTTTGTGGAAGCCTAAATCTTAGTGTACAAATTTACCTGACCATCTAACTCAAATGACCAAATAGCCCAGGAGAGAGAGGGACACAGGCCAGAAGAAGCAGAATTGGAGAAATTAAATGGGTTATATCTGCTGAAACTTGAAGCAATTAAAAAAATGTCCATTATACTATCCAAAGAGAGTAACACACTCAACTATGGTCTGGACATTTGTTTCAAGCAATAAAGTTAATATGCTGATTCTAGCCATAAGAAAAGTGCAGTAATGGCTGATGCTTTAAATAAAGCATTAAAGTTTTGAAGCAATATTATACTCACAGTAAAACTCTAACTTGCGACAGCCAGCAAAGGAGCTTCATAGGGCATATTCCTCCCCATCTCAGGTGAACGACACTTGTTGAGAGGATATATGGCTTCTGACACCCAAATAGGCAAGAGTTCAGAGAAAAGTTCCATTTCTAATGAAGCATAGAGTAATGGTTAGAAGTATAGTCCCCCAGACCACATTCTCTTCCAGCTATACTGCTTAGTAACTCTGTGACTTTGGGCAACTTATTTAACCTCTTGGTGCCCCATGTCCCCATCTGTAAGATGGGGGATGATAATGACAACTACTTCATAGGTTGTTGTGATAATTTAATAGGTAAAGAAATGTAAAGTTCTACAAAAAATGCCTGGCATATAGTTGACATTGAACAAATATTAGCTATGTTATTATTATTACTTTCATTCGATAGGGAAATCAAGACAAAACAGAGTTCCAAGGGTGGACCTGATAGATTCATAGGGTGGAGGAAGAAGAAATTTCAGGGAAAATTTGCAGCCTGAAAACAACTAGTGAGGACTTCTGTCTGGCACAATGACATCAGGTTGTGACTGCACTTCTATTCCTGAGTCAAGACTGGCTGAGGAATAGGGTGGATCTGATCCAGCAGACAAATCCTCAGTGATGCCCGCTGGAGAGGCTGGAGGAGGCAGGAGTTTAAACAGTGCAGAATTCTTGCTGCCATCCTGCTGGCCTCCCAGGGGACCAAGAGAGCACTTTTGTACCTCCATCCTACTGTGACTCCGCAGTGCATCCAATCTCATGCAAACTCCTTTAGCTGTACTTGAAGCTGTTCTGGATGATTAATCTGCTTGTATTGATTATTTTTAGCCTAAGTTTAAATGAAGAGCAAATATTTCTCTCTGATAGATTTACAGTGCTTTGTTTATTGGGAATATTTTTGGACTGAACAACAAGTAAACTATGCTCTACATAAAATGGTAATGGTCAATATGCTAAATTAGGTAATACTAAGTAAACTTTTTTAGTATAGTCTCAATACAGAGATAATAGGTAAGTTCAAAAATTTTAAATTACTATGAGTACATTTGAGATTCTGGTGCTTCTGAACTACAAGTGATGATGTCATTGAGGCACAGAATTACTTTCTCAGGTGGTTTGACTATTAAAAAAGTGTTTACATTAGATTATAAGCTGGCAAATATCAGACACATTGTTAGAATGTTTAATATTTTCATACGTCACAGGAGAACCTGGAACTGTGATATCAAGCATTGCACCTTTTGGATTTAATTCTGTAGTTCTTCCTAACATTTACTTGCTAACCTTTGGTGTTTATTTCCTTTTTGAGGAGGGGAGTTGTTTTGCTCTGCTCTGGGTAAAACTTCTAAAATTATTTTATTTTGTACAAAATTTATGTTTGTCTTTGAAGTACAGAATTTCTACATTGGTTTCCCTATTTGACATGTGAATTAGATCACTGGGATTTTCAATCCTGAATTGTGTGAAGAATCATATCTGAAATAAATTTAGTGGATTAAGCTAGTTGATAAGATCCAATGTTGTGATTTATATTTCTATATACATGTTACTATATTTCCAATTATCTTTTGAATATTTAAAAAGGGTGCCTGATAGACTATAAGAAAAATTTTAGTGTTTTTTGGAAAATAATTTTATATTTTTGCACTGTGTGCCCACTTTTTAACACAAATGCATGTTTTTTCAGAGAAATTTAAAAAATAAAGTTGAATATTTTGGGCTGCGGATTTTAACTTCCCTAGGAAGTGCCGCCCTCAAGGCATCTCTACCATTTTGAAATTACGACTATAATATTGACTATAATTATGACTAAAATATTTAAACAATAATAAATATTTTCAAATATATATGTTGGCCATTTAAAAAAGTATTGCATTACATATTTTAAAATTTTTCTCACTTTTAAAATTCATAATATTATTTTACATTTGTATATTACTCTATTTAGAGGCACAATGCCTAGCATAGAATTTGAACTCCACCACTGATGTGATCCATCTTGGGAATATTACTTAACCTCTCCTGAACCTCAGTTTCATATTGTATGGTTAAGATAAAAATAGTACCTGCCTCACAATTTTATTGTGAGGATTATATGATTTAATATAGGTAAGGTGATTAAAACAGTATTTGGAACCCAGTAAGGGATACAGAATTATTTACTTTGTTATTTTTAAAACTTATTTGGGGAATATAGGAAAAAGTGATATAAATCATAAACCTGCAGAGGGGATTTTCTACACAGTATTATTACAATAATCTCCCCTTGAAAAAGGATACTAAGAGTCTCACTGTCTATGCTTAGATTTAACATGAATACAATATGAATCAGAGAAAACTTTTTATTGATCAGCATAAGATGGTTAGAAGAATGCTCTAATATCCAAGTAATAACCATGATGTTGAACTCTGTTCTTTAAATAAGACAAAGTAGTTGAAACAGTTGTAATTATCTGATACTCTCACCTGTAGGTGTAGGTAAAGTAAACCAGTGAGAGCTAAGCTCCCACTCTGCTGCAGCAGAGGGAGATGAACAGACTAGTAGGAAAGGGACTGCTCATGGAGGACATGGGTTGTGGTGTTAGAGAGCAATATAAAAAGCTGGGCTGTGGTCAGGGCTGGAACTGCTGAAGTACACAGTGCAATTGTGCTTTGAGACCTAACTTGCCCTTGATCACATCTATGAGAAATAGGCCCAGAAAGAGTCACTTATGGTCCAAAGGTAGCATTAGCATTCTAAACACATCTAGTCATTTCCATTCCAAGGAAGAATGCCCAGATAGATAGTTGTGAACATCTCTTATCTTGGGATCAATAATGGAAGAATAGAGGAGCGATTTGCTTCACTTCTCTTTTTTCTTTTTAAAATGCACTGTAACCAATGTGTCTGGCTTGAAGGCTATTAACTGGGTTGCATCATACTGGTGGGCTAGGGAGTTAAACAATACAGACTAGAAGTCATTGCTACAGGTTTTTTTTTTTTATAAAGCATATGCTAATGTGATACACATTTATCTCAAACATGTATCCCAAAACCTACTCATTATTTTATCTCCCAAGATTATTTCCTTTGTTCTTGATTAATATTATCACTATACGCCTGCTTTTCAAGGTCATAAATCTCTGTATTCCATTCAATTTCACTCCTTTCTAACTCTTCACATAAAATTTGTTAATTTAGACCAGTACGTGTCAGACACTATTCTGGGAACTAGTTGTATTTTAGTGAAAAGAAATCGACAATAAAAACATTACCTGTCCTCATGGTGTTGACAGGAGACAAGCTCACAAATAAATATATGATTTAGTGGAGTGTTATGATTTGTTATGTTTTGTCATTATTTTTATATGCTTTTATATAAAATATGTTATATCATTTATATAATAAATAATTGTTTAGAAGTATCAGTAAAATATCTTGAATAGGAATGAAACGATAATTTAAAATGAGTGGTATCAGCAGAAAACATTATAGTGGACCCAGAAGGACCAAAAAAACAAAAATATAATTTTGTTATTCACAGAAAATACCTTGAGCCTAGGAATATTTAATTAAGCAAACATTTTTCAGACATGCGCTATGTATATTTTTATTAACTCCACAAAAATTTCTTGAGAATCTTTTGGGCACTGGGACAAAATAGTAAACACCCTATATAAAATCCCTACCCTTATGGAATTTACATTCTAGTGGAGAAGACAGATGAATAAGAAAATGCCACACACATACTTCTTAACTATTCTACTTCCTAGCTTTCCCAGTCTGCCCCCCATTCAATAAAACCTTTCTTACCAGTGCCCTGTTGTGGCCCTTTCCAACCACAGATTATTGTATCAATTGGTCTCCACTTCATCATCTATATTGTCATAGTTATCCTTCTAAAGCATAGAGTTCATCATTAGAGCCCTCTGATATTAACCTTTTATGACTTCCTGTCATCTTCCTTATGATTTCATTTACATTCCAGTCCTGTGATTCTCCAATCCTATTTACTGCTTTATAACCTGAGCAACATATCCTCTTAGCTGCAACTTCAGCTTTTAGCTTAAGAATTGCTCATACTTCATTGAGAAAATATAAGCAACCACATAGGAGTGTTTTCATCTTCTTACCTCCGTATTGTAACCCTATTTCCATAAAATAATATGTATCATATTCTTTTTTCTTCCTTTGCAGCCTGTCGATGGCAAATATTTCCACTTGTGCTTCCCTTTAGTTTCAAGACCTTTGCACTTGAAGTAATTGTATCATAAGTTTCTTCTTTTCTAGCGTGTTATTCCCACCTGTATACAATATGCTAATTCATTTAAAACATCTATTCCTTGATTTTCCATTTCCCTAAAGATATTACTCCATTTTTTGTAATATTGTTATCTTAACTTGCTCTCTCCATTCTTCACCTACTGCTTACTAATCAACCTACTCCAATCTGGCTTCCATTTCTGCCATTCATGGAAACCTCAGCCCATCTTCTCTCTTTTCTTTTCTTCTCTCCTGCCTCATTTCCTTTCTTTATTTTGCCAAGGACATCAATAATAACCACATTGCCAAATCTAATAAACCTTTCTGTACTCATGTTACCCTGCTACTCAGGAGCATTCAATATGAGTCAGCCTGCATTCCTTGAAAAACTTGACTGTCTAGACTACTTCTTCCTTTCCAGTCTCCTTGTTCTGGATGATCCTTCCCCTTTACCTGAAATCATAATTATCCACACCCTCTCCCTAGGTGATTGCACTTAGTCACTGTGATTTAAATGCTAACAATTGAAAAACGAAAGAGCTCCAGACGTATACACCTACTGCTTATTGTACTTGTCCAGTTGAATGCCTACTAGGCATTTCAAGCTTGAATTTTACAAACCAGAACTTCTGTTTTTTTTCCACTCCCCACCTGTTCTTCGAAAAGTCTTCCCCATCCCAATAAGTGGTACCACCAAACACCCAATTATGCAAACCCCAATACCTAGAAGTTATCCATGATTTCTTTATTTTTTCCTCATCCCCCCACAGCATCCATTAGCATGTTCAAAATATATTTTGAATCTCTCTGCTTCTTTCCATTTATACTGTTACTACCTTGTTTTAAGTCACATTCATCTTTTCTGGACAATTGTGGCAGCTTCTTAACTGCTATCTTTGCTTCCTCTCTTATTCATGCCCACATAGCAGCCAGAGTAATCTTTATTAAAATATGCATCAGATCCTGTCACCCCCTTACTTAAAACTCTTCAATCGTTTTCCATTTTGTTGAAAATAAAGTCCAGAAACTTTTCTGCCAAGGCCCTGCAGGATTTAGTTCCTGGATTTCTCTCTGGGATTATTCCTTACTGTTCTGCTCTAGCTGATTTCATTCTAGCCACACCATCCTCCTTTCTGTTCCTTGAATAAGCCAAACTCTTTTCCATTTCAGAACCTTTCATTTGATACTCCTAACACTTGGAATCCTCTTTCTCCGGCTTTTTGCATAGCAGCTTATTTTTCTTTGACTCTTAGCTCAAATGTCATTTCCTTAGAGAAGGCTTCTTTACTTTTTACTCTAAATAGCATATTGGTCTTGTGAGAATATCTACAACAAACATTTTCTAGGGTCAAATACAGTTTGACGGTTTTATATATATTACATTGCCTTTTTGGAATTCTTATGCACAGTAGCACATTATAGCTTCATTAATTCATACATTCATTCTTTTAGTTAACATTTATGAACACCTGCTATGTGCCCCAAATTATTCTAGGTGCTTGAGATACATCAAATAGTAAAACAGACACAATTCCTAATTTGTAAAGTTTACATTCTAGTGAGTGAGACAAATAATAAACACTTAACATAATTCAAAACAAATTATATAGTATAAGGAAGGTCATTCATGCTGCAGAAAAAGAGAGTTAGGTAAGTAGGATTGAGAGTGCCATGGTGGTTGCGGTATTCTGAGAATCATATTATGAAGAAACCAGCATTTTTCAAAATTATTAAACCATGCAACACACATTATAATGTTGTGAAACTAATTTTCCAAGGAACACACTTTAGGAAATTATGATAAGCCTACCTTTCATTCTCTTCTCTCCTACATTCATTTTACAGAGTAGAAGCCTGAGTTCTAGAGAAGCCATCTAATTATCCATGAGTCACAAATCCTTCCTAGAAATTTAAGATATGATGTACGCTTTACAAAGTCGATTGTGAGGATTATGATAGAAATAATCAGTTGCATATCTAGGATATTTGGCACTTGAAGTAACTTGTTTATATGACAAAATTTCTTCCAGTAATAGTCATGAAATAGGACAAATAAAATAATGGTTAGAAAAATCAGCAGACTTTAAAATTTTTCTTCTATTGAATTTTGTATATGTAATAATGCCAATAAAAAGAATAGTAAGTAAATAAATATTACAGTACAAAATGAGAAAGGTAATGGGTTAATACTTTTAAGTTACAATAATATTCTCTTTTTAAAAACATGCCCAAATAGGTGGTCTGTTACATATAACAATTATTAGGGACTGAATGTGTCCCTACCTGACTTCCAGCCCTAAATTTGTACGCTGAAACTCTAACTCCCATGTCACTATATTTAGAGTAAGGAAGTAAATAAGGTCAAATGAGGGCATAAGGATGGCGTTCTGATCTAATAGAATTTGTGTCTTTATAAGAAGAGACATCTTTTTTTTCTGTCTTTCCCCGAGGGCACATACAGAGGAAAAGACATGTGGGGACATAATGAGAGGACAGCCATCTGCAAGCCAAGAAGAGAATCCTCACCAGAAACCAACTTGACTGGAATCTTGATCTTGAACTTCTTGCTTCCAGAATTATGAGAAAATAAATTGTTGTTTAACCCACACAGTCTATTGTACTTAGTTGTAGCAGTCTGAGAAGACTAATACATTGATAAACTGGTCAGTTACAACAATGAATATATTATTTATACATTATATAAATGATTATAGTTTCTGTATTAGCTTAGATTTTGCAAATTTGTCAATAGCTTTGTCCAAGTTGATTTTCTTTATATATTCCTATTTCATAGACTATATTAGCTAGATTTGTCAATCTATCTTACTCATAATGACTGAAGAACACTTTTAAATTCAATTTAAAAGGTTTTTGTCACATAAAGCAACAAATATAAAACTAGAAAAAATATAAATATGAATATAAATTTGAAGGAAATTAATAAAAATCGTATTGTACCATATATTCCAGAAATTTTAAACACTGATGAAAACTTCAAGTGGTACCAAGGAATGAGAGAATTGAAGTAATTCAAGTGTTATATTTCATCTTTTCTATCACTAGGTTGTCATCAATTATTTCAAATCTGTTTTTTTTTTTATTGTAATTAAACTTCTAAGTTCAGGGACACATGTGAAGGTTTGTTATATGGGTAGACTTGTGTCATAGGGTTTTGTTGTACAGATTACTTCATGAATCCGTTATTAAGTGCAGTACCCATTAGTTATTTTTTCTGATCCTCTCCTTCCTTGCACCCTCCACCCTCTGATAAGACCAACTGTCTGTTGTTCCCTCTATGTGTCCATATGTACTCATCATTCAGCACCCACTTGTGAGAACATACAATATTTGTTTTTCTGTTCCTGAATTAGTTTGCTAAGGATAATGGCCTCCAGCTGCATGATGCTCCTGCAAGGGGCATGATCTTATTCTTTCTTGTGGCTGCATAGTATTCCACGGTGTATATGTACCACATTTTCTTTATTCAATCTGTCATTGATGGGAATTTAGGTTGATTCCATGTCTTTGCTATTGAGAATAGTGCTGCAATGAACATATGCATGCATGTGTCTTTATGACAGAATGATTTATATTCCTTTAGGTATATCCCCAGTATTGGGATTCTGGGGTCTAATGATATTTCCATTTTTAGGTCTTTGAGGAATTGCCACACTGTTTTCCACAGTGATTGAACTAATTTACAACCTTCAAAACAGTGCATAGGCATTCCTTTTTCTCTGCTACCTTGCTAGCACTTATTTATTTATTTTTGACTTTTTAATAATAGCTATTCTGACTGGTGTGAGAATCTTCTGCTTAACTCAGGAATGTGTAGCTCCACGAGAGTAGCTCCCCAGCACCCAAAGAGAGCTTGAAGGATTCAAAACCGTTATGAACTTCCTCTTAAAATGAACATATGTAGTTATGTCTACATGCATCAGGGACTGACTGGATGACTGAGGATTCTTTGAATTAACTTTTATGAAGATTACAACATTTATTAAAGAACAAGTAATTCAAATGTGCTAATTTGTAACTTAAATAATATGTTATTGAAAATCAATAGTAATCTGTGCAATTATTTAGAACTTAGACTAGTAGAAGCCTTTAAAGACAGGACTGTTTATCAGTGATGTTGCTTAGAATTACTGGCATACTTTGATAATAAAAAAGAGATTATTTTTAAGTTAGTTTTATCATTGCTTTTAAATGCTCCACAAGCAATGCACCTCCTTATCCTATTGCTCTGCCCTAGGTAAGTCCCTGGAAATTATAATAGTAGTTAATATTTGTTGAGTAATTCAGAGTTAATGCATGTTTAATCATTGTCATGAATAAATCAGCTGAATGAGTAGGAATATCCCAAATGCCTTTCCAATATGTTTTTTGGTGGCTTTTGCCCAAGGTTTTTTTTTTTTTTCTCTTGGTTTAGAAGACTTAGGGCTGACTATTCAATACCATTGAAAATATTAGATCAAAGCAAAAAGAACAAAGCCAGAGGCATCACATTACCTGGCTTCAAACTATACTACAAAGCTACAGTAATCAAAACAGCATGGTACTGGTGCAAAAACAGACATACAGAAAATAGAACAGAATAGATAACCCAGAAATAAAGCCACACACTTACAGCCATTTTATCTTTGACTAAGTTGACAAAAATAAGCAATGGAGAAAGTACTCCCTATTCAATAAATGGTGTTGGGATAACTGGCTAACCATATGCAGAATAAAGAGACTGAACACCTACCTTTTACCATATACAAAAATTAATTCAAAATGGATTAAAATTTTAAATGTAACACCTCAAACTATAAGACTTTTAGGAGAAAACCTAGGAAACACCATTCTGGACATAGACCTTGGGAAAGAATTTAGGGCAAAGTCCTAAAAAGTAATTGCAACAAAAACAAAAATTGACACATGGAACCTAATTAAACCAAAGAGCTTCTGCACAGCAAAAGAAACTAACAACAGAGTAAAAAGACAACCTACAGAATGGGTAAAATATTCACAAACTTTGCATCTGACAAAGGTCTAATTGGGAAAATCTATAAGGAAGTTAAGCAATTGAAAAAGCAAAAATCAAATTACCTCATTAAAAAGTAGCCGAAGAACATGAACAGACAGTTCTCAAAAGAAGACATACAAGCAGCCAACAAGCATATAAAAAATGCTCAACATCAGTAATTATCAGAGAATGCAAATCAAAACCACAATAAGATACCATCTCACACCATTCAGAATGGCTATTAACAAAAAGTCAGAAAACAGCCTGCTGGTGAGGCTGTGGAGAAAAGGGAATGTGTATACACTGTTGGTGGAAAAGTAAATTAGTTCAGTCACTGTGGAAAGCAGTCTGGAGATTTCTCAAAAAATTTAAAACAGAAGTAACTTTTGTCCCAACAATCTCATTACTGGGTATATATCCAAAAGAAAATAAATCTTTCTACCAAAAAGACACACATACTCACATGTTCATTGAAGCACTATTCACAATATCAAAAACATGGAATCAACCTAGGTGCCCATCAATGGTAGATTGGATAAAGAAAATATAGTACATGTACACTAAGGAACACTACACAGCCATAAAAGGAATAAAGTCATGTTCTTTGCAGCAACTTGGATGCAGTTGGAGACCATAATCCTAAGTGAATTAATGCAGGGACAGAAAACCAACTACTGCACATTCTTGCCTATAAGTGGGAGCTAAATGTGGGGTACTCATGGACATAAAGATGGCAACAAATGAGAGTGGGGACTACTGGAAGGGAGGTTTTCCCCTGGAGGGTGGCAAGAGGTGAAAAACTAACTGTTGAGCACTATGCTGACTTCCTGGGTGATGGGTTCAATCATACCCCAAACTTCAGCATCACATAATATACCCAGGTAACGAACTTGCACATATACCCACCCTGAATCTAAAATAAAAGTTGAAATTATAAACTAACATAAAATATAAAATAAGTAGATCAACAAGTTGAGTTGGGATTGTATGTGATGGAAGGGAAGAACACATGGGGTAAAGGCAAGTCTTTCAGGCTTATTTCCTATTTCTTTGAGCATGGGTACTTGCAGCTCCATTCCACTCTCTTCATAATTGTTTCCTCCACTATCGAATGACAACATCAAAATATATAATATTGGTAAAAGTAATCATATTGTTTTCCTATATTCTTTACATTAGTATTATGGAAATACACTTGTAGTATACTTTTTGTTTATTTACAATAATCATTTGGGAGAATTTGTCTGCTGTGAAATAGAATAATAAAAATTGTTTTACTCTTAGTACAGATGCTAGAGGAAATTCTTTCACTTTTCCTTTTCCCACCTTATTTTTATCATAAAAAGAGAAGATATTTAATCCTTTTTCTATATTTTATGTTATTTTAGTTGCTAAATATATAGATTTGGTAATTCAATTGTCCCTCGTATCATATTACTCGAAGAAACCCTGACTGCAAGTATGCCACAATGCCAATATCAGCCCATATTTTTCTAGCTTATTAACTGGTCTGTTCTACTCAGCTTCCTCTATCCTACAGGGCCCCATCTGCAGTTTTAACAGTATTGATGATTAATTTTACAAAGAGTAGTTTAAACTGCAAAGCAGAACCTGGAACTGAGCCATAGAGGGCCCATATGCTCAGAGACATCTCTAAAGCAGAGAAAGAAATGTTTTCCTGAAAATGTTTCTACTATGTTGGTGAAAGATAGTCTGGAAGCTCCTGCTCTAAGTGGTTTTGGAGGGCTCTAGTAATAAGTTAGATGACTGTAAACTTGCAATAAAAATGACCCAGTTTAGGCTCTCATAGTAACTGCATGTCAGATATCAGAAAAGTGGAGTATTTCTCACACTCAAAAAGGGAGACCATTTTGCCTTCCATATAATTTGTTATATTTTTCATCTGGAACTCCTTTTTTTGCTGAATTTCCACTGTTACTGTATCACTATGCATGGCAATATGATATCTGCAATATCTTAGCAATATAGAAGAGCACTGGATTTGAAATTTTTATTTCTCACATTTATGAGTCATGTGGTCTGAGAAACAGCTTATTTTTAGAAATTGTATTTTCTTCATTTGTAAAATCTGCCTTCTCAGGATGATTGTGAAGATTAAATAAGACGACATGTGTTAATGTATCTGGTGCAAAGCATCAAATCAGCGTAGAATCAGAAAGCCAATGTTAGGTAACAAGCATTCCCTAAGTCTGTATTGCATCTGTATTCATAGCTGCCTGACTTATCATTCTTGAATTATTTGATATTTAAAGGTCAAATGGGGAAAATGTACCTATATTTGATAAAAAAGAGGCATCCCAAGTGTAGATTAGCTTGTATAGTTTAAACTTTCTTTTTTTTTTTTTTAAGACAGAGTCTCACTCTGTCACCCAGGCTGGAGTGTAGTGGCGCTGTCTGCAAGCTCTGCCTCCAGGGTTCATGCCATTCTTCTGCGTCAGCCTCCTGAGTAGCTGGGACTACAGGCGCCCACCACCACACCCGGCTATTTTTTGTATTTTTAGTAGAGACGGGGTTTCACCGTGTTAGCCAGGATGGACTCAATCTTCTGACCTCATGACCTCGTGATCTGCCCGCCTTGGCCTACCAAAGTGCTGGGATTACAGGCGTGAGCCACCGTGCCCGGCCTAAACTTTCAAACACATTTACTTAAATTAGCTAAAACAAGGTAATTATATTTTAGGTGTTTCTCAAACTAATATGGACAAAATTATTTAATGTTAAGTTTATTAAACACATTTAGAAAGAATTTGTCATTCTATTTGCCTAATTTGTCTATTATTTCTAATTAAATACAATGTAATTATTTTTAAGAATAGAAAAAAGTGAGATGAATTGATTATAGAGAATAATTAAAAATGGGATATAATGTGAGCATTAGTGATTATACTCTTAATTCTCCCCCAAATAATTGACTCTTATTATACTATTGTTTTTATTTATGACAATAGAGCATAAAGAAAGAAGATATTACTACAAACTCCCACTGAATTCATTAATATGATTATCATACTGTTTTAGTTTAAAATATTTGTAAATAAATTTGGAAGCAACCTAAGTGTCCATCAACAGACAAATGGATAAAGAAAATATGGCACATATACTCAATGGAGTACTATTCAGCGATGAAAAAGAAGAATATCCTGTCATGTATAACAACATGGATAGAAATGGAGGTCATTATGATAAGTAAAATAAACCAGGCACAGAAAGACAAACTTCACCTGTTGTCACTTGTGGGAGCTAGAAATTAAAACAATTGAACTCATGGAGATAGAGAGTATAATGATGGTTACGGAAGGCTGTGAAGGGTAGTGGTGGTGGGGAGGGTGCATGATTAATGTGTACAAAAAATATAGTTATACGGAGTGAATAAGATCTAGTATTTGATAGCGCAACAGGGTGACTACAGTCAACAATAATTTATCATACATTTAAAAGTAACCAGAAGAGTATAATTGGTATGTTTATAACACAAAGAAAGCTGGAATTAACTTCTTCCAAAATTTTGTTAATATTGATATTTTGACCTCCTCTCATGAATCATGAATGTTCTTGATGGCATCTAGAATGGTGAATCCTTTCTAGGGGTTTTCAATTTACTTTTCCCAGATATACCAGAAGAATTACTATCTATGTCAGCTATAGCCTTATAAAACGTATTTCTTAAATAATAAGACTTAAAAATTGAAGTTATTCCTTGACCTATAGGCTGAAAAATGCATGTTGTATTAGCAGGCATAAACACAACATGAACCTCCTTGTACATCTCTATCAGAGCTCTTGGGTGACTAGGTGCATTGACAATAAGCAGCAATATTTGAAAAGGAATTTTACTTTCTGAGCAGTAGGTCTCAACAGTGCGCTTATACTATTCGGTAAACCATTACTATTAGTAAACCAGTAAATGGATATGCTGTCGCCCAGCCTTTGTTATTCTATTTATAGAACACAGACAGAAAAGACTTAGCATGATACTTAAGGACCCTAGGATTCTCAGAATGGCAAACTATTGCTGGCTTCATTTAAAGTCACCAGCTGGATCAGCCCCTAACAAGAGAGTCAACCTGTGCTTTGAAGCCAGGCATTCACTTCTCTCTAGCTATAGAAATCCTATATAACATCTTCTAATATAAAGTTGTTTTGTATATTATACACATTAATGTATACATAATACATTAGCAATAGATTTTACAATAGTTTAATGTAGTCACTTTCATAAATGATCTTAGGTAGATCTTTTGAATACATTTCTACAGCTTCTCCATCAGCACTTGCTGTTTCATTTTATTCTGTTTTTTTGAGACCGCGTCTCACTCTGTTGTCCATTCTGGAGTACAATGGTGCAACCTTGGCTCACTGCAACCTCTGGCTCCCGGGTTCAAGTGATTCTCCTGCCTCAGCCTCCTGGGTAGCTGGAATTACAGGCACCTGCCACCATGCCTGGGCAATTTTTTGTATTTTTAGTGGAGAGGGGATTTTGCCATGTTGACCAGGCTGGTCTTGAACTCCTGACCTCAGGTGATCCACCCGCCTCAGCCTCCCAAAGTGCTGGGATTACAGGCTTGAGCCACCGTGCCTGACCCACTTTATTTTTTTATTTTATGGAGATGACTTCTTTCCTTAAATCTCATGAACCAACCTCTGCTAGTTTCCACTTTTTATTCTGAGGCTTCCTTACCTCTCTCAGCCTTCACAGAATTGAACATGGGGCTTTGTGCTGGATTAGGTTTTTGCTTTAGGGAATGCTGTGGCTGCTTTGATCTTCTATCTAGATGACTCAAAAATTTTTTCATATCAGCAATGAGGCTGTTTTGCTTTCTTATCATTTGTGCGTTCACTGGAGTAGCATTTTTAATTTTCTCCAAAAATTTTCCCTTTGCATTCACCACCTGGTTGTTTGGTGCAAGAGACCTAGCTATCAACCTATCTTGGCTTTCAACACGCCTTTTTCACTAAATTTAATCATTTCTTGCTTTTGACTGAAAGTGAGAGATATGTGACTCTTGCTTTTACTTAAATACTTAGAGGCCCTTGTAGGGTTATTAATTAGCCTAATTTCAATATCATTTATCTTAGGGAATAGGGAGGCTCAAAGAGAGGGAGGGAGATAGGGAAATGGTCAGTGGAGCAGTCAGAACACACACAACATTTATTAAGTTCACCATATTATCTGCGCGTGATTTATGGTGCCCCGAAACAATTATGATAGTAACATCAAAGATCACTGATCACAGATCACCATAACAGGTATAATAATAATAAAAAAGCTGGAAATATTGTAAGAATTACCAAAATGTTTTATTATTATTATTATTATTATTATTATACTTGAAGTTTTAGGGTACATGTGCACAATGTGCGGGTTAGTTACATATGTATACATGTGCCATGCTGGTGTGCTGCACCCACTAACTCGTCATCTAGCATTAGGTATACCTCCCAATGCTATCTCTTCCCCCTCCCCCCACCCCACAACAGTCCCCAGAGTGTGATGTTCCCCTTCCTGTACCAAAATGTTACACAAATACACAAAGTAAGCACATGCTGTTGGATAAATGGTGCCAATAAGGCTTGTGTGATGCTGGGTTGCCAAAAACCTTCAATTTGTGAAAAACACATTATCTATGAAGTGCAGTAAAGTGAAGCAGAATAAAACAAGGGATGCCTGGATTGTTTTGCTCCATCCCTGCTTCTCTCCTTAGTTCATTGCCCCCCCCTTTTTTTTTTTAATCAAGATGACTTGCCATCAAAGAAAGGGAAGGGTATAGAAAAAGACCAAATAATAGACTTTTTTTCCTGGGCAAAATATCAAATTAAAGAGGTAAACATCTCAGAGATAGGATTAATCTTTAGGTAATATAGCATTCTATTTCTATTTAAAATCTGTAGAAGAATTTCATATTTCTATAAAAACACAAAATTCCCTCTCTTCCCTTTTTAAAATATTTATCATGTAGTTCACATTTTTTTCTTTGATAGAATGTGTTTTCTGTCTCCTAGCTATTTTCTTAGTGCAATTTCCAGACAATTCTCCTGCATTTGCCTCTTGGAAAAGACATTACTAAATAACTTTTTTAGGAGGTATCATTCTCAGAAAGTGATATTCTTACAAATTGCACAGAGTTTGACAGTAAAATTTTATTTAATAAGCATGATACAGTATTATTCTTTAACAATTTATCAAAGACTGTAATGACTCTAGTTTCAGACATTTTTTTTTCTGAAATATATGAGCTTTCCCTAAAAATCTGGTCTACTTTCCTACCTCAATATTCTACTTTTGCTCTTGGATTTGCTGATAGGGCACAGAAGACTTCCCGTGGGGCTGGAAAGAGCTTATTCTTCCATGTGGGTTATGCACACCATGGGGCTGTCATTACTATTACTACCAGGAGACTCCTTAAACACTGAGGATATATGACAGTTTTCACTTGGTTCAAAAAAAATGATGAGTTCATGTCCTTTGTAGGGACATGGATGAAACTGGAAATCATCATTCTCAGTAAACTATTGCAAGACCAAAAAACCAAACACCGCATATTCTCACTCATAGGTGGGAATTGAACAATGAGAACACATGGACACAGGAAGGGGAATATCACACTCTGGGGACTGTTGTGGGGTGGAGGGAGGGGGGAGGGATAGCATTGGGAGATATACCTAATGATAGATGATGAGTTAGTGGGTGCAGCGCACCAGCATGTCACATGTATACATATGTTACTAACCTGCACATTGTGCACATGTACCCTAAAACTTAAAGTATAATAAAAAAAAATCTGCCAGTTTCTCACTAAGAGTTTTCTCACTATTAAGTTTTAACTCACAGATGGAATTCTGGTTCCTTTTGTCCATTAACTCTTCAGATATTATTGCTTCTACCTTGGCAGTGGAGTCTACTGTGATTGCTTTTATGTTATATACATGGCTGATAAGGGGGCTCTGGGTGCAGTTGTAAGTACCATTGTCACCTTTCCACCCTAAGTATTTGCTCTGGGTGCAGTTCTAAATCCTACTGTCACCTTTCTACCCTAAATATTTCATTAAGCAAACACCTTGCAGCTGTATTAATATTATTACAATTTTCAGTCTTTTCCATTTTTAGACAATGTCTAAAAACTGTGGACAAAACCCACAGTTTTAAAATCTTAATTTATCCAGGGAAGGGGGGCCAAAAGCACTTGCAGGAGATGACCAGGAATTAACACAGAGGAAAACATTAAACAGGTACTGATCAGTTCTATTTCTAAAATCTGTGATTAAAAATCAGTAGCATACCCATTGAGGAGAACAATAAGCATTTTCATTCCTAATTTTGATAGGATTTTGAATTGGACTCTTCCTTCCTTTGTCTAACATTTTAGAAAATGCATTTCATACAGTGAAATTGCCCCCAGTACTAGATTTTATTATTTTAATCTGATTTCTCATAATGGAATCTGTATATATTTCAAAATATGTGTTGTAACCTTAGTCAATGTATTATAAACTTGATATTTTTGAGCAATATGGTGATGAAAAACAAGGCAATTTAATGGTCTGATGATTCAGACTTGAAGGAGTTGAGAGTGAACATTCTATAATACAATATTCTTAAACTCAAGACCATAATTAAATTATCAATTCTAGATATATTTTCTTCTTCTAGGTATATATCTCAGAAAAAATATAACTTTGACTTTCATAGGAGATTTTATTGCTCTATATCTATCTGAAAGCATGTAATTCTTTAGCATTACACAGCTCCATTAGAGATAAGGAGGAGCATGCAAGGCAGCGATTTGAGAACAATAGACATAACCCAATAGGCTTGGTAGTACGATGTGCTTCAATTTGGATCATGAAAAGCATTGTAGAGATTATTGAGTTTAACCTCCACCTCCACCTTTTAAAGTTCTTTGCAATGTTTATAACAGACGTGCAGAAGCAAACTAGAATGATCAGAAGAAAAAACTGATAATTTTAACTCCCCTTTTTTTCTTTGTAGTTAGTCAAAATATTAGGGCATATAAAACTAAAAATATACCTTGATAACGCTCCAGTTTTCAAATGTTATTTCTCTTCATGATTAAGGATGGTAATCAGAATGAACCTTATTTTCCAGATGCTTCTTTAAGCACACTATGTGAAGTTTCTGTTGTTATTAGGCAGAAAGTGGCATAGATATTTCTGTGGGAATATTAATACTATGATCAAATCAATAACATCTGAGTTGTCCCCACATACTGGATATTTTAAGTAAACATTTATTTATTCAACAAATACTTACTGAGTGTCAGCTATGTAGCATGTGCTGTCTAAATTCTAGATAAATAAGAGAAACTAAATCTCTGTCCTCATGTCCATATATCCTTGAAGGTGTGGCAGGAAATAAATAAGTGTAGACTGTAATAGATAGCTATAAATGCTGCAACAGAAAATAAAATAGAATGAGAGGACAGTGAGTGATGGAAGATGCTATTTCAGATCAATTAATGAGGGAAGTTCTTTCTGAGATGCACCTTTTGAGTAGAGGTGTAAAATAGAGAAGAAGTCATGTGACTATTTGGGATAAAAGTATTCAGAGAAGAAGGCACAGCAGGTCCAAGGTCTCAGAGACTGAAATGTGCAAGGGAACCAGAATGGCAGGAGAGGTGTGGACAGGGAGACAGTGGTAGAAAATGAGGTGAGAGAAGCAGCCAAAGGTCAACTGATCAAAAGCTTCTGGGTCAGGATCACAAGACACATACAGCTTAAACTGCCTTGGCCTCTTTTGATTCCTATTAACTGTTTAGAAAAACACATTCTAGTTAAATTCAAATCTTTCCCTACTCGAAGCACGAACTGTGTTAACCTAAACTTGTAGAAAAATGGAAACATTATTTTTACCAATCTCACTGTAACTTCACGACCACAAGCCTCAGGTGAATGGAATGAAGAAGTTTGTCATAGGTCTGTAAGGATGAGACACATTACAAATCCAGGTAAAGATGTAGAACTAGATAAAATGTAAGGAATGTGGGGTGGGAAATGTGGGCTGATGGTAAAAATTAGGGATTCATTAATGTACAAATAGTATGTGAAGGAATAAGCATGGGTAGAAAGAAGTCCAAAAACTGAGCCATCGGGGATCAACATTTACAGTGTGGACAGAAGGAGAGGATGCAGCAAAGGGGGCTAATAAAGAGTGATGGGTAAGGTATGAAGAAAATCAGTGGGCCTGGGTATCTCAGAAGTCAAGTGAAGACTTTTTCAAATAATAGAGTGGAGTGATTAACCATGCCAAATACTGCTAAGGGTTGAGTAAGAAGGGATTAATTATTACGTTTGGCAATGTGAAGGTGTTCAGTGGGGAAAGTCTAATTGGGATAGGTTCAAATAGATATGGGGAGTAAAAAGGTGAAGTTTGCAAATTTGAACAACTTTTTAAAGGAGTGCTATAAGAGGAATAAAAAATAGAGTGGTAGTTAGAACAATATATGGAATCTAGGGAGGTCTTATTTTTAACAGAAAATATTATAGCATGATTGTATCAAAATAGTAAAATCCAGTAGAGAGTGAGGGAAAAAAACTGATAATGAGAGAAAGGGTATAATTTCAAAAGTAAGTTCTTTGAGTAGGTGAGAAGAGGTTAAATCCAGTGCCAAAATTGAGAAGTTGGCAGTAGGTAGGATCTCAAATAAGTTACCTTTACAACTGGAAAGAGAGTAGAATACAAATGAGTACAATGGGAGTGGGTAGGTAGAAAAGATAATAGAAGTTCATGGAAGTTCTTTTTGGATTGCTTCTCTTCTATTTATGAAATATGCTGATGAAAAGAGTCAAACTCTGTGAAATATTTGAAGAGATTTATTCTGAGCCAAATATGAGTGACCAATGGCCAGTGACACAGCCCCAGGAGATCCTGTAAACATGTGCCCAAGGTGGTTGGGTTACAGATTGATTTTATACATTTTAGGGAGGCATAGGACATCAGTTAATATATGTAAGATGTGCATTAGTTTGGTCTGGGAATGGGGCACAACAGGAAACAGGGGCTTCCAGATCATAAGTGGATTCAAAGATTTTCTTATTGGCAATTTGTTGAAAGAGTTATCATCTAAAGAGCTGGAATCAGTAGAAAGGAATTTTGGGGTTAAGAAAAGGGGTTGCAGAGACCAAGGTTTTATCATACAGATGAAGCCTCCAGGTAATAGGCTTCAGAGCCCTTATCAGGACTAAAGAGGTGCCAGGCTGTTAGTTAATTCTCCCCTGGACCAGGGAAAAGACCTGGAAAGGAATGGGTATTCTCTACAGAATATAAAATTTTTTCTCCATAAAAGACAGTTTTGCAGAGCCATTTATATTTTAGGGTAAAATACTTCAACGTCTTTCAGAGCTTTCTATCTGTCATGTAACGCTATACTAGAGTCAGCCTGGAATTTGTTGTCTTATTGCTGCAAAAAGTCTGTTTTCTTCAGTCTTAATGTCTCTGTTTTAATGTTTATGCTGGTCATCTGTGTCTGAATTCCAAAGAAAGGAGGATATAATGACATATATCCTACCCCTGCTTCCATCATGACCTGAACCAGTTTTTTAGGTTAATTTTGGAATGCCCTTGGCTGAAGGGAGCATCCTTCAGTTGGTTGGAGGGCTTAGAATTTTATTTTTGGCTTACAAATAAGAGAAAAGGTGGTAAGTACTTGAGGGAAAGGAGAAAGGAAGGTATGTTGGAGGTTTGAGCAGAAAGAAGGTGTGAATAATCATCTGGCATCATGGGAAAATAAATGAAATAAGAAAATGCAGCATGTTTGCCAGAGTTTTTTGACTTACTTTCATAACTTTAAAGTCAGGGTGTAGAAGGATTTGGAAATTTGCATAATGAAGACAAAAAACAGGAAGAATGGTTCAGATGAAAAGAACCAACCAGATATTTGATAGCTGGTATTTTTCAGAAAAGCAAAATAAACAGTGGTCTACAAGTGGTGATATGGAGTAAGGAGCTAATCTACATCACCTCTAAGATCAGAGGCTTATGTGTTTTAGGAGATGAAATAGTCTACCCATGACAGGGCTGGAGAAGAACAAGTGAGAACATTATTTTTTGTTTTTTTGTGTGTGTGATTTTTGTTTTTTGTTTTTTTTTTTTGAGAGGGAGTCTTGCTCTGTCACCCAGGCTGGAGTGCAGTGGCCTGATCTCAGCTCACAGCAAGCTCCACCTCCCATGTTCACGCCATTCTCCTGCCTCAGCCTCCCAAGTAGCTGGGACTACAGGCACCCGCCACCACACCTCGGTAAGTTTTTGTATTTTTAGTAGAGACGGGGTTTCACCATGCTAGCCAGGATGGTCTCGACCTCCTGACCTTGTGATCCACCAGCCTCGGCCTCCCAAAGTGTTGGGATTACAGAGAGCATATTTTATAATTAACATATAAATATCAGGCTATCACAAGTGAGGATACCCACATTAGAACAAATTAAAAATTTGTATATGCATATCAAAATTTATGCCTCGTTAACCTAGAGTACAGGTGTCAAATGATAATAAATAGTGTTTAGTTTTAATTTTTCATTCTGATATTTTATCACTGACATTAAGATGGCAGCTTGATTTCCTATAATTGATATTTTGCTATCAAGAGATGAGACAGTGTTATAATTTACTTGATCTTAAGGTTTTCTTATTGAATCCTTCCTCCCATCTCCTGGAGTGTAGAAAACAATATAATGGAGTTTTATTCAGGTGGCTAAATAGAACTCTCCAGTGATCGCCTTTTCTTTACCCTAGGAACACCAAATTGAACAACTCAACTATCTATGCAAGAAAGAACCTTTGTTAGAACCCAAAAATCTACTGTTTCTTTCATTTTTAGTGGTCAGTGTAAGCTTCACAAATGTCAGAAACATATATGGCATGCTCTTTTCTATAGTCTTTGTATCTTCCAAAACGTCTGGCTGATAGGAATTGCTATTATTTGCTAAATTAATGAATCAAGTTTGTATTATTCCTATTACTTCATGTTCTTTCTTTAATGAGATTGTAAGGTTCTTAAGGAGAGGGAGATGCTTTTATATATGTGTATATATATGTAAAATACATTATATATATATGTGACTAAATAAATTAATGAGTTCTGGTGTCACTTTCCATGTCAAGTCATAAAAATCATCAAACAGAAGCGCTAAGAATATTCCACAATTTTTACTTGTTTTCCTTTAGTCTGATATTACTACTCACCCTTTCCTCTTAGGCATTACGTATTTGTGCATGCTGATGATGTTTTAAAAATAACAAACAAATAAAATATTTTATTGGTTTGTTCTTCCCTTAAGTCATTACTGTAGTCTCTCTCCCTCTTACATTTTGAAAGAGCAAACTACATGGCTGTCTCTATTTTCTTAACTTCATCCTTCAATGCGTAATAATCCACATCAATCCTTACTGTTCTGAAATTGCTTTTGCTGAAAGCACTAATATCTTCTTAATTGCAAATCCAAAGTCCATTCTCAGTGTTATTTATGTTTGCTTTCTCATCAGCCTCTGACATAGTAGAGCACTGCCTGTAGACTTCCTTCTTTCTAGACCAGGATGTCTCCTGGACCTCATTCGGCTTTAAAAACTATCAAGCTGTTATTTCATCAAATTCTTCTCTATTTCTTTTAATTTGCTCATGTAATTCTAGGTGGTTTCCTTGACTAAAATAATCCACTTTTTTTTTTCAACTACCACCTTGCATTCTGAAGAGTTATACCTATCACCTCCAGCTCCATATGTCCAAATATTGCTATTGAATAACTGCATTAGATACACTACATGAACCTTCAACTTGGCATGTCAGAATGAGAAGTTACTATCACCACACAGATATCTATGTTGGCTGCTGGAAAGGGTATATATCTAGTCCCCCCTATCTAGAAGCCTTCCCCTCTTTCACACCCAACAATCAATGTACTGTCAGGTGATGCTTATTTTACCTTAGAGGTATCTATACATACAGGATTCTTGTTTTCCACCTTTACTTCTGTTCTGTTGTCCGTAGCATCTTTTGCAATAATCTTCTAAATGATCTCTATCCTGGTAATTTCTGCCCACTCCAGCTCATCCTTTATTCTATCACCAGAATTACAATGCCAAAACCCAAGACAGAGGTGTTTGCTTCCGTGATTTATACCTCTGTTGATCTCCATTATATAAGGTATGAACAGAACTGATTCTGGAACACTAAGCCTTTTAAGAATATGTTTTCAAGCTATTATTTTAGTCCTATCTCTTGTTATTCCGGACTGACTTTCCACTAGAACCCTATACTGCACTTGCGTTAATGTCTATTATGTCCCAGACTTAGGCTTTTTCGTGAGTCTGAAATTGTTCACGCTTCCTTCTCCCCAAAGTAAGCATGTTCTTTTCCTCATTTATTCATTGGTTGATTCAACACAAATATTATTGGATGACACTATGCAGGTATTTTTCCTCGAACCGAATTTATGATATAGAAGGTAGGGGAGGAAGATATTAAACAATCACTATAATGAATGCAAAATTTAAATCAGAGATAAGTACTTTGAAAGAAAATAATATGACACCATAAGAAAGTCTGTAAAAAGTTTTTGATCAATCCTGGGAGGAGGAGATGGTAGTCAGAAAGGATTAAAATAGGAGAAATAAATGGAAATTAACTAGGTAAGAAATGGAGGAATGGGCATTCCTGAAAAAGGGAACAGAGGGAAAACTTGTGTGGATGGAACACAGAGATAAGGTGGGGAAGGTGGCGGGCACTGAAGTTGAACTCGTAGGCATAGCACAGGCATAGACACAGAGTACAAGTGTCTAGGTTAAAAATATTGATATTAATCCTAACATCAGTGGATGCCTTCAAAGGGGAGTAAGCATAGGCAGGGGTATGCATTACATAATCAGATTTGACTGTATTGTAGAGAACAGTTTAGAGAGGGAGGAGTGAATTAATGCACTGAGAAACAGTAGTGTGCTGTTGCATTGGTCTAGTAGAGAGATAATGGTAACCCGAATGATAGTGGTCAGACTGGAGATGGTGAGAAGTGGAAGATTCAAAAAATATTTAGGAGGTAAAAATCAAGGAGATTTCCTGATGGATTGGATATGAAAAACAAGGGAGAAGGAGAAAAATTCCTTCTTCCTTATGTATCAAACTAGTTCTTATCTTTTAAGACCGTTCACATATCACCCATGCAGTTTAGCATTTTCTTACTATCCCAGCAGCAATAAGAAGGGAGCTCATGTCTTTCAGGTTCCTTTGGCCCAATATTCAGATCTCTGCACTTAAAGTAACTTCCCTGCTAAAATAACTGTCCGCTCAATGGATAACGGGTTTCATGAAAGCAATGATCATGTTTCATTCTTTTTTTTTAATATTCCAACATCTGATATCATACCAGTCATATAATAGACGTTCAATGAAATTGTTTATTGACTGGCAGAAGAAATCTAAATGCCATAGATAATTAAAGCCAGCATTCATTAAGAATTTTCAATAAAATTTTCAATAAAGTAACATTTCAACAGAAAGTTAAGAGCTAATATAGATAACATTTTTTTTGTAGATATATCTGCGGAAATAGGTTTGCTCCATTCAAGGAACCATTAAATCTCAATTCTTAGAAAAAGTATTTTTGTATCATGTGTACTTTTGAAAATTAAGGAAGAGTCAGTACACTCTATTTAACATTGAAATTGTGAAGAGGCAGAAGGATTCAAAAATCATATTAAGAAAAATTTTCACTCACAATTTTTAGTTTTTATTCATTATCTCATATTTTTTTCCATTTCTCTTCTAAGAGCTTTTTTGTTAACTGCACAAATGATATATTAGCAATTATTCTAAAATAAAAGTTTTTAGAACTGCAACAGTATTCATTCCACTAAAAATGATACATTTAAAAGTATTTCAAGAATGCTTTTGGAATACTATTAAAATATAAAAATGAAATAAATGAATGAAGGAACATTTTTAAGAGGCTTATTTTTTCAACAATGCTGCCTACTTCCTCACAAGACAGTGCCCTCCTTTCCCAGCCATTCAAATTTTCTCATCTCTTCAGTGAATCTCCATGGGTGCTGCATCTAGCACTCTTCATGTTCCTTTCCAAAATCAGGGAAGTACTGGGATGTGTGGTGTTTTACTGAAATGAAAATTTCAGTTACATGTCACATAAGGATGTTTCAGCCAATAACAGACCATGTTTACCACAGCAGATTTATGAGATTATAGTACTGTATTTTTACTGAATCTTTTCTGTGTTTAGATATGTTTTGTTACACAGATACTACTCTGTGCTACAATTTTGCCAATAGTATTCAGGACTAGCCTAGGAGCAATAAGTTATACCGTATAGTCTAGGTGTGTAGTAGGGTATACTATCTAGGTTTGTGTAAGTACACTTGATATTCACCCAATGGTAGAATCACCTAACAATGCATTTCCAGAATACGTCCTCATTGATAAGCAATACATGACTGTATCCAGATACTGGCTAAAACAAATCAGGAATATGAATAGAAATGGAACATTTATACTCATATATGAGTTGAAAACTTTTATGTTTTCAACTATTTGAAATATAAATGCATATGGACAAGGACAAGATTATATCTTGGGAAAAGGAAGTTGTTAAGTTAGAGATAATGTTTTTAATTTCCACAAATGGTTTAATTTTATGTTTTTTTAGACAATAAAACAAACAAGAATACCTGAAAGATAAATAAGAAAAACTGAAGTTTAAATAAATTAATTTTTAGAGGAAAAAAATCACCTATATAAAATTCACTTGTATAAGTGAGAAGGCAGAAAGACAACTGAATATTTCTCAATAAAATGTGATGCCTGTTTGTCATGAACTGTAAGAGCATAAATATGAAAAATCAAAAGGTTGTCTTAGTATATGTCATAATTTCTTAAAGGAATACTTAGAAAAATAGATATTTTGGAATATATGCTTGTGGAGTTCAATTTTAATTTGTAGGATTGTTTAGACTCAGAGTACATAGTATATAAATTCTGATTTCCAAAATGAGTTGCTATAGTAATATGTGAAATAGAATCTTAAAAACAGTCTGTATAAAAGAAATAAATTTGAGTTTTCTTTTAAAATATGTAAGCATTTTCATCAACAATGAATGAGAATTCTGTCGCTCTCCATCTACACCAGCAATTAGTACCATTGTCCCACATTAAAGTCTTGGGGGATACGTTCCAAGGCCCCCAGTGGATGCCCGTAGCCTCAGATAGTATTGAACCCTTTTTATGTTCTATGTTTTTTCCTATACATACATACCTATGACAAAGTTTAATTTATAAATTGGGCACAGTAAGAGATTATAACAATAATACTAAAATAAAACAATGATATCAATATACTATAATTGAAGTTATGTGACTGCTGTCTCTCAAAATATCTTATTGTACTGTAGATCTTAGCAAACTCAGTGCAAAATATTTTTCCTTTCTTATTAAGTCAAGTACTTAATATTTTCATTTCAACAAAGCACATCATGGCTTCCCTTTGGCATATCTGCATTGCCAGTGTCACTACTTTTGTGCCTTGGGGCCATTTTTGAGTAAAATAAGGTTACTTGAACACAAGCACTGTGATATTGTGAGAGTCAATCTGAAAATCAAGATGGCAACTAAGTGACTAACAGGCAGATTGTGTATACAGTGTGGATACAGTGGACAAAAGGATGATTAAGGACACAGGAAGGCAGGTGCGAAATTTTATCATGCTACTCAGAATGGGATGCAATTTAAAACTTATAGTTTATTTCCAGAATTTTCTATTTAATATTTTCTGATCTCTGAAACAGTGAAAAGTGAAACCGTGGATAAGGAGGAAGTACTGTATCGTAAATTTTTCCAATCATAGCTATTCTATGAGGTGTGTAGTTGTATCTCATTGTTTTAGTTTGGATTTCCTACAGAATAGTGATAGTGAGCAGTTAAAAATCTGCTTATCTATCATATGCATATCTTCTTTTTGAGGTCTCTGTTAAAATATTTTGCCTCTTTTTAAATTCAGTTGTTTCCTTATTGTTCAATTTTGTCTTTTTTTTGTATATTTTGGATATGAGAGTCATTTGTATATTTTGGATAGATGTCCTTTATTAGATATGTATTTTTAAAATATTTCCTCTCAGTCTGTTACTTGTTTTATTATTCTCCTAAGTGTCTTCTGCAGAACAGACTTTGTAAATTTAAAAGACTAACATCAAGTTTTTCTTTCATGCTTTTGGTGTATATAAAAACTCATCACCAAGCCTAAGGCCATGTGGGTTTTCTCCTATGTTTTCCTCTCAAAGGTTTGTAGTTTTGCATTTTACATTTAAATCTATTACCAATTTTGAGTTAATTTTTGTTTAAAGTGTAGACTTGTAAGTTTTTTACTTGAGTAACAACACAGAATAATAACATTTATAAAATGGGGAAAAAGCAGTTTGGGGATTGGAGGTGGGAATACAGTTTAGATATGGACATGTTAATATTTGAAGCCCCTACTTGACAAACATATGGTTAAGTAGGAAGTTGGATACAAAGAGTTTAATTCTGATATTTCCACATACCAACACTATCAGGAAGTCCAGGAGTCTGATTTATAACTTCACCAGCACCTTGAACTCTGTATTTCCCCACCTCCCTTTCCTTCCCCTACAGGCTTCCAATCCCCATTTTATGTTTTCGGGCGTTCGTTATTACTTACAATAATCTTCAAAGTATGTGTAGGGTTGGAATCCATTATGACTAAGTCCTATTTTGGTGCTTAGTCTGTGACAGAGAAGCTTTGGCTGGTTGAAGAAATTTGACCTTGGTGTGTCCTATTCAAAGTATAAAATAAGGCTGGGCAGTGGTTCACATCTGTAATTCTAGCACATTGGGAGGCTGAGGTGGGAGGATTGTTTGATGCCAGGAGTTGGAGGCTGCAGTGAGCTAAAATTGCACTACTGCATTTGCCAGGTGACTTGGAGCTAAAATTTTTTCGACTCCAGTGAGACTTGCTGACATAAAAAGAGAAAATATGCTTTAAGCACCTAGTGCTTATGCATGGCACATAGTAGACACTCATTAAATGAATGGTTCTTTCTCTTTCCCCATAGATGGGACAGTGTGCACCAAACATCTGAAGACCAGTTGCTTAAGTGAAAAAGAATGACCTGATGTATTTCAGATCAATATTATGCATATAATAAAAACTATGAAATGCTAAAAGCTTAGCTGCAAAGATAAAATGCAAGAAGCTTGCTGGTGAGGTTGTGGTAGCAACTGAATATATGAGAATAGATTGGTACAATCACTGGATTTCTATAACTCAGTTAAGAGTTGGAAGTAAAGTGTAATTCTGTTTCTGTTTATGTATTAAAGTAGAAGGATAATATGTTTAATTAATAAATTAACAATAGATATTGGTATACTTATAGAAATGGATTGTCACAGTTTCTATCTTTGAGGGATTAATTGGAACAAAAATGTACTTTAACTATGAATTACCTAGCTCCAGAGATATCTATTAGTAGAAAAAGATTGACAATGAAAAGATAAATTTCTATTTACTACACAGCGAAATAAATGTTTTATGTTAAGAGCTCATCTCATGCATCCCTGTGGCTTCAGTTTTCTTCAATATCTGCCACTCTCAGTTTTATTTCCAGCTGGAATCTATTTTCTGAGCTCCACAACTAAATGGCTGTGTACCAACTGGACATCTCTTTTTGAATTATTCACAGGCATCTTAAATTCAGTCTGTGTAAAACTGAACTGGTGAAATTGCTCTTTAGACCTGCTCCTCTAGTGTTTCCCATCTTAGCAAATTGCACAATTATTTCCATCCAATTACTCCAGCTGGGAACATACAAGATATCACTGACTTTTCCCTCTCTTTTATTTCGATCAATTACTTCAAATTCTTATTATGGCCTCCAAGGCTCTGCATAAAATATCCCTTTCTCACTTTAACGATTACAGTAGACTGAACCATTATAACAAAGAAATCTCCCAAAAAGTAAGGGTTCAAACAGTAGAAATATATTTCTTGATCTTATAAAAGTTCAGGGTAGATGTTTCGGATAAACAAGTGCTTGGCTCCACACTGGGACACAAGCTGATGAGATCTGCAATCTCTAATACTTAGTTTCCAAGGTCATTCTGAGCATGGCCCAACAATCATCCTGAAAGAGAAAGAGCATAAATAAGCATGCATGGATATTTTTTATGAGTGAAGCAAGGAAGTGGAACATATTTCTATTCTCACTACAATGGAAAGAACTTAGTTACAAAGCACACTTCATTGCAAGGAAGGCTGGGAAATGTAATGCATTTGGGCAGCCATATTTCCAGCAACTATGGAAGATGAGGAAAAGAACTTTGGTGAATCATTGGCGGTCCCAGCAACATTTGTTGTTCTTTCCTTCTTTATTCTTTGTGATCCAGGTATATCGGATTTTAGTCTTTGATTGCTCTTTCCATCCCTAAGGACTTTGTACATGTCATTCTCTTGGCTCATATGCCCTTCATCTCCTTCTTGATTCAGCTGACAATTATTATTCAGAATTAAGAATGTTTTACATTCCTGTGGAAAGTTGTTGTCTTCTTTGTAATACTTGGAAAAGCTGCAATAAATTATTCAATGACTGTTTGTCATGCTAGACTGTAAGATTGAGGAGTAAAGGAACTCTCTGTTTTGTTCTTTATTATATTCCCAATATCTGGCACATAGCAGGATGTTTAGTAAATATTTCTTGAACTCACAGAAAGATGGATGAATGGATGCCTGGATAAGTGCAAAAATAGATAAGTTTATAGATGAATGGGAAATAAGCTGATATAACCCCACTCTGAAACCTTTAGTTTGTTAAAGAAATAATTATTTAATGACACTTGTTAAGCACGATAAGGAAGTCTTTATTATAAACCATCATGGTAAGTACAGGGACCACTGAAATGGGATTTTGCAGTGAGGGAGGGAGATTGGGCTCAACTCTTAATAAAGGATGGGCAAGTGGGAATTTATTGCCAAGTTGCAAGGTGGGGGTCAGTGGATAAAACATGACTAAGAGGAAGCATCAGGGGTAAAGGGGGTTCTGGCTAAATTGACCTAGAAAGATTCTTGCTGAAGGTAGGCTAGGGTGATCAAACATCACTTATGAGATGGTGGAGGATGAGTAACCCCAGTGGATACCAAGGATGAGCAGATATTGGGGGTAGGGGATTCTTGCTAAACATAGTTAGCAAGGTATTTGCTAAAACTGGATTTTACAAGGAAGTGCACAGATGAACCTAGGAGAAGTTTCAAGAGTCTGAATAAATTTTACCAATCAGATACTTTGTATCAAGTTTTCTCCATGAAGGATTTGTGCAAAAGTAGGGTAGGTGTTTGCAAAAAGAAAATTCGAGAAGATTGGTACAAATTTGGGTAGCTACAAAGAAAAATGATAAAGAGAGACAAATGAGAAAAAGAAAAAGTATTGTTCAACAATGTGGAACACTCAATTGCGGTTGGAAACCACAGCTTTGTAGTGAAAACTATTATATTTTTTTTCTTGCATTCAATTTCAGAGAAAATGCATTTTGGAAATAATAATGGTTAATAATGCACACAGTACATTGATCCAGATATGAGCTTAGCATTTAAAATGCAGTTTTTCATGTATATTTTCAAAACTTTTTTATAGATGAGAAAACTGAAGGTCAGAAAGTACAAGTAAATGGCATAAGGAGTAAATGACATTAGCAATCAGAGAAGCTCTGATTTGTACCCAAGTCTGTAATACTTCAAAGGACAGAGATTGACAAAACAGGCCTTGAAGAAGTGTGAATAACAGGAAATTAACAGTACTGTGTTAATGTCCACACAGTGCTGGTTCCTAGGGTCAGTTGATTCAAGAAGGTGTAATGTTTCATCAAGATTTAGTGGGATGAGATAGTAGTAGACATGTAAAGAGAGGGGATTGTGCTGTGAGAATTATATTTTCAAATTTTGGATAAGAAAATGAATTTTGGAAGATGACAAGGCCTGGAATATAGACCTCAAAAGTGTTTTGTTCGAGGGGAATGGGAAAGAAGTTTGTCAGATGGCAGCCCACATGGACGCTGTCTTTCAGAATAGTGACAGGAATTGGTGGAAGGAAAGATTACAATCCAGATACCAAAGCCCTCACTAATTGTGGCATAAGGGAGTAGAGGTGAGTTGACGACAGTGATGAAGATAAAGAGCACAGAGTATAGTTCAATTTTTAGGGACTCAAGTATGGAGGACTTTTTGGATGAGCATCAAGTATAATGAGAATGAAACTGCAGTGGGTAAACAAGAGAAAGATGAACGTACCTCCTCACTTAAAAATACAGAGAATTAAAGCTTCTTTTGAGGCTTTTTTGAGCAAAATGGTATTATTAGAGGAGAAAAAGGTTACAGTTAGGGTGAAGAAGTAAAGGGGAATAGTCAAGATGTTGCATATTACAAAGAAGTTTCTTTGAAATAGGATGGGTTTCTATGTAGTTACAGTAAAGAGGTAGAAGTGGAATTAGATAGAGAATGATAAGTCTGAGAAGGAGAAGATATAAATTAGATGGAAGAGTTTGCAATGTGGGTTTTAGATCAAGGGCACTAGAAAGTCAAGGAATACAGAGGAAGATGGGAAGTACTTGAAAGAAACTAACTAGCCTCAGGGTTCCAGCTGGGGCTTTGATGGCAAGTTGTTTTGTTGCTGCCGCAAACTCAGACCAAAGCATTCTGGGGAAACTTAAGAATAGGAGGTGGATTGCCAATTAATATCTAGGGCTACAAGAGTGAGAAGAAATGACTAAAAATACAAATTAAAGTTCATATAAGTGGAACAAATTTTAAAGAGGAATGGGAATTTTGAGGAAAAAGTGAGAAAAATGTATAACTCTTTATTTATAAGTACATATTTTGCGTTATGCACTGGGTTTGTAGTGACCAAGACAGTCTTAACATGTCCCTTAGCTTGATTAAACTTTAGACAGTCTTCCTCTGGCCTTTAAGGCCTGATCTCCCTCTGACTCCCTCCCCCTAAAGAATCCAGATGGCCCAGTCACAGGAGTTCCTCTCCTCCCTTTATAAAGAGTATTTATTTCAGATACCTTATAATTGCAAATTCTTCTTGTTTGCTACTTGAAATGTAAATTTTTAAACATCTCTTATCAGTTTTACTACCCACCAGGCGTATCTTTCTCAAGGACCTAGAGCTATTCCTTTGAAATGTTATCATTAGGGAAAATAGTGACCCTGTCTCTCAGTCTCTGTGGGAGAGTAAGTGCTTAACTTCAGTGGTCACTTGGCTGTAAGTTGTAAAACTATCTGCTGTCATGAAGATAAGAGAAGGTTTGCTTTTTCTTTGTGAGGCCAATTAGCAGACACAGGTAGCCTATGTTACCCCCTTTCACCCCAATGCTTAAAAATCCTCCCACCCTGTATTTCAGTAGAGTTGAGCACAGATTGATTTCTGGCCTCTCTCTCTTATTGCAATTGACTTGAATAAAGTCTTCCTTACCTGTTTGACTTTGGTGCAGCTTTTGCTTTGACAGTAACTTATAATGAGTTTATTTTTCATTTCCCTAAAGAAAAATGTTTCATCCTGACCTCCAGGGCACCATTTGGTGCTGGCTGATGGTGGTGTGGCAGCTGGAGATGTAGCATAATGATCCAAAATTGGGCCCTTGTAAAAAACCAAAGCACGTACTTCTAAAATAGAATCAATTACTTATTTACTTATGTCTGCTCATTATACCCCAGATATAAACCCCAAGGGGGCAGCAGTATATCATGAATTAGAGCATAAGTTTTTCATCAAAGATCAAAACTGAGTTTTCATCTTTCCCTTGCTATTTATGTAACTTAGGTGGGTTATAGACCTCTTTAAGCTTCAGTTTACTCATTTGCAAAATATGAATATAATACACTATGATATTACATATAACATATAACTTAAGAACCTGGTTATTGCACAAATTAAATAATATGTGTAAAGCACTTAGCACAGCATAACAGATAGTTTTCACAGTTTTTCTTTTTATAAGTAATATTGTTGTTATTACTATTATTTCTTTAAAGACAGGGTTCATATCTGTCTAATAGTATCTACTCACCTGCTCACAAATATTTAATGATTAAATTATTTTTCAAATAATACCTAGTACATATATACATTATCTAAATGGAAGCAAACATATGGGATGGAAATTAACGTCTGTTGTTGAAGATTGTCTTAGTAGCAGTTATGGTCTATAAAATATCTAAATCACAGTTTCAAGCATGTGTTCTGAGACAAAAATTTCAAGCAGAAGCTTCCTAATGACCACATCCAGTCCCCACTGAGCACACCTTTAATATATTTTATAATATATATTATGCCAACATTTGCTTTGTGAACAGGGTAAAGACAGTCACAGTCAAGAATTGGCTAAAATACTGATTTGTCATTTATGGAAAAGTACAAAGGTGAGGGTGACTTTCAGAGGAAATAAGGCATTATTAGTGGTGCCGTCTGGCAAATACAAGAGAATTTCTCAGAGACCCACTTGGAAGAAAGTTCAATCATGGCATTGGATGACTCAGTGAAAGGTGGAAGGCCAATACTGGTAGTTCAAATGAAAACATCTACTGCTCTTAACTTTGTAAATATTCTGTTTCATTCTTAAAAGCCTAGGGAAATAATAATTCTATACCTACTTTTCCTGTTTTTCTGTGAAAATAGTTTCTATAAATTTTAACGGGCTTAGAAACTTTTCTCTGAATGATCAAATGTCCTAAGCTATTTCAAATCATATTTACCCTGCCCTTGGACAGGCAACAGGTTACTTTGGAAAAATTGAGTCTTTAGAGAAATGACAGAAAAGACTTTTTTTTCTTTTATGGGGTAGATCCTGAGACTTCTGAGCATCTATAATTCCTTATGATAAATATGCTATTATTTCTATTTCTCTAGAGAACTCAGACTGATACATGTTCTAAGTATAAACCTTGGTTGATGATCTGTTCATTTCACTAGTCATGTATTTCTTTACTGCTCTGCTTAAACAACTGGAAGCTGGCTTGAACAGCTAGTTTTTTCAAAAGTAATTTGTTATTATACATATTTGCACAGAAAGAAAAAGTTTGAAAAATTATCAAGAGAGAGCTAAGTCACTTCAGGAGCCACACTTATCATGACATGTGATATAATTACAGAAAATAAAATACTTGATTGAAGTACTTGATGTGGGGGTAGTATACTATCAACAATATCAAACTTACCTTTTCTTCACTTGTGATAAATATTAACCATCTCTTGCTACATTTCTTTGTATTAGCTCTGAAATGAAAAGTCATTTGAAAAGGTATTGCAAATTCAAGTTAATGAAAAAGATATTGAAAATATAATTTATATGTGCATGAGCTGCTGATAATTAAAATAACACCTTATTACCAAACACATTCTTTTTTTTCCCTTCTTACCAAACACATTCCTTTTTTTCCACTAACAGAAATTTAATCTAAAAATAAGTGCTTTCTTCTACTTTTATTTACTAAAGTACTTCACAGTCTTCCGTCATCCTAATGTCATCTTGCCTGATGCTATTTCCCCTATATTATTACATTTGTCTTCTCCCAGGTGTGGCATCAGTACTGATTTGCTACCCAACAGCCATTCCCTGTCCTATTCTAATTGCTCATTTATATCAATATATTTATATCTATCTATCTATATATACATATATATACATATATACATATATATACACATATATACATATATATACTATATATATATACACACACACATTATATATATATATATATATATAATGTGTGTGTGTATATATATATATATCTTCTTTTGCAGCCTGTTTTGAAGTTACCAGTGCTCAGGTGACTAGTTTCAGCCAAGGGATATAAGAAAAAGTCTGCTATTGAACATCTGGCCAAGATATTTTTTCTTCCTGATAAAGGAAGAGAAATAGAAACCAAGTTTTCTCTTTATACTTTGAGCTGACTCCGTAATATAGCAACAAAAGGTGACGTGCCTAAGGATGAAAACCAACAGCTGGGGATAGAACCATAAAAAAAAAAAAGAAAAGAAACTGGACTCTTGATGACAATGTTGAATCTTCAAACCAACCTTAGGACCAGATACATATGGGTTTTCTTTTTCTTGAAGCCGAATGCACTGAATCACAAGCACTTTTGTTTCTCCTTTCTGAGAGATCTGGGTATTATATAAAAATCTCTGACTCAAGAGATCCCTCTCTTGTGTTTGAAATATTGCTGTCCACTCTGGATTCTCAGGGCATGCTCTGATGAGGGCCAGCCGTTATCCTGGCTCTGCACCCCAAGCATTTGGCAAGTGCTACTCAGGAAGTACCCATGAGTGATGGCTCAATGAAAGGGTGTTCGAATGTTGACAACCAGCAGGATCCACTGGACTCTTCCACCGGATGAAATAATAATAAATAACCCAAAGCGAGCAGCTCAGATGGGCTAGAACACTGCCTAAAATTATCCTAAAATCCCCTGAACTAGAAAGCAAAAAAAAATTAGCTAGTGAAGAGAGCACGGGAGAGTCAAGTGAGTCCATGCGTGTTGGGTCTGAGGACAAGGGGCAACAGAACAGCACACAGGGTGGAGAACACTCACAGCCAAAAGACATGGGGAGGCTCTAATTTCTTAGGAAGCACGTTGCTTCTCAAGTCTCAGGGCGGCCAGTGGATCTTGGTGATTTGAGTATCATGGTGACCATGGCACCACAGCTCAGTGCTGGGTGGAAGTCGTGCCCTATGTGCCTAGTGTCTCCCTTATGCGATTGCGTCCACACATTGGAGATCCTCAGGTCTGAGGTGCTCCCTCTGACACCAAAATCACTGCCCAGAACAGCATCTGTTGTGGTAGTGAGAAGTGCACACTCGACAAATGGACAAAGATTTCTATTTTTTAAAAAAGATTTCTCTTTGTTAAAAAATATTTCTCTGGAATGAATATAAGAAATTAACAGCGGTGCTCATTTGCTTGGGCAGGGGAGGAAAACAGGGAACAGGGTTGAGCGCAGACCACTGTGCACCTTTTTAAACTGCAAAATTTTAAAACATCATGAATACGATGCCCATTCAAAAGTAAGTAAGTTTGAAGTAACTGAAGTGGAAGCAACACTGAGTGCCTGGGCAGGGAGTGCTGGTGTCTGGTGAGGAAGGAGGAGAGTACAGAGAGGTGAGCCCTCAGAGTCCCATGCAGTCTGCTGTAGACCAAGCTCAGAAGCAGAACTGACCTGACCCACAGCTCACCGGGGAGCAGAATGGCCATGACCAACAACTGAGACTGGGGAAATACTCAGAATAAGCAAAAGGGAAAATGTGGAGGATGTGCCATGCCAGGTCCAAAACTGATATACGGAATGTTTTCAACTATGAAACGAATTAATGCCAGAATATTGTGTTTCCTAATCACTCTCATTCTATTATTTGGCTCACAATCAAACTTGGTAGTGCTTTAAACATAGATTTGTTAGTAACGATGAAAAATGAGATAAGCAGCATGTGGTAATAAGAAAGATTACTTGGGTGTATCCAGACAACAGAGGAATTCAAAATAAACAACATAATGAGAGACTTCATCATTTCTAAGGAAACAAAGCTTTGATTTTTAAGATTCTTTCTTTTGTTTAATCATTTGAATAGAAAAATATAGTGCTTGAAATTTCTGAAAATTTTAAATGTTCAGTTAGTTACACTGAGACAATATTTCTCTCATGCAATCTGTGAATGCTGCAAATCATCAAGATAAAAAGCTTATAAATACTTATTCCTAAGAGGGCTTTGTATATTAATCCTCATCTTTGGAAAACAACCAGGGAAGGACCAGGCTAAGCAGAAAAGCAGGGGCCAGCACACCACCACCCTCCTGCAGGGAGCACACAGAGAGAGCCTCCTACAGGCTGGAGCTTGAGGTCTAGAGGGAGGCGGTGGCCAGTGTGACACGCACTGTCCACCATGGGGGCAGGGTCCATGCAAGCACTAAAGGTGGCAGGCCTGGAGCAGCTGAGTCCCACAGGGCACCTAGAGGCTTGGGGGAGGGTGCAGGCTTGCTCAGGTCATGAAGTCAAGTCCTTTTTCAACCCTTGTGCTCTCCACTGGGGAAGAGACTTGCAGAGGCATCTGGACCTGGCTCTACAGGGGCATGGGTGGCACGGTTAGGCTACTATACTAGCTCTGGCCAAAAACACTAGAAACAAATGAACCAGCACAGGCAGAAATGTGACAGAAGACCATGCTGGGGACCTGGTCACCACTTTCAAACTCTCCCAAGTGATCAAGAGATCACTTACTAGGACCTCACTGTTAAGAGTAAAAAGAGCTAATTTTACGAGAATAATTAGAAAAATCAGAAGTAAATAATGCTTAAACAGAACCTAAAACTGTAACAAGACCACTGGGTTTTTAGATTGGCTTTTGGTCTCGACACAAATTAAGTGGATGTTATTGCTTAGAGAACTTGCAGTGGCCTCAGTTGGCCTTCTGCAAGCAAATTCTTCTTGGAGAAAGTAGGCTTTTCCACAAATTTGTCTTTTAGCAATATTCTAACAAACTGCACTAAAATTGCCTTGCACAAACTATCACAACTCCACAACAATGCAGCCTTACAATGGGCCAGACACTACACATCAGTGCTTCAAAGATGTGTGTCCTTTTGATCCAGCAATTATGTCTAGGAATTTATCTGAGGAAGTAACCAGGGAAGCAAAAATATGCATGTTCACAGATGCTCATCACAGTGTCACTTTGAGGACCAAAGTGGAAACTGAAAACTGTAGGATAATTCAAGAGATGATGCTTTAACCTCTCTATCTTACTTCCTCCCCTGGATTCCTTAAGAAAAGAAAAACAGCAATTTCTCATAAGAAAAATATATACAAAAACCCTACTGATATGGGAAGATGCCCCCTTCATGTGAGGTGTGCATCATAGTCTACCACAGTGTACCATTATAGCTCCTTCTTTTGTTATGAGCAAAATTAGCATGGCTGGCCACAGAGGAAACATATGGAAGAGCCCACACAGTTGGTGATGTGTTTATTGTCTTTTGGTGGAAGGAATACAGGTCATCTTTATTTTCTTTACATTTTCTACATTTTCAGAACTTTTGCAAATAGTGTATATAAACCAGAAATGAAAATAAACGAAATAAAACAAAACAAGGTATGTATGTGCAAATGTATTCTAAATGTTATGAGGTCCCAATTCCACTGATGAGGATTCCTAGGGTAAGAAAGCTCCTAGGGAGGGAGAGCTAGCAAGATGGCCAAATAGGAACAGCTGCAGTCTGCAGCTCTCAGTGAGATCAATGCAGAAGGTGGGTGAATTCTGCATTTCCAACTGAGGTACCCAGCTCATCTCATTGGGACTGGTTAGACAGTGGGTGCAGCCCACAGAAAGCAAGACAAAGCAGGGTGGGGCATTGCCTCAGCCAGGAAGCAGAAGGGGTCAGGGAGCTCCCTCCTCTAGCAAAGGGAAGCCATGAAGGACTGTGCAGTGAGTAATGGTGCATTCCGGCCCAGATACTATGCTTTTCCCATTGTCTTCACAACCCGCAGACCAGGAGATTCCCTCAGGTGCCTACACCACCAGGGCCCTGGGTTTCAAGACTAAAACTGGGTGGCCGTTTGGGCAGATGCCAAATTAGCTGCAGTTTGTTTTTTTGTTTTTGTTTTTTTTTTTTTTCATATCCCAGTGGCTCCTGGAACACCAGCAAGACAGAACCATTTACTCCCCTGGAAAGGGGGCTTAAGCCAGGGAGCCAAGTGGTCTAGCTCAGTGGATCCCACCCTCCTGGAGTCCAGCAAACTCAGATCCACTGGCTGGAAATTCTCGCTGCCAGCAGAGCAGGCTGAAGTCGACCTGAATGCTAGAGCTTGGTGGTGGGGAGGGGGCAGTTGTCCACCATTACTGAGGCTTGAGTAGGCAGTTTCCCTCTCACAGTGTAAACACAGCCGCTGGGAAGTTCGAACTTGGGGAGCCCAACACAGTTTGGCAAAGCCGCTGTAGCCAGTCTGCCTCTCTAGATTCCTCCTCTATGGGCAGGCCATGTCTGAAAGAAAGGCAGCAGCCCCAGTCAGGGGCTAATAGATAAAACCCCCATCTCCCTGGAACAGAGAACCCGGGGGAAGGGGCAGCTGTGGGCACAGCTTCAGCAGACTTAAACATTCCTGCCTGCTGGCTCTGAAGAGAGCAGCAGATCACCCAGAACAACACTCGAGCTCTGCTAAGAAACAGACTGCCTCCTCAACTGGGTCCCTGACCCCTGTGCTGCCTGACTGGGAAATATCTCCCAGCAGGGGTCGACAGACACCTCATACAGGAGGGCTCCAGCTGGCACATGGCGGCTGCCCCTCTGGGATGAAGCTTCCAGAGGAAGGAACAGGCAGCAATCCTTGCTGTTCTGCAGCCAGTGCTGGTGATACCCAGGAAAACAGGGTCTGGAGGAGACCTCCAGCAAACTCCAGCAGACCTGCAGCAGAGGGGCCTTACTGTTAGAAGGAAAACTAGCAAACAGAAAGGAATAGCATCAACATCAGCAAAAACGACATCCACACAAAAAACCCATCCGAAGGTCACCAACATCAAAGAAGAAATGTAGATAAATCCACGAAGATGAGGACAAAACCAGCACAAAAAGGCTGAAAATTCCGAAAACAAGAATGCCTCTTCCCCACAACTCCTCAGCAGCAAGGGAACAAAACTGGACAAAGAATGAGTTTGATGAACTGATAGAAGTAGGCTTCGGAAGGTGGGTAATAACAAACTCCTTCGAGGTAAAGGAGCATGTTCTAACCCAATGGAAGGAAGCTAAAAAACTCGAAAAAAGTTTAGAGGAATTGCTAACTAAATTAACCAGTTTGGAGAAGAATATAAATGACCTGATGGAGCTGAAAAACACAGCACGAGAACTTCATGAAGCATACACAAGTATCAATAGCCAAATCGATCAAGGGGAAGAAAGGATATCTGAAATTGCAGATCAACTTAATGAAATAAAGAGTGTGAACAAGATTAGAGAACAAAAGAATGAAAAGGAACAAACAAAGCCTTCAAGAAATATGGGACTGTGTGAAAAGACCAAAGCTAGGTTTGATTGGTGTACCTGAAAGTGATGGGGAGAATGGAACCAAGTTGGAAAACACTCTTCAGGATATCATCCAGGATAACTTCCCCAACATAGCAAGACAGGCCAACATTCAAATTTAGGAAATACAGAGAACACCACAAAGATACTTCTCAAGAACAGCAACCGCCAAGACACATATTCGTCAGATTCATCAAGGTTGAAATGAAGGAAAAAATGTTAAGGGCAGCCAGAGAGAAAGGTCAGGTTACTAACAAAGGGAAGTTCATCAGACTAACAGCAGATCTATCTGCAGAAACCCTACAAGCCAGAAGAGAGTGGAGGCCAATATTCAACATTCTTAAAGAAAAGAATTTTCAACCTAGAATTTCATATCCAGCCAAAGTAAGCTTCATAAGCGAAGGAGAAATAACATCCTTTACAAACAAACAAATGCTGAGAGATTTTGTCACTACCAGGCCTACCTTACAAGAGCTCCTGAAGGAAGCACTAAATATGGAAAGGAAAAACTGGTAGCAGCCATGCAAAAACATACCAAACTGTAAAGACCATTGACGCTATGAAGAAACTGCATCAACTAATGGCCAAAATAGCCAGCTAGCGTCATGATGACAGGATCAAATTCACACATAACAATATTAGACTTAAAGGCAAATGGGCTAAATGCCCCAATTAAAAGACACAGACTGGTAAATTGGATAAAGTGTCAAGACCATCGGTGTCCTGTATTCAAGAGACCCATCTCATGTGCAGAGACACACATAGGCTCAAAATAAAGGGATGGAGGAATATTTACCAAGTAAATAGAACACACAAAAAAAGAAGGGGTTGCAATCCTAGTCTCTGATAAAACAGACTTTAAACCAGCAAAGATCCAAAAAGACAAAGAAGGGCATTACATAATGGTAAAATAATCAATGCAACAAGAAGAGTTAACTATCCTAAATATATATGCACCCAATACAGGAGCACCCAGATTCATAAAGCAAGTTCTTAGAGACCTTCAAAGAGACTTAGACTCCCACACAATAATAGTAGGAGACTTTAACACCCCACTGTCAATATTAGAAAGATCAACGAGACAGAAAATTAACAAGAATATTCAGGACTTGAACTCAGCTGTGGACCAAGTGCACCTAGTAGACATCTACAGAACTCTCCACACCAAATCAACAGAATATACATTCTTCTCAGCACCACATTACACTTATTTTAAAGTTGACCACATAATTGAAAGTGAAACACTCTTCAGCAAATGAAAAAGAATGGAAAGCATAACAAACAGTCCATCATATCACAGTGCAATCAAATTAGAACTCAAGATTAAGACACTCACTCAAAAATGCACAACTACATGGAAACTGTACAATCTGCTCCTGAATGACTGCTGGATAAATAACAAAATTAAGACAGAAATAAATAAGTTCTTTGAAACCAATGAGAACAAAGACACAATGTACCAGAATTTCTGGGACATAGCTAAAATGGTATTTAGAGGAAAATTTATAGCACTAAATGCCCACAAGAGAAAGCGGGAAAGATCTAAAATCAACACCCTAACATAACAATTAAAAGGACTAGAGAAGCAAGAACAAAGTCAAAAGCTAGCAGAAAACAAGAAATAACTAAGATCAGAACAGAACTGAAGGAGATAGAGACATGAAAACCCCTTCAGAAAAATCAATGAATCCAGGAACTAGTTTTTTGAAAAGATTATCAAAATAGATAGACCACTAGCCACACTAACAAAGAAGAAAAGAGAGAAGAATCAAATTGACACAATAAAAAATGATAAAGGGGATATCACCTCTGATCTCACAGAAATACAAACTACCATCAGAGAATATAATAAACACCTCTATGCAAATAAACTAGAAAATCTAGAAGAAATGAATAAATTCCTGGACACATACACCGTCCCAAGACTAACCCAGGAAGAAGTTGAATCCCTGAATAGACCAATAATAAGTTCTGAAATGGAGTAAGTAATTAATAGCCTACCAATCAAAAAAAGCCCAGGACCAGGTGGATTCACAGCTGAATTCTACGTACAAAGAGGAGCTGGTACCATTCCTTCTGAAGCTATTCCAAATAATAGGAAAAGAGGGACTCCTCACTAACTCGTTTATGGGGCCAGCATCATCCTGTTACCAAAACCTGGCAGAGACACAACAAAAAAAGAATATTTCAGGCCAATATCCCTGATGAACATTGATGCGAAAATCCTTAATAAAATACTGGCAAACCAAATCCAACAGCACATCAAAAAGCTTATCCACTGTGATCAAGTCAGCTTCATCCCTGGGATGCAAGGCTGGTTCAACATAGGCAAATCAATAAACGTAATCCATCACATAAACAGAACCAGTGACAAAAACTATATGATTATCTCAATAGATGCAGTAAAGGTCTTTGATAAAATTCAACATCCCTTCATGCTAAAAACTCTCAGTAAACTAGGTATTGATGGAACATATCTCAAGATAATAAGAGCTATTTATGACAAACCCACAGCCAATATCATACTGAATGGGCAAAAGCTGGAAGCATTCCCTTTGAAAACCAGCACAAGACAAGGATGCCCTCTCTCACCACTCCTATTCAACATAGTGTTGGCAGTTCTGGCCAGGGCAATCAGGCAAGAGAAAGAAATAAAATGTATTCAAATAGGAAGTCAAATTATCTCTGTTTGCAGATGACATGATTGTATATTTAGAAAACCCCATCGTCTCTGCCCAAAATCTCCTTAAGCTGATAAGTGACTTCAGCAAAGTCTCAGGATACAAAATCAATGTGCAAAAATCACAAGCATTCCTATACACCAATAAGAGACAAACAGAGAGCAAAATCATGAGTGAACTCCCACTCACAATTGCTACAAAGAGAATGAAATACCTAGGAATACAACTTACAAGGGATGAGAAGGACCTCTTCAAGGAGAACTACAAACAACTGCTCAAGGCAATAAGAGAGGACACAAACAGAAAAAAATTCCATGCTTATGGATAGGAAGAATCAATATCATGAAAATAGCCATACTGCACAAGTAATTTATAGATTCGATGCTATCTCCATCAAGCTATCATTGACTTTCTTCATAGAATTAGAAAAAAACAACTTTAAATTTCATATGGAACCAAAAAAGAGCCCATATAGCCAAGGCAATCCTAAGCAAAAGGAACGAAGCTGGAGGCATCACACTACCTGACTTCAAACTGTAGTACAAGCCTGCAGTAGCCAAAACAGCATGGTACTGGTACCAAAACAGATATATAGACCAATGGAACAGAACAGAGCCCTCAGAAATAATGCCACACATGTATAACCACCTGATCTTTGACAAACCTGACAAAAACAAGCAATGGAGAAAGGATTCCCTATTTAATAAATGGTGTTGGGAAAACTGGCTAGCCATATGCAGAAAACAGAAGCTGGACCCTCTCCTTACACCTTATAGAAAAATTAGCTCAAGATGGATTAAAGACTTAAATGTTAGACCTAAAACCATAAAAACCCTAGAAGAAAACCTAGGCAACACCATTCAGGACATAGGCATGGGCAAAGACTTCATGACTAAAACACCAAAAGCAATGGCAACAAAAGTCAAAATTGACAAATGAAATCTAATTAAACTAAAGAGCTTCTGCACAGCAAAAGAAACTATTATCAGCATGAACAGGCAACCAATAGAATGGGAGAAAATTTTTGCAATGTATCCATCTGACGAAGGGCTAATATCCAGAATCTACAAGGAACTTATACAAATTTACAAGAATAAAAAAAAAAATCCCAGCAAAAAGTGGGCAAAAGATATGAACAGACACTTCACAAAAGAAGATATTTATGCGGCCAACAATCATATGAAAAAAAGCTCATCATCACTGGTCATTAGAGAAATGCAAATCAAAACCACAATGAGATACCATCTCACGCCAGTTAGAATGGTGATCATGAAAAAGTCAGGAAAAAACAGATGCTGGATAGGATGTGAAGATATAGGAACACTTTTACACTGTTGGTGGTAATGTAAATTAGTTCAACTATTGTGGAAGACAGTGTAGTAATTCCTCAAGGATCTAGAACCAGAAGTACCATTTAACTCAGCAATCCCATTACTGAGTATATACCCAAATGGATATACATCATTCTATTAAGACACATGAGCACATATGTTTATTGCAGCACTATTCACAATAGCAAAGACTTGGAACCAACCCAAATGCCCCTCAGTGATAGACTGGATAAAGAAAATGTGGCACATATACACCATGGAATACTATGCAGCCATAACAAAGATGAGTTCATGTCCTTTGCAGGGACATGGATGAAGCTGGAAACCATCATTCTCAGCAAACTAACACAGGAACAGAAAACCAAATACCACATGTTCTCACTCATAAGTGGGAGTTGAACAAAGAGAACACATGGACACAGGGAGGGGAACATAACACACCAGGGCCTGTCTAGGGGTGTGGGGCTAGGGGAGGGATAGATTTAGGAGAAATACCTAATATAGATAATGTGTTGATGTTGATGGGTGCAGCAAACCACCATGGCACATGTATACCTATGTAACAAACCTGCACGTTCTGCACATGTATCCCAAAACAAAGTATTATAATAATATAATAATAATAATAATAATAAGCTCCTAGGGTGGGAGTTTCCATAGTTAATAAGAGGCTTCAATGTGAATAAATTCACAAATACATCAGACTTAGTACATTTATCAACAGACTTTTATTTCCAGACGAGCTCCCTTACCTTTTCCAGGACTGAGTCTGGACTACAAAGACCTTTAGTTGTCCATTAGCTTCAATTAGGAGACCTGCAGAAAGTAACAACAACAATATTAAATGCAATATATAAAAGACCTACAAAGCTACAGTTGTTAAAAACTATCATTATCAAAGATTCTGTAAAATAACATCACAAAAAGACAAATCACTGTTATGAAACAACTCTGGCAACAACCAGGAGGATACCCAGTCTTAGGAGAAGGATTGAAGCTGTGGTTACTCCTAGTGTGCAAATGGTATAGGTTACTTGGAAATGGTGTGACTATATTATTATAGAGTCAGTGTGATCATTTAAAATCAAGATATTAATAAAAGAAAAAATTCTTACAATAGAATGTTGAATAAAATGTAGCATATATTTAACACAGAGAGTATTAGGCAAACATTAAGAAGAAATCTTATCAGAATTGTCAGTCTCACCCTGCTACCACATGAAAGCCAGTGAAAACCTTTTGTTCTCTTCCTATTCTCAGTAAAATGTCAGTTTCCAGGAGCAGGGGACTGACTGTCCCATTCCAAAAGGAAGTCCCAGAGGCTGTCTGGAAGTGCGTGTTTAGGGCACACACATGACAGCTTGAAGTTCAAGAGTGTGCATATGTGCAACACACTCAAACACCCAAAGTCAACTGTGTAAGACAATTTACCTTGGGCAGTGGGACTGTGAGGCAGGTATGGAGTATATTAATTTGAGTATAAAAGTAAACAAACCAAATACATTCAAGTACACTCTTACATAGAAGAAACTGGGGTAACAAATTCTGACCTCATGATGTGACCCCAAATGGAAGTCAGAGGTCAGGAAGAGTGAGGGACATGGTTACAAGTCATGTGGTCAAAACTCAAAGCCCAACGAGGCCACTGGGGAAATTTCATGGTCTTCCAAACTTCACTTTTCTACAGAAGATGAAGAAAGTGAGAGCTTCCCATGAGCTCCTGAACCATCAGAGAATCATATCCAGGTTGGCTTAGAAAGACCACCAGTGAGAGATCTAACATGTTCAAACCATTGCGGACAACCTTTGCCAAGCCTTGCTGTGCTGCAGGCCTTTTTCCAGTCTGACAAGAAGGGTGTGAAGGTGCCTTCATAATGACCATTTAGGCCACCTGTTACACAAAGCAAAGGCCAGCCAGCATGCCAGGCCATGGAGGAAAGCAAGGTGCTTGCATGAGGGCCCTGCAGTTTTCAGGTTTGGGCTTTGAGAGATCAGGTCTAGGTGCTTCCTGGGAAGTCTCTATCACACTGGCCTCAGCAGGGTTATAGGAACACAGGCTCTGCAATGCCCAGGAGCCTGTCATTTCACACTTGGGCCACACTTGGAAGGCACTCTTAATGTCACCACACCTGACGTAGAACTAGCATGGAGAGCTGATAAAAGTATGCTTTGGGCCAGGTGCAGCGGCTCATGCCTGTAATCCCAGCACTTTGGGAGGCCGAGGTGGGCAGATCACGAGGTCAGGAGTTGAGACCATCCTGGCTATCATGGTGAAACCCCGTGTCTACTAAAAATACAAAAAAATTAGCTGGGTGTGGTGGCGGGCCCCTGTAGTCCCAGCTACTCTGGAGGGTGAGGCAGGAGAATGGCATGAACCTGGCAGGCGGAGCTTGAAGTGAACTGAGATTGCACCACTGCACTCCAGCCTGGGCGATGGAGCAAGACTCCATCTCAAAAAAAAAAATAAAATAAAATAAAAAGAAAAGTATGCTTTGGTGCAAAGATAACCATGGTGGGAACCTATGTGACCAGTCACCAGCCATGGCCCAGAGGCCAAGAAGTAAAATTCTGTTCTGGGACCCATTAGTGTGTTCTAGATATGATGAGATCCAAGAGTTATTCATTACCAGAAGAGGATGCAAGATCCAAGCCAGTTGTGTAAGGCCAGGAGGGTAAGGCCAGGGAGGTTAGGCCTGATGGGTAAGGCCAAGGAAGATGAGAAGGCCAGAGGGGTAAGGTGAGATAGTTAAGGAAAAGTGAGTAGGACCAAGTGAGTAAGGTCAGTTGGGTAAGGCCAAGACGTTAGGCCATGTGTTCAAAAGCAGGTGAACAAGGGCAGGTAGATAAGGCTAGGTGGGTAAGGCACATATGTAAAGCCAGGTGGGTGTGGCCATAAGGGCAATGCTGGGTGGAGGATAATGCCATCAGAATAAGGACAAAAGGAGAAGGCAAATAAGTTAACTACAAGAAGCTAGGTTCAGTGAGGAAAGCCAGGAGGGAAAGGCCAGGAAGTTAGAGCTAGGTAGGTAAGGTGATTGAATAATGCCAGGAGGCCCAGTTGGTAAAGGCAAGTGGTTAACATTAGGTAGGTAAGACCAAGTGAATAAGCCAGGTATGTAAAGCCTCACAGATAGGACCAGGTTCCTGAATAAGGCCAGGAAGTTAATAAGGCCAGGAGATTACAGATAGGAGGTGAGGGGCAGATGGATAAGGTCAAGGGGAATTGCAAAGGGAGGTAAGGCCAGAAGGCTAAAAAAAGTGGGTAAGGGCAGCACCTAACAGCAATAAGTTAGCTTAAGCACACCCTGGGAATGACCCTGTGGTCTAAGAAGAATATGTGTCCAGAGTTTCGGGCTAAGGAATCTGGGAGTGGCCAACCTGCAGATTCATTCCTTATCTATGAGGGATATCGAAATCCCTGGCCTATTCCATGGAATGCAGGCCTTACAGAGGACTGAGACCCTTTGTTCTGGGTTAAATGAAAGTTGCCAGAAAATGCTATATAAATCATGTGCTTTTTACAAATGGTAATGGTTCTCCTGTTCAGCCCACTGCCATTAGATTGTCCTGCATGTAAGTCCTTTCAATAAACCCTATGTCTCATTCACTGGCTCCAGGTCTTTTCTTTGGCCTTTGAAACATGATGCCATTCCTTTTGAAGTCAATATGGGTCTAGCATGATGAGTGGGTAAACTTGTCCAGCAGGATAGGTGGGGAAAGTCTAGACGTTAAGTCCAGGATGTGATATTTAGAAGTCAGGGACATGAGATTACATAGGACAGGGGATAAAATCTCAGAGGTGAGGCCAGGAGCTGGGACCCACGGAATATGGTCAGGAGTGTACAGTTAGGAGGCACAGTGTCAGAGGTAAGTCAGGTGGGAAGTTGAGGCTCGAAGGCTCAGACAGCTGAATGAAGCTAAGTGGTCAATACCAGGTGGATGAGGGCACATGATTAAGGCCATTAGGTAAGGCCATTTTTATGTCCTGCCAACGTGGACATAATCTCACATAGGTCAGGTTGGTAAAGCTCAGGAGGTTAATTGCACATGGGTAGGGCCATGTGGGTGAGGCCAGGAGGTGAAGTCCAGGGTGTTAGGACAAGGAGATAAAGGCCAGCTGAATAAAGAGGTGGTTTACATCAGGTGGTTTAGGCCAAAATGCTAGGTGGGTATGACTATGTAGGCAACCCAATGGCTAAGGATAGTGGCTAATATTGGGAAGTTAAGGCCAGGCTGATAACACCATTAATTATGGTCATAAGTTTAAGGCCAGGTTTTTAATGGCTTGCAGGAAAAGCCAGGGGAATAAGGCGAGGGTGGTACAACCAGAGGTGTTAGGGCAAGATGAGTATGATCAAGGGGTTATGACAAGGTGGGGAGGGTTAGGGAGGTATGGCCAAGGGGGTAAGGTCAGGTGCTGAGTACAAGAGATTAAGGCCAGGAGTTTAGGACTATGTGGTCAAGGCCAGATGAATACAGCTAAGTGGTCAACACCAGTTTGGTAAAGCCAGGAGACTAAATCTAGAAGGATATGGCTAGGTGGGCGATGCCAGAAGATTAATATCATGTGGGTAAGGCCAGGTTGGTAAGACCATGAGTTTAAGGATACCAAGTTAAGGCAGTATGATTAAGTCCATGTGGGTAAGGTCAGGGGTGAGTTCAGGTGAATAAGTTCAGAAACTGAAGCCCAGGTGGATAACCTGGAAAATAAGGCCAAGTGGGAAGTACAGTTTGGTAAACCAGGTAATGAAGTTCAGAATGTCAAGGCAAGGATTTAAAGTGAGGAGTTTAAGGCTACAACTTTAAGGCCAAGTGTGTATGCCCATGTGGGTAAGACAGGTACAACTAAGCCCAAGAGTTTATGAGCAGTGGGTGAATGCTAGGTGGTCTAAGTCTACTGAAAACTTAATGGTTAACATCAGATGGGTCAGGGGAGTAAAGCAGGTAGGTAAGTACAAGAGGTTAACACTGGGAGGTTATGGCCAGGAGGTTGAGGCCAGGTGAATGAAGCTAGGTGATTAACACCAGATAGGTAAGAGCATGGCATTAAAGCCAGGTAGTAAGGTAAAGACATTAATTGTAGATAGTATTAAAGCTAGTTTAGTAAGGTAAAGAAGTTAATTGTAGATATGTAAGACCAGGTAAGTAAGGTCAGATGGGTGAGGTCAAGATGTTAAAGCTAGGAGGTCAAAGTTAGATGAATCAGGCTAGGTTGTTAACACCAGATTGGTAACAGCAGAAGTTAAAGCCAGGCAGGTAAGGCCAATTGCCTGAGGCCAGGTGGGTAAGAGCAGGAAGTTAAGATTGGGTGTTTGAGGCCTGGTGGTTAATAAAACCATTAAGTAAGGCAGGAGGATAGGTCCAGCAGTTAAATGCCAGTTTGCTAAGATCAGCAGGGTAAGGATCAGTGTGTAAGGCCAGGTAGGTATTCCTAGTTGAATACAGTTAGGTGGTTAACATCAAGTTGCTAAGTCCAGGAGGTTAAGGCCAGGATGGTGATATGGCTTGGCTCAGTGTCCCCACCCAGATCTCACCTTGAATTGTAATAATCCCCACGTGCTGTGGGAGAGACACTGTGGAAGGTAATTGAATCATGGGGGTGGGTTTTTCCTATGCTGTTCTCGCGATAGTGAATAATTCTCATGAGATCTGCTGATTATATAAAGGGGAGTTCCCCTGCGTATGCGCTCTTGCCTGCTGTCATGTAAGATGTGGCTTTGCTCTTCCTTCACCTTCTGCCATGATTGTGAGGCCTTCCCCAGCCATGTGGAACTGTGAGTCTACTAAACCTCTTTCCTTTATAAATTACCCAGTCTCGGGTATGTCTTTATTAGCAGCATGAGAATAGACTAATACATATGGTAAGACCAAGTAGGTAACCTGGTGGGCAAACACAGGTTAAGGCTCGTACGGCAAGACCAGTAGGTAACCTGGCATTAATATCACAGTCATAACCTTGGAGGTTAAGGATAGAATGTTCAGACTGATGGTTATGACTGTGATATTAATGCCAGGTGCGTGACTTTGTATTTAAGGACAAGCGGGTAAGGCTAAGAGGTTGCAAAGAGAGATTATGGCCATAAGATTAAGACCAGGTGGGAAGGCCAGGTGGTGAGGTTTTGTGGGTAAGGCAAGGGGGCTGGGATGAGGCGTATAAGGTCAGGGGGGCACAGTCAGGAGTATAATCCTCATGTATAAACCAGGTTGGCAAGGCTAGAAGGTTAATGGCAGATGTGTAAGGCCAGGTGGGTATAGCCAGGGGTGAAGGCCTGGGGGTTACAGCTAGGAGCATAATGTCAGCATGATATAGACAGGGGTATGTGGCCTGGGAAGTATGATTAAAGGGGGACTTCCAGGGGTGTATGGCCAGGGGGTGTCCTGGACAAGGGTGTCTAACCAGGTGGGTAGGTACAAGAGGTTAAGCCTAAGAGTTTAAAGCCTGGAAGTCCAGGCCAGCTGAATAATGCTAGGTGGTTTACACCTGGTGGGAGAGGCCGTGAGGTTAAGTTCAGAAGGCTAAAGCTTACAGGGTAAGGCCAAGTGGGTGAAGCCAGGAGCTTAAGACTGAGAGAGGCCACAAGGTTAATAAGATCATGTGGATAAATCTAGGTTCATACATCTAGATTAATGCCAGTTATGTAATGCTACTTGAGTTAGGACAGGTGGTTAAGGCCAAGTATGTGTGGCCAGGTGGTTAAGGCCAGGAAGTTAAGACTGAGTGATACGGCCAGGTGGTTAATGTGGCCAAGGGGTAAGGTAACGGTCTACCGAATAAAGCTATGTGATTCATACAAGGTGGGCAGGGCCACACGGGTAGGGCCAGGAGATTGAGGCCAGGTGGGTAAAACCAGCTAAGTATGATTCCCAGGTCAAGGCTGGGTAGGGAGGACCCCGAGGCTATGGTTAGGAGGGTACTACCAGGAAGGTAAGGTCAGATAGATAGACATGGGGTTAAAGACCTTGGCCAGGTCCTGGCTGAGCCTAAGTCTCAGTTTTAGCAGTTACACCTGTGAGAATATAATGTTCCTCATACATCACTTTATTCATAGGAGATGATAATAATCTCTGGGTCGTTGGTCTTGGGAAGCACTATGTGAAATACAGGCAAAGCATGGCATACCACTACTTCAAGTTAGTTCCTCTCTTGTGTCATCACCATCACGATTTAATAGACTAAATGGGACAAACTCATCCTTGCACTGGACAAACGCCTACTGGAGGATGGCCACCTTCTCACTTGCTCATTTGCCCCATGTCAAGTCTATGCCAGCTCCTAGGGCCCCTGCAGATCATCTATGCACCCCGTCCTTCCCTATGACAAATCCTGTTTATTAACTTCGTAGAAGGGTCACTCACAGAAGTTATTTTGCTACTGGCTTCCCTATTTATTAATCCTTCTTCACTACTACAACTAAGAAATGAAGAGATGTGTAAAATGCACAGGGTCAAGGACTGAAGGTGGGAGGTGGTGGCATTTGCTGCCTTTGGTAGGGAAATGGATTTCTGTTGATGAGTGCAGCCAGCTGGGACTGTTTCACTCCTGGCAGCAGTAGAGCATATATAAGACACCACAAGAAGGAGATCTGTTTACTGCCCACTGAGGAGTCCTGCCTTGAGGGCAAGTCAGGCTCCATCATAAAGGGAAAACACCTGGGGATGCGGCACTCTCAAACACAGCCTACTGCAGCAATGGTGGTGATACCAACAGTTGTGCTTGTGTTTATAAATCACATTATGCTTCTGCTCACAGAGATCAATTTCTAATCTACACCAACACAGGCACTGCAAGAGCAATGCAAATTCCCTCCTGCCTGGTCGGAATCTCTGGCAGCAGTGCAGAGGCTGCAGCCTTGCCTTATCCCTAAAACTCATGCTTGCTCTATCCAGCTACAGCCTCAACTGTGATGGCCACACCTGCTGCAGCCTTTTCTTATTCTCAATGCCTGTGTTAGCACTGTCCAGCTGTAGGGCCAGGTTGCCTCAGATGCAGCTCTGCCTCTACATCCAGTAGTCTGCCCCAGCTATGACATGAACCCTGTATCCCACAGCAATCCACTCCTAGGAAAACCAAAGTCCCGGAGAACAACCCCCACAACCCCCTCCCCCACCACAAATCACTGTAGGAGGGGAGACATACAGATGTACTGACTCATGGCAGTAGTACATGACTCATGGCAGTAGTACATGACTCATGGCAGTAGTACATGACTCATTTTGGGGTACCAGTCTTGTTCCCCGGTACAGCCCCTTCTTCTGAAAAGTGCTTCTTCTTATTTCAGCCGTGTTGCTCTAGAGCAGCTGTTCTCTTGCGGCAGAGAGTTAGCTGGCCAAAAGTGGACCAGCAAGACCCTTACTAGAAGGGTAAAGTAAGACCATGACATTGAGGCCAGGTAGGTAAGTCAGTTTAGTAAGGCAAGGAAGTAATTAACAATTGTATTAAATAGATAAGGCCTATCTGAGATCGGATGAAGGGGCTAGGCTTTCTCCACAAGCCTCAAATTTATGACATAAAACTGGAGTAACTGGAAGGTACACAGACCAAGAAATAAAGGCAGCCAGTTCTGATAACAAGAGAAGAGAATGACGCAAACCTATAACGTGCCAGACTATTGACAGAAGTTTTAACATATATGGTTCCAGCTCCATCTGCAAACAATCATTTTGTTACAGAAAAATGCTTAAAATAAATTCCTTTACTTGTGCTCACTAAAATTGTTTGTCTCTTGTGCTCCAAAAAGAAGCTAAGAAAGAAAAGTTTCTGGCGTTTTTAAAACCTACTGCCTTGATCTGCCAATTCCATTGACCATATGTCCAGCAGTCAGGCTGGTTACCTGATAAGCACTTGTACCTCACGCGCCCTCATCCTTCCTTTAGCTTTCTCCAGAGAGAACTAGAGAGTGAATGGGTAACAGAAGAGAGGGTAAAATCAACATCCAGAGCAGGCTCTCTGAGCCACAGCACTACTGACATTTGGGCTTAGATAACTCTTTGTTGGGGATCTTTCCTTCACTGCAGAGTGCTTAGCAGCATCCTTGGCCTCCACCCACTAGAGGCCAGTAGCACTCTCCAGTCCTCCAGTCCAACCAACATCAACATTACAAAATCACCCTCAGTTGAGAAACACTGACTTAAATGCATGATATCTGGGGCTATGCTGACTCTAAAACAGATCTCTTCAAAGATGATAGTTAAATAAATATACAGTTGGCTATATTTTCAACTCTAATTTTCAGTTAGGAGCATTACACCTAGAAGACAGAAAATCTGACATAAAGGAGCCAAGCAGTGGGTTCCTGTGGCTGCTTTTAAACACCTATCATGGCAGTACTAGTTTACCCTGTAGTGAGTTTTACAAGCACAGAAAATAACTGTTACATAACACATTGTGGGTCAAAATCTCAAAAGAAATGCAAGTTCTTTACTATAAAGGAAATTGGAAAACAAAAATACCACTTATAATTTTGTTCATCAATAATGTGAAGAACAATAATACAAAATTTTCTATAAACCTATACTGGAGCTTGGTGACTTTCTTACTGAGATATAACCTTGAATGGTAGACTTCTGTTATACCTGAACTGACACACACACATACTTGACAGCTGAAGATGTGGCTGACAGGGTTGCCAGTCTCCAGGAGGGCAATTTGATGGTCTGAATGTTTTTGTGCCCCCCTCAAATTTACAGGTTGAAATCCTGCTCCCCAATATGATGGTATCAGGAAGTGGGGCCTCAGGAGGTATTTAGGTCCTGAGGGTGGAGCTCTCATAAATGAGTTTAGTGCCAGATAAAAGGAACCCCAGATATCTTTTTGCCCCTTCTGCCACATAAGGACACAGTAAGAAGGTGCTGTCTATGATTCGGAAAGGAGGCCCTTACCAGATGCTGACTCTACCAGTGCTTTGATCTTGAACTTCCAGCCTCCAGAAATGGGAGAACTGAATTTCTGTTGTCTATGAGCCACAGAGTTTGTGATGTTTTTGTTATAGCAGCCCAAATGGGCTAAGGCAGGGTCCCACCTTTTGATATTCATGCCTATGTCATCTTCTTCTCACGGAATTTGCTTCTATAACCTATAGGAGATTGGAAATGACAGAATGTAATTCTGAAGCTAGACGATTTCCTGTTCTCTTGGATCACTTGCTTTGGTGAAAGCTGGTGGCCATCTTGTGAGGACACTCAAGCAGCCCTCTGGAGAGACCCTCTTGGTGATGAGCCAAAGCCTCCTACCCACAGCTGTGTGGGTGAGACGTCTTGCAAGCAGTCTGTCTAGTCCCTGACAAGCCTTCCCATGGCTGTAGATAAGGACAACATCTCAACTTCAACAATGTGACAGACCTTGGAACAGAAGTGCCCAACAAAGCCACTTCCAAATTCCTGATCCACAGAAACTGTGAGGGATAATTTTTTATTTCCATTTGAAGTCACTAAATTTGGGGGTTATTTGACAGTAATAGATACCTAACACAGTGGTGAAAGAGTTTTCTCTAGAACATAAAAAAAAATGTGTTTCTTTTCGTCAACTGGGTAAGTCATTGAATATATTTTTGGAGGGATCTTGAACCCTCCATAAACTTAGTTCCATATGAAAAGGTTATTGGGATAGTCACCTAAAAGAACTAGATTCCACCCTCCATACCCCAAACAGTGCAGCTTAAACCTTCTCATCACTGTGCTTGATTTCCTGAAAGTCTGCTCCCTTTCTGGAAACTGATGCTGAAGAAAAATTGAATAACCTAATAAAGACCTTGTTTGTTGACAATGGTGAAGTACAGCAAGAACCAACTAAGCAGGGAATTACTTTAGTCTTCCCTGAAAAAGAAAATCACAATGTTGCTGGTTCAATTCTATTGTGGTCAACGACAACACCACAATGAAGTTGCAAAGTCAAAATGCAGGTGATATTCAAGTGCAGAAGAAAGAAAACATGAAGTTAAAGGGCCAAATAAAAGGATGAAAGAGAAGAGATTTAAAAATGATAATGACACATAAACTTGAAAATGATGCCACAGAACAAGAATGCTACACAAATCTCACTTGTAGATGTTTACCAGGCACACTGAAAGAGTCCACAATGACCAACCGGAGACAAAGCCACAAATATAAATATAAGGAATCTGCATATATTATTGACCTCACTGCCTGACATGGTTTGGCTGTGTCCTCATTCAAATCTCAATTTGAATTGTATCTCCCAGAATGCCCACGTGTTGTGGGAGGGACCCAGGAGGAGGTAATCGAATCGTGGGGGCTGGTCTTTTCATGCTATTCTCGTGATAGTGAATAAGTCTCACAAGATCTGATGGGTTTATTAGCGATTTCCACTTTTGCTTCCTCCTCATTTTTCTCTTGCCACCACCATATAAGAAGTGCCTTTTACCTCCCACCATGATTTGGAGGCCTCCCCAGCCATGTGGAACTGTAAGTCCAATTAAACCTCTTTTTCTTCCCAGTCTCAGGTATGTCTTTATCAGCAGCATGAAAACAGTAAAGTGGAGTGTTGCTGAAAAGATACCTGAAAATGTGGAAGTGACTTTGGAACTGGGTAACAGGCAGAGGTTGGAACAGTTTGGAGGGCTCAGAAGAAGACAGGAAAATGTGGGAAAGTTTGGAACTTTCTAGAGATTTGTTGAATGGCCTTGCCCAAAATGCTGATAGCCATATGGACAATAAGATCCAGGCTGAGGTGGTCTCAGGTGGAGATGAGGAACTTGTTGGGAACTGGAGCAAAGGTGACTCCTGTTATGTTTTAGTAAAGAGACTGGTGGCATTTTACCCCTGCCCTAGAGATTTGTGGAACTTTGAACTTGAGAAAGATGACTTAGGGTATCTGGTGGGAGAAAGATGACTTAGGGTATCTGGTGGAAGAAATTTCTAAGCAGCAAAGCATTCAAGAGGTGACTCGAGTACTGTTAAAAGCATTCAGTTTTAAAAGGGAAACAGAGCGTAAGAGTTCAGAAAATTTGCAGCCTGACAATGCAATAGAAAGGAAAAACCAATTTTCTGGGGAGAAATTCAAGCTGGCTACAGAAATTTGCATAAGTAGCAAGGAGCCTAATGTTAATGCCCAAGACCATGAGGAAAATGTCTCCAGGGCATGTCAGAGGTCTTCACAGCAGCCCCTCCCATCACAGGCCCAGAGGCCCAGGAAAAAAAGTGGTTTCCTGGGCCAAGCCCCGGTCCCTGTGCTGTGTGCAGCCTAGGGACTTGTGCCCTGTGTCCCAGCTGCTCCAGCCATGGCTGAAAGGGGTCAATGTAGAGCTTGGGCTCTGGCTTCAGAGGGTGGAAGCCCGAAACCTTGGCAGCTTTAACCTGGTGTTGAGTCTGCGGGTGCACAGAAGTCAAGAATTGAGGTTTGGGAACCTCTGCCTAGATTTCAGAGTATGTATGGAAATGCCTGGATGCCCAGGCAAAAGTTTGCTGCAGGGGCAGGGCTCTCATGGAGAACCTCCGCTAGGGCAGTGAAGAAGGGAAATGTGGGGTCAGAGCCCCCATATAGAGTTCCTACTGGGGCACTGCCAAGTGGAGCTATGAGAAGAGGGCCACCGTCCTCCAGACTCCAGAATGGTAGATCCACCAACAGCTTGCACCGCGTGCCTGGGAAAGCCACAGACACTCAACACCAGCCTGTGAAAGCAGCTGGGAGGGAGGCTGTATCCTGCAAAGCTGCAGGGACGGAGCTGCCCAAGACCATAGGAGCTCACCTCTTGCATCAGCGTGACCTGGATGTGAGACCTGGAGTCAAAGGAGATCATTTTGGAGCTTTAAAATTTGACTGCCCTGCTGCATTTCATACTTGCGTGGTACCTGTAACCCCTTTGTTTTGGCCAGTTTCTCCCATTTGGAACAGCTATATTTACCCAACACCTGTACTGCCATTGTATCTAGGAAGTAACTAGCTTGCTTTTGATTTCACAGGCTCATAAGCAGAAGGGACTTACCTTATCTCAAATAAAACTTTGGACTGTGGACTTTTGGGTTAATGCTGAAATGAGTTAAGACTTTGGGGGACTGTTGGGAAGGCATGATTAGTTTTGAAATATGAGGACATGATATTTGGAGGGGCCAGGGATGGAATGATATGGTTTGGCTATGTCCCCTTTCAAATCTCATATTGAATTACATCTCCCACAATTCTCACATGTTGTCGGAGGGACTCAGGGGGAGATAATTGAATCATGTGGGCTGGTCTTTCCCGTGCTATTCTCCTGATAGTGAATAAGTCTCACGGTATCTGATGGGTTTATCAGGGTTTTCTACTTTTGCTTCCTCCTTATTTTTCTCTTTCTGCTGCCATCTGAGAAGTGCCTTTCACCTCCTGCCATGATTCTGAGGCCTCCCCAGCCATGTGGAACTGTAAGTCCAATTAAGCCTCTTTTTCTTCCCAGTCTTGGGTATGTCTTTATCAGCAGTGTGAAAACGGACTAATACACTGCCTTAGGAACCCACATAATATAGTCAATGTCCATTTTGACTGAACAAGAGTTTACACACGGTACACTTCAACTCCACAGCCAGCATCATGATTACTAGTTAAAGATCAGAAGCACTCCTGTCTTATCCATGTTTCCTGATAGTGCCTGTACCAGTTAGAAAAGGTAAAAAATTATCATTATTTGCCTTCATGAAAATCATTAGAAAAACTATTATAACAATAGCTTTCCTTTATATTAGCAATAAACTAGTAGAAAATATAAAAATTAAGCCTCTTTCACAATAGCCATAAAAACTTAGAATACCCAGGAGCAATCAATATAAAACGTATGCAGAACCAAGAAGAAAGCTACCTAACTTCCCTGAGGAATACAGATAATGACTGGAATAAATATATAACATGTTATAGGGCCAAAATATTAATATTACAAATCAAACTGCATGATAAATGCAATTTAAATCAATATCGCAAGTTTTGAGCATGATCTTAAAGAGTTGCAAAACAGATTTTTGAAGAGGGCTGGAGAGGAGTCCAACTCTACAAACAGCCCCAATCAATGGGAGCCTGGTCCAAATGGCTTGATTGTCTGGAACCCAATCCAGTCTGGAATCCATAGCCCTCCTGGAAACAGCCCTTAGATTCTCCTCCTGAGATTTCCCTGTCTACTTCACCAGGGCTTGTGGCTCCTGGGTACCCCTCTGTCAGACTCCAAAATGGACAAGGACCATAACTGAATGACACCTTTCTTTCACCTGGCCTTGAGATGAGTTCTGCACCCAGCCAGGTCCAGCAAGACACATCTGGGGGATGAGCTTGTTCTGGACGCTGGCCTGTGGAACTGTAGCCTGGAGTTGCCAATAGTCCTCTTGGCACTTTAAGGGAGAACATGCCTAGAAATGAATCCAATCCCTAGAGGTAAGGTAACCTCCAGGATGGCTTCAACCATCCTGATTTTCAGAGCTTGTAGCCTTGTCTGATCCCCTCCTCTTATGTGGCTGACCTGCTGACTTGCTTCTAACCTCCAGAATCAAAGGTGAGATTAAGTCTCGAGAGACTGTGACTTTCTCTTTCTCTTTTTCTATTTCCCTCTCTCTCCCTTTCTTCTTCCTCCGCTGCTGCTGCTTCTGCTCCTTCTCCTTCTCCTCCTCCCCCCACCTCTCTAACTTGCTTTGAGAAAGCCAGCCATCATTATGTGAGCTGCCCCGTGGAGTGGTCTATGTGACAAGAAACTGAGAGCCACCTGAACCAGGCAAGTGAGCTCAAAGTGGGTCCTGCCTAGTGGCACTCAGGGCAACCACAAACTGGCTGAGATCATTTCTGTAGCCCCTCAGGCTCTGGGCTCAGGACCTAAGCTCTTATCTGACAGAAACTGAGGTGATAAATGTTGTTTCAAGTTACTAAGTTGTGGGAGTAGAGAGATATTAGGTGACCCCCCCCAACCTCTGTCCTTCTCACAGCCCCCACTTTAGGGAAGACTTCACAGTGCTATTACAAAGAATAGGATATGGCTGGATTATAAAAAAATGAATTTATGCCAGGAGATTTGAGGTAGAGCTAAGGTTCATTGATAAATATATTCTAAATGGATAAAGGAATGAAGTAGAAAAGATAAAGCTAACAGTGCTATATCTGAGAATGGTAGGGTAAGGAGCTTCAGGTCAAGCCTGCTGCTGAAAACAATGACAAAATATTAATAAATTAAGAAATTTGTATACATTTAAATCTGTGTAATAAAATCAGAGCACTCCTTAGGCAGGGAGAAGTAAAGGGCCAGGATCCACACCCAGGAGGGAATGGAAACCCAGGGAAATGAGTCAGGACCACTTTTCCAGCTCTGGAGCACCCCTATTCCAGTCCAGCAAGAGAGGGACTGATGAACTGAAACTCATAGAGCTTGGAAACCAAACCTAGAGCTGCCCACCGGCCCCCCAAGAAGCGAGGCTTCAGGCAAATATCTAACTCTGGGGCTGGAGGCCCCAACAGCCACACCTTGAGAAGAGAAACCTAGACACTGGAAGGAAACTTGGCTTTCACCGAGAACAAAGCCCAGACTCAGATTCCATGACCTCAGGATTCAGGAGTAGTCTCCATCCATCACCACCATTCACAGACTAGCCACTGAGAAAAGCAAAATATTCTCCTCTGAAGGAGGGCATCATTCATAGGCTCAGATTTTCTCTATAGCTTTTGAATAAAAAAAGTCTAACAATGAAAAAATGCCAAAGCAGACAAGAAGACAAGTCATGACCAAAAGACCAGATCACAGAATTAGGATAATGAAATCACTGGAAGTAAACTTTAAAATAACTATGATTAATACATTGAAGAAATTAAAACTCAAGAGTTAGAATTTCAGCACAGAACAAAAAACTATAAAAACGGAATTCTAGAACGGAAAAATACAATAACTGTACATCAGACACAACTAGACACAGGTCAAACAATGCCCTATGATGCTGGAAAAAGCAGAGCCACCACCATACATGAGCCAACAATGCTAAACAGCCTGGTATCATTTGACATGTCAAAGAAACGAAACTTTACACGAATGATTCCTTATCCATTTATTTCCATCCTCCAAACTAAGATTTGGGCTTGTAGCTCCCTTTCCATTTGTTAAAGAAGTTAAATCCATGTGATGAAATTGTCCCAAGTAGATCTTACTGCCAGTCTGAAAGAACTCTGCTAATGCTGAAGTCTACAGACTAGGATTTCAAAGCTATTTGGAGTTGCAAAACCCCATGAGATTGTTTAATTTTGTGACTTCCCTCCTATTCAAGCCTTCTGTCTGTTGAGAGTGGGGGCACATCCGAATTATCACAAAATGAGGATGAAACTACCCCTGGTAATCTACAGCCACATCAACTTTTGTGCTACTTATTTGGACAATATTAAACATTTTTATTTTATGTTGCATACTATTTCAAACAAGATATCTACATTAAAAAAGATTTTCAAAGGAAGCTCTAAAATAATAACTTCTAAGAATGAATAACTGGATTAATAAATATCTGGATTAATCTAAAAGTACACCAGACCAAAGATAGGTATGTCTTTATAACTGAGCCTCAAACTCAACCATGAAGACAAAGTTAGAGGTTGATTTCACCATAACTATCTCCCTTTCATCCTTCTCTGCAAAATACAGTTTAGGTTCTATCGATAGAGATGTCATTAGAATCTCTGTCATTAGAATATTTTAATTCAAACCGTAATTTTTCTGAGAGGCAAAAGAAATAGCATAGTCTAAAAATAAGACCCACACAAAGTACTCTAGTCATTAATTAACAAGCGAAGTAAACTGTTATGCAATAGCTGAAAAGATCTGATGGGCTATTCCTTATGCTGTTATCATTTACCTGAGAAGTTCCAAGAATATACAAACTACTGTTTTGAACTTAGGCCTCAAAGAATCTTGGTAATCACAGTAAATAATGATGAACAAACACATACTAATTAATGAAATGAAGAAAAAAAATTTAACCTATCCAAAAATTCACTTTATTTAATGTTAAAATTCAAGATATGTTCTCTTAAGTTTATATTCAAATGAGCTTATATTTCCAACTCTTGCTGAATGACAGAAGCACACATAATGTTCACATTTTGCTGTAAATGATGGACAAAGCTTTAATGTCCTTCATTGATAAAGGATGGGTACAAATCAACAGAAAAATAGAGAAACATCTGAAAAGAAAAATGAGCACAGGATATGTTCATCTATTCACAAATAAATATAATGTTTTAAAAGAAAAATACTAAATTAAAAATGCAAACTAAAAAATGCAATTTAAAATCTTACCCATCAAATTGAGCAAGTTTTGTGAGTTTTTAAATGTAAGAAGTGGGCTGCATTCCAGGCTATAACAAGCTGTAGGGGAGGCACTACTGTCACTGAGGAAGGGTAGACCAGGTATCTTGATGGACAGTCCCCTTGGCAAGAAAATTCTTGTCCAAGATGCCAATAGCAGGAGTTAATTGTATTAAATTTCTGGAAGTAACCCAAAAAGCTGTTGCTAGGGGTTACTTTGTGGTGTGATCAGACATGAGGTTTCTATTACTTGGCCTGTATGAGCTTCTGTGTTGATTGACACTTGTTCTCTGCTTTCTGTCCACACAGTATATGAATGGAAGTGTTCCATTTGAATTTTTTTTACCTTGATTATTTACCAATTTAATTCAGATAAATGAATTTTAAAGGTAAAAACCAAGCTCTGATTGCAGGGGTCAGGGACTGAATCTCTCCCATATGTGCTTTCCCAGCTAGGGCTGCACCAAAAGGGCTCTGTAGGCTGCTTCAAGTTCTTTCTCCTCCTCTGTCTCCTCTTCCATCCCTTCCATCCATCTCCCCACTCAATCTGTGACAAGAAGCACATTCCTAGTATCCTGCTAGAGTTTTAAATGTATTCTGACATGACTACAGCTAAAGAGAGAGAAGCATTTTTGAAATGAAATGTTAGCTATTAATCACCAAGGAATTAAGATATTATCACACATTTCATACATGGCTGGAAAACATGTTGTTGTTTAAATAAAAGAGTTACAATGTCATATGAAATCAACCTAGGTGCCCACCAATGTTGGGTTGGATACAAAAGTGTGGTACATATACACCGTGAAATACTACACAGCCATAAAAAAGTATAATGTCTTTTGCACCAACATGGATGCAGTTGGGAGGCTGTTATCCTAAGCAAATGAACACAGGAACAGAAAACCAAGTAACCATGTTCTCACCTATAAGTAGCAGGTAAACTCATGGACATGAAGATGGCAACAATAGAAACTAGGGACTCTAGCAGGGAGGGAGAGGGGCAAGAATTGAAAAATTGACTATTAGGTACTGCGCTCAGTGCTTGATTGACAGGATCAATCGTACCTTAAACCTCAGCATCACACTATATACCCAGGTAATAAACCAGCTCATGTACCCCCTGAATCTAAACTAAAAGTTGAAATAAAAAAGAATTACGTGTTTTGTCTAGATATCTTTTAAAAATACACAAATATCTAATTTATTTGTGTTTTAGAAACAAATAAAACCATCGGATTTATAGTTGATGCCAGGGCTCACACACACTCCAGCAGACGTCAAGGCATCCTGAAAGTCACCCAATTATCCCATAGCAATGGTATTTATGGGTTTTTGAATAAACATGGAAATTGAAACTTCCAGTCTTAAAACTTGAAATTTACTTTTGTCTCATCTGAGTTCCACCTTCAGGAAACTCTCTGTCAGGCAAGGGACCGAAACTCACTAGATCATTGTATACAGACAATGAGATATCAGACCCTTCATTCCTTCTGATTGCTTCTCAGATAGAAGATAAGAAGTCCCAGAATTTGTAGTTGGCAAGCTGGAGACCAAGGAGAACTGATGGTATAAGTTCTAGCTCAGGTCTGAAGGCTAGTGACCCAGGAGAGCTGGTGGTGTAATTTCCAGTCTGAGTGTAAGTCCTAAGGAAAAGAAGACTGATGTCCCAGCTTGAAGATAGTCAAGCACACAAAATGAATTCTCATTCCAGCATTTTTGTTCTATTCAGACCTTCAATGAAGTGGATGAAGCCCACTCATATTGGGGAGAACAATCTGCTTTGCTCAGTCTACTGATTCGAGCATTAATCTCATCCAGAAACACCCTCACAGGCATATCCAGAATAATGCTTAACCAAGTATCTGGGCATCATGGCCAAATCAAGTTAACGCACATCCACATTGCTGCTAAGGACATGGTTTTATTCCTTTTATGGCTGCTTAGTATTCCCTGGTGTATATGTGTCACATTTTCTTTATCCGGTCCACCATTTGTGGGTATTTAGGTTGATTTTATGTCTTTGCTATTGTGAATAGTGCTGCAATGAACATGTATGGGCATGTGCTTTATGGTAGAAGGATTTATATTCCTTTGGGTATATACCCAGTAATGTGATTGCTGGGCTGATTGGTAGACCTGTTTTAAGTTCTCTGAGAAATCTCCAAACTGCTTTCCACAGTGGCTGAACTAATTTACATTCCCACCAGCAGTGTATAAACATAACCTTTCTCCATAACCTCACCAGCATCTTGTTATTTTTTGACTAAATAAGTAGACATTCTGACTAGTATGAGATAGTATCTCATTGTGGTTCTGATTTGTATTTCTCTAATGATTAGTGATGTTGAACATTTTTTTCATATGCTTGTTGGCTGTGTGTATGTCTTCTTTTAAGAAGTGTCTGTTCATGTCCTTTGCCCACTTTTTAACGGAGTTGCTTTTTGCTTGTTAATTTATTTAAATTTCTTATAGGTTCTGGATATTAGACATTTGTCAGATGCATAGTTTGCAAATTTTTTTTTCTCATTCTGTAGGGTGTCTGTTTTGCCTGTTGATGGTTTCTTTTGCTGTGCATAAGCTCTTTAGTTTGATTCAGTCCCATGTGTGAATTTCTGGTTTTGTTGCGATTGCTTTTGGTGCTTTTGTCATGAAATCTTTGCCAGAGCCTGTATCCAGAATAGTATTTCCTAAGTTATCTTCAGAGTTTTTATACTTTTAGATTTTATATTTAAGTCTGTAATCCATCTGCAGTTGATTTATGTATATGGTGTAAGGAAGGGGTCTAGTTTGAATCTTTTGCATATGGCCAGCCAGTTATCTCAGCACCATTTGTTGACTAGGGAATTCTTTCCTTATTGCTTGTTTTCATCCACTTCGTTGAAGATCAGATGGTTGTAGGTGAGCGGGATTATTTCTAGGCTTTCTATTTTGTTCCGTTGTCTGCTTTTGTACCAGTATCATGATGTTATGGTTACTGTAGCCTTATAGTATAGTTCAAAGTTGGGTAGTAGGATGCCTCTGACTTTGCTATTTTTGCTTACGATTGTTTTGGCTATTCTTCCTCTTTTTTGGTTCCATATGAATTTTAGAATAGCTTTTTTAGTTCTGTAAAGAATGTCACTGGTATTTTGGTAGAAATAGCATTGAATCTGTAAATTGCTTTGGCCAGTATGGCCATTTTTACCATATTGATTCTTTCAATCCATGACTATGGAGTGTTTTGCCATTTATTGTGTCTCCATTAATTTCTTTCAGAAGTATTTTGTTATTCTTATTGTAGGGATCTTTCACCTCTCTGAGTAGCTGTATTCCTAGGTATTTTATCCTTTTTAGTTATTGTGAGTGGGATTGCATTCTTGATTTGGCTCTCAGCTTGGATGTTATTGGAGCATAGAAATGCTACTGATTTGTGTACATTGATTTTGTATCTTGAAAATTTACTGAAAGTATCAGTTATAGGAACCTTGGGCAGAGACTATGAGGTTTTCTAGGTATATCATCTGCAAAGAGAGACAGTTTGACTTCTTCTCTTCCTATTTGGATGCCATTTCTTTCTTTGTCTTTCTTAATTGCTCTGGCTAGGATTTCCAGTAATATGTTTAAAAGGAGTGGTGAGAGTGGGCATCCTTGTCTTATTCCAGTTTTCAAGGGGAATGTTTTTTGCCCATTCAGTATGTTGTTGACTGTGGTTTTGTAATAGATGGCTCTTAATATTTTGAGGTATGTTTCTTCAATGCCTAGTTCATTGAGGGTTTTTAACATGAAGGGATGTTGAATTTTATTGAAAGCCTTTTCTGCCTCTTTAAGATGATCATGTGGTTTTTGTTTCTAGTTATGTTTATGTAATGGATCATATTTATTGATTTGTGTTTGTTGAGCCAATCTTGCATCCCAGGAATAAAGCCTACATGATCATGGTGGATTAGCTTTTCGATGTGATGCTGGATTCAATTTGCTAGTATTTTGTTGAGAATTTTTATGTCTATGTTCATCAGCGATATTGGTCTGAATTTTTTGTTGTTGTTGTGTCTCTGCCAGATTTTGGTATCAGGATGATGCTGACCTCTTAGAATGAGTTAGAGAGGAGTTCCTCCTCTGCATTTTTCTGGAATAATTTCAGTAGGATTGGTACCTGTTCTTTTTTACACATCTAGTAGAGTTTATATGTAAATCACTCTGGTCCAGGGCTTAATCTGATTGGTAAGTATTTTTATTAGTGTTTCAATTTTGGAACTTGTTATTGGTCTGCTCAGGCATTCAATTTCTTTCTGGTTTAATCTTGAGAGGTTGTAGGTTTCCAGGAATTTATGCATTTCTTCTAGATTTTCTAGTTTGTATGAATAGAGATGTTCATAATAGTATCTCAGGATTTTTTGTATTTGTTTGAGGTTAGAGGTAAAGTCACCTTTGTCATTCCTGATTGTGTTTATTTGGATCTTCTTTTTTTCTTCATTAGTCTAGCTAGTGCTCTATCAATCTTATTAATTGCTTCTAGAAACAAACTTCTGGTTTCATTGATGTTTTGTGTGGATTTTTACTTATCAAATTCATTCAGCTCAGTTCTGATTTTTGTTATTTCTTTTATCCCTGTAATCTTAAAGTTGTTTTCCTCGTCATTTTCTAGTTCCTTTAGGTGGGATGTTTGGTTGTTAATTTGACATCTTTGTGACGTTTTTAGCGCTATGGTTTTCCTCTTAACACTGCTTTAACAGTGTCCCAGAAATTTTGGTATATTGTATTTTTGTTTTTATTTGTTTCAAATAATTTGTTGATTTCTCCCTTAATTTCTTCAGGAGCAGGTTGTTTAATTTCCATGTAATTGTGTGGTATTGAGAGATCTTGGTATTTATTTCTACTTTTATTGTACTGTGGTCTGGTTGGTATAATTTTTTTTAATTTGTTGAAAATTGCTTTATGGCCAAGCCTGTGGTTGATCACAGATTATGTGCTATATGCAGATAAAAAGATTGTATATCCTGTTGTTTTTGGGTAGAGTGTTCTGTAGATGGCTGTTACACATTTTGTTAGGTGTCAAATTTGAGTCCCAAATCTTTGTTAGTTTTGTGCCTCAGTGATCTAAGACTGTCAGTGGGCTGTTGAAGTCTCCCACTATTATTATGTGTCATTTAAGTCTCTTTGTAGGTTTCAAATAACTTATTTTATGAATCTGGTGCTCCTGTGTTGGGTGCATTTATATTTAGGGTAGTTAAGTCTTCTTGTTCAATTGGATACTTTATCATTATGTAATGCCCTTCTTTGTCCTTATTTATTATTGTTGATTTAAAGTCTGTTTGGTCTGAAATTAGGATAGAGACTTCTGCTGTCCTTTGTTTTCTGTTTGCTTTTTAGATTATTCTGTGTGCCTTTACTTTCAGCCTATGGGTGCCATCACGTGTGAAATGGGTCTCTTGAAGACAGCATACATCACTCCTGTTTCTTTATTCAGATTTTCACTCTGTGCCTTTTAAGTGGGGCATTTAGCCCCTTTACCTTCAAGGTTAATACGGATATGTGCAAATTTCATACTGTCATCATATTGTTAATTGGTTTCTAGGTAGACTTGATGGTCTAGTTGCTTTATAGTGTCAGTAGACTATGTACTTAAATAGGTTTTTTTCATGGCAGGTAACAGCCTTTTGTTTCCATGTTTAGTATTCCCTTATAGACCTTTTATAAGGAAGATCTGGTAGTAATAAATTCCCTTAGTATTTGCTTGGATGAAAAGCATTTTATTTCTCCTCCACTTATGAAGCTTACTTTGGCTGGATATGAAATTCTTACTTGGAATTTCTTTTCTTTAAGGATGCTGAATATAGGCCCCCAATCTCTTCTGGCTTGTAGAGTTTCTGCTGAAAGTTCTGCTGTTAGCCTGATGGAGTTCCTTTTTATGTGATCTGCCCCTTCTCTTCAGCTGCCTTTAATATTTTTTCTTTCATGTTGACCTTGGAGAATCTGATGCTATGTGTTTTGGGCATATTCATCTCATATGGTATCTCACTAGTGATCTCTGAATTTCCTGAATTGGCATGTTCACCTCTCGTGAGCTTGAGGAAATTTTTATGGAAAATATCTACAAATATGTTTTCCAGTTGCTTGCTCTCTTTTCCTCTCTGGGATGCCAGTGAGTTGTAGGTTTGGTCTCTTTACATAATTTCATACTTTTCAGCTGTTTTGCTCACTTTACAAAATTCTCTTTATTCTTTTTTTTTTTTTTTTTTTTTTTTTGAGATGGAGTCTCACTCTGTCACTCAGGCTGGAGTGCAGTGGCATGATCTTGGTTCACTGTAACCTTCACCTCCTGGGTTCAAGTGATTTTCCTGCCTCAGCCTCCCAAGTAGCTAGGACTACAGGCATGCACCAATATGCCTGGCTATTTTTTTTTTCTGTATTTTATGTAGAGACGGGGTTTCACTATGTTTGCCAGGCTGGTCTCGAACTTCTGACCTCTGGTGATCTGCCCACCTCAGCCTTCCAAAGTGCTGGGATTACAAGCATGAGTCACCATGCCCAGTCTTCTTTATTCTTTTCTGACTGAGTTGATTCAAAGAACTGGTCTTCAAGCACTGAAAATCTCTCAGCTTGGTCTATTCTGGTGTTAATACTTCTGATTATATTATGAAATTCTTGTAGTGAGTTTTTCATCTCTAGAAGGTCAGTTTGGTTCTCAAAATGGCTATTTCATCTTTCAGCTCTTGTATCATTTTGTTGGATTCTTTTAGATTCCTTGTATTGGGTTTCAACTTTCTCCTGAATCTTGATAATCTTTGTTGCTACCTGGATTCTTAATTGTACATTTGTCATTTCAACCATTTCAGACCAACTTAAAGAACCATTGGTGGGGAGCTAATGCAGTCATTCGGAGGTAAGAAGACTTCCTGACGTTTAGAGTTGCTAGAGTGCTTGTGCTGGTTCTTTCTCATCTGTGTGGCCTGATGTTCCTTCCTTAAATCTTTAAAGTTGCTGTCCTTTGGATGGCACTTTTTGCTTTCATATTCTTTGATGACCTTGAAGGGTTTGTTCATGTTATGAGTTGGGTTTTATTGATTGGTTTCATTTCTGGATTATTTCAGGGGGCTGAGGTTCAGAAGGGCAGAGGTGTTCCTGGTTGGCTGGCAACAAAACTCTGATGACGAGTACTGGCAAAACTGTTTCACCAGGGAGGTGGTGGGCTGCAGTGGTTCCCGTATGTGTGCTTGCACCAGTGGTGGTGGGCAGTGATGGGTCCTGCATGTGCACATGAGCCATCAAAGCAGTGGAAGGAGGCTATGGGTGAGTGCAGACTGGAAGGGGAAGGCTGTGCATGGGTGCATGCCCAAAGGGACCTATGTGCAGAAGCTCTCTGACTGTTAGGTGGGTTTTGCTGGCAAAAGGCCTGTGGCATTAGCTGCTGGTAAGCCCTGCAGATGGGCAGCTGAGGCTGCACTGTAAGAGGTGGCAGACAGGCTGGGACCCTGGGATAGGCCAGCAGGCATGGGGGACACCCAGATCATACTATCCCTGTCCCATGGGCAAGATAGCCCTATTCTGTCCCAGTCTGGCAGATAACAAAGGCTAAAGCCACCTAGATGAGTACAGAGAGCTTTGGGGGATCGGCACCCTTTACTGTGCCCCACTGCAGCCATTCACATACCAAAATCTTTTGGATTCATGAAGGCTGAAATTCTGTCATTGCCAACTCTCTGGGACATTCCCCCTGCCATGTCAAATGTTCATTATGGTCGTGGGGTCTCCTGCAACTAGGATTCTGGGGATCTGTGGTGAGAGTGGGCCACTCTATGCCTATTTCACTCACCCCTCTCCCAAGATCCCCTTGGGGCCAGGAATGAGTCCTGGTGCTAGGCAACCATGTGCATGGTGTCCCAGCTTTCTACCTTTTCAGGCCAGGTTTGAATCCTCCCTTTGTCCACTCTCAGTGCCTTGTTTTCAAAAATCTGTTTGGACTATCCGAGCCTACTTGATGATCTGGCCTCTTGGTGGGAGAAGTTCTTCCTGGCTGCATCTAGTTGGTCATCTTAGCTCCAATAAATACTTCTGATTATTTTCTGTGGGCGAATACCTGAAGGTTTTGGGAAGATCGGGAAGATGTACTGAAGATGTCAATTTCAGGAAAAGTAACATCATGCTAATGGAATTTTGTCAAGTGGCCTTTGTTATCCAGATAAAAAAAAATTTGGATGATGGGATAGAAATATAATGCCAGGATATACAATAATATATTGTTTCTGAATACCTTATGGAAAAATGCCTAATTTTAGGATTTCTTTGTATTATTTAATTTTATTTTAATCATTTTTTAAATACAGGTTTCTCAAAAATAAGTAGTGCTGAGTAATTTCATTTGACTTAAAGTCTAAATGATCAAGGAATATTCACTATTGTTTTTAAATTTTTCTATATGGATGCTATCATGAAGTCTGTAACAATGAAAGAATCCAATTTATGAAATAATCTTATTTCCAAATATTCTCTATACAAGATAAATTAATGTTTCTAAACAATGTGTTTGGTCATTTTGATAAGACTTGGTCAACTTGGCAACTTTTACTACATCAGTAACTGAAATGGTATCTCTGAGCATTAGTGTTTTCATTTTTTGAATCTCTTTATTGACTGGTACTTCCAGAAAGTGATGGATAAATATTTTTGCAGAAAAATCCTGCCATTTTCTTGAGAGGTCACTTTGATTAAGCAAGATATTAAAAAATTCAAGAAATTTATAATCTCTTCTTAGCCTTTTGGCTAAGATTATGTGAATAAATCTGTATATTATTTTATTTTGTAAAAGAAAGAAATACTCTTTATTCAAATGTCAATGTGTTGTAAGCATCAATAGAATATAATAAAACCAATGTAAAGAAAGACTTTTAAATATTTTTCCCTTTAGAGGCCAGGTATGGTGGCTCAAGCCTGTAACCCTAGCACTTTGGAGAATAAACTTTACAGTTAGCCTAGAACATTTATAAAGAACATGGACATTGTTGTCAAACAAACCTGGATTCTAATTTGCTGCTTTTATTTACCTCTTGCCTTTACTTGGGCAGGGTATTCTAAACTATCACATATTCAGACATGCCATTATTCAATAATGAAGGGCTACTGTTGTAGCACCTTCTTTCCCATTAATCTTTATGCCTTTTCCCTCCTCCCTCAATTTTTTTTTGATGAGGGATTTATTTCTACATGACATTTGGTGAATATATGTATGTATGTGTATATCTTTACAACCACACATATATGTATGTACACTTACACATAAACATACATGCACACACAAACAATATGCCCAGAATATGTAACAATGCCTGACGCATAGTATGTAATCAATAAATATTTGTTCAATCAATACATTGTAAATTTAATTCACTCATAAATTATACTCTGTTTCATGCCTTTGCACTACAATATATTTGATAAAGAATATTATAAATTATTGGCCACAATTCCAGTCTCAGAGGTTATGGGTAGCATCAACACCCACATATTGGGACCCTAGAGAAAAGATGGCCAAAGCAGCATCCTACCCACAAAAATTATCTAACAAGTCCACTAGCTAAGTATACCTTCACTATTCTTTTTTTCTCTATGCTTCTGCTTGATTATATGGTGTTCGTTTTTTAATAATTATTACAGAATGCTTATTATAGATCATTAGGAGAAGTATAAGAATAAAAGTAAAAACACACTCAAAACTCCATCACTAGACACCTGCTTTTATAATTTAGTGTGGACTGTATTTCCTTCTATTTTTTGTTTTCTTTAAGACGGAGTCTCGCTCCATCACCCAGGCTGAAGAGCAGTGGTGTGATCTCGGCTCACTGCAACCTCTGCCTCCTGGGTTCAAGCAATTCTCCTGCCTCAGCCACCCAAGCAGCTGGGATTGCAGGCACGTGCCACCACTCCAGCTCATTTTTAGTAGATACGGGGTTTTACCATATTGGCCAGGCTAGTCTTGAACTCCTGACTTGAGGTGATCCACCCACTCGGCCTCCCAAAATTCTGGGATTACACGTGTGAGCCACCATGCCCAGCCTCTTTCTAATATTTTTAAATATACATTTCCTGCCTCCCTCCCTCTCCTCCCTTCTTTTCCCTTCCCCTGCCCCTCCCCCTTTCCTCCCTTCCCCTCCCCTCCCCTCCCCCCAACCTCCTTCCCTCCTCTCCTGCCTTCTCTGGTTTCTCTTTATTCCTTCCCATAATTGATATCATGTTATATACTTTTATATTGTGTATATGCACTTTTACCTTTAAAATAAATTTCCAGAAAAGTTTTCTCTTCATTTCCATCAAAAGATTCCCATTTATCCAATCTCTATCTTACAGCAATATCATTTAAAAATGGTTGTTAATTCTTGTTAATGTGATAGATGAAAATAGAATATTAATATTGTTACTCAAAAACATATTTAAGCATTTCAAAAATCTGTGAAATTATTTAGTTTTTATTTTTCTGTTTTTACCGCTTTTAAGTTTTTACAGCTTTCTGCTGTAGATTCCTTATTCTTTCTATGCACACCCATGACTTCTACAAATAATTATATTCTTTTTAATCTTTATAACTATTTGTGTCCTATTTCACTGGCTAGGACCTTCAGAATAATGTCGAATTGAAGGTGACAGAGCATATATTATTGTCTTACTCCTACCATAGATAGAAAGGGCTATCAACATCGAGCAGGATTCTAGCTATAGGTTTTTTATAGGTCACCTTATCATGTTGAAGAAGCTTCTTTCTATTTCTGCTTGCTGAGAGTTGTTATTTTGAATGATTGTTGAACTTTATAAAAACAATTAATGCTCCTGTTAAAATTATCATATAGCTCTTTTTCTGTATTCTAGTAATATAATAAAATCTATTATTTGATATATGGTTGCTAACAATCTTCATTCCCCGGTAAACTGCACTTAGTCATTATGTATTATCCCTTATATATATTGTTGGATTTGATTTGCTAAAATTCTTTTCAAGATTTTAGATCTGTGTTTATGAGAGATACTTATCTGCAGTTCTCTGCTTTTATAATGTCTTTGTCTGATTTTGATAGCAAGGTCATGCTGACCACACAAAATAAAATGGAAACTTCCTCTTCTATTTACTGAAAGAGTTTTTTGTGTGAAATTAGTAGTATTTCTTCCTAAAATTTTTGATAGAATTTGAAGTGAAGCCATCTGGACCTGAAGTTTTCTTTGATGGAAGGTTTTAAGTGATAATATCAATATTTAAGATTGATATAAGAGTATTCATTCTTTTTTTTCTTCTTGAATTAGTTTTGGTTCATCTATGTCTTCCAAGAAATATGTATATTTTATCTAGGTTGTAAAGTTTATTTGCATTAAGTTGGTAAAATTATTTCCTTATTATACTTTTTGTGTGTGAAGAGTCTGCAATTATGTCCCCTCTTTCATTTCTAATATTATTAATTTGTATCTTCTTTTTTTTATTCATGATTATTCTGGGTAGAGATATATCAGTTTTATCAATATCTTAAATGAACCAATTTTAGCTTTATTGATGTTTCACTACTGTTCATTTGTATTTCATTGATTTTTATTCTTGTCACTGTTTATTTTAGTGAATATGGATTTATTTTGCCTTTCTTGACAAATTTCTTGGTGCTCAGATTATTGGTTTCATTTCTTTGCTTTTTTTTTTAGTATTAGCATTTAGTGCTGTTAATTTCCCTCTAGGAACTGCTTTAGTTGCATTTTTAAAATTTTGGTATGTTAGATTTTATTACATTTAGTTAAAAATAATTTTTATTTCCCTTGTGATTTCTTCTTTGATTTGTGAATTGCTTAAATATGTGTTGTTTAATTTGCAGTATTTGGTGGTTTCCTATTCCAATGTAGTGAAATCTTTTTAATTTATTAATTCCTGTTTTATGTTCTATCCTAGTAATGTACCATGTACATTTGAAAGAAATGTGAACTCTACTATTTTTAGGCATAATTTTTTGTAATTTTCACCAGGACAGTTGATAATACTGTTCAATTTTTCTACATATTTGCTAATTTGTATATCTAGTTGTTCTAATAATTGTTGAGAAAGAGGCGTCAGCATGTTCAGCTATGACCATGGAGTTATCTCTCTCTCCCTATAATTATGTCAATTTTTGGTCTGTCTTTAGATGCATACACATTAGTGATTTTTATTCCTCATAAATTGACATTTTATTATAATTAAATATTCCTCTCTCTGCTTATACATTAGTCTTATATTTTATGTGATATAAATACAGCCACTTCAGCCCTTTTATGTTTATTGTTTGCATGTCGTATTCTTTTCCATCCATTTACTTTTAGCATATCTGTGTCTTTAAAGAATACTTTTTTTTTACAGCATGTAATTGTGTTTTAAAAAAATTCATTCCAACAATTTTACTCTTTTTTAGTTATTAGTTTTCGTTTGATTAGTCTATAGTATTTAATGTAATTATATATATGACTGGATTTTGTCTATGTCTTCATAATTGTTTTTTCTACTTTCCTCTTCTGATTTTTTTTTCTGTTGGTTCTACACTCTTGACTTTTTTGGATTATTTAAGCATGTTAAATTTTTTAAAATTGTTTTGGTTATTTTAGGTTGTACTTCTTCATTTTAATTAATTATTTTTAAAAAAAGTTTGCTCTAGGGATTATAATAAACATTGTTAACATTTGTAGCCCAGTCAGTGTTAAACTTGTACAGATCCATGTAAAATACAGGAATCTTACAAATGTATAGATCGTTTCCTAACTGATTATGTATATTATAGTTGTTATATGTACTACATGTCCAAAATTTATATGGTAATATGATTATTCAATAGTCATTTGGTCGTTATTTCTTAAAATATTTTTTCTGTCTCATTCTTCCTCATCCTCCTTCTGACATTGCCATTACCTGTATGTTAGGCCATTTGATATCTAACAGATCCCCGAGGCTCTGTTTCCTTCTTTCAAGATTCTTTAGTCTGTATTTTAGTGTTGGATAATTTCTATTGAGCTGTCTTCAAGTTTACCTACTTTTTTATTGTGCGCTCTGTAGGCTGTTCAAACCACAGCCACAGAAATTTTTAATGTCAGATCTAGCATTTTTTAGAACTACCTTTTTCTGTTCTAGAGTTTACATTTGTTCTTTTTTATTGGCTCTAGTCTGCTGAAATTTCCCATTTTCCATTCATGAAACCATATTGCATTTCCTGAGGGTAATTACAATAGCCATTTAAAAATCCTTGCCTGTTAGTTTTAGTACTGACTTCATCTTATGTTTGGATTTAGCTGATTTTCTTTCTCTTAAGAAGTTGCTTATTTTCTTGATTCTTTATATATTAGATCATATTGGATTAAATTCTAGACAATATAAATATTAAATTATGGAAATTCTGTATTCTTTTATTTTTGTACAGTGGGCAGTGTTTTGTTGGTTTTAGCAAGTAATTATCTTGACTGAGGTTGTATTACAAACTTTTTTTTGGGGATGGCATCTCCAGTCTAATGTTAGACACTTTGTCTTTGACTTAGTCGTTTTGAGTTTATTCAGGACACCCATGGCTCAGAAGTCAGCAAGGATGTAACTGATAGAATTTGTGTCACCCCATTCTAAATTTTCTTTTCTTAATTCTTCCATTCTCTTCTGAAACTATGGTTTCCCCATCTAAAGAGGCTGGATTTTTTTCTAGCATTGCTTTTGACACCAGTGTGCACTTAAAAAAATAAAAAAGGATAAAAGTTATGAAAACGGGGAAAGTATATTGTACAGCTCTCCTCCTCCTCTCTTTAAGCCTAAATTGTCACCAGAATCTGTTTGCTTTTGTTCACTCTCTAGTTCTTTCAGGGAGTTGCTTTTTGAATTCTTATTTTCTGTGATACAGTCATCTAATATGATCTTATTCTGTTGTAACCGAAATGGAAACAAATGGTATTATTTTAAAACTATATTGTCTATTTGTGTTTTCTTTTTTCCTGATATATACATGTAGAGAGAGAGAGACACAGAAAGTAGAATGGTGGTTGTTAGAGTGTGGGGCAGTTATATATATGTATTATAAACATGCATATATATATGCATTATAAACATGCATATATATATGCATTATAAACATGCATATATATATGCATTATAAACATGCATATATATGCATTATAAACATGCATATATATATGCATTATAAACATGCATATATATGCATTATAAACATATATATGCATATTGGTCTTTGTAAATCCTCATTGATTTCTATATATATAATTTCATTATACATATAATTTTCATTTATATATATTTACTGAATATGTATATTGAAATTATACATATAAATGCATGTTGACCTCTATAAATCCTCTTAATGATTTCAGAAGTTTTCTTGTAGTTTCTTTTGGAGTTTCCATTTTACACTATCTCTAATACAATGTTGACTAGAGTCGGTGATAGTGAGCATTCTTGATTTATTCTCAGTGTCAGCACAAAAATATGCAATAACTGACCATTTAATATTTCTTTTGAAATACTTTTTATCAGATAAGGAGGTTTCTTTCTATTTATTGCTTGTAAAGTGTTTTATATAAATAGCTATTGAATTTTTATCATATTCCTTTCCACATTTATTGAGGTGACTGAAAAATCATATAATTTTCCTTTTTTCTGTAAATATAATGAATTACATTGATTTTTTTAAAAAAAATCACATTTGCATTCTTAGATAAAGACTAATGATTGCAATATACTATCCTTTTTATAAATTGCTGCCTTCAAATTACTAACATTTTATTTAGGAGGTTTGTATGTATGTTCATGAGTTGGATAGGTATTTAATTTTTTTCTTTTCATATTATCATCCAGTGTTAGAATCAAATTTATTTTTGTTCTCATAAAAATAGGTGTTGAGAAATACTTTCCTTTTGCTATTCTCTGGAAGTTTGTATAAGATTCATTTTATGTAGCTCTTAATAATTTAGAGTAATTTATCGGTTAAATCTCCTAGGCCTCAAGTTTTTCTTACAGAATAGTTTAAATAATGAATCCAGTTAAAAATCGGTGGCTCACGCCTGTAATCCCAGCACTTTGGGAGGCCAAGGCGGGCGGATCATGAAGTCAGGAGATCGAGACCATCCTGGCTAACACGGTGAAACCCCGTCTCTACTAAAAAAATACACAAAATTAGCCGGGCGTGGTGGTGGGCGCCTGTAGTCCCAGCTACTCGGGAGGCTGAGGCAGGAGAATGGCGTGAACCAGGGAGGCGGAACTTGAAGCGAGCCGAGATCACGCCGCTGCACACCAGCCTGGGCAACAGAGTGAGACTCCGTCTCAAAAAAACACAAAAAACAAACAAACAAACAAAAAACCATATAGGAGTATAATATTTAAATACTTCTTTTTTGGGGGGAGGACAGTTTTTCCCCCATTTTAATCATTTGTAAACGTACAGTTCAGTGGCATTAAGTACATTCACATTGTCATGCAACCATCAACATCACACATCCACAGAACGCTTTTCATTTTGCAAAACTGAAACTTTGTATCTATTAAACAATAACTCTCCTTTTCTGCTGTCCCACACTCTAACAGCCACCAGTCTACTTTCTGTCTCTATCAATTCGACTACTGTAAGCGTACCTTGCGTAAACTTACGTGGAATCAAACTGTATTTGTCCTTTAGGGACTGGCTTATTTCACTTAGCATTATGACTTCAGATTCATTCATGTTACATATCTGAATTTTCTTCCTTTTTAAAGGTGAATAATATTTTGTTGTGTATATATATATATGTTTTGTTCCTCCTCTTACCTGTCAATGAACATATAGGTTGGAATTCTTTCAAATTTGGCAACTACAAATAATGCTGCTTTGAGTATAGGTGCACAAATATCTGTTCAAGTCCCTGCTTTCAATTCTTTTGGTATATACTCAGAAGTAGAATTACTTAATCACACGGTAATTGTAATTTTAGTTCTTTTTAGGAGTTGCCATACTTTTTTCCGTAGTGGCTGCACCATTTTACATTCCCATCAACAGTGTATAAGAGTTACAATTTCTCCACATCCTCAACAACACTTAATTTTCTTTCTTTTCTTCTTTCTTTCTCTTTCTTTCTTTTCTTTCTTTCTCTCTCTCTTTCTTTCTTTCTCTATCTCCTTCCTTCCTTCCCTCCTTCCTTCCTTCCCTCCTTCCTATTTCTCTCTCTCTTTCTTTTTTCTCCTTCCTTCCTTCCCTCCTTCCTTCCTCTTTCTTTCTTTCTCCTTCCTTCCTTCCTTCCTTCCTTCCCTCCCTTCCTTCCTGTTGGTCTTGCTTTGCTTGTTTTTTTCTCTCTCTCTTTTTCTTTCTTTTTAAATAGACATGATAATGGATGTGAGGCGGTATCTTACTGTGGTTTTGACTGTGCATTTAAGTGGTACCTTATTTTACATTTCCTTAATGACTAGTGATGTGAAGCATCCTTTTATGTCCTCATTGGCATTTGCATATCTTCTCTGGAGAAATGTCTATTCAAGTCGTTTGCCCACTTTAAAGTCAGGGTTTGTTGTTGCTGAGCTATAGGAATTCTTTAATATTTTGAATATTACTTCCTTATCAGATATGTGATTTGTAAATATTTTCTCTCATTTTGCGGGTTGCCTTCTTATTCTGTTGATAATGTCATTTGATGCACAAGTTTTTAATTTTGATGCAGTTCAATTTGTCTACTTTTTCTGTTGTTGCCTGTGTCTTCGGTGTTTTAGCCAATAAATCATTGCCAATTCCAATCTTATGAAGTTTTTCCTTTATGTTTTCTTCTAAGAGTTTTGCAGTTTTAGCCCTTATGTGTAGACCTCTGATTTGTTTTAATTTTTGTATATGGTATGAGGGCTCAATTTCATTCTTTTGCATGGATATCCAGTTTTCCTAACTTCATTTGTTGAAAAGATAGTTTCTTCCCTGTTAAGTAGTCTTTACACACTTGTGAAAAATCATTTGTCCCTTTAAGTCAGAATTTATTTATGGGCTATTCTATTCTATTGGTCTGTTTATCCTTATGCCAGTACCATATTTTGACAAGTTGTGGTTCTAAGAATTTTCTATATTCTGTAAACTGTCAAAATTAATGGGATAATATCTGATTATTTTTAAATGTCTAATGGATCTGTGATTATTCCCCATTTTTACTTTTTATGATTGATAATTTGAGTTTTTGCTGTTTTTCAGCAATCTTTTTAGGAACTTATCAATTCATTAACTTTTGAAAAATCATCTTTTGGTTTTATTAAAGTTCACTTTTGTATGTTTGCTTTCTATTTCTGTGATTTATATTTTTAATTGCTCTCATGTCTTCTCAATTCACTGTTACAAAATATTCTTCTATTTTCTATGGAAAGTTATTTTATAAGGTAACTACAATTTTCAAATTTCATTACTTGTAATTTTGGTCCTTGAATTTCTAAAATAACTATATAATTCTTAGAGAAACAGGTATGTTCCTGAAAAAGAAGTGTATAATAATTTACTTGAGTTGTGCAAATTATAAAGCAGTAAAGTATGTATTAATGACTAACACTAATTACACCAGGTCTATTTTCTACATATTTTTCATGCTTCAAATTTCTTCGTCAGCACTCAGTGCAGAACCATCCTTTGTTTAGTGATTGCACATTCAGAGCTGTGGCATGAAGGCTAACTGTGTTGAAAATATAAGAAAGCAAACACAAAAAAGACCTATTAACCATAATCGAAGGCACATTTATGCCATACAATAGATTAGGTAGTTAATTAGGTTAAATGTTGAATTTCAAAGGTGAGAAATGTGTGCTGCTGCTTACTATCTTTTCCAAAAAGGTGGCTAGACCATTACACAGAAGGAGTAATTTCTTCTGAGACAGTGGAATTCTATTTACACTCTATTAAAATATAAATTTTACATCAGTCCAAAGCTTGTATCCAGAAATTAAATTACTAGCCATTGTGCTCTGGGAGGTAATTACTTGAAAATCTGATTAATTCTGAATTAATTTTTAATGCAGGTAGAATATTAAATGATTATAAAGAGCAAAAAAATTATCAAGACAGCCGTAAACTGTCTTAGTTTAGACTCAAGACACTCTTTACTTTCTACAAAGTATTTCAGAGAGAAAAAATAGATAACCCTGGCATTTATTTCATTATTTGATTTTATCAGCGACTCCAGGCATTCAACTCAGCTAAGATAAAATTCTAATCTAAAGATGTGTTTAGATTCTTTTCTCCTTGAAAGTCTGCTTAATAGGAACTAAAGAAGACTTTAGGTAAGTGAATGTCCTATAATTTGTCACCTTCTTAAAAAATCCATCTATTATGGAAAATATAATGTATGATTTCAAACTCAGGATTACAAAAAAGGTAAAATCATTGATAGAAAATTCCAAAACTATTTAATTTTTTATGTATAATTTCAAGTTTAAGGAACTTCAGAAATGTTTATCATGTCAGGGTATATCAGTCCATTTGCATTGTTAAGAAGGAATACCTAAGACTGGGTAATTTATAAAGAAAAGAGGTTTATTTTGGCTCAAGTTTCTGCAGGCCATATTGGAAATGTGGTGCCAGCATTTGCTTCTGGTGAGGGCCTCAGGAAGCTTACAGTCATGGCAGCTGGTATGGGGGACAAGGCATATCACATGGCAAAAAAAAAAAAAAAAAAACAAGAGAAAGCGGGGAGGTGCCACACTCTTTAAACAACCAGCTCTTGTCAACTGCCAGAATGAGAACTTACCATGGAGATGACATCAAGCCATTCATGAAGGAGCTGCACCCATGGTCCAAATATCTCTTATGAGGTCTCACCTTTGATATTGGGAATTACATTTCAATATGAGGTTCAGAGAGGACACACATCCAAATTATATTATGTGCACCATTGCCTTTTATTATTTTTTAATTTAGCAAATTCAGATTCATACTTTTTTTTGATGCTCATAATTTGATGGTCATAATTTTCCTTCAAAATGCTCAATCCTTATGTTTTGTTATGGCTTTTAGTTGTCAACTTTCTAAAATTAACCCTATTCTTTCAGGTGGGTTTACTCTGGTATCCAAATAATCCATATACTTTTTCATTGCATGAGCATGCAGATGAATTGATAGGCAGATCCATATACTACTGTTAATGACAATCTTTTGTCTTGGTTGTCCAAAGTTGCCAAATTTCTATTTGAGCAATAGTTTTGCTCTTAGCAAAGAATGTTACTCTTGGGAAAAAAAGAGTGAGGTTAAAATTTTTCCTACTGTTTCATTTAATATAATTTTTATGTAACATTTATCTTTCCTTGCACCTTTATTGGCCATTGACCTTTTCTTTTGGCTGATCTCTTCCTGAGTTGTTCAAGATCCTACCTTAGTTCTCCACATATACTTGTCTTTATCAAGGAAAACTGAGGTCCTGAATTTTTCTGCTTTTCTAACCATTAAAATATTAACTTAAACTGTGTTCCATCATTTTAGATTCCTTTTGAAGATACTGATAATCTGTATTAACAGCTCTATGAAATTTATACTTCTCCAAAGGGGACAAATTTTTAGTCCAAGTCTTAGATGTTTTTTAGTTCATTTTTTTTTTTTTTTTTTTAGTTCATTCTAGGATCATTATTTCACCTCTTACTGAGGTGACTAATAGCACTTGATTTGAATACTACAATATTTAGATTTATGTATTGGGTCAAAAAGTGAGAAATATGAGTCATCCATTTTAAATTAATATTGTGTGTTCATGTATGTATAGACATACATAATACATACATATGCATGAATATATGTACATATATGACAATATGCATTGTCTGAATTTATATTTTCCAGTTATATTCTAGTTAGAACATAGAAAATGTACTAATTTCAGTAATATTTTAATAAAATCATAGTAAATTCATACTTTTATGGGATTTTGTGTGTGTCATATAAAATTTTTTCACTTATTTGATGTAATGTGTTATGCAGCAATTCTGTAGAACCAGTCTGGTTGTGAGAGGGCTGGTGAGGAAACTTTAGTGGAAAAAAAAAGTTCTTTGGAAATCAAACATTTGTCTTGCATGGATTGCTGCACCATTTGGACAACATTATTCTAGTTTCTTGTTTATATATAACCTGAGATTTTGTTCACTACAGTTAAGAAACTGAGGTGCAGACACAAAGAAATTGGCTGATTGGTTGGTAAGCTATTAATTATTGCCTCAATTTCAGAGCCTCTTATTGGTCTACTCGGAGATTCAACTTCTTCCTGGGTTAGTCTTGGGAGGGTGTATGTGTCGAGGAATTTATCCATTTCTTCTAGATTTTCTAGTTTATTTGCGTAGAGGTATTTATAGTATTCTCTGATGGTAGTTTGTATTTCTGTGGGATCAGTGGTGATATCCCCTTTATCATTTTTTATTGCATCTATTTGATTCTTCTCTCTTTTCTTCTTTATTAGTCTTGCTAGCAGTCTGTCAATTTTGTTGCTCTTTTCAAAAAACCAGCTCCTGGATTCATTGATTTTTTGAAGGTTTTTTTTGTGTGTCTCTATTTCCTTCAGTTCTGCTCTGATCTTAGTTATTTCTTGCCTTCTGCTAGCTTTTGAATGTGTTTGCTTTTGCTTCTCTAGTTCTTTTAACTGTGATGTTAGGGTGTCAATTTTAGATCTTTCCTGCTTCCCCTTGGGGGCATTTAGTGCCATAAATTTCCCTCTACACACTGCTTTGAATGTGTCCCAGAGATTCTGGTATGTTGTGTCTTTGTTCTCGTTGGTTTCAAAGAACATCTTTATTTCTGCCTTCATTTCGTTATGTACCCAGTAGGCATTCAGGAGCAGGTTATTCAGTTTCCAGGTAGTTGAGCGGTTTTGATTGAGTTTCTTAATCCTGAGTTCTAGTTTGATTGCACTGTGGTCTGAGAGACAGTTTGTTATAATTTCTGTTCTTTTACATTTGCTGAGGAGTGCTTTACTTCCAACTATGTGGTCAATTTTGGAAAAGGTGTGGTGTGGCGCTGAGAAGAATGTATATTCTGTTGATTTGGGGTGGAGAGTTCTGTAGATGGCTATTAGGTCCACTTGGTGCAGAGCTGAGTTCAATTCCTGGATATCCTTGTTAACTTTCTGTCTTGTTGATCTGTCTAATGTTGACAGTGGGGTGTTAAAGTCTCCCATTATTATTGTGTGGGAGCTTACCAACCAAAAAAAGTCCAGGACCAGATGGATTTACAGCCAAATTCTACCAGAGGTACAATGAGGAGCTGGTACCATTCCTTCTGAAACTATTCCAATTAATAGAAAAAGAGGGAATCCTCCCTAACTCATTTTATGAGGCCAGCATCATCCTGATACCAAAGCCTGGCAGAGACACAGCAAAAAAAGAGAATTTTAGACCAATATCCCTGATGACCATCGATGCAAAAATCCTCAATAAAATGCTGGCAAACCGAATCCAGCAGCATATCAAGAAGCTTATCCACCATGATCAAGTGGGCTTCATCCTTGCAATGCAAGGCTGGTTCAACATACGCAAATCAATAAATGTAATCCAGCATATAAACAGAACCAACGACAAAAACCACCTGATTATCTCAATAGATGCAGAAAAGGCCTTTGACAAAATTCAACAACGCTTCATGCTAAAAACTCAATAAATTAGGTATTGATGGGACATATCTCAAAATAATAAGAGCTATCTATGACAAACCCACAGCCAGTATCATACTGAATGGGCAAAAACTGGAAGCATTCCTTTTGAAAACTGGCACAAGACAGGGATGCCTTCTCTCACCACTCCTATTCCACATAGTGTTGGAAGTTCTGGACAGGGCAATCAGGAAGGAGAAGGAAATAAAGGGTATTCAATTAGGAAAAGAGGAAGTCAAATTGTCTCTGTTTGCAGATGACATGATTGTATATCTAGAAAACCCCATCGTCTCAGCCCAAAATCTCCTTAAGCTGATAGGCAACTTCAGCAAAGTCTCAGGATACAAAACCAATGTGCAAAAATCACAAGCATTCTTATACACCAATAATAGACAAACAGAGAGCCAAATCATGAGTGAACTCCCATTCACAATTGCTTCAAAGAGAATAAAATACCTAGGAATCCAACTTATAAGGGATGTGAAGGAACTCTTCAAGGAGAACTATAAACCACTGCTCAAGGAAATAAAAGAGGATACAAACAAATGGAAGAACATTCCATGCTCATGGATAGGAAGAATCAATATTGTGAAAATGGCCATACTGCCCAAGGTAGTTTACAGATTCAATGCCATCCCCATCAAGCTACCAATTACTTTCTTCACAGAATTGGGAAAAAACTACTTTAAAGTTCATATGGAACCAAAAAAGAGCCTGCATCACCAAGTCAGTCCCAAGCCAAAAGAACAAAGCTGAAGGCATCACGCTACCTGACTTCAAACTATACTACAAGGCTACAGTAACCAAAACAGCATGGTACTGGTACCAAAACAGAGATATAGATGAATGAAACAGAATAGAGCCCTCAGAAATAATGTCACATATCTACAACTATCTGAACTTTGACAAACCTGACAAAAACAAGAAATGGGGAAAGGATTCCCTATTTAATTAATAGTGCTGGGAAAACTGGCTAGCCATATGTAGAAAGCTGAAACTGGATCCCTTCCTTACACTTTATACAAAAATTAATTCAAGATGGAGTAAAGACTTAAATGTTAGACCTAAAACCATCAAAACCCTAGAAGAAAACTAGGCATTACTATTCAGGACATAGGCATGGGCAAGGAGTTCATGTCTAAGACACCAAAAGCAATGGTAACAAAAGCCAAAATTGACAAATGGTATCTAATTAAACTAAAGAGCTTCTGCACAGCAAGAAACTACCATCAGAGTGAACAGGCAACCTACAGAATGGGAGAAAATTTTTGCTATCTACTCATCTGACAAAGGGCTAATATTCAGAATCTACAATGAACCCAAACAAATTTACAAGAAAAAAATAACCCCATCAAAAAGTTGGCGAAGGATATGAACAGACACTTCTCAAAAGAAGACATTTATGCAGCCAAAAGACACATGAAAAAATGCTCATCATCACTGGCCATCAGAGAAATGCAAATCAAAACCACAATGAGATACAATCTCACACCAGTTAGAATGGTGATCATTAAAAAGTCAGGAAACAACAGGTGCTGGAGAGGATGTGGAGAAATAGGAACACTTTTACACTGTTGGTGGGACTGTAAACTAGTTCGACCATTGTGGAAGTCAGTGTGGCGATTCCTCAGGGATCTAGAACTAGAAATACCATTTGACCCAGCCGTCCCATTACTGGGTATATACCCAAAGGATTATAAAACATGCTGCAATAAAGACACATGCACACATATGTTTATTGTGGCACTATTCACAATAGCAAAGACTTGGAACCAACCCAAATGTCCATCAACGATAGACTGGATTAAGAAAATGTGGCACATATACACCATGGAATACTAAGCAGCCATAAAAAATGATGCGTTCATGTCCTTTGTAGGGACATGGATGAACTGGAAACCATTATTCTCAGCAAACTATCGCAAGGACAAAAAACCAAACACCGCATGTTCTCACTCATAGGTGGGAACTGAACAATGAGAACACATGGACGCAGGAAGGGGAACATCACACACTGGGGCCTGTTGTGGGGTGGGGGGAGGCGGGAGGGATAGCATTAGGAGATATACCTAACGTTAAATGATGAGTTACTGGGTGCAGCACACCAACATGGCACATGTATACATATGTAACATACCTGCATGGTGTGCACATGTACCCTAAATCTTAAAGTATAATAATAAAAAAAAAGAAATTGGCTGATTGGCCTTTGATTATTATAGTCATTTATTCATTCATTTAATTTTTTTTAAACTAAGAGTTACAATCTAATGGGAAAAATAATCTAGCAGCATACCTAATTGAAAATCCTGCCATGAATTTGTACTGTAGCAAGAGCATGAAACCTGGTTTTTATTTTGAGGTACTTAAAATATTAGAGTAAATGAAAACATTTTAGCAACTACTTATAATTCCTCAAAATATCAGCATTTGTAAACTTTTGCATCTAGCTTACTTAAATTCTTTATGCAAATTAGCATCCAATTATAATTATCAATATTACAGTAATTGAATATAGTGATGGTGTGCATAGCAGAACTAACATTGTAATCCTTTATGTAGTTTCTTGAGTCTGTTGAACAGTACACATATAAAATGTCTTTAACCTACCTGGTGTCGAGCATACTGTGCTGCCCACAGCAGTTCACAGTAACCACAACCCCTGACTTAAAAATATGGAGAAAACGCTCTTGACAGACCTCTGTTGTTGTACTTTGTCAATGTAGTTTGTGATAGTCTTGGCTAATGTGTTACACCTTGATTTACTTCCTATCCTATTAAATTATTCATATCATGCCATATATGAACATGCCAATCTTTAATAAAATGAGCTGAAAATTAGCATTTAGAGAAAAACAAGTTCAAGAACAAATACTCCCTGGAAACATAGTCTTGAGACAGTCAACATGAAATCCATTATTTTCCTTTTCATTGAAGGTAAAAATGTGGGTTGTGGGTTGTTCATCTGATAATGCCCCTCACAAACATATGAGATCCACGGATTTCTATACCACTAGGTTTCCTGGGAGGTCTACATTAGCCCCAAGGCAGCTGGCCAGCGTGAGTTGTACCTGCATTGTGAGAAGATCATCTTTATTATGTGTTTACAGTTGCCTGACTCAGTATCTGTTCCTAAGCAGACAGTGGACTGCCCACTTGTAGGCTCACCTAACTAAAGTTGTCTCTTACATATCTGGCTATGGAAAATTTAAATGATGATGTCCCTTACATGGCCCTAAAGCATGTAAGATACCTAAAGTGTATATGATGTGTAGAAGATGCCTAAAGCACATGCCTAACATGCTTGGGTGAAAATCCAAGCTGTTACAACTTACTTAGAAAAGAGGTTTACTCATTTTTGTGATCAATTAAGTCAATCACAATAGGAATATTAAATACGTATTATATGCTGAACATGACAGTCATTGCTAGTATGAATTTAGCCAGTATTGACTTCTCTGATAATCTCAAAACAAGGTTAAAATATGTATAAACAATGATTTGTTCTCTTAGATGAAAAATATTTACAATAAGCAGAAAAAAGCACCATTCTTGAACTATGATTTTGTTAATTTGTAACCTATTATATGTAGTGTTTTTCTTTTTTAATAGAAGCACTTTGGCCCCGTTGCTTGCAAGTAGTGCATATTGTTGCTAATACTTTTGTTGTTAACTTACAATTTTGAAATTAATTAATTTAACCACAGGGTGATATGAGATAAGATGATCATAAATGTTCTAATTATGACAAATTATTGAAATTTTATTTGTGGTATTTTTATGATTGTTATGAATATTTATAACTGAGAAGATGATATGTTTTATATTCGAAGGGTATATATTTTTGTGTGTATATGAATTTATTTAAATCAGTCTCATTATTTAAACTAATCTATGTCTTGTTAATTGGCCATTTCACAGGTCATAGATAGATAGAGATTTGGGAACAATTTGTACTCTGATTGTTGCTATCAGTTTCTTTTTTTTTTCCTGAAAGACTTTGCTTATGTATGTGATGCCCTTTCATTTGATGCACAAAGTTAATACTAGTATCAACTTTTACACCCACATTATGGACTAGAATTTTGAATTAACCCAACAATTGACTGAGTCTACACTGATACTTTTTAAACATTAAAATTAAATTAAAATTACGATGTTAACATTACAAACTCATTTTTATCATTTCTTGCACAACTCACTCTGGAAGAAACTAACATTAACCTCACACTCACCCCTTATTCTATTCTCAGTGCCCTCCTTGGACCCTATGACTCCTTCCCAAGGTCAGAACTGATTAAACACTAGTGCTACTAAGAGTTTTAGCTGAGAGATAGACTGATTTGTTATTTGCTAGGTACTTTGAACAGAAAGGTATTGCAACGCTGGAGCTTAAGTGACTATGTTTGAATTTTGAGTGGGTGAAGCAAGAAAATATGGTGTTCAGAGAGAATGAAGTTTGGAGTAGACATGCAGAGAGAAGCAGGGACCAAAGACCATACAATCCAGAGAGCGTAGAGGGCAGTGTTTGCCTGGTGCTAAAAATATTTTGGTTGTTGGTTCCAGTCTTTTTAGATACTCAGCTGTTCTTTCTCCTCAGTTTATTTCCTATCAATTCCCTTGAGCGTCTTAAGCAGCTTCTATTCTTTCAACTAAATAACTATAAGGATACTCATCCTCGCTTTATTTGGTTAGCATTTGCTAAATGTATCTACTCCTATTGTTTAACTTTTAACACTTATCTCTCAAGATTTTTCTGGATTCTAAACAAACTTGTTTAGATAATTCATTAGGAGTTTCTGAGTAGGATGTGAGTTTCAATAGTCATACAAGATAATGAATAACAAATTTGGTTAAAGTAAAAGAAAGTAAAAGACAGAAATTGTAATAGATGTTGCCCATACCTGATACAGATTTAAAAAACTAGATGAAGGCATCATGAACCATTAACTAACAATTGTGAAGTATTGAGCAAATAACCTACCGTTTTTGAATCTCTCTCTCTCACTTTTTAATTTGTAATAGAGGAATTGTATTAGCTGTCTAAACTATTTCACAGGGAACTTGTGAGGATCAAATGAAATAATATATATGAATGTGCTTTTCAAGAACCCTATTACTGTTTTGTAATGCAAAAGGGTGTAAACCTACAGATACTTCAGATTCAAAAAGAACTAAGTACTTATAGATCTTTAGTCTATACAGATTTCAGATTTGTTGGCTGTGTCACCACTTCAGTATATCTGGATAATTCTGAGTAAGGTTCTTCCAGGCAGAAGTTAGGGTATGGGGTAAACTTTCTAAAACACTCAGCAACCTAAGCACTTGGTGTAATTTCATGCAGTAAATATGGAATGGGAAATTTTAAAGTGGAGCAGATTCTTTGAATCATGGATTGCTCTAGAATCTCTAAAGTCACTTTAAAATACCGAGGTTTGGCGATATAAGCATTTGGCTGCTCTAAACATGGTTGCTAGGCAAATAGCTATCCTGTGGGGATCCCCTGGGAAGTGAATTGACCTTAAACCATGAGATTGGTGTACTTTTTCAGTGGCTCTTGCATTGTCAACGTACAGAGGAGTTGTGAAAAGTTGCCATTCCTTTTCTGTAGCATCACACTGAATATTTTACATGTTGCATAAACTTTAGTGGTGAGCAAAGTACCTCTTTATTTGGACAGAGAAAATTTTATATTTGCGTATAATTACATATAAAAATTATATCCAAGAAGGCCAGGCGCGGTGGCTCACGCCTGTAATCCCAGCACTTTGGGAGGCCGAGGCGGGCAGATCACGAGGTCAGGAGATCGAGACCATCCTGGCTAACATGGTGAAACCCTGTGTCTGCTAAAAATACAAAAAAACTAGCCAGGCTTGGTGGTGGGCACCTGTAGTCCCAGCTACTCTGGAGGCTGAGGCCAGAGAATGGCGTGAATTCAGAAGGCAGAGCTTGCAGTGAGCCGAGATTGCACCACTGCACTCCAGCCTCGGCGACAGAGTGAGACTCCGTCTCAAAAAAAAAAAAAAAAAAAAAAAAAAAAAAAAAAAAAAAAAATTATATCCAGGAAATTGTCAAAGGACATGAGATATATTTTTGTAAGGTAAAAAAGCATAATAATGAAAAATGTGAGTTTTGTAGTTACTCTACTTAGGTTCAAATTCTGGCTTTTTGTTCAATTAACTGACTGCATGGTTTGCTTGCATTGTTTGGCCTTACTGAATCTCATTTCCCTCCTCTGTAAAATGATGTAGTAATAATACCATTATCATAGTATATTTGTAAAACTTAGAGAGAAAAATGCAGATGAAGCAAATATTGCAGTATTTGGACCCAGGTGCTCAGTAAATATTAGCTAATGCTATAATTTAATAACAAATACTTTAAAATAAGACAAAATTTTTGTTTGAAATGAAAAGCAGTGAAACTGCTGGTGTTGCTATAACATCATTCACTAACATCACTGTTTTGTAATGAAAGGTGCAAAGTATTAATCCAGGCATCCAAATTTATTACAAATATAACCTTAAAGCTATGTGAAAAACTTCAATATAAACATTTTTCAACACTATCAGTCTCTTCCAATTTTGTGAAATGTTGACACTGACACAAAGATTTTGATGGTTATGTGATTCTTTGCCATGACAAACAACGTTTTTGTCTGTTTATAATGCGCTTTAATTAGAAGTATAAAATCAGAGTTAAGAGGATTTTTGAAGAAATTAGTAGCTTCCTAAGCCCAACTGTATGAATAAGCTTCTAACGGAAACCAAGGACAGGATTATTTTCAGGCTTTTAGTCTTAATAAAAATGTGCAGAGAATTTCAATTCTAATTTATATAAGTAAGTCAGATAAATCAATTTATTTACCTGGATTTTGGCCCGTCACTTTCTATTTGAAAATGAAAAGAATTAATTTTCATATTCTATGCATATTTATTAATCAGTATTTTTTACACTTATTGTTACTACCTTGCCATTTATTATTACCAATTAAATAAGTCCAATCATTTTTTAAACTTTTTATTTTGAATAATTTTATATGTATAGAAGACTTAGAAAGATAGCATAGAGTGTTCTCATATACCCTTCAGCCAGTTTTTGTTAATGTTAACATTTTATGTTACCATGGTACGTTTATCAAAATCAAGAAATTAATATAGATACAATACTATTAACTGAACTACAGACTTCATTTATAATTTCACTGGTTTTCATTCATGTCTTTTGTTTGTTCTAGGAGCTAATCCAAGGTGGCACCAGTTATGTCTTCTTGGTTTCCTCCAGTCTGACAGTTTATCAGCTTTCCTTCTTTATTATGACCTTGACACTTTTGAAGAGTATTGACCAGGTATTTTGTATAATGTTCCTCAGTTTAGGTTGGTCTGATTTTTTTTTTTTTCATGACCAGACTGAGATTGATTATACATTTTGGGGAAGAATAACACAGCAGCGAAGTGCTCTCCTCATATCAAATCAGTAATACATTTGTTCAACAACTTCTTACTGGTGATGTTGATCTTGATCACTTGGTTAAAGTTAATATTTTTCCTGTCATATAATCTATTTCCTAGAATTAAGTAACTAGACTCAGCCCATATTCAAGGGGTTTGGGAATGATTAAGCTTCACCTTCTGGAAGGAGGAGTATAAAAAGTTTGCGAGTGTAGGCTAATATCACCATAATAATTAATAAATATTTCAGAGAAGTACCAATACAATAGTTAAACAGTACTTTTGGAGAGATATGTAAATACTCATTTTTCCTAAAAGTTTCTTCCACTAATCTTAGCATCTGTCAGAGGATTTTGCTTGCAGCAATTATTGTGATGTTCTAATGGTTCCTTCATTTCTCCACATTTATTATTTGAAATTGGTTTGTAAAGAAGAGTTCTCCATTTCCCCAGTTGTTTGCTTATTTATTTATTTATGTAATTATTTATATATATCAGCATGGGTTCATGAATGATTATTTCAATCTTTGGAATATAATTTAATACTGTCATTATTTTGTTGCTCAAAGTGTTTCATCTTTGGCAATTGGGAGCTCTTTTAGGTTGGCTCCTGTATCTTTTCTGGAATGACAGTTCCTCCAAGCTCATCCTGAATTTTCCCTGCCCTCATCCCTATCATTAACCATTTCTCTGAGGGTACCCGGTTCACTTCATTAAAGCATGGTATTTGGGAAAGACTATCTGGGCACAGAGCATGCTCACTGCTATGGGAGTGTCACTGACTCTAAAGCCTCTATCCTGTCTGATAGGCCGATTTAGTCAGGAAATATTTGTATGTAAAAAATCCAAAAAAACTTTGCCTGTGCCTATATAGATATATCTATATTTGTTTGTCTATTTATTAAAATGTTTGAGTATATACTGGTATATCCAGCTCAAATTCAGCACCACAGAGTTTATTCTAGCCTTCTGTATTATTTATTGTAATTTCTTTTTCTGACAGTAGGAACTCTGACTCCCATTATCTACAATTCATTTAACTAATGAGTCATTGATTTATTTATATGCATACCCCAGTATACATCTAAAATGGTTTCTGAATAACTAAACTATACTCTTGTGAGAATCAAATTTGCCATTGGGTACAGTATTTGTGTCTAATTTTATTTTATTTTATTTTTTATCTTTATTACACTTTTATTCTCAAAGAATATTTCACCGGATATAGATTTCTGGCTTGATTGGTGTTGGTTGCGGTGGTTGTTTTTCTTTATTTTTTTTTATTATACTTTAAGTTTTAGGGTACATGTGCACAATGTGCAGGTTTGTTATATATGTATACATGTGCCATGTTGGTGTGCAGCACCCATTAACTTGTCATTTAACATTAGGTATATCTCCTAATGCTATCCCTCCCTTCTCCCCCCACTCCACAACAGGCCCCGGTGTGTGATGTTCCCCTTCCGGTGTCCATGTGTTTTCATTGTTCAATTCCCACCTATGAGTGAGAACATGTGGTGTTTGGTTTTTCGTCCTTGCATTAGTTTGCTGAGAATGATGGTTTCCAGCTTCATCCATGTCCCTGCAAAGGACATGAACTCATCTATTTATGGCTGCATTGTATTCCATGTGTATATGTGCCACATTTACTTAATCCACTCTATCATTGTTGGACATTTAGGTTGGTTCCAAGTCTTTGCTATTGTGAATAGTGCCACAATAAACATATGTGTGCATGTGTCTTTATTGCAGCATGATTTGTAATCCTTTGGGTATATACCCAGTAATGGGATTGCTGGGTCAAATGGTATTTCTAGTTCTAGATCCCTGAGGAATCGCCACACTGACTTCCACAATGGTTGAACTAGTTTACAGTCCCACCAACAGTGTAAAATTGTTCCTATTTCTCCACATCCTCTCCAGCACCTGTAGTTTCCTGACTTTTTAAAGATTGCCATTCTAACTGGTGTGAGATGATATCTCATTGTGGTTTTGATTTGCATTTCTCTGATGGCCAGTGATGATGAGCATTTTTTCATGTGTTTTTTGGCTGCATAAATGTCTTCTTTTGTGAAGTGTCTGTTCATATCCTTCGCCCACGTTTTGATGGGGTTGTTGGTTTTTTTCTTGTAAATTTGTTTGGGTTCATTGTAGATTCTGGATATTAGCCCCTTGTCAGATGAGTAGATAGCAAAAATTTTCTCCCATTCTGTAGGTTGCCTCTTCACTCTGATGGTAGTTTCTTTTGCTGTGCAGAAGCTCTTTAGTTTAATGAGATCCCATTTGTCAATTTTGGCTTTGGTTGCCATTGCTTTTGGTGTTTTAGACATGAAGTCCTTGCCCATGCCTATGTCCTGAATGGCATTGCCTAGGTTTTCTTCTAGGGTTTTTATGGTTTTAGGTCTAACATTTAAGTCTTCGATCCATCTTGAATTAATTTTTGTATAAGGTGTAAGGAAGGGATCCAGTTTCAGCTTTCTACATATGGCTAGCCAGTTTTCCCAGCACCATTGATTAAATAGGGAATCCTTTCTACATTTCTTGTTTTTGTCAGGTTTGTCAAAGATCAGATAGTTGTAGATATGCAACATTATTTCTGAGGGCTCTGTTCTGTTCCATTGGTCTATATCTCTGTTTTGGTACCAGTACCATGCTGTTTTGTTTACTGTAGGCTTATAGTATAGTTTGAAGTCAGGTAGCATGATGCCTCCAGCTTTGTTCTTTTGGCTTAGGATTGACTTGGCAATGCGGGCTCTTTTTTGGTTCCATATGAACTTTAAAGTAGTTTTTTCCCAATTCTGTGAAGAAAGTCATTGGTAGCTTGATGGGGATGGCATTGAATCTGTAAATTACCTTGGGCAGTATGGCCATTTTCACAATATTGATTCTTCCTATCCATGAGCATGGAATGTTCTTCCATTTGTTTGTATCCTCTTTTATTTCCTTGAGCAGTGGTTTGTAGTTCTCCTTGAAGATTTCCTTCACATCCCTTATAAGTTGGATTCCTAGGTATTTTATTCTCTTTGAAGCAATTGTGAATGGGAGTTCACTCATGATTTGGCTCTCTGTTTGTCTATTATTGGTGTATAAGAATGCTTGTGATTTTTGCACATTGGTTTTGTATCCTGAGACTTTGCTGAAGTTGCCTATCAGCTTAAGGAGATTTTGGGCTGAGACGATGGGGTTTTCTAGATATATAATCATGTCATCTGCAAACAGAGACAATTTGACTTCCTCTTTTCCTAATTGAATACCCTTTATTTCCTTCTCCTGCCTGATTGCCCTGTCCAGAACTTCCAACACTATGTTGAATAGGAGTGTTGAGAGAGGGCATCCCTGTCTTGTGCCAGTTTTCTAATTAAAAAAAAAAACTTTAGCCTTAAAATACCCAGTTAATACACTGTTTCCCAAAGTTACATAGATCAGACTATTTTCCCTCACCCTCTTCAGTGAGATTTTACACAATACATTTGTAATACAGTTAGATTCATTTTTTCATAGTCTGCTTTCAAAACTAGAAACAAATGGGTTTGGATCCCCAAAATCTAGTTAATTGTTAAAAGTTGGCATATAGTAACATTTACTCTGTGTGGTATACAGTTCTTTGGGTCTTGACAGATGCATAAAGAAATGTATCCATCACCACAGTAACATGCAGAACAATTCTATCACCCTAAAACTTCCCGCATACAGTGTTTTTATAGTAGGAATCTTCCCACAAGCCATGACAATCACTAATTTGTTTCACGTTCCTATAGTTTTTGTGCCTTTCCCAAAATGTTACATATATGGGATTGTATAATACATAAGGTTTGGTTATGGTTTCTTCTATTTGAAAGATGTATTTAAAATTTATCCATGTTGTTGCATGAATTCATAGTTCATTCTGTTTTATTGCTGAGTAGTGAATTCCATTGCATGGATGTATCACAGGGTTTTTACTTAGTCACTTATTAAAGGACATCTTGGTTATTTCCAGTTTGGGACAATTATGAAAAAACTGCTACAAATATTTATGTAGAGGTTTTTGTGTCAATATAAATTTTCAATTCATTTGGGTAACTGTTTAGTAATGAAATTGTAAGTTGTATGATAACGGTTTGTGTACCTCTCTAAGAAACTGTCAAATGGTTTTCCAGTGTGGTCAAACCAGTTTGCATTCCTATCAGGAATGAATGAGAATCCTTGTTGCTCCATATCTTTGTCAGCACTTAATATATTGGCCTTTAAATGGTTCTAAATTTCTTTTATTTTAAACTGTTGATAGTCTCAAAATGACACTGAAGCATAACTGGTGTAATATTATTTGAAAATATTCTGTTGCATGATACTACATAATACGTAGCAAGGTAAATTATTAGTATGTTTAAAGTTAAGGGAAAGGTAACTTTCATATTGTTGTGTATCATTTACAGTTTTGCCCAGTTTTTAAATTTTTTTGGCGTGCATTCCTCTCTTTTGAAGTCAATGAATGATTCATAAGAAAAAATATAAGATCCTATTTGCAATTTTTTTGCTTTTGTTGCAATTGCTTTCAGTGTTTTTGTCATGAAATCTTTGCCTGTGCCTATGTCCTGAATAGTATTGTCTAGATTTTCTTCTAGGGTTTTTATAGTTTTGGGTTTTACATTTAAGTCTTTAATCCATCTTGAGTTAATTTTTGTATATGATGTAAGGAAGGGGTCCAGTTTCAATTTTCTGCATATGGGTAGCCAGTTCTCCCAGCACCATTTATTAAATAGGGAATCCATTCCTCATTGCTTGTTTTTGTCAGGTTTGTGAAAGATCAGATGGTTCTAGGTGTGTGGTCTTACTTTTGAGTTCTCTATTCTGTTCCACTGATCTATGTGTCTGTTTTTGTACCAGTACCATGCTGTTTTGGTTACTGTAGACGTGTAGTATAGTTTGAAGGTGGGTAGTATGATGTCTCCAGCTTTGTTCCTTTTGCTTAGGATTGTCTTGGATATACTGGCCCTTTTTTTTGTTTCATATAAATTTTAAAATAGTTTTTTCTAATTTTGTGAAGACTGTTAATGGTATTTTAATGGGAATAGCATTGAATTACTTTGGGCAGTGTGGCCATTTTCACAATATTTATTCTTCGTATCTATGAGCATGGAATATTTTTTCATTTGTTTGTGTCGTTTCTGATTTCCTTGAGCAGTAGTTTGTAGTTCTCCTTGAAGAGGTCCTTCACATCCCTTGTTAGCTGTATTCCTAGATATTTTATTCTTTTTGTGGCAATTGTGAATGGGAGTTCATTCATGATTTGGCTCTCTGTGTGCCTGTTGGTGTACAGCAATGTTAGTGATTTTTGCACATTGATTTTTTTTTTTATGCTGAGATTTTGCTGAAGTTGCTTATCAGCTTAAGAAGATTTTGGGCTTAGATGATGGGATTTTCTAGATATAGGATCAGGTCACCTGCAAACAAAGATAATTTGTCTTCCTGTCTTCCTACTTGAATACACTTTTTTCTTTCTCTTGCCTGATTGCCCTGGCCAGAACTTCCAATACTATGTGGAATAGGAGTGGTGAGAGAGGACATCATGGTCTTGGGCTTGTATTCAAGAGGAAAGCTTACAGCTTTTGCCCATTCAGTATGATATTGAATATGGGTTTGTCATAAATAGCTCCTATTATTTTGAGGTATGTTCCTTCAATACATGGTTTATTGAGAGTTTTTAACATGAAGGGATGTTGAATTTTATTGATGGTCTTTTCTGGATCTATTGAGATTATCATGCAGTGTTTGTCTTTAGTTCTGTTTATGTGACGAATTACATGTATTGACTTGCATATGTCGAACCAACCTTGCATTGTGGGGATGAATTGAACTTGATCGTGGTGGATAAGCTTTTTGATGTGCTTCTGGATTTGGTTTGCCAGTATTTTTCACATTCATTTTCATCAGGGATATTGGCCTGAAGGGTTTTTTTGCTGTTGTTGTATCAAAGTGAACAGAAAACCTACAGAAAGGGAGAAAATTTTTGCAATCTATCCATCTGACAAAGGTCTAATATCCAGTGTCTACAAGGAACTTAAAGAAATTTACAAGAAAAAAGCAAACAACCACATTAAAAAGTGGGCAAAGGACATGAACAGACACTTCTCAAAAGAAGACATTCATGCAGCCAACAAACACATGAAGTAAAGCTCAACATCACTGATCATTAGAGAAATGCCAATCAAAACCACAATGAGATACAATCTCATACCAATCAGAATAGCAATTATTAAAAAGTAAAGAAACAACAGACACTGGTGAGGTTGTGGAGAAACAGGAACACTTATACACTGTTGCTGGGAATGTAAATTAGTTCAACCATTGTGGAAGAGTGTGGCAATTCCTCAAAGATCTAGAAATATGGTTATAAGATAGAAATACCTTAATATACAGGTGATATAAGATAAAATATGGTTGTAAGATAGAAATACCATTTGACCCAGCAATCCCATTACAGGGTATAAATCATCCTATTATAAAGATACAGTACATGCATATGTATGTTCAATGCAGCACTATTCACAATAGCAAAGAGATGGAATCAACCCATATTGCCCATCAATGATAGACTGGATAAAGAAAATGTGGTACATACTCACCATAGAATACTATATAGCCATAAAAAGAAATGAGATTATGTCCTTTGTGGGGACATGGATGAAGCTGGAAGCCGTCATCCTCAGCAAACTAACGCAGGAACAGAAAACCAAACACTACATGTTTTCACTTATAAGTGGGAGCTGAATGATGAGAACATATGGGACACATGGCAGGGAACAACACATACTGGGACCTGTTGGGGGGTGGTGGTGGAGGGAGAGAGACCATCAGGAAGAATAGGTAATGGATGCTGGGCTTAATACCTAGGTGATGGGTTGATCCTTGCAGCAAATCACTATGGCACATGTTGACCTGTGTAGTGTAACAAACCTGCACATCCTGCACATGTACCCCGGAGCTTAAAATAAAATTGATGGAAAAAAAATAAATATGCATTTTTAATTTTGGAATTACATACGTTAAAATGCTAAGATAATAACAGCTCCACATAAAATATAGAAAACTTTCACCAAATTTACAAACATTTTTGAAAAACAAGATTACTACTTGTTTTTGTGTAGTCATAAAGAAATCATTGGGATTTTAAAATATTGATTTATTGTATGACAATAAGTTTATACAGATTATAGCAAATATAAGAAAAGGTACTTAGTAAAAACACAATAGAAGTACTGAGAAAAAATTGAGTTAATCTCTGAACATATGCCCCCTTTTATAACCTAAACCTAAACCTCAGAAACTCCTGGAACATTACAGAATATACAGTCATACTTTCCATTAGCTATCAGAGTGATGATATCATCACACATCATGTAACCTCTGGAAAACTGTACCAGACACTCATTAGAGAATAAGAGTGAAAAAGACAAACAGCATTTTAGTTTATTTTAAAAATAGTCGTGTACGCACTGACAGAGTGTTGATGACCCCTAATACTGTGAGAACTGCTCTATTAGGCTATGAACAGGCACTGACAAACTGGATTGAAAAAGAAGTATAGGGAAGCATAATGAAAAGTTCAGATACTTGAGAGTTTTAGTAATGGAACTTTACCAAAGCGAGGTATTTACTTGAGAGAGCATCTTAGTCTTTTAGTAAATAATTGAGTGGCAAGGTCAAAACCACCTTATATACATTTAGTAATTTTTTGCTGATATAGTACATGAACATCTTGATAAATATTTAATATTAAAATATGGTTATAAGATAGAATCTTGTAATCAATGACCCAGAAAGCCATTTAATCCATCATCTAATAAAGAGCATATCAATAGTGAAAGGGCACTACTAATTATAATGCTGAGTCAATCAGTGTAACACAGGTTTGTCCCAGGGGATAAAAGTTCACCTTATCTTGCAAATACATATTCTGAGAGCTTAGTAGATTTCTAAATTTGTGAATACTTCTGTGGCTTGTGCATTTCTCACATAAGTCAGTAAAGTTCAGATTCCTGAGAGTTACTAAAGGTTTGAATGATAAATAGCAACAGTTGATGAGATATGAATGCTGAAATTTTGGCTAGTTCATTCAGTAACTAAGTAACTCATTTCTGTACATCATCTTCAACATAATTAAATCTATTTTATACACAATGAAGTTGAAAAAGCATCATCTAGTCCTAAATTATGTATGATTACAATGAGTATGTTCTCCTGACTCTATATTGGTTTCACACCAACGATCACTGACATGAAAAACAGCCACACACCCTTTATAAAAACAAAAGGCTAATTGAGAATGAATCTTTAGCTCATCACTTGTTATTCATGTTAGTTTCTTGCTTGTATATACATGTGTTGTATTCAACACAAATATTGTGGATAGCTTTGTACTATGTACAAATTTTAAGACTATATCTGTGTAAGAATGTATTTGGTGACAGAGATGGCCAAGTTAAAAAAGAAAATTTGATAGTAAAAAAAAACCTTGATACTTTTTATCTCTTTTTTTTACTAGTGGCTAAGAGGGCAGGAATCCTCATCATACACACAAAAGGCAGGTAAATTAAGAAACACAAAGCAATGGTCTCAAACCTGCCACTGCCTTGTTATGGAACTTCTGAGCTATCTCATTCACCTTTCCTTCAGGTGACAAAGAATGGATTATGGGAATATTGAACTACTCCACAAAATCTATTGAAAGGAATAATCAATATAAATTATTACAAAGTAGTTTCTCTTTTATACCCTCCCTGGGTCTCCATTATCCAATTTCCAGGTTGTCTGGCATCTTCCCTTTGTCTTCTTTGTCATGCTGCTTATCTTTTTAGGAATTTCTCACTGAAATCATATTTTAAATGGAGAAAGAGAGAATTGGTTACTCTCTTATTGCTTTTATTCTTCAGTCCTCTTAATACCCAACATTTATTTAAAAATATTTAACTGTTTAAAAAAGACAATAGCCCTTTTTTCTTATCTTCCTGAAATACTGCATTTTCTAGCAATGCTTCTCCAAAGCTCCACTCACAAACCTGCAACAACCTTCCATAACACAAGTTTACCTACATAACAAATCCGCACATGTACCCCAAACTTAAAATAAAAATCATAAAAAAGGCAAAACAAAACAAAACGAAAACAATAACGCACTTTGTTTAATTAAGCTTTATATCAGGGAGCGGTGAGCTCAAAAGGCACGTTAAATCATGACCTGTCATATCTGAATTATTTTGAGTGTCACATTTAAAGCCTTTAAAAAAAGGCTCTAGCTTTTTCTGTGCGTGATTGTAAAAAAGTAATCATCTGTGATAGATGACTATTTGCATCAATATGTGCTCCTTAAATCTTTCCTGTAAAGTTCCATTAAGTTAGCTTAATCTCTACAGCTTGATTGAATCTTTGGAGCTTCAGTCTTCTTATGTAGTGTTATTCCATTCATTTTTGTTATTGCTTTTCCTCTAACCTTCTAAAGGTGTGATCTTTGGGAGACATTATCTTTACAATGAGGAAAGGTACCTTGATGGTTAGCATGTGAACTCTGGATCTAGACTGCCTATATTCAAATTAAACCTTGTCAGGTTCTAACCTGAGCTGGGGTCTGAGAGGAATTGGGGGATGGGTGGCAGGTAGCCGAAAGAACTCTTGAGGGATTGTAGAAAGTTGGGACATGGGCCGGGCGCAGTTGCTCACGCCTGTAATCCCAGCACTTTGGGAGGCCGAGACGGGTGGATCATGAGGTCAGGAGATTGAGACCATCCTGGCTAACACGGTGAAACCCCGTCTCTACTAAAAATACAAAAATTAGCCGGGCATGGTGGTGCGCGCCTGTAGTCCCAGCTACGCGGGAGGCTGAGGCAGGAGAATGGCGTGAACCCGGGAGGCGGAGCTTGCAGTGAGTCGAGATCGCACCACTGCACTCCAGCCTGGGCGACAGAGCAAAACTCCGTCTCAAAAAAAAAAAAAAAAAAAGAAAGTTGGGACATGGCTTTATTCTCTCTCTCCTACAGAGTCAGCAGTGCAGTTATATTATTCACAGGCAATAGTAGCTCAAAGCCAGGTAAGAGCTCAAACAGGTTACATTAAATGGTTACATAATGCACAGGGTTGTGCACCTGTGCTCCAAACCTGCTGTGTCATATTGTACCAGATGTCTACCTCAGCCCACTCCTGACTGAAGCACAGCCATTTTCTTACACTCCACCCCCTATGCTGAGGGAGTTCTCGTAGTGGGGAAACATGCCCGCAGGGCAGAACCCTGGACCCAGAGGCCACAGCAGCAATACAGGAAGCAACACCCATGACTAATATTCCCGCTATGCTGCCCATTATTATTAGGATCCAGCATGGGCCAGAGCCCAGAGACCCACCATATCTGTAGGGATTCATGAGTAAGGCTCTCAACTGCTTTGATTTCCTTGAAAAGCTGCTGTTATGTTTTGTTGATTGTCAGGGATGAAGGTACAACACTGTGGTCCCAAAAGAGCAAAGGTGCCACCTTGGGCAGCAGTTAATATGTCTAGGGCCATACGGGTCTGCAGTACCACCTTCCTGGTTTGATCAACCTCATCTGTTAATAGAACGAAGGCAACTCAGGTGTTATTCAAGGCTTGAGCATTGTGCTCTGCAAGGGCTGTAACTTACATTTCTACAGTTATGACACCTGCTCCAGGGATGGTTAATGCTAAGGGGTAGAGCCACCAGGGGGCTTGCTGGATTTGCAAAAACCAGGAACATTGTCCCTTCCAGTTATGTGAGTGTCTAGGCAATGTGGGGATAACAGTGGCAGGCACATAAGGGCACTAGGTAATGCATGGGGTTGTGCTCCTGGGCTCCAAACCTGCTGTGTCATACTGTACTGGATGTCTACCTTGGCCTACTCCTGACTGAAGAACAGCCATTTTCCTTATAGACCTCTTTCACAGGGAAATTATGAGTATTAAATAAGTTAATTCATGTAAAATGCTTAAAATTATGACTGATATGAAATAAAGATTTAATACTGTTAGTAGTGGCAGAGATCTAAGTTATCCCAAGTTACCAGTAGGAAATCTGTATACGTCTGCAAGCAACTTTAGCCCTTGTCTACTCAAAAGAAAGAATTTGACTGAGGGACATGAAGCAGAAAACAAGACTGAGGCAAGTTTCAGAGCATGAGTGGAAGTTTATTTAAAAAGGCCTTAGAACAGGAAAGAAAGGAAGGTGCAGTTGGAAGAGACCCAAGCAGGCACATGAAGGTTTAAGAGAGAAGGTCAAATGTCCCGTTCAACCATGATTCTTGGCCTTTTATAGGTTCACCTCTTTCCCGAGATTCTTCCCGTATGTGCAGAGCCCTCTCTACAGTTGGGAAGTGAGCATGCGCAGTGTGTTTAGGAAGAGTACATATGCCCACCTGAAGCTTTCTTCCTTTTTTCCAGTTGTGGGTACGTGGAAGATAATATTTTGCCGTTTTTATCTCTTAATGTGCATGCCCAGTAAGTTTCTTCTTTCTGGGGTCTGCCTTTAATAACACTTTAATGTTAATAGGTGTGGACCATCAGAAGATTGTCTCTCCCCGGTTGCTGAATTATCATTTTCTGAGAGGCAGTGTGACAATTTTTAAAACATCACTTGACATTTCTAGTGGGTGGAGGGAGAGCCCTCTCCTGCCCTACTCATGCCTATCTATCTACCTATAACAATAAAATGTATTGAGGGCCTACCATAGTTTAGGGTCTGATAGACACTAGGTGTATAGCTATAAAGATACTATATGCTTAAGAACTGAGTTTAGAAGGAGAGGTACACATTGAAACAAATATAGCTGTCTCTTGGTATCCATGGGCAATTGGTTTCAGCACCCCTCATTGATACCAAAATCTGTGATGTTCAAGTGCTTTATATAAAATGGCACAGTACTTGCATATAACCTATATACATCTTTCCATATACTTAAATCATCTTTAATTACTTATAATGCCCAATATAATGTAAATACTATGTAAATAGTTGTTATACTGTATTGTTTAGGGAACAGTGACAAGAAAAAGTCTACGTGTTCAATACAGACTCAAACATTAATTTTTTCCCCAAATATTTTCATTTTACTGTGGGTTGAATCCATGTTTGTGGAACCCACAGATAAGGAGGGCTGACTGTAAGTGAAATAGAACATAATATGCATTGTAATAATATTACACAGGTTATAGAGGTGGCATAAATCTGGAGGTTCTGCAAAGTCTTCCCAGAGGTGAAGTATTCAGGCTGATCTGGAACTCTGGCTGGATAATGGAGAAGAGCAATCTGGGCACTGTTACCACTGGGCAGGTGAGTTCTGTAATGCTGTTCCTGGAGTCATTTCTCCAGGCCTACCCAGGCACTAGTTCTCAAGGTGTTTCAATAATTTGGAAAACCCAATTTATTAGATTAGTTTTTGCTTAAATTATCTAGAGTAGTTTTATATCTTTGCAATGAAACCCTCTATTATCTTTCTTTCCCACAAGACTTACAAAAATTAGAACCCTTGCTTGACAACTGTTTGCTTCTAATCTTAGAAAACTGTCCACTCCTAATATACATGTAAGATAGATACCATGCTTATATTTCTTAAATGCCACCTATTTTTCTGGGTCATATTTTTAAAAATGTACTTTAAATATTCACTACTATCTATTTGTACATTTCAAGTAATTCAACCTTACGAACTCCAACTTGCTTAAATGCAAAATATACACATTAATATCTATGATATATAGTTGCTGTAAATAAACAAAATACTTTTTATAAAAATGTTTTGAAAACTGTAATATACTACGTAAAGTTAGACATTAAAAGTTACTCTACGATCAAATCATAGGGATTTGTTTTTCAATAAATGAAGCCCATAAGTGAGTGTTCTGAGGTCAGATAATTAGCATTTAGAAACAGATGCAAATGCAAGTGTATTAACCTGTGGTGGGGCTAATAAATGCCTAGTGACCTAAATAGGGATTAAATTTACGTCTCTACTATAGTTTCATTTTTCTCTGTATGCTAATTTGAGAATGCATATTAAGAAAAGCATCATGGTGCAGTGTTTTTTTTAATGATGTGAACTTAGGTTAAATGCCATCTTAACTCTGCCAAGTGAAGTGATGAGGAAATTATACAGCCATTTAAAGTCATTAAAATATTTTGCATTTGTTTTTTGGTCACTTTTAACATTTTATTTTGAATTGCTAAAGTAATTGCCTTGAATTAGGATGACTTTTTTGCTTTTGTTTCTGATATGTCATTTGGCTATTTTGTGATGTGAATTTTAAAAACATTTTTATGGCCTGAGTGATATCTTAAACCTATTTGGGTAGTTCCTTTAAGATCCTAATTGTTTTTGGCATTTTGTGATGGAGTAATCAGGACTGTATTTAAGTCCCTTGCTATTGAATATTGCAAATAATTTTAGGGCTGTAAGTACCTTAAAGAACTTTCTTAGTAAATCTAATAAGCAGTAAATACAACTAATAATTGAGTTCAGTCTTAGATTCAGAAACATCAGTGAGATCAATATCTTTTTATCTCATTTCCAAAATTTTTATTTTTTCTCTTCCTTTCTCTAATCTAGGTAAAGACATATGCATCATTATTATCTGTGTTCACTGTAATAGAAAATTACATGCACCAAGAATCAACTTTTGATGAAACTACTATTGTTTCAGCTCCCTGTCAAAACTCTCGTGTTTAATCCCAAACTAACTCAAAATACTTAACTGGTTAAATGATGAGTTCTATTGAGGAAAAGAGTCAAACTACATAAAATATTTGAAGAGATTTGTTTTAAGCCAAATATGAAAGACCATGGCCTGTGACACAGCCTTCAGGAGACCCTCAGAACATGTACCCAAGGTAGTCAGAGCACAGTTTGGTTTTATACATTTTAGGGAGACATGAGACATCAATCAAGTACATTTAAGATATACCTTGGTTCTGTCAAAAAAGGTGAAACAATTTGAAGTATTGCAGGGTGGGAGTTGTGCCGCAAATTTAAGGAGACAACTTCAGGCTAAACCTGATTTAACGTGACAAAGACCAGATATTTCCTTTTAATAGAAACAATTTCCTTAAAACATCAATAAAACAGAGATAAACAATCACCATTTTATCTGCTAGTAAATGTTAGCTGCACAAAAATACACTTCCAAATAGCTCTAAAAGTAGCTTAAGGTAACAATTTATTTAGTTTTTATTGCTGCTGAGCAGTTCTATTCTAGGCTGGTCTTGGCTGGTCTCAGGCTTACTCATGCATCTGTGATCAGCTTGTGTGTTGTGTGTTGGCTAGGGCTGGCTGGTCATGGATGGCCTCAGTCCCGTGTCTGGTTATTGCCTGAGATGAAAGAGAAGCAATTGGGCCACACATGTCTCCACGTGAGTTCTAAATGCAGAAATATGGCATACACCATTCTTCTTCTAAGCATTAGAAACAAACCAAGTTCTTGGCAAGCCTCTGCTTGTATTGTGCTTATTAATGTTACATTGGGTGAAGCAAGTCACATGAATAATCAAGATTCAAAGGCTGGATAAACGGACTCTCTCCTTTGATGGGAAGGGAAGAATTGATAGTCATGTTGCAATCTATCTTAACATTATTCAAAACTCTTTTTGAAAAATATAATTGCTCTTCAAATTTCTATCAAGTGGCATGCCCAAACTCCATGATCAAAGTATCAGTAATCAAGTAGATGCTGTTAGTGGTAGGAAGTGTTTTCCCATCAGGTTAAGTTAGGAGACTTGTAGAGAGGCTGCTGTTAAAATAAGCACATTAACACACACATCCTGAGTCATAAAACTTCTTTGTAGAATTTTGGTCATAAGTTGAGTTTTTGAAAGTTAGTGTAAGCTAGCCCACCCAACCCACTGAAAAAGAAATCATGAATTTGCCTCTTGAATTGCATTTTCTTCTAGGAGAGAGGTATGCCTAAATCACATGTTATAGTGGAATATAGAGCTCTTTCTCTAATATATAATATAATTAAATTATAGAGCTCTTTCTCGTATATATTTACTCAGTCTTTCTGTAACAATTCTTGAGATATTACATTATAGGTTTAAGTTGAAAATTAATACCATTCCAAATTGTTCTAGTGCATGTTTGAACAAAGTGGTGATAAAAGCTTCAACAGTTGGTCGTTTTCTCTGCTTGCTTTCTTCCAACTGCCTCTGTTACTACCACAAAGGCAAGTTTTTTATACATATGTTATCTGTGATCTGGTACTAGTCACAGTTGTAAAATGAATCATTTTTCCCTCTCAAACTTGGCAATATCTTTTTAAAAAATAAATAAAATGACTTTTTGGGCTGGGCATGGTGGCTTATGCCTGTAATCCCAGCACACCGGGAGGCCGAGGTAGGTGGATTGCCTGAGGTCAAGAGTTCGTGACCAGCCTGGCTAACATGGTGAAATCCCATTTCTACTAAAAATACAAAAAATAGCTGGGCGCGGTGGTGCATGCCTGTAGTCCCAGCTACTCGGGAGGCTGAGGCAGGAGAATCACTTGAACCTAAGAGGCGGAGGTTGAAGTGAGCCGAGATCACACCACTGCCCTCCACTCCAGCCTGGGTTGCAGAACAAGACTCTGTCTCCAAAAAGAAAAAAAAAAAAAAAAAAAGGACTTTTTGCTGTAAGATGAAGTTGTTGCCCATGTCAATATTTCTCTGTAGCTAAAAACTTTCCTAGTTGCCCAGAATTAAAAAAATCCCATTTCTTGGGATGATAATCATCTGTTCACCATTCATCTATTAATTAATTAATCAATAATAAGCTGTGATTATTTCCTCTAAGCTAAGTGCAGTGAAGGATAGCAAAATGAAATGGTATATTCACTGGACTCAAGCTGCTTATAATCCTGTTGTACATAAAAGGCATAAATATAAAAGGTAAGTGAAAAACCAAAAATAGACAATATATAGCAGGCGACTGCGCTTTACCCATCACCTTCTTTGTTTTACTCTGTCTCTCTCCAGAATGACATGGCGGCCATGCCCTCTTCATGATCTCTTGTTGTGATCTATCACTGGGACAGAAGGAAGGTAATCAATACTTTCTTTATAAATAACATATCATTGAATTCTCACAACACCTTTGTGAGGTAGATGTGTATTACAACATTTACCTCACAAGTAAGGAAAAATAAACCTGGAGTAATTAAGTAAACTTCTGTAGAATACATGAATTTAGATACAGATCTTTTAGGATCTCAAGCCTACAACTTTTACAGATTATCAAGTCTTCCTAAAATTTTCCATCAAAATACTCCAGAGGACAATACCTTACTTTTTTTTTGAGAGATTATGGAAGTATAGCCCAAAGCAGTCAACCATGAGCCCTTTTTTATTCTAAATTTACATCTGAGTTTTGTTGTCAGCATTACCGCTTCCCCTGTTCACAGGGAATTTCTGCACTTGTTAGTGAGAAATGTCCGTTCAGAAAGAAAACTAACTTAGCCAGAGACCCTTCCAATAGTGTATTGCATACTTAAAAATTGCTAAAAGAGTAGATTTTATATCTACTCACCACAAATAAATGATAAGAATGTGAGGCAATTCATATGTTAATTAGCTCACTATAGCTATTAAAGTATACATATTTCAAAATATCATGTACACCATTACGATATACCAACATTCCTTGACTTACGATGGCTTGACCTATATTTTTCCACTTTACGATGATGTGAAAGCAATAAACATTAAGTAGAAACCATATTTTGATTTTTGAATAAAAATCCTTTCTAATAACTTTATTAGAAAGTAGGCTATGTATTAGATGATTTTGCCTAACTGTAGACTAATGTAAGTGTCCCACGAATGTTTAACCTAGGCTAGGTTAAGCTATGATGTTTGGTAAGCTAGGTTTACTAAGTGCATGTTTGACTTACATTATTTTCAACTTACAGTAGGTTTCTTGGGATGTATCCCCATTATAAATCAGGAAGCATATGTGTATACAGTTTTTATTTGTCGATTAAAAACACAAATAATTTTTTAAAAAACACATAAAACACGAATGAAAAACCCCAAAAACCTTGTACTTCAAGTCAGGAAGGTCAGACTCTGATTCTGTTTCCATCATAAATACCTGTATGACAGTGAAAACAACAAGAAAAACAACAGCAAAAAAGAAATACTATGCATGACCACAATAGCACAAAAGCAGGAGTGGGGTAAATGTCCATTTGTGTGTGTGTGCGTGTGTATTTTCACTCGAGTCCGTGTGAAGAGACCAGCAAACAGGCTTTGTGTGAGCAACATGGCTGTCTATTTCACCTGGGTGCAGGCGGGCTGAGTCCAAAAAGAGAGTCAGCGAAGGGACATGGGGTGGGGCCATTTTATAGGATTTGGGAAGGTAATGGAAAATTACAGTCAAAGGGGGTTGTTCTCTGGTGGGCAGGGGCGGGGGTCACAAGGTGCTCAGTCGGGGAGCTTCTGAGCCAGGAGAAGGAAATTCACAGGGTTAATCACTCAGCTAAGGTGGGGCAGGAACAAATCACAATGGTGGAATGTCATCTGTTAAGGCAGGGCAGGGCCTTTTTACTTCTTTTGTGATTCTTCAGTTACTTCAGGCCATCTGGGCATATACATGCAAGTCACAGGGGATGCGATGGCTTGGCTTGGGCTCAGAGGCCCGACATTCCTGCCTTCTTTTATTAATAAGAAAAATAAAACAAAATAGTGTTGAAGTGTTGGGGCGGCGAAAATTTTTGCAGGTGGTATGGAGAGAGAATGGGCGATGTTTCTCAGGGGTGCTTTGAGTGGGATTAGGGGCGGTGTGGGAACCTAGAGTGGGAGAGATTAAGCTGAAGAAAGATCTTGCGGTAAGGGGTGATACTGTGGGGTTGTTAGAAGAAACATTTGTCGTATAGAATGATTGGTGATGGCCTGGATACGGTTTTGTATGAATTGAAAAACTAAATGGAATAAGAGAAGGAGAAAAACAGGTATAAAAGGTCTAAGAATTGGGAGGACCTAGGACATCTGATTAGAGAGTGCCCAAGGAGGTTCAGCCTAGCCTTGCCAGCAAAGATTATTTATTTACTTCAAGAGTTTAGAGTGGCAGTTTGGGGATAGCACCAGGAGATATCAGCTGTGATGGCTTGGAGAAACAGTGTAAACCGGCAGTGTAAACAAGAGCAGGGCATGTATGAGTAGTTGAGAATGGTGAATAGGAGTATGACTAGACAGAAGATAGTAGGGATGACAAGTTTTTTTGGGGCACAGTCTAAGTTGGTCTGGTGTTGAATGAGACTGGGGCCTAATAAAAAGGAGCATCTATACAGGAGCTTAAATGGGCTGTATCCTGTAACATTCTGAGGACAGGCCTGAATTCTGAGAAGCGAAAGTGGTAAAAGTATTGTCCAGTCCTTTTTAAGTTGGTGGCTGAGCTTGGTGAGGTGTGTTTTTAAAAGACCTTTAGTCCATTCTACTTTTCTTGAAGACGGAGGACCGTAAAGGATGTAAAGGTTTCACTGAATACTAAGGGCCTGAAAAACTGCTTGGCTGATTTGACTAATAAAGGCTGGTCTGTTATCAGACTGTATAGAGGTGGGAAGGCTAAACTGAGGAATTATGTCTGACAGAAGGGAAGAAATGACTGCGGTGGCCTTCTCAGACCCTGTAGGAAAGGCCTTTACTTATTCAGTGAAAGTGTCTATTCAGCCTAAGAGGTATTTTAGTTTCCTGGCTCCGGAATGTTGAGTAAAGCTAATTTGCCAGTCCTGGGTGGGGGCAAATCCTCAAGCTTGATGTGTAGGGAAGGGAGGGGGCCTGAATAATCCCTGAGGAGTAGTAGAATAGCAGATGGAACACTGAGAAGTTATTTCCTTGAGGATAGATTTCCAGGATGGAAAGGAAATGAGAGGTTCTGAGAGGCGGGCTAGTGGCTTGTACTACAGCATAGCCTGCCTTTGCTTGTGTGTGGCGATTAGGCCTGGTGGAACTGCCATCAATAAATCAAGCGTGATCAGGGTGGGGAACAGGAAAGAAGGAAATATGGGGAAATGGTGAATATCAGGTGGATCAGAGAGATACAGTCATGGGGGTCAGGTGTGGTATCAGGAATAATGTGAGAGGCCTTATTGAAGTCCGGGCCAGGAACAATGGTAATTGTAGGACTTAAAGAGTGAGTACAGCTGAAGGAGCCAGGGAGCAGAAAGTATATGCATCAGGTATGAGGAAGAAAATAGATTTTGGGAGTTATGAGAAATGTAGAGAGTGAGTTGAGCATAGTTTGTGATTTTTAGGGCCTCTAACGGTATTAAAGCAGCGGCAGCCGCTGCACGCAGACATGAGGGCTAGGCTAAAACAGTAAGGTCAAGTTGTTTGGACAGAAAGGCTACAGGGTGCGGTCCTGGCTCTTGTGTAAGAATTCTGACTGCACCAACTATGCCTAGGAAGGAAGGGAGTTGTTGTTTTGTAGAAGGTGCTGGGGTTTGAGAGATCAGTCTGACAAGAATGGCAGGGAGAGCATGTGTGTTTTTATGAGAATTATGCCAAGATAGGTAACAGATGAGGAAGAAATTTGGGCTTGATTGAAATAATGGGGGCTGTCTGTGAAGGTTTGCGGCAGTACAGCCTAGGTAATTTGCTGAGCTTGATGGGTGTCAGGGTCAGTCCAAGTGAAAGCGAAGAGAGGCTGGGATTAAGGGTGCAAAGGAATAGTAAAGAAAGCATGTTTGAGATCTAGAACAGAATAATGGGTTGTAGAGGCAGGGATTGAGGATAGGAGAGTATATGGTTTTGGCACCACGGGGTGGATAGGCAAAACAATTTGGTTGATAAGGCATAGATCCTGAACTAAGTTGTAAGGCTTGTCTGGTTTTAGGACAGGTAAAATGGGTGAATTGTAAGGAGAGTTTATAGGCTTTAAAAGGCTGTGCTGTAGCAGGCCAGTGATAACAGGCTTTAATCTTTTTAAAGCGTGCTGTGGGATGGGATATTGGCGTTGAGTGGGGTAAGGGTGATTAGGTTTTAATGAGATGGTAAGGGGTGCATGATCGGTCACCAAGGAGGGAGTAGAGGTATCTTATACTTGTGGGTTAAGTTGGGGAGATACAAGAGGAGGATGCAAAGGAGGCTTTGGATTGGGAAGAAGGGCGGCAATGAGATATAGCTGTAGTCCAGGAATAGTCAGGGAAGCAGATAATTTAGTTAAAGTGTCTCAGCCTAATAAGGGAACTGGGCAGGTGGGGATAACTAAAAAGGAGTGCTTAAAAGAGTATTGTCTAAGTTGGCACCAGAGTTGGGGAGTTTTAAGAGGTTTAGAAGCCTGGCCGTCAATACCCACAACAGTTATGGAGGCAACGGAAATAGGCCCTTAAAAAGAAGGTAATGTGGAGTGGGTAGCCTCCATATTGATTAAGAAGGGGACGGGCTTACCTTCCACTGTGAGAGTTACCTGAAGCTCGGCGTCCATGATGGTCTAGGGGGCTTCCGAGGCAATCGGGCAGTGTCAGTCTTCAGCCGCTAAGCCGAGAAGATCTGGGAAGGAGTCAGTCAGAGAGCCTTGGGCCAGAGTTCCAGGGGCTCTGGGAGTGGCTGCCAGGTGAGTTGAACAGTCCGATTTGCAGTGGGGTCCCACACAGATGGGACGTGGCTTAGGAGGAATCCTGGGCTGCCGGCAGTCCTTGGCCTGGTGGTCAGATTTCTGGCACTTGTAGCAAGCTCCTGGGGGAGGAGGTTCTGGAGGAATGCCTGACTGCTGCAGTTCAGGGGTTTGGAAGTTCTTGTGTGCTGGAGATGTGGCTGGGCTTTGTCTCACAGTGGAGGCAAGGAATTGCAACTTTTTTTTATTATTGTACACCTTGAAGGTGAGGTTAATTAAGTCCTGTTGTGGGGTTTGAGGACCAGATTCCAATTTTTGGGGTTTTATTTAATGTTAGGAGCAGATTGGGTAATAAAATGTATATTGAGAATAAGATGGCCTTTTGACCTTTTAGGGTCTAGGGCTGTGAAGCGTCTCAGGGTTGCTGCCAAACGAGCCATGAACTGGGCTGGGTTTTTATATTTGATGAAAAAGAGCCTAAACACTTCTGATTTGGCATAAAGAAAAAGGAGCATTAACCTTGACTATGCCTTTGGCTCCAGCCACTTTTTTAAGAGTAAATTGCTGGGCAGGTGGGGGAGGGCTAGTCACAGAATGAAACTGTAAGCAGGACCAGGTGTGAGGAGGGGAGGTGATAAAAAGATTGCAGGGTGGAGGAGCGGAGGCTGAGGAAGAATTGGGACGTAGCTTGGCCTGGCAAGGAGGGGAGAGGTCAGATGGGTCTGTAGAAAAGGAAGATTAGAAAGACTCAGCGATGCTTGGGGTTGGGACTGAGGGGACAGGCAGGAGGGAAAGAAGGAAGATTTGGGAGAAGTTGCACTGGGCACAGAGACTAGGAAGGGACTATTGTGTAAAAGAATGCCTGGATGTCAGGCACCTCAGACCATTTGCCCATTTTACGAAAAGAATTATTTAGATCTTGTAGGATGGAAAAATTGGAAGTGCCATTTTCTGGCTATTTGGAACTACTGTCAAGTTTGTATTGGGGTCAAGTGGCATTGCAGAAGAAAATAAGATGCTTAGATTTTAGGTCAGGTGAGAGTTGAAGAGGTTTTAAATTCTTAAGAATATAGGCTAAAGGAGAAGAAGGAGGAATGGTAGGTGGAAGGTTGCCCATAGTGAAGGAGGCAAACCCAGAGAAAAGAGAGCATAGAGACACGGAGGGAAGGGGTTCGGGGGTTCTTATCCTCCAGAAAAGTGGGAAGGGGGGTTGGGGCACGGAAATAAGGGATTGGGGCACAGAGATAAGAGGTTGGGGTGTGGAAATAAGGGATTGGGGCACAGAGATAAGAGGTCAGGGTGTGGAAATAAGGGATTGGGGGTTCTTGCCTCCTAGAAAAGCAGGACTTGTCACTAAGGGTGAAGGAGAAGGGGTTGAGGGGTACTTGCCCCTCCCCCAGAAAAGCAGAGAAGGGGTAGAGACACAGAGAGAAGGGGTTGGGGTACTTGCCCCTTCCCCAGAAAAGCAGGACTTGCCACTAAGGGTGAAGGACCAAGGCAGGCGTCCCTGCGTGGTCTGACACCTTTGAAACATGGGTGAATAATCAGAGAGGCGTCCCTGCAGTGATTTAACACCAAGGGAAGGCTGCCTTCCCAGTCCGTGACTGGCGCCGGAGTTTTGGGTCCACGGATAAAACGTGTCTCCTTTGTCTCTACCAGAAAATGAAAGGAATTGAAATTAAGAGAAGGGAGAGATTGAAGTGTGGCACCAAGATTGAAAGGAGAAAGAGGTTGAGGGACAGTGAGGGAAGCTGGAGAAAAGAGTAAAAAGAGGCCGCTTACCGGATTTGAAATTGGTGAGATGTTTCTTGGGCTGGTTGGTCTGAGGACCTGAGGTTGTAGGTGGATCTTTCTCACAGAGCAAAGTGTAGGAGGACGGGGGATTGATCTCCCAAGGGAGGTCCCCCGATCCTAGTCACGGCACCAAATTTCACTCGAGTCAGTGTGAAGAGACCAGCAAACAGGCTTTGTGTGAGCAACATGGCTGTCTATTTCACCTGGGTGCAGGCGGGCTGAGTCCGAAAAGAGAGTCAGCGAAGGGAGATAGGGGTGGGGCCGTTTTATAGGATTTGGGAAGGTAATGGAAAATTACAGTCAAAGGGGGTTGTTCTCTGGTGGGCAGGGGCGGGGGTCACAAGGTGCTCAGTCGGGGAGCTTCTGAGCCAGGAGAAGGAAATTCACAGGGTTAATCACTCAGCTAAGGTGGGGCAGGAACAAATCACAATGGTGGAATGTCATCAGTTAAGGCGGGGCAGGGCGTTTTCACTTCTTTTGTGATTCTTCAGTTACTTCAGGCCATCTGGGCATATACATGCAAGTCACAGGGGATGCGATGGCTTGGCTTGGGTTCAGAGGCCTGACATGTATGTGTGTGTGTGTATGTGTGCTTTAAAATATAAGGCTTTATTAAGGGTTTAAACTGTCAATTTGAGACAGGATTGAAATTTTACCATGAAGGTCTTAGGATGGCTTGTGCAAGCCCACAGAGCAAATAAAAACCACATACATCATAAAAATCATCTGAATGGGACGCCAGAAAAGTCACAGTTCAGAGTGTTAGTGATTTGTAACTCCTGGGTGCAGAGTAGTGTACCTAAGGGCCCTAATCCCTGTCCTTTGCAGGTGTTCAAGTCAGGGAGTTCAGGTTCCTTGCAATCAGATTTTTGCCTCAGTGGTTGTATCTGCTTCAGCAGTCATCTGTGATTGTCAAGTTGAAATTTTGCTCTTCCTCAGCCATCAGAAGTGCCTGGTTTCATCACCAAATTCAGCTTTGGGGTAAATGAAATTAAGATAAGATCTCTTTGTTCTCTAGAAATACTACATTAATAAGTCAAGGATGAATATTGTAATTTTTAGGCTAACCATTAAAAGAACTGATGATAACCATATATATTACAAGCTAATGGACAATTAACTTAGTGGGTGAAATGTAATTGCAAGGGTCCTGTACAGTATGTTCAATGATGATTATAACCCTCTCTTCTGGAATGGGAGCAAAACAATAATTCACTATCATTATAGTTGACTCTTGAACAATGTGGAGGTTGGGGCACCAACCCCTTGCACAGCTAAAAATTGATATATGACTTTTGACTCCCTAAAAACATAATCGCTAATAGCCTACTGTTGACCAGAGCTTTATTGGTAACATAAACAAGCAATTAACACGTATTTTGTATATTGTACATACTGTAGATCTGTTGAGCATTTTGCTAGAATTCTTAGTAAAAAATAGCAAAAAAAAAATGTTTATTCTAAAAGGTTTTTTAGATGGAGCTTTTAGGATTTTCTGTATGTAAGATTATGTCATCTGCAAACAGGGCAATTTAAATTCTTCCTTTCCAATTTGGTCACCTTTTGTTTCTTTTTCTTGTCTAATTGCTCTAGGCAGGTCCTTCAGCATTGTGCTGAATAGAAATGGTGAGAGTGGGAACCCTTGTTTTGTTCTTGATCTTAGAGGAAAAGCTTTCAGCTTTTCTTCATTGAGTATGATATTAGCCCAGGGCTTGTCAAAAATGGCATTTATTATTTTGTGGCCCATTCCCTCTGTACCTAATTTATTGAGAGTTTTTTTTAATCATAAAATAATGTTGAAGTTTGTCAAATAATTTTTTTCTGCATTTATTGAGATGATCATATGTTTTTTGTCTTTCATTCTGTCAATTGGTTTACCACATTTATTTGTGATGCTGAACCATCCTTCCATACCACTTAATCATGGTGTATGATCATTTAAGTATGCTGCTGAATTTGCTTTGATAATATTTTGTTGAGAGTCTTTCACATTTATGTTCATTAGGGATTTTGGCCTGTAATTTCTTTTATTGCGGCATCTTAATCTGGTTTTGATATTCAGGATACAAAATTAATATAAAAAATCAGTTGCATAGCTATACACTAACAAAGAACTATTTGAAAAAGAAGTTAAGAAAATGATCTTATTTACAAACACAAGAAAAAGAATAAAATACTTAAAAGTAAATTTGGTGAAGGAGCTGAAAGGTCTGTACACTAAAAGCTATAAGATATTGATAGAAGAAATTGAAGAAGACACAAATAAATGGAAATATATTTAATCTTCATGAATAAGAATAGTTAATATTATTAAAATGTCCATATTACCCAAGGTGATCTACAAATCAGTGCAATTCTCATCAATATTCCAATGGCATTTTTCATAGAAATAGAAATACAATCCTTAAATCCACATGGAACCACAAAAGATTCCAAATAGCCAAAGCAATCTTGTAAAAGAAGAGTAAAGCTGGAGGCATTACACTCCCAAATTTCAAACTATATTACTAAGCTATAGTAATCAAAACAGTATCGTTCTGGCTTAAAAGCAGATGCATAAACTAATGGAACAGAAAGGGCAGCTCAGAAATAACCCCATGCATATATGGTCTACTAATCTTTAACAAGGGTGCCAAAAGTCCACAACAAAGAAAGGAAACTCTCTTAAATAAAGGACACAGAAAAATCTGAATTATCAACATGCAAAATAATAAAATTGAACCTTTATCTTATAGCATATATAAAAATCAAAATAGATAAAAGATCTAAATATAAGACCTGAAACCAAAAAACTTCTAGAATATGGGAAAAAAGCCTTCTGGCATTGGTCTTATTAATGATTCTTTTAATATAATACCCAAAATAAAGTTATCAAAAGCAAAAGTAAACTAGTGAGACTACATCAAAATAACAAGCTTCTGCATGACAAAGAAAACAATAAAATAAAAAGGCAACTTACAGAATGGGAGAAAATATTTGCAAACCATGTATCTTATAAGGGATTAATCTCCAAAATGTATAAGGAACTCACACAACTCAAGAAAACAACCTTATAAAAAATCAGCATAGGATAAATGAACAGACATTTTTCCAAAGTATACAAATGGCCAACAGGTATACAAAAAGATGCTCAACATAATTAATCATCAAAAAAATTAAAATGAGAAATACAATTAGATATCATTTTACACCTGTTGGATGGCTAATATAAAAATGTCAGGAGATAACAAGTGTTGGCAAAGGTGTGGAGAAAAGGGAAGCTTCATATATTTGAGTGGGAGTGCAAATTAGTACAGCTATTATGGAAAGCAGTATGGAGGTTCCTTAAAAAATTAAAAATAGAACTACTGTATGATTTAGAAATCCCGCTTCTGTGTTTATATTTAAAATAAATTAAATCAGTATCTGGAAGATATATCTACACCCTCATGTTTATTACAGCCCTATCTACAATAGTTAATATATGGAAACAACCATAGTGTTAATCATTGAATGTATGGATAAAGAAAATGTGGTATATACCATGGGATATTATTCAGCCATAAAAAGGAAGAAAATTCTGCTATTTGTGACAATATAGATGAACCTGCAAGACACTGTGTTAAGTGAAATTAGCCAGGCACAGAAAGGCAAATTTTGAATGATTTCACTTATACTTGGAATCTGTGAAAGTCTGACTTGTAGAAAGAGAGAGTGGCATGGTAGTTGTCTGGGCCTGGCAAGTGGGGAAAAAGGGGAGAAGTTTATTAAAGGTACAAGCTTTTCATTATAAGATAATTAAGTTTTAGGGATCTCTTGTACAACATGAGTACTGATGGATGCATTAATTTGATTGGGACAATCAATGCATAATGTATATGTGTATGAAATCATCATGTTGTACAACTTCAATATACACAATCTTTATTTGCCAATTAGATATTTTAAGATAAATAAATAAGACATGGAGAAAGAAAAAAAGCAAGAGAAAAATGAAATGTTAAAGAATTGGAAAGGAAGAAATGAAATTGTCACAATTTGCAGATGACTGATGCTGTTTGTAGAATACCCTAAAGAATCTATGGACATATTTTCAGAACATATGAGTGAAGAAGCAAGTCATCCAGATTCAAGATGAACATACACACATCAATTGTGTTTCTATATACCAGAAGAGATAGGATAAAATTAAAAATTCATATAAAATCAATATAGCATCTGAAATGGAGTATTATGAATAATTTAATTACTTCTACACAGAAAACTTATCAGTCATTATTGGGGAGAATAGAAAACCTAAGTAAATGGACATATATATAGTGGTTGTGAATTAAAAACTCAATATTGTTTTTAATGTCAACTTTGCTCAAATTTATTCTTACATTCAATGCAATCTCATTCAAAGTTGATCAGATTTTCTTGTTGAGAATGCAAAGCTAATTCAAAACTTTGTAGAACTCAGAATAGCCAAGACAGTCTTTACGAGGTAAAAGAAAAGAGTTGGAAGAGTTTCACTAACACATTAGTACTTTACTATACAGTTACAGTAATCAAGACATTGTGATAATGAAACACAAACAAACAGACCAATGTAATAAAATAGCATCCAGAAAAACACCTGCACATCTTCATACTGCCACCTGATTTAAAACAAAATGCCACTTCAATACAGTGGGAGAAAAGCTGGTCTTTTAAATAAATTATGTTCGAGCAATTAAATATGTGCAAAAAATGAATTTTGATACCTATCTCACATTATACACAGAGATTATTTTGTACAGAATGTAGATCTACATGTCAAAAGTAAAACAATGACTATTCTAAAAGAAATCCAAGAAGAATATCTTCATGGGTTTTGGGTAGGCAATTGTTTATTTGGAGGACACTGTACTAACCATAAAGGAAAAGATTGGTAAATTGTAGTACATTAAAATTGAGAACTATTGTTCATCAAAAGATATCACTCAAATGTCAGAAAATTCAGGTGACAGAGTGGAAGACTATACTTAAATGTATATAACTGATAAAGCATTCATACTTAAAAAATATATATATAAATATTCTACATATCAATTAGAAGAAAAAAGTAATCCAATTTAAAAAAAATGAGCAAAAATGTTAAGTGCTCACAAAAGAATAGCTCCAAATGGCCAATAAATATTTAAAAGGTGCTCAACTTTGATCATCAAATGCCATAGGTGTAGTAAGTGTTTTAAAAAGTGAGTAACCTTGTACAATAAGTGTTTTAAAAGGTGATCCACCTTAAGCGGCAATACTTGTTTTAAAAGGTGAGCAACTTTAAAAGGTGCTTAGCTTTGGTCATCAGTAAAATACAAATTTAAACAACAATGTAATTTTTTACACACCTGATAAGATGGCTAACATAGAAAATTACAGCAATACAAAGGTAATTGAAGATGTGGAGCCATTGGAATTTCATATGGTGTTAGTGGAAGTGTAAATTATTGCAACCACTTTTGAAAACTGGCAATACCTACTAAAGCTGAACATGCATATTTCCTACAACTCTATGACCTATGCATCTAAAACCTAGTATAAGACTATTTCATAGCATCACTGTTGGTAATAGTCCACATTAAAAACACCTCAATTCCCATCAACCATAGATAAAAGTATGGCATACACATACAATGGAGTACTATATAGCATTAAACTAACATAAAAATTTCAAATCTCACACAGAAAAGGAAGTTCAAAGCAGTTACTTTTAAATGTTAAAGTCTTGAGTCCAATGTTGAATTTTATTTTTGGTGAAAAGTTGGATTTGACATACTCTTATAACCTAAAATCATCAAGCACTTTCTATTGTCATATATGTTATACATTGGGGATAGTGTAAAGGGGAATAATTTTGGAGAAAAATGCTCAATACCTATTTCTGATAAATGTTTTGTTTAAGTGTTATACACAAGTCCATGGAGAAAATCATGTTTCATAATAAAATTATCTTCTTCTTGTTAACAAAAGTTTATTAGATACATGTTACTGAATGTAAATGGGCTAAATGCCACAATTAAAAGGCACAGAGTAGCAAGCTGGATAAAAAACCAATACCCAATTGTATGCTGTCTTCCAAAGACCCATCTCACATGCAATGACACCTATAGGCTTAAAATAAAGAGATGAAGGAAAATCTCCAAACAAATGGAGAACAGAAAAAAACAGGGGTCACAATCCTAATTTCAGAAAAAACAGGCTTTAAGCCAACGGAGATCAAAAAGGATACAAAAGGGCATTACGTAATGGTAAAGGGTTCAATTCAACTGGAAGATCTAACTATCCTAAATATATGTGCACCCAACATAGGAACATCCAGATTCATAAAGCAATTTCTTAGAGACCTTCAAAGAGACTTAGACTCCCACACAATACTAGTGGGAGACTTCAACACCCCACTGACTAGACAGATCATCAAGGCAGAAAATTAAGAAAGACATTCAGGACCTTAACTCAGCACTGGATCAAATGGACCTGATAGACACCTATAAAACTCTCCACTCCAAAACAACAGAATATACATTCTTCATTCATCAATATACATTCATCACCACATGGCACATACTCTAAAACTGACCACACAACCAGACATAGAACAATCCTCAGCAAATAAAAAAGAACTAATATACCAACCATTCTTTTGGACCACAGTGCAATAATATTAGAAATCAAGACTAAGAAAATTGCTCAAAACGATACAATTACATGGAAATTAAAAACCTGCTCCTGAATGACTTTTGGATAAATAATGAAATTAAGGCAGAAATTAAGAAGTTCCCTGAAACTAATGAGAACAAAGATAAAACATACCAGAATCTCTGGGACACAGCTAAGACAGTGGTAAGAGGGAAATTTGTAGCACTAAATGCCCACACCTGAAAGTTAGAAAGATCTCAATTTAACAACCTAACATCACAAATAAAAGAACTAGAGAACCAACAGCAAACCAATCCCAAAGTTAGCAGGAGAAAAGAAATAACCAAAATCAGAGCTGAACTGAAGGAGATTAAGATGTGAAAAACCATTCAAAAGATCAATAAATTCAGGAGTTGGTGTTTGAATAAGATAATAAAATAGGCCACTAGCTAGACTAATAAAAAAGAAAAGAGTTAAAATCCAAATAAACACAATTAGAAATGACAAAGGGTATATTATCACTGACCACACAGAAATATAACTGTCAGAGACTACTATTTTCCAAAAATGTAAAATGTATAGCATTTGTATAACAGCTCAAAAGTGTAAGGCAAGTTAAATTCTGTTTCAGCTGTTTAAAATTGCATATTAAGTTGCTTTACTGTGATTCCAAGCACCTTGACATGAGAAATGGTACTATGACTTTCGTATATTTCTACACACTTGTAGTGAGCCTTAAGCCTAGTTTGAGAGATATGCTTTAAAATAGCCAATAAGATTACAACTTAGTCAAATAAGTTGTGAAGACTTTATCTCTTACATGCTTCTTATTTATAGATTTTTTGTGCTATTATTTAACAAATAGATTATGAACTAGATGCTGAAAAGGAAGTTATGCAATTTCTGTTCAATCTGTTTTTTAAAAAAACTGTCTAGCAATTAAATGATCTGAGTGAATTGGAGTTTATGATTCTAATTTTACTTTTCTGTGTTGTCTCCTGATTTTTTTGAGAAGCCAACTGAACGGTTTGATAGTAGTTTATATTATTGTGTAGGTAGTATATTCTAGGAGATGTTTAGAAATTTAAAACTCATTATATCTAGTTTAATTCCTAATATCTCCACGAAATAGCTAATGGGATTTGAATAATGGCCTGTATAAATCATACATTTATGCTTTAATTATTGCATTACTTTAATTCATTCATTTGTTCTTTTAGCCATTATATATTATTTTCCCATTATGTGTCTAGCATGGCTGTAGATACTGAGATTGCAGTGGTGAATAAGCCAATCAAGGCATTGACTCTCCCCAGTTTCCAGCCTGGTAGAGGGCAAAAATATCAAGTAAATGAGTAAGTAAGTAAACAGATAACAGATGGCAATAAATGTATGAAGAAGATTAAAAGGTGATATGATATAGATAAGGACATATAGCTAAGAGGAGCTCTTGTTTTAACTGAGATCTGAATGATAGTAATTAACTAGCCATAACAAGATAAGAAGAAGCCCCTTTTCAGGCAGAAAACACAGCTAGTGTAAAAAGCCAAAGACGAAAATCAGTTTATCCTGTTCCAGGGAAACGAGAAGTTGAATGTGCTTGAAATGAGTGGGTAATGTGAAGCATAAGGCAAGATAAGTTAAGGAGGCAGGCAGAATTAAATGATTTAAGACTTTATAAGCTAGGGAAAGAATTCATATCTTAAGCGTAATGGAAAACTACTAGAGTTTTTAAAAATGTCTTTTATGTAAACAGTGAATTGTTCACGGTAAAAGTAAAGGCTGAGAGTTCAGCTAGGGTGTCCCTGTAGCGATTCTGATGAGAGATAACATTAGGTAAACATAGAAGGTAATGCAGATGGAGAGAAGCAGATAGTTTGGGATTATGTTTTTGAGGCAGAGTTGAAAAGGCTTTCAGACTGATTAGATGTGGGTAAGAGAGAAAAATAAGAAAGAGAATTTATCTGCTTAAACAGCTTATTGAATGATAGCACCATGTATTAAGATGCAGATCAGAGGAAAAATTAGTTTTGGGGTGTTATGACCACTTCCTATTCATCCCATTGGTGAAGGAGGAATCTCGTGCCCAAAATTATAGGAGATGTTCAAGCACACAACCCCTGACACTGGACAGATGAGATCATCCAGCCACAACACACTGCATGCTGTGAAGGGCCACACAGGTGTTGCACTCAGGAGCTGAGTGAACTGGGCTGTGGGAGGCAGGCTTTGTTAGTAATGGGAGGGTGAGATGTCCCCTGGTTCCTGCAGAAGGATTGGATTGCTTTGCTTGAGTAATTGTATGGGTTGGCCGGGAGATTAAACCTGTTAGGTTGAGGACAGGGTAGAATGCAACAGCTGACGGAAGAACTAGCTGGGCAGAGAACATTTCCTACTGAGTAGGGGCATATCTGGTGACAGCAAGAGAACTCACAGATAGGCCTTTCGGGCCCTGTAAAGTTAAAAATGTCAAGGCAGCACTTGAAAGTTTAGGTCTTACCCTACGTCGGGGAAATTAAGGTCCCTTTGGCCATGTTACATTTGAGATGACTGTAAAGACTGCATCGAAGTGGAGACATCATGTTGTATATGTAAGTCTGAAACTGTGAGACATCAGAATTGGAGGTAAAGATTTAGGCGATAAGGACATTTAACATCATGGGACTGAGTAGAAGAATGTGTAGATAGAGAAGAGAAAAGGTTGAGCTTTAGATGCGTTTCAACATTGAGAGTTGGAGCAGAGGAAAGGGAGCATCAAGGAGACTTGGAAGAGTAGCTATTGAGGTAGGAAGAAAACCAGGAAGGCGAAGTGTTATGAGCTGAGAGAAGCATTCCAAGAAGGAAGTGATTATTTCTGACAAATGCTGCTGAGTTGTCATAGAAGGTAAGTAATCATCAGACCTGCAACGTGATAACCTTGACAAGAGAGTCTCTGTAGAGTTGTGGGAAATTGGATGTTCTTGGTAGGTACTTATTTATAGTTAGTTGAAACTAGTGGTGTCTGCTGGTCTGTAGCCTCTAGTTACTGTTTCCTGTTAATCGCACTATGTAAAAAATAATCTATGGAATCAAAGGCAAATTGATAAGCTCAGAATTCCATAGAAAATTGGCCTCATCTCCCTTTCACAAGTCAATGTAAGATTTTGTGAGCTGTTTTCTATCCAATAGTGCAATTGCTTATGGTCATAGGCAGGAGTATAACAAGCACCCCATGGCCCTGCCTTTCTGTCATGGCACACTCCATGATTGGTTATACTGGGGCCCTGCTAACCTACTTTATTTTCACAAACAAGACAAGCTCCCATCTCAGAGCACTGGCACATACTTTTCTCTCTGTCTGGAAACATAATCTCTTTTCTTCTGGATGATCTCAACTTTAGGATCACCTTAGGTTTCTTCTTAAATGTCCCTTTCTTAGGAAAGTCTTCCTGGTCTCATAAATTGGCTTATGTTTCCCTGCAATGCACTCTTATCCTGATTTTTCCCTTTACAACTCTTGAACGCATCTGCATTCCATGTTCATATAATTATCTGAGTACTATCTCCTTTACTCGACTATAAATTCTATGAAGTCATCTTCTCAATATATTTTATTCTTCACGGTATTTCTGGTGCTTGGCACAAGCCCTGGTGTAAAGGGAGTGAACAATAAATTATAAAAATAAAATAATAATAAATACCAGAGGGTTTTTCTTTGAGGGAGGTGGCAGACAGTTTATTAATTCTTTTTTTTCTTCTTTTTTATTTTATTTTTGTTACAGATGAAAACATTTACTTCAGACTGTTTACTACTGTTCGATTCTATTTTTCCTTTGATTTTCTCTTCTCAGTCATAAGTGGAAATGGAAGGGATTCATTCAAAGGTAGGGATAAGGACAAAATCCATTTCAATTAAAAAATTACCTTATGTATAGGATAAGATTATTGAAATGGAAACTATTCTGTTTATTAGTATTGCTTAACTTATTTGCTTCTGTGCTCAACTTCACTGTTTAAAAAACCTCATCGAACATCAAACTGTAATATCTACATAAAAATAGTTTTATTTCAGGAAAGCTACACTAGTTTATATATAGTTTCATAGTAAAATTTTATCTACTTTTGTTGTTATTTTTGCACTGCATATACTTTAAAATATTAATGACTAACAAACATGGGAAGATATTTTGTTAATGGAATAATGCTTCAGAGTTCTTTTTGTCATTCCGTGGTCAGTAATTACTTACCAGCAGTAGACAATGTTCTGAGACAGGGGATTGTCTACACTCCATACATAATCTTCATTTCAACTTTGCCCCTCACTCTGAACTTGGTGTCACTCAGTTCTTGATCTTTATATCTCCCCTCCCTGTACCTCAAGCCCTTTATCTCTCCACTCATACTTGACCCTTATTGTTTCCCACATTTCCCTCTCTGAACTGAAGTGGTAAGTCTCAGACATGAACTGAGCACATTGCTTTAAAAATTGTGGTAATAAAACAAAGCTGAATATTTCATCAAAAGCCTTCCTGAAATAAAAATGACTGCATTAGTATTGCTGGGCCAAAATGTTATGTACTAGCTTGTGTATATAGTAGAAATTAAAAAAAAATTTTTTTCATTGCTAATAATGATTCAGGAAACACACTGCACACCAAGTTTGATCTGACGTGTTACAGTTAGGAAAGGCTTTGATCATTTGTAATCAGATTAGTGTCCAGTCAAATGACTTTGATGGCTGGCTGAGAGAATCTGAGAAGAATGCGAGGAAGACATGAGAATGTCTTTATTTGTGTGAATCTAAATTGATATTATAAAAGGTAACTGGCTCTGCCTTGCAGAAGAAATTTTTCAGTTGGCATTGTCAAATCTCAAGATAGTTTTATTGGTGCCTGATGATATACCATTAGCTTTCTTAACTTCGAAAGTTATTTAGCAGTTAGTGGAAAAAAAATTGTGTATTACTTAGGCTTCCTTGTTCCTGCATACTCTGTTCTCTGTGCTTGCCTTTTTTCTCCTCTTCAGATAATTTGTATTTATTCTTTAGGATTCAGCTCAAGCATCTCTTTGTGAAAATTATTCCCTGTTTATCTCTTCTTTCCTACCAATTCTTTGACATAGGCAGAGGTCCTCTCCCCAACCTGCTCTCATGGCACTCTCTCTCTCTATATATATTCTTTGATAATTTATTATATTGTAGTGAAATTATTTGTTCACAAATGTAACTGGAGGTTAACTTGCATTTTGATGGTTCAACAAGATAGATTCATCAAGGATAGATGCAATATTAATCAAGTCTGTCAGGCATAGATTAGAATTTTTATCCAAGGAACAATATATAAAAAATAAATAAATGAAAATGACTATATAATAATACTTATTCTTTCATAAGTTCTCAAATTTGTCTTTCCATGTAGGAAGACAATATACTAGTCAGTATTCTGATATTTTCTCCAGTTTCTGGGAACTTTGTTAATATTGCTTAACTATCTTAATTTGGAATCAATACTGGGACACCCTAAGGCTTAGAATAAGAACCAGAACTGGGGTTAATTGATCATGGTAACCAGGCTTCATACAATGTCTAAGCATTCATCTGATCAGCCTCTTCTCTGAAAACACTATGTGCTTTAAAACACATAGAGGTGGGCCAGGTAGTGGCTCACGCTTGTAATCCCAGCACTTTGGGAGGCCGAGGCAGGTGGATCATGAGGTCAGGAGATTGAGACTATCCTGGCTAACACGGTGAAACCCCGTCTCTACTAAAAATACAAAAAATTAGCTGGACACGGTGGCGGGCGCGTTGTAGTCCCAGCTACTCAGGATGCTGAGGAAGGAGAATGGCGTGAATCCGGAAGGCAGAGCTTGCAGTGAGCCAAGATCACGCCACTGCACTCCAGCCTGGGTGACAGAGCAAGGCTCCATCTCAAAAACAAAACAAAACAACAACAAAAAAACACTTATAGGTGGTAGTTCATCTACTTCAAAACTACTACACGAAATGCATAATGTCTACTCTTTAAAGATTAAAACATCAGAACGCAAAACACTTGTTTGTTTCCTAGGGTTATTATGATAGTCATAGATGGATAAACATAGCATTTACTTCAAGTTCATGTGGCTGCATCTCAGAAACTATTAGTTAAAGCCATGGGTAGGTTCTAGAGTCAAACTACCTGGATGCAAAGCTTAGTTTCATGAGTAGCAAACTGTAGTTTGGGCAGGATGCTTAAAATTTCTGTTCTAATTTCTTCATTTATAAGATTGGGATAATACTCTAGTTCATTAAGTTGTGTTTAATAAGCCATGTATGACTTTCAAAATACTGACTAAATGCTTAAGTTGGTAATATGAGGTGTGAGGCTGATTAAAGATAATAAATTATATTTGGCAAAATAAATGTTAACTTTTAACAACTCTTACTAAACTGAACATAGTTGTTTTGCCTTCTTACACATATTTTCTGTTAAAGACAGATAAAATAGAGCTACAGTTCTTTCATGAGAGGGCCTTCGCAGTGAAACAAACATATTAGCTCAGCAGTGGAAGACTCCTGGGTACTCTTCAGGGATGAGTCATGTGGTGATTGAAAATGTGCTTGGGCTGGACCAGCAGTTTGCTGGCCTAGACCTGGCCTATTCAGATAATCAGAGTGGGGGAAGTACAGCCAGCAAAGGGCACTATATCCCTTTTCGTTGAGGAACAGAGCAGCTACTAAGGATTCTACCATAAAGACAGTTTAGGGTGGCGTTCTAGCAAAGATAAGGATGCCTACAGCAGTTTTGAATCTCCTAATGATTCAAGCACTAAGTCTAGCTTCTTCAGAGATCATGGAAGTGGATCAAGGGGAGGGTTTGATAATCATGGATGGAGTGATTATGATGGCACTGGCAGCCATTGTGACAGAAGTGGCTTTGGCAAATTAGCATGTGGTGAAAACAGTCACTGGTGTGACAAATAAGATGAAGATGATTGGTCAAAACCACTCCCACCAAGTGAATGCTGGAACAGGAACTCTTTTCTGGAGGCAACACTGGGATTAATTTTGAGAAATACGATGACATTCTAGTTGAGGCAACAGACAGCAATTGTCCTCCACATATTGAAAGTTTCAGTGATGTTGAGATGGGAGAAACTATCATGGGAAACATGGAGGTTATTATACTAGCCTGACTCCAGTGCAAAAGCATGCTGTTACTATTAGAAAAGAGAAAAGAGACTTGATGGCTTGTGCCCAAACAGGGTCTGGAAAACTGCAGCATTTCTCTTGCCCATGTTGAGTCAGATGTATTCAGATGGTCCAAAGGAGGCTTTGAGGGCCATGAAGGAAAATTAAAGGTGAGGGCGCAGCAAACAGTACCCAATCTTCTTGGTATTAGCCCCAAGAAGAGAATTGGCAATACAGATCAATGAGAAAGCAAGAAAATTTTCGTACTGATCTAGAGTTCCTCCTTGTGTGATTTATGGTGGTGCTGTTATTGTTCAGCAGATTTGAGTCTTAGAAGGTGGATGGCACTTGCTACTAGCCACTCCAGGATATCTAGTGGATATGATGGAAAGAGGAAAGATTGGATTAAACTTTTATGAATACTTGGTGTTAGAAGAAGCTGATCAGATGTTGGATATGGGGTTTGAGCCTCAGATACATAGAAAAGTTGAACAAGATACCATGCCTCCAAAGGGTGTCCACCAAACTATGATGTTTAGTGCTACTTGGCCTAAGGACATACAGATGCTCGCTCATGATTTCTTCAATGAATATATTAATACCTTATTGGCTGTATGGAGGAGTTGGCTCTACCTCTGAGAACATCACAAAGAAAGTTGTTTGGGTGGAAGAATCAGACAAAGTTGTTTCTGCTTGACCTCCTAATACATCCACTTGATCCCAGGCAAGTACGCACTAACCTTAGGTTTATGGAGACCAAAAAGGGTTTTTATTCTCTAGAGGATATCTTATACCATGAAGGATAGTCATGTACCAGTATCTATGGACACCATTCTCAGAGGGATAGGGAAGAAGCTCTTCACCAGTTACCCTCAGGAAAAAGCCCAATGCTAGTGGCTATAGCAGTAGCAGTAAGAGGACTGGACCTTTCAAATGTGGAACATGTTATCAATTTTGATTTGCCAAGTGATATTGAAGAATATGTATATGGCATTGGCCATACAAGATGTGTAGAAAACCTTGGCCTGGCCACCTCGTTCTTTAATGAGGGGAACATAAATATCACTAAGGATTTGTTGCATCTTCTTGTTGAAGCTAAACAAGAAGTGCCATCTTGGTTAGAAAATATGGCTTATGAACACCACTACCAGGGTAGTAATTGTGGACGTTCTAAGAGTGGCAGATTTAGTGGAGGATTTGGTGCCAGAGGCTACTGACAAAATAGTGGTGCCAGCCGTTCCAGTTTCAGCAGCAGCCATGCAAGCAGCAGACACAGTGGTGAAGGTGGCCACGGCAGCAGCAGAAGATTTGGTGGAGGTGGCTATGGAGGCTTTTGCAACACTAATAGATATGGAGGAAATTATAACTCCCAGAGAGTTGACTGGTGGGTAACTGAGCCTGCTTTGCAGTAGGTCATCCTGCCAAACAAGCTAATATGGAAACCATATGTAACTTAGCTGGATGATACCTTGTGTAGCTTGAAGAACTTGCAGTATATTACCAGCTGTGATTCTCCACTAATTTTTTCTTTTTTAAGGGAGCTCAAGGTTCCACAAGAAGAAAAAAAGAACAATTAACAACCTTGTTTGGAAGGTGGTTTGAAGACTTCATTGCCATTGTTTGGATTAATTCCCCTCCTGCCTACCTCCAACCCAAACTGCATTTATAATTTTGTGACTGAGGATCATTTGTTTGTTAATGTTAACTTTAGATAACTTTTTATTTTGATGTCCTGTTGGCTCAATACATCAATTGTTTTGAAAAAATTACTGAACTTGGGCTAAAGTCAAACCTTGGGACACAGGTGTGATACAACTTAATAGGAACCATCGATTCATCCATAAATATTTTAAGGATAAACCTATTTGGTAGCCTCCATTAGGGCTTTTTGATACTTGAAAACTGGGGGAAAACAAACAACAAATCTTGTAAAGTATATTAATGGAATTAGTTTCTACTGCTGCAAACTGTATTAAGTTAAAGTTCTGATTTTCTCACTCTGTCCTGGATAGGTATTTGTAACCTCACAGCCTTTAAACAAGCCATTCCAGTCACGATGAGGTGATGTATGAATACATGCATACATTCAAACACTGTCTTCAAAGTTAACTCAAGTAAATACAGCAACTCCTCTTTCAGTGTTTAGGCAGATTATTAACTATGAGCTAGCCAAATGTGGGCATACTATTACAGGGAATGCTTAAAGATCCGGTAACTTGAAATAGGTTTTTAGGAGAACTCATCTGCTTAGACTTTTTAAATGCCTGCCATAAATGAAATTGAAATGGTAGATGGGGACCACAGCAAAGACCAACCCTCGTTAGGGCCCTGGATGATTTTTGGTCTAATAACACATGCTAGTGTTGATGTTTTCTGGTTAAGAGGGTATGAACAGGAAGAATTATGCAGCAGGCTTTACTTTAAATGCTGATTCACATGATTGTTCAAGCTGAGTTGAGATGCTAAACTGGCTTACTATAGACTTTGTAAAAATGGCTCCAGAAGAGTAACTAACTGAAATCTTTAAGCTCACACAGGTTGGAAATATGTACATAATTGCACAAGGTGTCAATTTACTCTACAGCGCAGTTTTAGTTGCATAGGTTTCCATTGTATTTATAGTCAATTTAAGTTAAATCTGGCCAAAGATGAGCATTGTTCACCACTAAAATGCCTCTGCCACTTTGAATTCTGATCTAATTTTGTGGCCAGAATGTGGTGATTAAAGCGCTCAGTCTTTTTACAGTGGCATAGGAAAATGGCAAAAATTTCCTAAAGTGCAGTAGATTTTCAAGTGTATTGTGCCTTGTTCTAGAACTTTTATTAAGTAGGTACACTTGACAGTATTGAGGTCATTTGTCATGGTGCTATTTAATTAGTCTAGGTTTAGGCCCTTGTACTTATTGTCCATAATTTGTACAAAGTACTTCTTTTATTGCACATTAAGATATATATGCATATACGTCTTCTCTTGTCTTGTGTGCATGTCCTTAAACTTCCAATCTTATTTTGTCTCTTGGAGATTGTTGAACACAGCTTGTCTGGGAAGGGGATGGGACTAGATTTCTAAAATTTATTTGGGACCATTGGGAAGAAAACTATTTGCACACGACAGATTTCTAGATACTTTTTGCTGCTAGTTTTATGTAATATTTATTGAACATTTTGACAAATATTTATTTGTAAGCCTAAAAGTGATTCTTTGAAAGTTTAAAGAAACTTGACTAAAAGACAGTACAAACACAATGGCACTTGAATGTTGAATGTCACCATATTCGTGAAATTATATATTTCAGGGTAGTGTGAGCTTTTAATGTTAAGTCATATTAAACTCTTAAGTCAAATTAAGCAGACCTGGCATTGGCAGTATAGCTATAATTTTCTGATATTAGTAAAAACAAAATTGACAACTTGAAATTAAATCATGCCAAGGTATTGATACACTTGTCTTAAGATATTAATGAAACACTTCACCACACTGATACGAAGTGTCCAGATTTTCAGATGTTTGTTGTGTGAGTTTTGTTGAATTTTATGTATTTTTTTTCAGTGAATGTCTGGCACATTGCAATCCTCAAACGTGATTATCTTTAGTTGGCAATTTAGTTGGCATAATCAGTGACTTGTACATTCAGTGATAGCGTTTGAGCAAGTTTTATCAGCAGGCAGTATTTTCAGTTAATAAATAAGATTTCAAAATCATGTAAGGTTTTAAACTTGCTGAATGTAAAGATTGCACCTCAAGTCACTGTACCTTTAGTAATTGCTTAGTATAATAGTTCAGATGCTAGCAATGCATGTGCTGTGAATATTCTGATTTTATTAAAATAAAGTTGAACTACAAAAAATAGATAAGATGCATAAATTGAACAATCTCTAAGACTACATGGAAAGGAAACTCTTGTTCTTGGTATAATATTATGGACCACTGTGAATGTTCTATGGACTTTGTATTCTATATATACTCATATTCTCTGAGGATGATCATAATGGTAGATTGAAATATCACAATGATCTCAACCCCATTCTTAGCAATGCAATTTCATGTGATCATTTAAAAGTATTAGCAATGCACTTATATAGTGCTTAGATATTTTTAGTTGCTTTCACTCTTATCTATAAGGGGTTGTCCTTAATAATCATAGTTTACAAGATTATCATGTGAGGTAGGTTGCTATCATACAAGGTAGATGAACTACATTGTGTATTGAACCATGAATTCCATGGATTTTGACAGGCATAAAAGATAAATGGCTGATTTGTGTTTGTGGAAGTTCATTCAATTCCTGAGAAAAATCAGGAGGTGAAATCTAAGAAATATTAAGCCATCGAGAGGAGGCAGCTATCTTTTTGAAATTAAGATGGGATGACAGGTCTTTCAGCCTGAGAACAGCTAGCATGTGTACTTTAGTTGTCATGCTCAAGGTCAAAAGAAATTTCAAAGTAGTTAAAGAGGTTGCTTGATTGCCTGCCCGCCGTTCGTTCGTTCTTTCTCTTTCTTTCTTTCTTTCTCTTTCTTTCTTTCTTTCTTTCTTTCTTTCTTTCTTTCTTTCTTTCTTTCTTTCTTTCTTTTCTTTCTTTTTCTTTCTTTCTTTCTTTCTTTCCTTCCTTCCTTTCTTTCTTTCTCCTTCCCTTCCTTCCCTCCTTCCTTCCTTCCTTCCTTCCTTCCTTCCTTCCTTTCTTTCTTTCTTTCTTTCTTTTTCTTTCTTTCTATCTTCTTTTTGGAGTTTCACTCTTGTTGCCCAGGCTGGAGTGCAGTGGTGTCATCTCGGCTCACCACAACCTCTGCCTCCTGGGTTCAAGTGATTCTCCTGCTTCAGCCTCCCAGGTAGCTGGGATTACAGGTATGCGCCACCACACCTGGCTAATTTTGTACTTTTACTAGAGATGGGATTTCTTCATGTTGGTCAAGCTGGTCTCGAACTCCCAGCCTCAGGTGATCCACCCGCCTCGGCCTCCAAAAGTGCTGGGATTACAGGGGTGAGCCACTGCGCCCGGTCTGATTTTATTTCACTATGAATTTGGAGCTCTAAGCCTAAAAGAAGGTTTCTCATAATTCATGGAAAAAGGAGGAAACTTTCTCTAAAATATTTCTTGTGTGCATATTTACAAAACCTAAACATAGATTTTTTTTGGAAATATTTAAATATGCTATTTTAAAGAGTTTCATTTTTCCATGTTTATATAAGGCATGTTAAAATAGTTGTACACCTAAGATAATACAGCAGCTTTCAGCATTTAAGTATAAGTGATTGAATGTTGATTTATGAACATTACAGACCAGAAGATTAATAAAAATTTTTGCATAGTGAAAAATAATTAGGATTTGACCTCATTTTTATGCTTATATCCATATAAGGAATATTTTCACTTATTTTATGTTTAAATATCCATTATCAGTAAGGGAAGCTAATGATATACATTTTTACATCTACATATATCTTTGTGATGCACAGCCATTTAAATTCAGATATTGAAATACACCACTGCCAGGAGAGGAAATGCACACAATACTTAACCTCTAGAACTTTGTCATTGCTATAGACCAGTGCCTGCTGTGTCTTTCCATTGTTCCCTTTTCTGAATTTGAGTTTGTAATTATGTTTATGTTATGTATGTTACCCTTTCTCCACCACTGTATATTAGATGTACAGCAGGACAGATGCCTTGGCATTTTAGATCGTAGATTATAGAACTACGAGTAGCCCCATTAAGGTCAGATGGAGAAGACCACACACCAGCTGGATATCTCAACTTTGAATAGGATGAAGTAACTGGAAGCTATTTGGGAATGTCAAAAATGGGATGTGACAGGGTATGTTCTGTGTTGGGCACTAATGGTGCTCCTAGATATTTGGTAGCCAGGTAGGTAATCTGTAGCATAAGGCTAGATTTTCACCGGTTATGCTGCCTCCCCCACAGTGCTAAGTTGTTGCTGGGAAGTAGCTGCCTAGTCAGGGTCTGTATTTCTCTGGATCCCTTGCAATTAGGTGGTATCATATATCCAGTATTGCCAGTGGAAGGCAGTTAGGAATTAGATGTATCTTTTCTAAGACTTCTCTTTTCTCATGCCTTGATGCAAGAAAACACATTGAGAGTTGGATTTTGGCAGTACCAAAACCACAAGAGGGAAAGAGTTCAATTCATTGACTCATATCTTGGAGAAGAACCACATCCTCCAAAAGCAAAAATCTTATTTTGGAGCTTAGTGTGAAAAATAAACCACTTAAGGTGTTATACATTTTCAGTATCATATATTTAAATGATTATTACTATAACTATTGAAAAATATATGTTTGGCATTTAAAAGTCAATTTCTTAAAAGTAACTTTCATTTTTTGGTGGCTTTGAATTGGCAGTGTAGTTTTTGTCTTTAAATGAATGGTGCATTTGATTTTAAAATTATTTTTCATTTTTTATTGAGGTACTTAAACTGTCAACTTTAGCGTTTTCCTCACAGATCTGTGTTTTCTGTACTATCACCTTGATCTTTAAATTGAAATTATTTGTTCTTCATGTTCTTTTTAAAGCTTTTAATGAGCTTGCAGACAACTATCTCTTTGCTGTTCCTACTATTAATATTGCAGATGCAACCCTGGGATAGTGTAAAGGTAGGGTAAAGGCAGAGCACTCACTTGACAAGGGGTAGCATGGGATGGATAGGATGGGATGGATTAGATGCAACACAAAGCAATGAGGTAAGGTGAGATGGAATAACTGTGTAGTAGTAACTCAAAAGTATCACAAATTTTTGGACCACATTAGCCTGGATGACTATTCTTAAGTAAAGAAACAATGTTGGGAGGCTGAGGCAGGCGAATCACGAGATCAGGAGATCGAGACCATCCTGGCTAACACGGTGAAACCCTGTCTCTACTAAAAATACAAAAAAATTAGCCAGGCACGGTGGCGGGCACCTGTAGTCCCAGCTATTCAGGAGTCTGAGGCAGAAGAATGGCATGAACCTGGGAGGCGGAGCTTGCAGTGAGTGGAGATTGCGCCACTGCACTCCAGCCTGGGCGACAGAGAAAACTCCATCTCATTAAAAAAAACAAAAACAAAAACAAAAAAACAATGTTATTCTGGCTTGGCTTTGGATTAAAAGGCTTTGGCTAGGGAATTTACACTCTTTGTTTTCTCTCTTTATTGTGTAGGCAGAGAGAGTTTAATTTTAGCCCAATTCTTTTATTCTTTAATAATGAGCCATATTAGTCAAGATTTGCATTCTAGCACCCATTCTTTCAATATGTAAACAACTTTTAAGTATGCAAAATTTTCTTTGAGACGCCTGGGTTCTGCCACTAGGACCCAACATTTTGAGTTAGTTTTTCTTGCCTAAAGCCCACATACTTGCCTAAAGTCCAGCATCCTCACTGAACCACCACTGGGCTGTTCCACCTTGTTTCTCCTTCCCTATTTCAGGTTCTCAGTTACTTCTTGGGTGCTCAGAATTTGCTGTTACCATGATTGCATATGCTGAAATCAATGAATTCAGTCATGCATACTGCCAACTCTCTCCGCTCATTACGCTTGCATATATGAGAATTCATGGTGCTCTGCTAAATAAAGGGTTATGTTTGGGGGTCACTGCCTTTTAAGAGCACAAAACTGAAGCTTTAAATGTTTTAGTGCTTTCCACAGCTTAGTGTTTAAACACGTGCTCAGAGATGAATTCATTAAAATGCACTCATCCTCTCAGGCCACTTAGGATTGCCCACATGCATCCATTCTCAGGCTATTTGAAAACAGGAGGAAGAGGAAACTCAACAATGGATATTTCTAGTACAGAAAGGATTTATGATTCAGAACGTATAACAATATTCTGGTGACTTTGCATTCATGCACTACTATCCTTTTCTATAATCTTTCCAGTACATTTTAGAATAAACTGTGGGCTTGCTACAAACTGAGAAGAACAAATCAATGAAAATAAAAGATATAGGTAATCAAAAGAGGTCTTCAATTTTCCTCCTGAAAACTCAGACAAGGTGGAGGCTCAATTCAGTTAGGGGAAGATTGGGCTGTTCATAATTGCCTATGTGACTTGTCAGTTCCTTTTTAATTCGTACAAAACCTTTGTGAGTGTGACATTATATCTAGACGATAGTTATGTTAATTTCCCTAATTGTGATATTATCTGCCTATCAATAGCCACCTATTCTAAACTTTAAAACATGTAGCAATTTTTCATGCTTGAAACTCAAAGTGACAATAACGTTGGAAAAAAATAAAGACATTTCCTGTGAATTCAGTTAAAATAGAATGCTCACTTTTTCCACAGAATAATGCTTTTTAAAATTTTTATTGCTTATGCAGTACATGCTTATTAAGGAAAATATGGTTAACACAGGAAAATAAAAGGAAAATTGTAAACTGTAATTTTACTAAAGACGTCTACATAACATTTAGGTACAGTTTCTTTTCTCAAGGCATCTATAAAAGATATTTGCCATTCTTGTTGAATTCTCAGCATGTGTGTTTGAGGAATTTCCAGCTTATGAAGCAGATCTTGCCTCTCATTTTAGAAGCAGAAAACCCAAGGCTTATTTTCAGTTGGTCCCATAGCTAAGTGCAAGCACATTAACTTCGGCTATCCCAATTTGATATGCACACTCTGGGCTTTGGATTGAGAATTCTTGAGGCAAAGCAGCAGAGACACAGGAGAATGTATTCCCATTGGGGTGGAGAGGCAGTAGCATCAATATCCAATTTCCAGAGGGAGAAGAAGCAACAATTTCAGTGTTAGCATCATTTACATGGTTTTGGTGATAAAACATTTTTGAGTGACAGTGACTATGCCCTGCAGTTCTGGTGGCAGTGTAGCTACTTTAATGGTTCTGAGGTGTGATTTATGTATTGACAGTGACTACCAGGCCCCACACTTGTTCTTCTAGCTCTCAAAGTTTACAAGTTTCCTAACATAGTATCATGCCTATAATCTTAGAACTCTGGGAGGCTGAGGCAGGAGGATCACTTGAGGCTAGGAGTTTGAGACTAGCCTGGGAAACATAACAAGACCCTGTCTCTACAAAAAAATTAAAAAAATGTATCCAGGTGTGGTGGCGTATGCTTGTAGTCCCAGCTATTTGGGAGGCTGAGGTGGGAGGATCACTCAAGCCCAGGAATTTGAGGCTGCAGTGAGCTATGATCACATCACTACACTCAAGCCTAGGCAAGAGAGTAAACCCTCTTGTAAACAAACACACAAACACAAGTAAATAAATAAAAATTTATTTTTACTAAGATTATCTGAGTTAGTTTATACTGCTCACAACTAAAAACACTGAATCAGTGGATTATTTTTTATTATGTGGTTGGAATCCTATTTATCATGTTTCTTAGTCTGGGGTGAATTCTACCTAGGGACCGGAATTTTCTGAAGGAAATTTTTATGTATGGTTTCAGAGTTATGTTCATAATTAAAGGAAATATTAATAAAAAATTCCAGTTCCATTTGCAAAGACAGAAACTGATTCATTATTTTGTAAGTTACTTTTTAAGGTTTCTTCAACTATTTTGCTTGCTGATTTGATAATTTTCTTCCTTAGAGTTCCTTTAAAAGACATAGGTCATTGACTTCTGCTTAATAAAACTCCTATTTTTTTAAAAAAAATAGGTTTATTGATATATAATGTACACGTTTAAATGTTCAATCCAGTAGTTTTTAGTATATTTACAGAGTTGTGCAGCCAACCCAATAATCTAATTTTAAAACATTCTCATCATTCCAAAAAGAAATTGTGTGCCTCTTCACAGTCATTATCCTTTTACACTCCTTCCTCTCTCCTTTAGCACTAGGCAACCAGGCAACTGCAAAGCTAATTTCTTTCTCTTTAGATTTACCTACTCTTTTTATTTCATAGAATTGGAATTACACAGTATATCGTCTTTTGTGGCTGGCTTCTTCCACTTAGCATAATGGTTTTGAGATTAGTCTATGTCATAATACATATCAGTATTTAATTTCTTATTATGGATTGCCAAATAAAATTTCATTTTATTGCAATTCCATGTTTTATTTATCCATTCATGAGTTGATAGGTAGTTAGGTTGCTTTCACTTTTTTGCTATTATAAATAATGTTGCTATGAATGTCTGTGTATAAGTTGTGTGTGAATTTATGCTTTCATTTCTCTTGGTTAGATACCTAGGAGTAGAACATCTGGGGTCCTATGGTAACTCTGTGTTTAACATATTGAGAAACTGATGAAGTGTTTGCCATGGTGGCTGCACCATTTTACACTCAATTCAATTTAATGTATCCACATTCAATGCATTCGGTTTCTCCACATTCTTGCCACAGTATGTTATTGCCTGTCTTTTTGATTATAGCTATCCTAGTAGGCATGAAGTGGTATTTCATTGTGGTTTTGATTTCCAATTCCCTAATTGAGCAAATAATTATGGAGGCTGAAAAGTCTCATAATCTGCTATCCACAAGCTGGGGAACCAGATAAGACAGTGGTGTACAGTAGTCCCCTCTTATTTGTGATTTCACTTTCCATGGTTTCTATATGTGTATGTTATAACTAGGTGGTTCATAGTATTGCGTATGTTCTCTATTTTCTTATTAACTATCTCTGTAGATGTTCTGTCCATCATTGAAAGGGGAGGGTGTTGGAGTCTTCAAGTATTATATTACTGTAGAGCTATTGTTCTCTTTATTTCTGTCAATATATGTTTTATACATTTTGGAGCTCTGTTGTTAGGTGCTTTTACATTTACAATTATTATATCTTCTTGATGGGTTGAGCCTTTTAGAGTTGTGTAATATCCTTCTTGGTCCCTTGAAATAGTTTTTCACTTGAGGTCTAATTTGTCTGTTGGTATAGCTAACTCAGTTCTTGTTTAGTTACTGTATTACATGAAATATATTTTATCCTATTTGTAGCTCTAGATCTAAAGGGAGTTTCTTGTAGAAAGTGTGTAGTTGGATCACTGTTTTTTTTCATTATGCCAGTTTTTGCCTTTTGGTTGGATAGTTTTAATCTGCTTACATTTAAAGCAGTTACTGAGAAGAAAGGGTTATTTCAATCATTTTGCAATTGTTTTCTGTAAGCGTTAGGCCATTTTTGTTTCTAATTTCCTCTTTTATTGACTCCTTTTGTATTCAATGTATTTTTTGTAGTTAAACCATTTTGTGTCCCCTTTCATTTCCTTTTTTGTATTATTTTTTAAAGATATTTTATTTGCAGTTGCATGGAAATACTTTAACATCTTAAGTTTATGACAATCTAGTTTTAATTGATATCAATTTAACTTCAATAGCATAGAAAATTCTCTGCTCCAGGACAGTTCTGTCCCCACTTGTATGTTGTTATCATCAATTATATATTTATACATCATGTTCTTAACAACAGATCATAATTATTTTTATGCATTTGTCTTTTAAATTGTGTTGTAAATTAAAAGTGAAATTATGAATCAAAAATGCAACTACAATACAGTAACACTGGATTTTATATTTGCCCAGGTAGTCACCAGAGAGCTTTATTTCTTCAATGACACTGAGTTACGGCCTAGTGTGCTTCAATATCAACCTTAAAAACATCCTTTAGCATTTTGTATAGGGCAGGCCTACTGATAAAGGACTCTCTTGGTTTTTGTTTATTTGAGAACATCTTAATTTCTTCCTCATTTTTTGAAGGATAGTTATGATGGATTAGAATATTTTTTTCCAGCACCTTAAATAATATCATCCCATTGCCTTCTGGCCTTCATAATTTCTGATAAGAAATCAATTCTTTTTTTATTTTATTTTATTTTATTATTATACTTTAAGTTTTAGGGTACATGTGCACAATGTGCAGGTTTGTTACATATGTATACATGTGCCATGTTGGTGTACTGCACCCATTAACTCGTCATTTAGCATTAGGTATATCTCCTAATGCTATCCCTCCCCCCTCCCCCGACCCCACAACAGTCCCCGGAGTGTGATGTTCCCCTTCCTGTGTCCAAGTGTTCTCATTGTTCAATTCCCACCTATGAGTGAGAACATGCAGTGTTTGGTTTTTTGTCCTTGCGATAGTTTGCTGAGAAGTGTAAGCTCTATTAGGGTCTGGACTCATTAATAGTTATTGAATGAATTAATGAGTTTTTAAAAATAATAAAATAAGCTGAAAATAAATTTTTTATTTTCATATTCTCATAAAATCATCATTCTCAGAAATCAATTCTTTTAAAATTTATTTTCAGATTATTATTTTTAAAAACTCATTCATTCATTCAATAACTATTAATGAGTCCAGACCCTAATAGAGCTTACACTTTAATTGGGGAAATATACAATAAATATAATGAATTATTAAATTATGTAGTATTCTGGAAGGTGATAAATGCTATGAAACAATAAACATCAGGATGGAGGATAGGGAAAAATTGTGCATGTTGCTGAGGGGGAGAAGATATGCAATTTTAAATAAGGTAATCAGGATTGGCCTTATTGGGGAAAGATTTGGTGAAATGAAGAAGTTTGTCATGCCACTATCTTGGTGGCCAGCATTCTATAGAGAAGGAATAGTCAGTGTGGGTCCTGAGGTTGTAGCATGTTTAGCAAAGTTACAGAACAATAAGGAAGCTAATGTAGATGGATCCGTGAATGCTGATGAGCACAGGAAAGAATAGGTGAAAGGAGGAAAGTTAGAAAAGGCTACATCATAAAAGTGCTTCTAGGCCATTGTAAAAATTTTGGCTTTTCCTTTGAGTTAAATGGGAAGGCAGTAGAGGGTTTTGAGTAGAGGGGCAAGATGGTGTGATGCAGTTTTAAAATAATCATTCTGGTTACTTTATTAAGAATCAACTGTATAAAGGAAACAGTGTGGACACTATTGTAATAATGTTTTTGAACATTTATTTTTTTTGTTTGGCTCTGCCCTACTTATGCTTTAGCTCATTTAATTCTCATATCAGCACTTTGAAGAAATTGTTATTTTTCCCTTCTTCACTGATGAGTTAAGTGAAGCTCAGAGCAGAGAATCCCTTGCTTGAAGTCCTCTGGTAAACTGTTGGTGAAGATTGGATGTAACCCAAGTCTGTTGGTTGGACGATCCCGGTTGTCACAACTCAAAAATTCTATGCTTCATTACTCAGCTACATGCACTTTTGGCCCTCCCTTCCAATTCACCAGCTCTCTAAGCAGAATTTTTTTTATATTTTGAGAATTTTGTCCCCATAAATTTTTTTTCTGAATCAATAACAGGAAAATTAGACATTTCTATGAGGAAAAAATCAACAAGGAAGCACAATGTAGTTTTTGAGGAATGGCTGGGTGAGTGTGTTTAGAAAAGAGAGAACCCTCCATGACATATATTTTACTAGCCAATAGGAAAGTAGTAAGACTTCTTTTACTTTTAATATTAGTTTTAATGTTTTTAAAGAAAAAATAGAAATTAAATCTGTCACATTATCACATATGCAAAGGGTGTAAATACATTAAACATATTCAATATAATTACCACAACTTGAAAATACTTTATTCACTACAAACTTTATATACATTTACTTCTTATATAAACAGATTTTTCATATATATATATATATGTATGAAAACACAAAACTAATGACCTTGTACAGCCCTTCTGAACTTTATTCTCTATTCCTGCTTGGCCCTAAGGGAAATTATTCCAACCTTATTGTTCTACATGGTCCATGTCATTCTGGATTTCCTTAGCTTTTGACATATTATCAATGATAAGTAGGAAATTGTTACTGTTAGAAGTGTGAGAAATGTTTGTAAGTCTCCTGCTTTTCTATTTGATGAAATAGTTTACCAGGTACTAATCATAAATTTTTAGAGGAAATTTTGCATTTGCAAAAACTAAATTCAAATGTTGAGCTGGCCAGCATTTATTTTTCACATTTATTTTGTATTTCATAGGCTTGATACCAAGCTTCTTGGTATTCTTTATGTGCTTTGTAAGGGCGGGGTTCACTCTGAAATTGCTCAGTTCACTGTTTCTAAGACATTGGCAGGATTTGGAAAAGGACATGAATTCAGCTGCTGGGTCAGAAATGTCACCATCATGAAGTTAGAAGATGGAATAATGCAACAGTGTGCTGTACTTGGTAAAAAATAAAAAAGTGTGAGAGTGAATTCTGTAACAATTATGTCCGCTTTAATATTTTCCCATACAGGTAATTTCAATATCTTGTACTTTGTCCAGATGCAAAATAGTAAGCAATGTTTATTTTTGATTTAATGTATTTTGTTTAAAAGAGAATACTTACAATGATGTAAGCCTTTTTGATTCTTTCATATTTGTTTAAAAATATTTTGAATTTTTCTGATACTGATCTAAGTAAAAAAACCTGGGCTGTTTTAACCATCTGCCTAGTAGTCTGAGCCAGTGTTTGCCTTCAAACAATGGAAAGATTCATACTGAACTTTAGAAACAGAGGGTAGAGTAAATTTTGAAGGCAGATTCTTTCCAAGCTTAGCAAATATGAAAACACTGGGATGACTTTATTTAAAAATGAATCTCACTGAATTTGATTTTGTGCATTATTCTGTAATTCTTATTGTCAAAATGCAGACAAAAGAGTGAAAAATCTTCTCTTTTATATTTCACTCTTGTTTTATTATTGTCGTTTAAATTTTTGAACTTAAAAAATTCTGCCTATAGGTCTCAGTTTAAGGGCCATGAGTAGTGAGTGAATGATGCCAGTTTTTTTCTGGAAAGCATTGAAAAAATACTGTCTGGGTATTTCTGTCACACTAGAAGGGAGGTGCTCGGTAAGCAACACAACAATATGTATGTTCACAGAAGCCAAAGCAAACCAACAATCCAACTGACGAGGCCAGTATTTTTCCTTAGAAATAAATGTCTTAGAAAATTCTACTGAATTTCTCTAATATGTGAGGGCCAGGAGTTATATTTTTCAAATGTATGATACTTTGGTAGTGGCTGATGACATTAAATTTGAGGGCTAAACTTCATATTCATATTTTACAGCTGAATATGGTTCCATATGTCTAAAACATTAATTAATGCTAGTACCATATCATTCATAAATTTAAGAAAATAATAACTTTTTACATATTAGGCTTTTTCTTGACACTTTAACATTGTATGATAAATATATGTTTTAAGAATGAACATTCAAAAACATTATATTCAAACAATTAGATACTATATATTAAATTTGCTTATTTAAAACATGCACACAAGCTTCACAGACTTTATTGAGCATATGGCAATGCTGTAATGACCACTTATCATTTCAGTATTTGATTTTAATTCTTTGAAGTTGTTGCATTCATTAAATGATTGAATGTGTAGGCACATTTGTATGTGTGTGTGTGTGTGTGTGTGTCTCTTTGTTTATTGGTATCATCAGAAGAAATTCAGCTGGAACACATATGTTTAGCTTGTTTAGACTCCGAACTTTTTGTAACAATTGGATATTTCTGGTTTTGGCTTCAAAATAGGGAAGAGATTTGAGAAATAGACCATGATTTGCCATTGAATATTTGCTTTTATTCTGTTCTTCAAAAATATTTTGTTTTAATATCGGTGGAGGCACAACAGTAAAGTGTTTGTTAGAGAGTATTATTTTAGACAAATATCTTTAAAAATCAAACTGAAGAGTTTAAAGGAGAAGTTTGTACTACACATTCACATTCTCAAAAAGTTTCTGCTTTCTTGAGCAGGATTAACAGTATCCCTAATTCAAGGAAAGATGATCTGTAAGCACTGAGGCCTGGATGTTACTTTTTACACTTAAAAGTATTTCTTGTTATGTTATGAGTCTCAGAAATGTGCTAGTATATATCTTCTTGTAGTAAATGTGATGCTTTCTTAGGACTATTATCTCATTTCTTTCTGGTAAGACTTCTGAATAATCTAAGCAAATGAAAGAAAAGGTCTTTCTGTGGAAGGATGTGTGTTAAACTCACCCTCTTGCTCAGCTGTTATTAGTTTACATGTATCCAAACTATTGTGCAGATTCGTTTTCTAAGAGGTAATTCACTTGTCTACACCTTGCCTAGTTTACTCATATGTAACATATATTGGTATTTTTCAACCATATAGTCTTTTGTCACACTTGTGACTTTTTTTCCCTAAGGAGTTGCCTTTGAAGATATTTTCTCCTAGTCCTTATTCTATTTTCAGTGAGGGGAGAGGAAGAGAACATAAATAGTATTCTTCCTCTATTTATTGGAATGTACCTTTACTGTTTTATAATCTAGCTATTTAAAAAATCTGTGAAAAATAAAAAATGATAGGAATTTTCTTCATATTTTTAGGGTCTTAACTGACTACTTTTTAGCTTGGTATTCAAAAATAAGTAATGGTCAAAAAGTATATAATTTTTTAAAATTTCACTTTCTCAGAAAAAAAATCAAGAGAATGAAATATACATTTGCCTAATGATTTAACTAGATTTCCTTTTCAGTTAAATGCCATGGAAGAAATCTTTAAATCTTTAAATCTTTACATTCTACAAAATGAGTTTTCTTGAGCAAAGATTTTCAGTTCCTACTTCTTGAGGTTAATTTTCCATTACTCTAGTGGGAAAATGAATCATTTAACTTTTTTTCCCATTTTATATCTCTAGGCAAAAAAGCCTATTTTATACAGATTTTATACAGATTTTGTTTCCCTTCACTTACAATATTATGTTTTAAAGATTCTTTAATCTCTTGGAAAAACTATATATCATTTTAATGTCACAAATGTATATTGCAATTTGTAAATGAGATAGACTGGCGAGTTTACAAGTATTTTCCTGACATATTTTTGTTCATTGCATATAATAATTTAGAGTTTTCAAAGAATAAATTTAAAGCCCATTTTATTTTGGGTGGAGGCTAACATGTTATTAGTGTCTTTGTCACATTTATACACTACCTTTCTCAATTTGACCATAGCTGCCTAAAAATTGCTTTCTGTTTCTAGAGGGTATATAGGACAGGACTGGTAAATAGGAGAATGGGGTCCTAGACTGGCACCATGATGGTCTCACACTAATCTTTTACCTCAGGAAATGGAATTAAGAATATTCATCCACAGAGGTATAGGGTGAGCTTATGAAACTTGAAGTGGCGGAGGCAGATTTGGAATTCCTGCGAGAGCAGCCATTGAAACTTGGGTCTCTTGGCGTTGCTCTTTTCTTCCGACTGGACCTGGTGGTGTCTGCATCGTTGGGGTCAAACACGACTGTCATGGACTCCATTCTGGTCACGGTGTACATACTGCTTTGCCGGTTTGGATGAAACCTGGTGGTCTTGAGCTCTAGCTCATCATAGCTGGAAACTTTGATGAAAGGACACCAGCGAAATGCTCTCTTGAAGCCAGCTCGAAATCTGAGGAAAAGCAGGCCACAGAAAGAAAAAGTTATTTTTTCAAGCAGATATGTCTTTCAGCTGCCACAGAAAATTCTACCTAAGGCAGTTATAACAACTCAGTTTTTGAGTTTGGTTTTTAGCCAGACTCTTAGAATTTATGTCACAGTACTGTTGTTAGTCGTTTAGTTCTTGTTTGAATTGAATCTTAATTTCCCATTAATGAGAAGCATTGATTCCCAGCAATGAAAAGCATCTCATTCCCATCAGTGAGAAGTCATCAATAGCGAATGCATAGCATCAGGTAATCAATATGTTAAAGAAACAGTACATTTTTCTAAAATAATTGTATACATTTACATAAATATAATTGAATTAGGCTGGCCAGTTAAGGCACTTAAAAATGATATATTTCAAAATAGTTTCTTTCAGAAATGATTACACATTTATAAATTAAAGTCTCGTTTAATGTTAGAATTGCTAATCTTGATGATTTTTATCTAATTATATATGAAAGTGCAAAATCCTTAACTTTGTAAACCATTAAATGAAGTTAATTAAAAGTGGATGTAATGCTTGTGGGGTGTCAGGAATTGAGATATGGCTTATGCAATTAGTGAAAAAAAAAGCAAGAGTTAATTAAGTATTTAACAAACTTAAGGCACAGTGTGGTAGAACCCCAACTGAGAAGAGAGCTTAGGATTTAATTCATGCAGTTACTTACATAAAGTCCCAATTCTACTTGTGAAAAAAACACATTGGTTTATTACAGGACTTACGAGCCCTATGAAATTTAACCCTATCCCTTCATGTGCTGACCAGTACAACCAAGGTGTTTTTATCTGGAAAGCAGATTTTATCTTTTTTTTCTAGTCTTACATTTGACTACAAATATTCTCACTTTTCATTTTTTAACTTTATAAACATCTTTCCCTTGACCACTGTGATTTCTTCACAAGCCATCTCCATAGAGGCTGCATGCTCTCTTACTCACCCCACCTCACAATGCAGGAAGGAGGATTGGAGTTCCCATTGTTTTTACAAAACCTTCTACTTCAAAGTTTATTTATTTACAACATATCCTTTTTAATAAAGTCCGCTCACATATGCCATCATCTCTCCATCTTATAGAAATTATTCAAGAATTTCTAGGAAGTAACTTCATTTCATTGAGGATTTGAGCATATTTTCAATTCTCCTTTAATCATGAGGGCACTTCTTTTTCTTTGGCAGGTAAAATTCTGAGATTTTGGAGGAAGAAGTTGGCCCATAGAAGAATCATCCAGTTAGAACCCCAAGATCATTATTTGGGGCATCTAATTATTAATGTGGGATGCTTTATAAAGTGTGTATGGGGGTCTTGAAAGATAAAGCCTGTGCCTCTCTCAGTGAATTCTTAAATTTTCCCTTCCTTCTGCATTTTGAATTTGAACCAAGAAAATGGAACAACATTGTATGTTTCCAGTGAAGGTGGGTGTGACAAGCAACTTGCATTTCGTAGTTTTGTTTTTACCTTTTATTCAGACAGCAGTAGATGATGGGATTGTACATGGTTGAGCTCATTGCCAGCCAAAAGCTAGCCAGGTAGACCTGCTGGATGTATTTCCATCTATTTAGTTGTTGATAGATTGCAGTGAGAATGAAGTAAATATGATAGGGCAGCCAGCAGATAGCAAATGTCATGACAACAATAATCATCATTTTGACAACCTATAAAGAAAAAAAGTCATTTTTGACAAATATAATACTCATAATAGTTCCAATAGCTTATTGCAAATCATGCTTTTCTGCCAATACAGTTAAATACACATCATGCCTAGGGAATAGTCAATATATTAAAAAATGGTGAAGCAATATACGGACAGTTGCCTAAGGTAAGTCTCAAGAAATTATGCTATGTCACTATTCATTTCTACCTATCTAAGTGAATGGGTAGTGCTAACTCAAACACGGACAAATATATTTTGATTGGCCTGAAGAAAATCAGTGTTTACAAAAACCCAGAGAGCCTGGAACAGAGAGAGATAGGAACTAGGATGTGGCTGTGTAGCCTGCATTGTACGATAGTGGAGATATTATCTCCAGGAAATCAACTGTTAAGTCACTATGGAGGTTTACTAGGCTGCTAGGGCTGGGTTTGTTCAAGTCAGTACTCTTCTATAGCCTGACTATAGCTTAAGACTATTTAGATTTCTTTAATAGCCTGCTCACTACGTAACCTTATGAATATTAATTTGGTTTCTCTTATAATCTGATATTGGGGAAGATTTCCCCAAATAGTGATTATGTGTAAATATTCACGTTAGTGTGAGGAAAATACTAACTTGAGATTTGCAAATAGATTATTGGTTTATGCAACTGTTTTATGCATTAGCTTTTATGACTTTGGTAAGCATAAGCCATTTCCTTTGATTGTATACTTGTGAATGATAATATCCTGGACAGCTCTAATCAAAGTAGAATGTCAGCTGTTATTTCTCTTCCACTAGGCCTAAAATTCCTGAAGACAGAATGTCTTAATTATCTTTTTACTCCCAGCATCTATCACAGTCCTTGATATATAGCTGGAGATAAATATATATAGGATGAATGAATAATAAATAGCAATGTACAATGAACAATGTTCATATCTCTTTTGGGAATTTGGAAATAGTAAAAAGTTTAAAATAAGATACTTTAAGCTAAACAATTTTGAAGCTTACCTGCAGTCAGATTAAAACAAATCAGGGAAAGCTCTGATGTAAAGGGCCTATGAGGCACCTCAGAACTAGGAAGATACAGTATTTATGAAATGGACTTGTCATTTGACTGCAAATTAGGGATTCAGATGAAGGTTGGCAAGGTTTAGTCAGGAGAGACATGATTTTAGAAATAGGCAAAGCATGAAATGGATCAATGTGGAAGGTAACTCTTCCCTAAGGGCCAAATCACTGTACCATCCAGGTGGCCAGCATTGAGCAGATGGAAATTGGCCATCAGAGTTGAAAATCCAGGTCAACAGCTCACAAAATGTCATCACTGGCCACATCACATAATATCTTTTGATTTTCCCAGTGTTCTTTAAATTACATTGCTTTCTTCTGAAGAACTGCTTTTGTATTTCTGCATTTTATTTCTCAGATTTCCTATTCATAATTCATATATTTGTGAAAAACAAATGATTTAATTTACATTTATGCAATATTTTACGTATTTAACAATTAATTAATTGTCTTTCAATTGCGCATTAGGAAATTGAGGCAAAAACCCAAAGATCTGACCACTGTGATTCATGTAACTAAGATCTTTCTTGTCTTTTTACCCTCTATTTACAGATAAAAACATCTGTTGAATATCTTGAGTCTAGAAAATAACATTGAAAATATAGTGGTTGAGGACCAATTCCTCATCCTGAAGTTTACAATGTAATGAAAAAAAGGAAATGTATAATTTTAATAAAAATGCATGCATTGAAATGTGGTGAGTATGAACATGTGCAGATAAAATTTAAAATAATATTTATGAGAATGTACTAGTTTATTGTAATAAAGAATGACTCAATACATGCCTACTAACTGTAGGCTCAGAGGATATTAGACTAAATGAAATTAGTCTACTGATGTTTTCATTGTTGAATTTGTGAGCATTCTACTATTCCTTGAACAGGGTAGTTAAGCTCCAGCCATAGATTATTTTCCCTGGCTCCTCCCTCTACCTAGAACACTCTTCTAACCATGATTCCCAGGGCTTAAGTACCTCACCTCCTTCAAGCCGTTGCACAATTGTCATTTTTTCTTTGAGTGCTATTCTGACCAATTAATTTAAAATCACAGTCTGCCCTTCCAGCCCTCCCAGAACCTCTTAGCTTGCTCTTTCTCTTCAGTTTGTTATGTTTTTTCTTTATTTTGTGTCTCCTGATGCTGGACTACAAAAGAGCAAGGATTTTCTGTTTGTTTTGTTCATTTGTATATTTCGGGCACCTAGACTGGACTTCATACATAAAGGGTACTCAGAAATTTTTTAAATGAACAGGTGAAAGTGACTATAAAACAAAAGAAACTGAAAGACGCAGACAGTTAAGTAATGTCTAAGATTTTAGTCAGTTATTACTAGTATCATTTGGTTTTCATTTAAGATGGACATGTGTATGTAAAATAAGCATGGAATTTACTGCTATTTCTGCTTTCAAGGCAAACAAATTTAAAAAGAGAATGAGTCCAAAAATAACCTTTTTTTTTTTTTGAGACAGAGTCTCACTCTTGTCACCCAGGCTGGAGTGCAGTGGTGCGATCTTGGCTCACTGCAACCTCTGCCTCCCGGGTTCAAGTAATTCTTCTGCCTCAGCCTCCCAAGTAGCTGGGATTACAGGAGCGTGCCACCACGCCTGGCTAATTTTTGTATTTTTAGTAGAGACAGGGTGTTACCATAGTGGCCAGGCTTGTCTCAAACTCCTGACCTTGTAGATCCACCCACCTCGGCCTCCCAAAATTCTGGGATTACAGGTGTGAGACACTGCACCCGGCCTAATATAATTATTTTCATGGGGCACATGAAAGCATTAGATTTCATTCTAAGCAAATGTTAAGAGCAAGTAAAATATCTTTGAGAATGTTAACATATATTGTATTTGAATCTTTTATACAGACTGACTACAAACTCCCTATGCACAAAATTGTTTTCCGACAATTGCTGAAAACCTACTAAGGCTATCAGTCCTTTTAGATAAATTTCAATTTTCATAGTGCAAAAAGTTCAGAAAAACATGCAAAAATTAAAATGCATGTGGAAAATGGAACAGAGACTTCAGATAGCTTTTAACTCACATACAGAGGGCCTTTAGAACTTCTTGCGAAAGATTTATAAACATATTTTAAAAATTTTAAGAAAAGCTTAAAATACTCTACAGAAATGTTTATAAGTGAAACAGCTGCTATAATATATTTTCTGTACTTATTTCTATATAATACTGTTACCTTGGCACTCTGCTTACAAAATCTTGTAGTGTTATTTCAGATGATGAACTCTCTGGACTCTAGTTTTGATGTGAATGCAAACGTAGGCTCTTGGGTGGGAGAAATTGTCTTGCTTTGTGAAATGCTGAAATCACAAAACTGAAATCACCCTCCTGATAAAATGCCAAAGAAAAGAGCTCTTTGAAGCATGAAGCTTGAGCAATGATAGATGTGCAGGTGCTATGAGCAGTTACCACTGTATTGCATGGCTGAACAATGGTACTAGTGCAGGCAGGCTATGAACTGTTAAACAGAAAAAAGAATCAGGTGGTAAACTTTAAGAAATTCTTGAGATTTTTAGGCAAGATGACAATCTGGGACAGAGAAGGTTCAAATCTCTCATCGTGTCTTAATAATGTTATTAAGTGGGTAGCCACCCATTACCCTTGGAAACTTACAAGCAGGATAAAGGAGGAAAGTGGGGACATGTAATGTAGCCCTTACAAAGTTACATTGCCTATTTTTAGCAGTTAAGAATCTAACTACGTAGGCAGGATGGAACTGCATGTCCTCATATATTAGTGAGAATGAACTTTGGATACCATTCCTTCATGTATCAAAGGGGAAAGATCTTAGATTTTTGTATACCGTACAGATTAGAACTGAAATGCCTACAGTTGTTCTTATTCATTACATTAAATTAGTGTAGGATGGATGATTTTGAGGTTTGGGTTGTAAAAGCAAAAATTAGTTTAGGAAATTAACTAAAATGCTGACAACTATTTAGAAAACTCTAGGGGTCATATTCTTTTTTTTTTAATTTTGGCAATATTATCTTCTAATTATTTTATTTTTATTATTATACTTTAAGTTTTAGGGTACATGTGCACAATGTGCAGGTTAGTTACATATGTATACATGTGCCATGCTGGTGTGCTGCACCCACTAACTCATCATCTAGCATTAGGTATATCTCCCAATGCTATCCCTCCCCCCTCCCCCCACCCCACAACAGTCCCCAGAGTGTGATGTTCCCCTTCCTGTGTCCATATGTTCTCATTGTTCAATACCCACCTATGAGTGAGAATATGTGGTGTTTGGTTTTTTGTTCTTGTGATAGTTTACTGAGAATGATGATTTCCAATTTCATCCATGTCCCTACAAAGGACATGAACTCATCCTTTTTTATGGCTGCATAGTATTCCATGGTGTATATGTGTCACGTTTTCTTAATCCAGTCTATCATTGTTGGACATTTGGGGTGGTTCCAAGTCTTTGCTATTGTGAATAGTGCCGCAATAAACATACGTGTGCATGTGTCTTTATAGCAGCATAATTTATAATCCTTTGGGTATATACCCAGTAATGGGATGGCTGGGTCAAATGGTATTTCTAGTTCTACATCCCTGAGGAATCGCCACACTGACTTCCACAATGGTTGAACTAGTTTACAGTCCCACCAACAGTGTAAAAGTGTTCCTATTTCTCCACATCCTCTCCAGCACCTGTTGTTTCCTGACTTTTTAAAGATTGCCATTCTAACTGGTGTGAGACGATATCTCATTGTGGTTTTGGTTTGCATTTGTCTGTTGGTACAGGATTGATTCTTTCTAAATGCTTGGAATAAAAATGGTCAGCTAGGTGTGACAAAAAACAAAACAAAACAAAACTGCTTGTTTTGATTAGAATCCTTTTTTTAAAATTTTATTATTATTATACTTTAAGTTTTAGGGTACATGTGCACAATGTGCAGGTTTGTTACATATGGATACATGTCCCATGTTGGTCTGCTGCACCCATTAACTCGTCATTTACATTAGGTATATCTCCTAATGCTATCCCTCCCCCGTCCCCCTACCCCACAAGAGTCCCCAGTGTGTGATGTTCCCCTTCCTGTGTCCATGTGTTCTCATTGTTCAATTCCCACCTGTGAGTGAGAACATGCAGTTTGGTTTTTTGTCCTTGCGATAGTTTGCTGAGAATGATGGTTTCCAGCTTCATCCATGTCCCTACAAAGGACACGAACTCATCATTTTTTATGGCTGCATAGTATTCCATGGTGTATATGTGCCACATTTTCTTAATCCAGTCTATCATTGTTGGACATTTGGGTTGGTTCCAAGTCTTTGCTATTGTGAATAGTGCCGCAATAAACACATGTGTGCATGCGTCTTTATAGCAGCATAATTTATAATCCTTTGGGTATATACCCAGTAATGGGAAGGCTGGGTCAAATGGTATTTCTAGTTCTAGTTCCCTGAGGAATTGCCACACTGACTTCCACAATGGTTGAACTAGTTTACAGTCCCACCAACAGTGTAAAAGTGTTCCTATTTCTCCACATCCTCTCCAGCACCTGTTGTTTCCTGACTTTTTAAAGATTGCCATTCTAACTGGTGTGAGATGATATCTCATTGTGGTTTTGGTTTGCATTTCTCTGTTGGTACAAGATTGATTCTTTCTAAATGCTTGGAATAAAAATGGTCAGCTTGGTGTGACAAAAAACAAAACACAACAAAACTGCTTGTTTTGATTAGAATCCTTTTTTTTAAATTTTATTATTATTATACTTTAAGTTTTAGGGTACAAGTGCACAACGTGCAGGTTTGTTACATATGTATACATGTGCCATGTTGGTCTGCTGCACCCATTAACTCGTCATTTACATTAGGTACATCTCCTAATGCTATCCCTCCCCCGTCCCCCCACCCCACAAGAGTCCCCAGTGTGTGATGTTCCCCTTCCTGTGTCCATGTGTTCTCATTGTTCAATTCCCACCTGTGAGTGAGAACATGCAGTTTGGTTTTTTGTCCTTGTAATAGTTTGCTGAGAATGATGGTTTCCAGTTTCATCCATGTCCCTACAAAGGACATGAACTCATCATAATTTATGGCTGCATAGTATTCCATGGTGTATATGTGCCACATTTTCTTAATTCAGTCTATTGTTTTTGGACATTTAAGTTGGTTCCAAGTCTTTGCTATTGTGAATAGTGCCGCTATAAACATACGTGTGCATGTGTCTTTATAACAGCATGATTTATAATCCTTTGGGGATATACCCAGTAATGGGATGGCTAGGTCAAATGGTATTTCTAGTTCTAGATCCCTGAGGAATCGCCACACCGACTTCCACAGTGGTTGAACTAGTTTACAGTCCCACCAACAGTGTAAAAGTGTTCCTATTTCTCCACATCCTCTCCAGCACCTGTTGTTTCCTGACTTTTTAATGATCACCATTCTAACTGGTGTGAGATGGTATCTCATTGTGGTTTTGATTTGCATTTCTCTGATGGCCAGTGATGGTGAGCATTTTTTCATGTGTTTTTCGGCTGCATAAATGTCTTCTTTTGAGAAGTGTCTGTTCATATCCTTCGCCCACTTTTTGATGAGGTTGTTTGTTTTTTTCTTGTAAATTTGTTTGAGTTCATTTTAGATTCTGGATATTAGCCCTTTGTCAGATAAGTAGGTTGCAAAAACTTTCTCCCATTCTGTAGGTTGCCTGTTCACTCTGATGGTAGTTTCTTTTGCTGTGCAGAAGCTCTTTAGATTACTTAGATCCCATTTGTCAATTTTGGCTTTTGTTGCCATTGCTTTTGGTGTGTTAGACATGAAGTCCTTGCCCATGCCTATGTACTGAATGGTATTGCCTATGTTTTCTTCTAGGGTTTTTATGGTTTTAGGTCTAACATGTAAGTCTTTAATCCATCTTGAATTGATTTTTATATAAGGTGTAAGGAAGGGATCCAGTTTCAGCTTTCTACATATGGCTAGCCAGTTTTCCCAGCACCATTGATTAAATAGGGAATCCTTTCCCCATTTCTTGTTTTTGTCAGGTTTGTCAAAGATCAGATATTTGTAGATATGCGGCATTATTTCTGAGGGCTCTGTTCTGTTCCATTGGTCTATATATCTGTTTGTGCACCAGTACCATGCTGTTTTGGTTACTGTAGCCTTGTAGTATAGTTTGAAGTCAGGTAGCATGATGCCTCCAGCTTTGTTCTTTTGGCTTAGGACTGACTTGGTGATGCAGGCTCTTTTTTGGTTCCATATGAACTTTAAAGTAGTTTTTCCCAGTTCTGTGAAGAAAGTCATTGGTAGCTTGATGGGGATGGCATTGAATCTGTAAATTACCTTGGGCAGTATGGCCATTTTCACAATATTGATTCTTCCTACCCATGAACATGGAATGTTCTTCCATTTGTTTGTATCCTCTTTTATTTCACTGAGCAGTGGTTTGTAGTTCTCCTTGAAGAGCTCCTTCATATCCCTTGTAAGTTGGATTCCTAGGTATTTTATTTTCTTTGAAGCAATTGTGAATGGGAGTTCACTCATGATTTGGCTCTCTGTTTGTCTGTTATTGGTGTATAAGAATGCTTGTGGTTTTTGTACATTGATTTTGTATCCTGAGACTTTGCTGAAGTTGCTTATCAGCTTGAGGAGATTTTGGGCTGAGACAATGGGGTTTTCTAGATACACAATCATGTCATCTGCAAACAGAGACAATTTGACTTCCTCTTTTCCTAATTGAATACCCTTTATTCCCTTCTCCTGTCTGATTGCCCTGGCCAGAACTTCCAACACTATGTTGAATAGGAGTGGTGAGAGAGGGCATCCTTGTCTTGTGCCAGTTTTCAAAAGGAATGCTTCCAGTTTTTGCCCATTCAGTATGATATTGGCTGTGGGTTTGTCATAGATAGCTCTTATTATTTTGAGATACGTCCCATCAATACCTAATTTATTGAGATTTTTTAGCATGAAGTGCTGTTGAATTTTGTCAAAGGCCTTTTCTGCATCTATTGAGATAGTCATGTGCTTTTTGTCATTGGTTCTGTTTATATGCTGGATTAGATTTGTTGATTTGCGTATGTCGAACCAGCCTTGCATCCCAGGGATGAAGCCCCCTTGATCATGGTGGATAAACTTTTTGATGTGCTGCTGGATTCGGTTTGCCAGTATTTTATTGAGGATTTTTGCATCAATGTTCATCAAGGATATTGGTCTAAAATTCTCTTTTTTGGTTGTGTCTCTGCTGGGCTTTGGTATCAGGATGATGCTGGCCTCATAAAATGAGTTAGGGAGGATTCCCTCTTTTTCTATTGATTGGAATAGTTTCAGAAGGAATGGTATCAGCTCCTCTTTGTAACTCTGGTAGAATTCGGCTGTGAATCCATCTGGTCCTGGACTTTTTTTGGTTGGTAAGCTATTGATTATTACCTCAATTTCACAGCCTGTTATTGGTCTATTCAGAGATTCAACTTCTTCCTGGTTTAGTCTTGGGAGGGTGTATGTGTCAAGGAATTTATCCATTTCTTCTAGATTTTCTAGTTTATTTGCATAGAGGTATTTATAGTATCCTCTGATGGTAGTTTGTATTCCTGTGGGATCAGTGTTGATATCCCCTTTATCATTTTTTATTGGGTCTATTTGATTCTTCTCTCTTTTCTTCTTTATTAGTCTTGCTAGCAGTCTATCAATCAATTTTGTTGCTCTCTTCAAAAAACCAGCTCCTGGATTCATTAATCTTTTGAAGGGTTTTTTGTGTCTCTATTTCCTTCAGTTCTGCTCTGATCTTAGTTATTTCTTGCCTTCTGCTAGCTTTTGAATGTGTTTGATCTTGCTTTTCTAGTTCTTTTAATTGTGATGTTAGGGTGTCAATTTTAGATCTTTCTTGCTTTCTCTTGTGGGCATTTAGTGCTATAAATTTCCCTCTGCACACTGCTTTGAATGTGTCCCAGAGATTCTGGTATATTGTGTCTTTGTTCTCATTGGTTTCAAAGAACATCTTTATTTCTGCCTTCATTTCATTATTTACCCAGTAGTCATTCAGGAGCCGGTTGTTCATTTTCCATGTAGTTGAGCAGTTTTGAGTGAGTTTCTTAATCCTGAGTTCTAGTTTGATTGCACTGTGGTCTGAGAGACAGTTTGTTATAATTTCTGTTCTTTTACATTTGCTGAGGAGTGCTTTACTTCCAACTATGTGGTCAGTTTTGGAGTAGGTGTGGTGTGGTGCTGAAAAGAATGCATATTTTGTTGATTTGGGGTGGAGATTTCTGTAGGTGTCTATCAGGTCAGCTTTGTGCAGAGCTGAGTTCAATTCTTGGGTATCTTTGTTAACTTTCTCTCGTTGATCTGTCTAATGTTGACAGTGGGATGTTAAAGTCTCCCATTATTATTGTGTGGAGTCTAAGTCTCTTTGTTGGTCGCTAAGGACTTGCTTTATGAATCTGGGTGCTCCTGTATTGGGTGTATATATATTTAGGATAGTTAGCTCTTCTTGTTGAATTGATCCCTTTACCATTATGTAATGGCCTTTTTTTGTTTTCCATTTGCTTGGTAGATTTTCCTCCATCCCTTTATTTTGAGCCTATGTGTGTCTCTGCATGTGAGATGGGTTTCCTGAATACAGCACACTGATGGGTCTTGACGCTATCCAATTTGCCAGTCTGAGTCTTTTAATTGGAGAATTTAGCCCATTTACATTTAAAGTTAATATTATTTTGTGTGAATTTGATCCTGTCATTATGATGTTAGCTGGTTATTTTGCTCGATATTTGATGCAGTTTCTTCCTAGCCTTGATGGTCTTTGCAATTTGGCATGTTTTTGCAATGGCTGGTACTGGTTGTTCCTTTCCATGTTTAGTGCTTCCTTCAGGAGCTCTTTTAGGGCAGGCCTGGTGGTGACAAAATCTCTCAGCATTAGCTTGTCTGTAGAGGATATTATTTCTCCTTCACTTATGAAGCTTAGTTTGGCTGGATATGAAATTCTGGGATGAAAATTCTTTTCTTTAAAAATGTTGAATATTGGTCTCCACTCTCTTCTGGCTTGTAGAGTTTCTGCTGAGAGATCAGGTGTTAGTCTGATGGGCTTCCCTTTGTGGGTAACCTGACCTTTCTCTCTGGCTGCGCTTAACATTTTTTCCTTCATTTCCACTTTGGTGAATCTGACAATTATGTGTCTTTTAGTTGCTATTCTTGAGGAGTATCTTTGTGGTGTTCTCTGTATATCCTGAGTTTGAATGTTGGCCTGCTTTGCTAGATTGGGGAAGTTCTCCTAGATAGTATCCTGCAGAGTGTTTTCCAACTTGGTTCCAATCTCCCCGTCACTTTCAGGTACACCAATCAGACGTAGATTTGGTCTTTTCACATAGTCCCATATTTCTTGGAGGCTTTGTTCATTTCTTTTTATTCTTTTTTCTCTAAACTTCTCTTCTCCCTTCATTTCATTCATTTCATCTTCCATCACTGATACCCTTTCTTCCAGTTGATCGCATCGGCTACTGAGGCTTCTGCATTCGTCACGTAGCTCTCGTGCCTTGGTTTTCAGCTCCATCATGTCCTTTAAGGACTTCTCTGCATTGGTTATTCTAGTTATCCATTTGTCTAATTTTTTTTCAAAGCTTTGAACTTCTTTGCCATTGGTTTGAATTTCTCCTGTAGCTTGGAGTAGTTTGATTGTCTGAAGCCTTCTTCTCTCAACTCCTCTAAGTCATTCTCCATCCAGCTGTGTTCCGTTGCTGGTGAGGAGCTGTGTTCCTTTGGAGGAGGAGAGGTGCTCTGCTTTTTAGAGTTTCCAGTTTTTCTGCTCTTTTTTTTTTTTCCCATCTTTGTGGTTTTATCCACCTTTGATCTTTGATGATGGTGACGTACAGATGGGTTTTTGATGTGGATGTCCTTTCTGTTTGTTAGTTTTCCTTCTAACAGACAGGACCCTCAGCTGCAGGTCTGTTGGAGTTTGCCTAGAGGTCCACTGCAGACCCTGTTTGCCTGGGTATCAGCAGCAGTGGCTGCAGAACAGCGGATATTGGTGAACCGCAGATGCTGCTGTCTGATCGTTCCTGTGGAAGTTTTGTCTCAGAGGAGTACCAGGCCATGTGAGGTGTTAGTCCAGCCCTACTGGAGGGTGCCTCCCATTTAGGCTACTCGGGGGTCAGGGAGCCACTTAAGGAGGCAGTCTGCCCATTCTCAGATCTCAAGCTGCATGCTGGGAGCACCACTACTCTCTTCAAAGCTGTCAGAGAGGGACATTTAAGTCTGCAGAGGTTACTGCTGTCTTTTTGTTTGTCTGTGCCCTACACCAAGAGGTGGAGCCTACAGAGGCAGGCAGGCCTCCTTGAGCTGTGGTGGGCTCTGCCCAGTTCGAGCTTCCTGTCTGCTTTGTTTACCTAATCATACAACTAACTCAGCAATGGCAGGTGCCCCTCCCCCAGCCTCGCTGCCACCTTGCAGTTTGATCTCGGACTGCTGTGCTAGCAATGAGCAAGACTCCATGGGCGTAGGACCCTCCTAGCCATGTGCGGGATATAATCTCCTGGTGTGCCATTTTTTAAGCCCATTGGAAAAGCGAAATATTAGGGTGGGAGTGACCCGATTTTCCAGGTGCTGCCTGTCACTGCTTTCTTTGACTAGGAAAGGGAATTCCCTTACCCCTTGCACTTCCCGGGTGAGGTTATGCCTCGCCCTGCTTTGGCTCGTGCACGGTGCGCTGCACCCACTGTCTTGCACCTACTGTCTGGCACTCCCCAGTGAGATGAACCCGGTACCTCAGTTGGAAATGTAGAAATCACCCGTCTTCTGCGTTGCTCACGCTGGGCGAACTTATCCTTTTTTATGGCGGCATAGTATTCCATGGTGTATATGTGCCATATTTTCTTTATCCAGTCTATCATTGATGGGCATTTGGGTTGGTTCCAAGACTTTGCTATTGTGAACAGTGCTGCAATAAACATACGTGTGCATGTGTCTTTATAGTAGAATGATTTATAATCCTTTGGGTATATACCCAGTAATGGGATTGCTGGGTCAAATGGAATTTCTGGTTCTAGATCTTTGAGGAATTGCCACACTGTCTTCTACAAAGGTTGAACTAATTTATATTCCCACCAACAGTGTGAAAGCATTCCTATTTCTCCACATCCTCTCCAGCAACTGTTGTTTCCTGACTTTTTAATGATCACCGAACTACAAACCACTGCTCAAGGAAATAAGAGAAGACACAAACGGAAAAACATTCCATGCTCATGGATAGGAAGAATCAGTATCTTGAAAATGGCCATACTGCCCAAAGTAATTTATAGATTCAATGCTATCCCCATCAACTACCATTGACTTTCTTCACAGAATTAGAAAAAACTATTTTAAATTTCATATGGGACCAAAAAGGAGCCCATATCTCCAAGACAATCCTAAGCTAAAAGAACAAAGCCGGAGGCATCAGGCTGCTTGACTTCAAATTATACTGCAAGGCTATAGTAACCAAAACACCATGGTACTGGTACCAAAACAGATATACAAACCAATGCAACAGAACAGAGGCCTCAGAAATAACACCACACATCTACAACCATCTGATCTTTGACAAACCTGACAAAAACAATCAATGGGGAAAGGATTCCCTATTTAATAAATGGTGCTGGGAAAACTGGCTAGCCATATGCAGAAAACTGAAACTGGATCCCTTCCTTACACCTTATACAAAAATTAATTCAAGATGGATTAAAGAATTAAACATAAGACCGAAAACCATAAAAACCCTAGAAGAAAACCTAGGCAACACCATTCAGGATGTAGACATGAGAAAAGACTTCATGATTAAAACACCAAAAGCAATGGCAACAAAAGCCAAAATTGACAAATGGGATCTAAATTAAACTAAAGAGCTTCTGCACAGCAAAAGAAACTACCATGAGTGAACAGGCAACTTATAGAATGGGAGAATTTTTTTGCAATGTATCCATCTGACAAAGGGCTAATATCCAGAATCTACAAAGAATTTAAACAAATTTACAAGAAAAAAAACACCACCATCAAAAAGTGGGCAAAGGATATGAAGAGACACTTCTCAAAACAAGACAGTTATGTGGCCAACAAACATATGAAAGAAAGCTCATCATCACTGGTCATTAGAGAGATAATAATTCTTTTTTTTTTCTTTTTATTATTATACTTTAAGTTTTAGGGTACATGTGCACATTGTGCAGGTTAGTTACATATGTATACATGTGCCATGCTGGTGCACTGCACCCACTAACTCGTCATCTAGCATTAGGTATATCTCCCAATGCTATCCCTCCCCCCTCCCCCCACCCCACAACAGTCCCCAGAGTGTGATGTTCCCCTTCCTGTGTCCATGTGATCTCATTGTTCAATTCCCACCTATGAGTGAGAATATGTGGTGTTTGGCTTTTTTTTGCGATAGTTTACTGAGAATGATGATTTCCAATTTCATCCATGTCCCTACAAAGGACATGAACTCATCATTTTTTATGGCTGCATAGTATTCCATGGTGTATATGTGCCACAGTTTCTTAATCCAGTCTATCATTGTTGGACATTTGGGTTGGTTCCAAGTCTTTGCTATTGTGAATAATGCGGCAATAAACATACGTGTGCATGTGTCTTTATAGCAGCATGATTTATAGTCCTTTGGGTATATACCCAGTAATGGGATGGCTGGGTCAAATGGTATTTCTAGTTCTAGATCCCTGAGGAATTGCCACACTGACTTCCACAATGGTTGAACTAGTTTACAGTCCCACCAACAGTGTAAAACTGTTCCTATTTCTCCACATCCTCTCCAGCACCTGTTGTTTCCTGACTTTTTAATGATTGCCATTCTAACTGGTGTGAGATAGTATCTCATTGTGGTTTTGATTTGCATTTCTCTGATGGCCAGTGATGATGAACATTTTTTCATGTGTTTTTTGGCTGCATAAATGTCTTCTTTTGAGAAGTGTCTGTTCATGTCCTTCACCCACTTTTCGATGGGGTTGTTTTTTTCTTGTAAATTTGTTTGAGTTCATTGTAGATTCTGGATATTAGCCCTTTGTCAGATGAGTAGGTTGTGAAAATTTTCTCCCATTTTGTAGGTTGCCTGTTCACTCTGATGGTAGTTTCTTTTGCTGTGCAGAAGCTCTTTAGTTTAATTAGATCCCATTTGTCAATTTTGTCTTTGGTTGCCATGGCTTTTGGTGTTTTAGACATGAAGTCCTTGCCCATGCCTATGTACTGAATGGTAATGCCTAGGTTTTCTTCTAGGGTTTTTATGGTTTTAGGTCGTACGTTTAAGTCTTTAATCCATCTTGAATTAATTTTTGTATAAGGTGTAAGGAAGGGATCCAGTTTCAGCTTTCTACATATGGCTAGCCAGTTTTCCCAGCACCATTGATTAAATAGGGAATCCTTTCCCCATTTCTTGTTTTTGTCAGGTTTGTCAAAGATCAGATAGTTGTAGATATGTGGCATTATTTCTGAGGGCTCTGTTCTGTTCCATTGGTCTATATCTCTGTTTTGGTACCAGTACCATGCTGTTTTGGTTACTGTAGCCTTGTAGTATAGTTTGAAGTCAGGTAGTGTGATGCCTCCAGCTTTGTTCTTTTGGCTTAGGATTGACTTGGCGATGCGGGCTCTTTTTTGGTTCCATATGAACTTTAAAGTAGTTTTTTCCAATTCTGTGAAGAAAGTCAGTGGTAGTTGGATGGGGATGGCATTGAATCTGTAAATTACCTTGGGCAGTATGGCCATTTTCACAATATTGATTCTTCCTATCCATGAGCATGGACTGTTCTTCCATTTGTTTGTATCCTCTTTTATTTCACTGAGCAGTGGTTTGTAGTTCTCCTTGAAGAGCTCCTTCATATCCCTTGTAAGTTGGATTCCTAGGTATTTTATTTTCTTTGAAGCAATTGTGAATGGGAGTTCACTCATGATTTGGCTCTCTGTCTGTTGTTGGTGTATAAGAATGCTTGTGATTTTTGTACATTGATTTTGTATCCTGAGACTTTGCTGAAGTTGCTTATCAGCTTAAGGAGATTTTGGGCTGAGACAGTGGGGTTTTCTAGATATACAATCATGTCATCTGCAAACAGGGACAATTTGACTTCCTCTTTTCCTAATTGAATACCCTTTATTTCCTTCTCCGGCCTAATTGCCCTGTCCAGAACTTCCAACACTATGTTGAATAGGAGTGTTGAGAGAGGGCATCCCTGTCTTGTGCCAGTTTTCAAAGGGAATGCTTCCAGTTTTTGCCCATTCAGTATGATATTGGCTGTGGGTTTGTCATAGATAGCTCTTATTATTTTGAAATACATCCCATCAATACCTAATTTATTGAGAGTTTTTAGCATGAAGGGTTGTTGAATTTTGGCTTCATCCCTGGGATGCAAGGCTGGTTCAATATACGCAAATCAATAAATGTAATCCAGCATATAAACAGAGCCAAGGACAAAAACCACATGATTATCTCAAGAGATAATAATTCTTAATTAGACTTAGCAAATCATACTTATCTTTTGTAACAGATATGCGGTATTGTTAAGCATGTTTTTGTTTCTTTTAGTCCATATCATTGCCTATGCATTATTCATTTTGTGCCCCTAGAAATTAGCATAGTTTTTGAGTTTTGAATTTTGAAGGTATCTTTTGACTTTTGAAGGTATCTGATTTTCAGACTCAGTTTATGAACATTTGAATTGCAGGAAGCATTATGTATTTATTTTTATCTTACCAGTGTTTAGTGTTATTATGCTCATAATAAGAATTCAAAAATATTATTTAAAATAAATAAAACAAAAATACTTTTAAATATTTTATATTTAAATTAAAATAATCTTTATTGCTCTTAGTTTTTGTCTCTAGCAGGCTGGATGTTTGGAAAGAATAGCTATTTGAGCCATGTGATAATATAGGCTTAAGAAAGAAATACAGTTGTTTTTGTGTACTTAATCTATTGTATACTTAGATTGAACATATAGAGAATATTGACTTCAAATATACATTTTAGATGATATTTAATGCCATGGGAATGAATGAAATTACTCAGAGAATAGAGAGTGAGAAGTGGTCTAGATTAAGCCCCAAATAAGTCAGACATTTTGAAGTCAGTCAGATAGAGACAAAGGGCTGGAAAGGATATCAGGAACAAGCAGTGTTTGGCAAGAAAACTGCTATAACGTGGTCAGAAACATCACTACAGGGTTTTCCTCTCCTTTAGGAGGGATTGCCAGTCCTGTAGAATGTTGCTCAAAGTTTTAGTAAGATAAGAAATGATCGTTTCCATGGAGACTAGTGGTTGAACTGAACCAGAGTACCTGTGGTGGAATTGTGCAGTCAAAATCTAAATGGAAAGGTTTAAAGTGTGAATGAAATATTATTGGATACATACCTAAAAGAAAATAAATCATTCTATCAAAATGACACACGCACTCATATGTTCGTTACCACGCTATTCACAATAGCAAAGGCATGGGATTAACCTAGGTGCTCATCGATAATAGATTGGATAAAGAAAATGTGGTTCATATACACCATGGGAAACTACATAGCCATAAAAGTATAAAATCATGTCCTTTGCAGCAACATGGATGCAGCTGGAGGCCATAATCCTCAATGAATTAAAACCGAAATAGAAAACGAGATACCACTTGTTCTCACTTATAAGTGGAAGCTAAACATTAAGCACGCATGGACATAAAAGTAGGAACAATAGATACTGTAGACTACTAGAGGCAGGAGAAAGGGGAGCATAGGTGGAAAAACTACCTATTGGGTCCTGTGCTCACTACCTGGGTGATAGAATCCAGACCCCAAATCTCAGCATCACACTATATACCCATGAAACAAATTTGCACATGTACCCCGTGAATCTGAAATAAAAAAAGAATTATGGATGTTTTCATTGGTTATAATGGAGGGACATAGATTGGAAGCTGGGTGGAGGATCAAAAGATAATTTTCTAAAATTAAACATACTGAAAGGTGTTTGAATGCTATTGGAATAAGCCTATAGGTCGCCAAGTACAACCGAAGGCTTATGCTTTCTAACAGAGTATGAGCAAATGGATTCTGCAAACTTTGGGGAGGTGGACATTTCTTCATTGTAATAAAAAGGTATGATTGTAGAGAGTATATCAAATGGATTTGTAAGTAAGTTACATGGTCAGAAATCTAATTTCATCTATTGTCTCCTAGTTTCTTAATAACTAGTGCTCAGTGTGCCTACAAACAAGGTAGCACATAGAACATTCTGAATAAATATTTGTAAAATCAATAAATTAATAGAGCCTGAGGCAATGTCATTAGCTAAATAGATGAGGAATTAATTTGATTAGAAAACAGTGTATTCTTCCCTAAATCATACATATTTCATATAAAATTGAAAGTGCTCAGAAATTGGGCTGCCTCTAGGGTGGCCAAAAATATGAAGTGTGTAATAGGGAACTACACAGTGTAATGAATATCATAGCACAGGCTTCATTATGCTGTGGAATTATTAGTGATAAGCTACTAATAGAAAAAGATAGATATTTGTTGGCCTTATTCACTGCATTCTATTTCAACAGTGGCCACAAAATTATTTCCATACACAAATGTTTTTGTAGGATGTAATATTGTGTTAGTGTGATTTATTTACACCCTAAAGCAAATATAATTCAAAATATATGTTATAGAAGCTCTTGCTGTCTTCCCTCAATATCAGCAATGCAAAAAGAAAGAAACTGCTTTTTATTATAAGAAATAACTCAAAAAGGAGCAACATAAAAGTACATTTGGTCTTTTATTTTTATGTTTTATTTTGTTTATAATTAACAGATAATGGTTGTACATTATTTGTGGGGTAGTGTGTTTCAATACATATATAATGAAATGATCAAATCAGGGTAAACAGAATACTTATCTCAAACATTTGTCATTTCTTTGTAGTGAGAACATTCAAAATCCTTTCTTTTAGCTATTTTGAAGTGTACAATACATTATTGTTGACTATAGACAACCTACTGTGTAATAGAACATGGTAACTTATTCTTCCTATCGAACTGTAAATTTGTACCTGGTGACCAACCTCTCCCCATCCCCTCTCCTGCCACTCTCCTCAGCCTCTGGTAACCACTATTCTACTAGTGATTAGTGAGAAGTAACCACTCACTTCTTCTATAAGGTAAACTTTGTTAGATTCTACATATGACTGAAATCTTGTGGTGTTTGTTCCTCTGTGGTTGGCTTAACATAATGTCCTCTAGGTTCATGGAAACTGTTACAAATCATAAAAAATAATTTTTTATGACTAACTAGCATTGTATTGCGTATATAACCATATTTTCTTTAACCATGCATCTCTTGGTGGACACTTAGGTTGATTCCACTTCTTGGCTATTGTGATTAGTGCTGCAATAAATATAGGAGTGCAGGTATCTCTTCAACATGCTAATTTCATTGCTTTTGAGTATGTACCTTGTAATGGAATTGCTGGACTATGTGGTAGTTCTGTTTTTAATTTTTTGAGGAACTTCCATGTTATTATCCATAAAGGCTGTACTAGTTTACAGTTTGTCCCTCCAATAGTGTATAAGAGTTCTTTTTCCTGTGCACCTTTGCCAGCATTTGTTATTTTTTGTCTTTTTCATAATAGCCATTCTAACTGGGATGAGATTATATCTCATTGTGATTCTAATTTGTGTTTCTCTAATAATTAGTGATGTTGAGCATTGTTTTTCATATACCTGTTAGTCCTTTGTATGTCTTCTTTTGGGAAATGTCTACTCAGATCCTTTATCCATTTTTAAATTTTATTATTACTATTATTTTTGCTATTGAGTTGTTTGAGTTCCTTATATAGTCTGGATATTAACTACTTGTCAGAGGCATAGTTTGCAAATATTTTCTCCAATTCTGTAGATTGTCCCTTCACTCTGTTGATTATTTCCTTTGCTGTACAAAAGCTTTTTAGTTTGTCATCATCTTATTTGCCTATTTTTGCTTTTATTTCTCTTGCTTTTGAGGTCTTATTCAAAATATCCTTGTCCAGATCAATGTCATAAAGCATTTCCCCATAAATTTGTCTAGTAGTTTCATAGTTTTGGGTCTTACATTTATATCTTTAATCCATTTTGAGTTGATTTTTGTAAGTGTTGAAAAACAGAGGTCTAGTTCCATCCATCTGCATATGCATAACCAGTTTTCCTAGCCCCATTTAGGGGCTTGTCCTTTCCCCAATGTGTGTTCTTGGTGCATTTGTTAAAAATCAGTCGGGTGTAAAGTGTGGATTTATTTCTGGGTTCTCTAATCTGTTCCATCGGTATATGTGTCTGTTTTTAGGCTAGTATCATGCTGCTTTCACTATTTTTGTTTTTAGTATATTTTAAGGTCGGGTAGTGTAATGCCTCCAGCTTTGTCCTTTTTGTTCAAGCTTGCTTTAGCTATTCAGGGTCTTTTATAATTTCATGAAAATTTTAGGATTGTTTTTCCTATTTCTGTGAACACTTTCATTGGTATTCTGATAGGGATTGAATTGAATTTGTAAATTGTTTTGGGTAGTATGGATATTTTAGCAATATTAATTCTTCCAGTCCAAGAAGATGGGATATTTTTCCACTTATTAGTGTCCTCTTTAGTTGCTTTTGTTAATGTTTCATAGTTTTTATTGTAGAGATCTTCCATCTCCTCGGTTAAGTTTAGTCCTAGTTACTTTATTTTTTTGTAGCTATTGTAAGTGGGATTGATTTCTTAATTTCTTTTTTAGAGAGTTTGCTGTTGGTGATAATTAATAACTAATTAACACCTTAAAGAGCAAAAGTAAGGTACACACAGTTGCCTCCTAAGGCAGAGGGGGAGTAAAATTTGTTGGAGACCTTTTATGTGCAAGGCTCTGTGCCACATGCATTACCTCTTTTGAACTAATGCAATCTGTACATATTGGAGGTGCCAGCTAATTATGTTTCAATTATAGTTAAACTGTCTAGTAGACAAGCATTTCCTTTTTTTTAACACAGACATGGCATCAAGAAGTAGAGGAGAATGATTCTGGAGCAAAAGGCCAATAAAAAAGTTTACTTTTTTGCCCCTCTAAAAGCTACATTCTTCTTGTGAACATCCACACCTCAGTAAGTGTCATCATCATCTATCTGACTGCCAGAGACAGACACTTATAAGTCATGGTTGTTTCTTTGGTTTTCCTCATTTTCACTGCCCCATTCAATCACTTGGCAAATCCTATTGACCAAGACATCAAAATAAGTCTTATATCTTTTAATATCTTGTCATCTCTACTACTATAACCTCTGAGAAAGCATTGTTGTCTCTCTCCTAAACAAATGCGATAACCATCTAATTGGCCTCTGCTTCCAAATAGCAGATACAGTAACTTTTTAAAAAATGTAAAATAGATTACCCTCTACTTAAAATAATTTTCTTATTGTATCTGAAATAAAACTGAACATTCAAAGCTTCTGTTATATTTTGCTGCCGTGTTCTCCAGTCTCACCCATTACATACTCCCATTGGTTCTTTATGCCCCAACATCCTGACTTCTTTCTGATCCTTAAAAACATCAATAATTTTCCTACTTCAGGCATTGCTTATGTTGTCTTTCTTGCCTGGAGTGCTCTTCTCCTAATTCTTTGTGTGCTTTATTTGTTCTTATTGATAAGAACTCAGCTAGAATATCACTCCAACAGTCATTTCCTACCACCCTAGTTGAAAACAACTCCGATTGCAATTATTCTCTTTCATGGCTTATTTCCTTCAGCTTTTCCAGTGTAATTTGTTACTCTCTTGTTTATTTAGGGGTTATCTTTGCCCTGCTTAAATGCAAATCCCATGAAGTTCTTTTTTTTTTTTCTTGTGGTTATTTTTTGAGACAGCCTCGCTCTGTCACCCAGGCTGGAGTGCAGTGGCTTGCTCTTGGCTCACTGCAACCTCCGCCTGGTTCAAGTGATTCTTGTGCCTTAGCCTTCTGAGTACCTGGGACTACAGGTGTGCACCACCACACCAGCTAATTTTTGTGTTTTTTAGTAGAGATTGGGATCTCGCCATGTTGGCCAGGTTGGTCTCAAACTCCTGACCTCAGGTGATCTGCCCACCTTGGCCTCCCAAAGTGCTGGGATTACAGGCGTGAGCCACAGAGCCTGGCCTGGGAAGCTGTGTTTTGCATTTCTCTCTCTCTCCAGTGCTTAGAAGAATACCCAGAGCACATGATAACCCTCTTTTAAATAAATGAATAAATGAATATATAAATAGATGAATGGTACAAAGTGAAAGATTGGTATTCTCATACATGGTTTGGAGTTGTGATGCCCTAGATAAAAAACAGCTTAAACATCATATGGGCTTCTGAGAGAGTGTTATAAAGTTTCCCTTTAGAGTCTCTTTCTATATTGCAAATCTAATTAATAATATACGGATAGTTTTGTAATGTGCAAAAATGGTCAATATACTAGTTATATTTTAGCTGTCGTATATAGTGCTGGTGAAAATAAGTCTTTGTATAGGCAAAGTGCTTACTTTTTAGTATAATAACATAGGCGTTGTGATTAAAAAGAAGGACTAAGAGCCAGGTGATAAGAATTCTAGTCCCAACCTTGCTAGTAAATATCTGTGTGATAAAGCCTCAGCTTTCTCACATACCTATAAAATGAGGCTAACCTCATAAGGTTGTGTGAAAATTATTTAAAATAATGCTTTTAAGCATTACTTAGGGAAAACTGCCATCTTGCTCACTGCAACCTCTGCCTTCCAGGTTCAAGCGATTCTCCTGCCTCAACTTCCCGAGTAGCTGGGATTACAGGTGTGCGCTACCACGCCCGGCTAATTTTTTTTTTTTTTGTACTATTGGTGGAGACGGGGTTTCACTATATTGGCCAGGCTGGTCTTGATCTCCTGACCTTGTGATCTGCCCACCTTGGCCTCCCCAAGTGCTGGGATTATAGGCATGAGCCACCGTGCAAGACTAATATTGTATTTTAATAGCTGGTAATAAAATGAAAATTGTCTTAGCTTAGACTGTCATAACAACATATAGATTGGGTGGCTTAAACAACAGACATTTATTTTCTCACAGTTCTTTAGGCTGAGAGTCTAAGATCAGGGTGCCAGCATGGTTACATTTTGGTGAAGGCTTCCTTCCTGGCTTGTAGGTGGCTACCACCTCACTATGTGCTCACATTACCTCTTTTTTTTTGGTACAGGAGGAGAGGGAGTGGAGAAGGGGAGAAAGAGAGAGAAAGAGTGAGGCAGAGACAGAAAGAGAATGAATGAGTGAGAACTCTGGCATCTCCTCTTATAGGGATACTCATTCTATTGTATAAGGATCCCATTTTTATGTCCTTATTTAACTTTACCTCCTTATAGACCTCATTTACACACACGGTTATAATGGGTGTTATGGCTTTAACATATGAATTTTGGTGATGTACAATTTAGTCCTTAGCAAAAATAAATTTAAGATATATTCTCAAATGTTCATTTATGAATGTTTAGTTCTATTACTTTCTAGACTTTCCCTTTGAGTTCTAATTTTCCAGTACAACTAAAACAAATATCAAGAACAAGACATTTAGTCTTTTTCTTTCTCTCTCTGGTAATCATCATAATAGTTTTTTAATAGGAAAGCTATTCAAGGAATATCTATCATCTTGTTATTTTGTGGAAATATGCTATGTTGGAGAAGTAGTAAAGCCAAAAAACTGACAGATTTTTTTTTCCTTGATATTCTAAGGTCTAGGTTTTATTAACTTGGTTCCATTTAGTGTTGAGGCAAAGGCTTTAAATGAATCATTAAATGGTTGAGCAGTGGTATATGTTTAAGCTCATGCTCTTCATGGAATGGTTACAGTCAAACCTTTCAGTCTTCATTGCACAGTAGTGTACTGCAGTGCTAAGAGCATTAAAGTTACAAAATTTGATTTAAATCTAGACTACGTTAGTATATTGGATATAGTAAGAATATTGATGTTCAGAAAGATTAAGTAATTTGCCCAAGGACACAATAGTCTTATTAGTGAAGAAGAGATGAGAACACTCATCACTCAGGGGATTATGAAGACTAAATGAAAATGTGAATGCCAAACTCAACATACTCTGGGCTTGATATTCATTCAATATTCAATATTCAGTAAGATATTCATTTTTACTTCATTTTCATGATCTTGCTAATTTATAATCATATTTTAAATCATTAGCACTATAACCTAAGTTGATTATGAATGTGTTTTTTTTTTTTTTTTTTTTTTTTTTTTGAGACAGAGTCTTGCTCTGTCACCCAGTCTGGAGTGCAGTGGCGCGATCTCCGCTCACTGCAAGCTCCGCCTCCCAGGTTCATGCCATTCTCCTGCCTCAGCCTCCTGAGTAACTGGGACTACAGGCGCCCGCCATCACGCCTGGCTAATTTTTTTGTATTTTTTAGTAGAGACAGGGTTTCACTGTGTTAGCCAGGATGGTCTCGATCTCCTGACCTCGTGATCCGCCCACCTCGGCCTCCCAAAGTGCTGGGATTACAGGCGTGAGCCACCGCGCCCGTCCTATGAATGTATTTGTAAAGGCAAGAGAAGACCATGGTCGTGAGCTGAGGGACCATGGGTAACATGAAGACCGAGTACTGGAGGGCCAAATACTTCTGTCAAATTTCATAATAGCAAGTATGCAGCTAGTAGGAGTTAAAGCAGTTAAAACAGCTCTTCCTTTTACCATATTTCCTGCTATCGTGTGTGTGTGTGTGTGTGTGTGAGAGAGAGAGAGAGAGAGAGAGAGAGAGAGAGGGAAATGGGTTTGTTTTGGGAAGTGGCATCAGATTCATGTTTCTCATTGCAACTTAAAAAATAGCAAGCCTAATTGTTGGATAGTTATAATGGCTTTACTACTTCTCCAACATAGCATATTTCCACAAAATAACAAGATGATAGATATTCCTTGAATAGCTTTCCTATTAAAAAACTATTGTGATGATTACCAGAGAAAGAAAAAGACTAAATGTCTTGTTCTTGATATTTGTTTTAGTTGTACTGGAAAATTAGAAAAATAAAACTTAATAAAATATGTTTCACAATGAAAAGACAATATATGTTCTTAAACAGTAAAAAAGTACACAGACTCTAATGGCAATTTAATTCTTAACTGTAATATATAGAGCATAAAATTAACCAAGGCATGAAATCTCGGTATATTTTTTTGTTTGTATTTAAGATTTCAATTTGTACTGGCTCATAAATTTCATCTGAGATAAAGGAAAACAGCTTGTCTATATATCTACTCCTTTAGATCATAAATATTTTCTGAGAAAGAGTAATATCCTCTGCTTTGACAATTCCGGAAATACATTTTATAACAGTGCATTCAAATGTTTCCCATAATATGTCAGAAAAACTGCAGATGTTGTGGAAAATTCAATGTTATGGATTCATACAGGTCAGTAATGTCAGAAATTCATGACCTGTGCTAGAGGAAACTCCTAGACAGGATAGTGAAGAATGCAAAGTTTTAAGTGAAACATTAATACAAGTTTGTGGGTTACTACACAGCACAGAACAGACAACCAAAGAAAAAAAGACAGGACATATTATTATAAAGATGTTTCCAATATAAGAATTTTAGGGATTCTGGCTCCCAATAATGGCAGAGTACATACGTGTATGTGTGTGTGTGTGTGTTTGTGTATCACAAATGTACAGAGCATATACATAAATAACATATGGAGTATATAGTATATATAGTATTGTACAATGTAAAGAGTAGCATGTATATTTATCTCTCTATAGACACACACATATACATTATACTTGTGCATATATATGTATGCATGTATTTGTATGTATACATTTGAGTCCCACCAAACTAGAGAAAAATCCTCAGTAAAAACTGTTTTCAGTAGAAACCCTAATTTTCCCAGGTGTATGCTTAAATGCTATGCCTAAAATTAAAAGATTAAAAGATTATCCTAAAACCAAGGGCAAAACTAAAATAGATTTCCCTAACAAAATATAAAACCAAATCTCAGCCAGGCGCAGTGGCTCACGCCTGTAATTTCAGACCTTCGGGAGGTCAAGGCAGATAGGTCTCTTGAGCCTAGGAGTTTGAGACCAGCCTGAGCAACATAGTACAACCCTGTCTCTACCAAAAAATACAAAAATTAGCGGGGCATGGTGGCATGTGCTTGTAGTCCCAGCTACTCAGGAGGCTGAGGTGGGCATGTCGATTAAGCCCAGGAGGTCCAGGTTGCAGTGAGCCATGATCAGGCCACTGCACTATCACCTGGTAAACAGAGCAAGACCTTATTTCAAAATAATATTAAATTTAAAAGAATTAAAAAACCCAGACCTCCACAAATCTGAGATGACCCACCAGTAATTTTAACTGACTTACAGGAGAAAGCATAGAATTTTTCAGATGAAGATATGATCCAGACTCTTAATATGCTACTTCACAATGTTCACTAAGCAACAAAAAATTATGAGACATGTGAATAAATAGAAAAATGTAATCCATAGTCAAGAAACAAAATGAGCAAATATATTTCACAATTAGCAGGGAAGACCTTTAAATAAGTACGATAAACATATTAAGGTATCTACAGAAAAAGTTAGTTATAATGAGTTAAAAAATCGAGAATTTCAGGAGAGATATAAAAAGTATTTAAAGAAAGAGAGAAGCAAATGCAAATCTTAGAATAATATCTTAAATCAATACAAAACATTTCATTTTAATCATGATTATGTAAATACTTGATAAAAAGTACTTGATAATACTTGATTCATTTTGTTACTATCTCAAATCTTTTTCCAAGACTATAGCTCTAGAATAAAACATTTGTTTTCATCATTACTAGAAGAAAAAAATTAATTTTGGGGGACTTCTAAGCAAAATCTTTCTATTGTTAAGTTCCCATTAATTGCTGCTGTTTCTGGTCAGAGTCTATTCTTTTTAGCAACTCATAAACATAAGAATTGGTGTATGCTGCCTCATCAAAAGTGGAAACCAGACTTGGAATATCAAAATGATTCATTATCGTTTAATGTTTATTTGAGTCATAAATATTAGAAGATCATAATTCATTTGAGTCATGGTTTAAGAAAAACAAGCAAGAAAATGTATAGCAAACTGATTTATTTTGAAATATTCTACCCTCCATATTAAATGTAAACTTTCATATATAATGATTATTTTTTAAGTAATGACTTAAATAGAGGAATGAACTTAACTAGTATCATTTTGAAAGAATATGTGTTTATCAGGCACCTGGGGGAAGGTAATTAGGAGAGAAAAAAATATCACCAGATGTCATGATGCTTGTAGATAGAGAAAATAAAATTGATGGGAGAAAAATCATAAAATATCCTAAAAATTCAGTGTCTATGAGTTTAGGAAAAATATTTTTTCACTGGCTTTTAGTCATCCTTTGAGGGCATTTGTCATCAGAAAAAATAATTCTATTTGTGTTTTTGTTGCAATTGCTTTGGGGAACTTAGCCATAAATTCTTTGCCAAGGTCGATGTTGAGAAGAGTACTTCCTAGATTGTCTTCCACGATGTTTATAATTTGAGGTCCTACATTGAAAGCTTTAATCCATTTTAAGTTAATTTTTGTATATGGTGAAAGGTAGGAGTCCAGCTTCAATCTTCTGCATATGGCTAGCTAGTTATCCTAGCACCATTTGTTGAATAGGGAATCCTTTCTCTGTGGCTTGTTTTTGTCAGTCTTGACAAAGTTCAGATGGTTGGTTGTAGGTGTGTGGCTTATTTCTGAGTTTTCTGTTCTCTTCCATTGGTCTAGGTGTCTGCTTTTGTACCAGTGCCAAACTGTTTTGGTTACTGTGGCTTTATAGCATAGTTTGAAGTCGGGTGGTATGATGCCTCTGGATTTGTTCTTTTTGCTTAGGATTGCTTTGGTGACTTGGGCTTTTTTTTTTTTTTTTTTTTTTTTTTTGTTCCATATGAATTTTAGACTAGTTTTTCTAGTTCTGTGAGGAATGACAGGTAGTTTGATAGGAATAGCACTGAATCTGTAAATTGCTTTGGGAAGTGTGACCATTTTTACGATATTGAATTCCTCCAATCCATGAGCATGAGATGCTTTTTATTTATTTGTGTCCTCTCTGATTTCTTTCAGCAGTGTTTTGTAGTTCTCCTTGTAAAGATCTTCCACCTCCTTGGTCAGTTGTATTTGTAGGCATTTTATTTTTTTGTGGCTATTGTAAGTGAGATGGTGCTTTTGATTTATCTCTCAGCCTGGAATGCTGGTATATAGAAATGCTATTGATTTTTGTACGTTGATTTTGTATCCTGAAATTTTACTAAAGTTGTTTATCAATTCTAGGAGCCTTTTGGCAGAGTCTTTAGGATATTTCACGTAGAGAATAATGCCATCTGCAAAGAGAGATAGTTTGACTTCTTTTCCTATTTGGATGCTTTTCATTTCTTTCTCTGAAAGTTGCTGAAAGTGTTTATCAATTTTAGGAGTCTTTGAGCAGAGACTATAGGGTTTTCTAGGTATACAATCATATCATCTGTGAAGAGAGATAGCGTGACTTCCTATTTTTTTTTTGACGGAGTCTCACTCTGTCACCCAGGCTGGAGTTCAGTGGCACGATCTCAACTCACTGCAAGCTCTGCCTCCAGGGTTCAAGCAATTCTCCTGCCCCAGCCTCCTGAGTAGCTGGGATTGCAGACACCTGCCACCACGCCTGGCTAATTTTTGTATTTTTAGTAGAGACAGGGTTTCACCATGTTGGCCAGGCTGGTCTTGAACTCCTGACCTCAAGTGATCTGCCCACCTCAGCCTCCCAAATTGCTGAGATTACAGGCATGAGCCACTGCACCTGGCCACTATTTAGATGGCTTTTATTTCCTTCTTTTGCCTGACTGCTCTGGCTGAGACTTCCAGTACTATGTTGAATAGGAGTGGTGAGAGTCGGCATCCTTGTCTTGTTTCAGGTCTCAAGGAGAATGGTTTGAGCTTTTGCCCATTCAATATGATGTTGGTTGTGGGTCCGTTACAGATGGCTCTTATTATTTTGAGGTGTATTCCTTTGAACTCTAGTATGTTGAGGGTTTTTATCATGAAGAAATTTTGGATTTTTATCAAAAGGTTTTTCTGCATTTATTGACATGACAATATGATTTGTGCTATTGATTCTGGTTGTGTGGTGAATCACAATTATCAACTTGCAGATATTGAAACAGCCCTGTATTCCAGGAATGTCTCCAAAGTAACAAAAACTTGCTAAGTTGATAAGTGGGACCTAATTAAAATAAAGAGTTTCTGCACAGCAAACAAAAACTATCAACAGAGCAAACAGACAACCTACAGAATGGAGGATATTCACAAACTATGTACCTGACAAATGTCTGATATCTGGAATCTATAGGGAACTTAAATCAACAAGCAAAAAAAAAAACCTTATTTTAAAAATGGGCAAAGAACATGAACAGACATTTTTCAAAACAAGACATACAAGTGGCCAACAAACATATAAAAAATGCTCAGCATCACTAGTTGTCAGAGAAATGCAAATTAAAGCCACAATGAGATATCATCTTACACCAGTCAGAATGGCTTTTATTAAACAGTCAAAAAGCAACAGATGCTGGTGAGGTTGTGGAGAAAAGGGAACACTGTTGGGGGGCTTAAACACTATTGGTAGGAACATAAATTAGCATGACCGCTATGGAAATCAGTCCAGAGATTTCTCAAAGAACTTAAAATAGAGCTGCTATTCAACCCAGCATTCCCATTACTGGGTACACCAAAGAAAATAAATCATTCTACCTAAAAGACACATACGTTCATCACTGCATATTCATTCACAATAGCAAAGACATGTGATCAACCCTGGTACCCATTAATGATAGAGTACAATTTAAAAAATGCCCATATACACCTTGAAATACTATGCAGCCATAAAAAAGAGGGAAATCATGTCCTTTGCAGGGACATGGATGATCCCGGAGGTCGTTATCCTAAACAAACTAATGCAGGAATAGAAAACCAAATACCACATGTTCTTGCATATAAGTAGGAGCTAAACATTGAGCACACATGGACATAAATATGGGAACAATACACATCGTGGACTACTGGAGGGTGGGGGTGGATTTAAAAAACTACCCATTGAGCACTATGCTCACACCTGGGGGATGTGGATTCATACTCCAGACATCAACTTCACACAATATTCCTATACAACAAATCTACACATGTACTTGTCTCTAAAATAAAAGTTAAATTTTAAAAAATAAAGATTCCAAGGAAACAGATTCATTCATTAATCTTATAAGCATTTATACCATTCTTGAATTATGTACCTTGTGAGTTGTTGAATATCTAATGCTAAGGCATAGACCCTGCTCTTCAGTTTGGTAAAATTTCTTGGAACAGATAGCTAAACAAAAGAACATTACTTATATAATGTTGTATGCCACATGCTAGAGTTTTCCATGTGGTATTGTGGAAGCTCAATGTGAAACACTGAGGAAGTGGAGATATTGAAGAGTCCTTCTAGAAGAATAGCTGTCTGTGATGAGAGCAATTGAAAAGCAGTGGGGGAAAGCAGGGACGAGTCTTCTGATCACAGAAAATAAGGTAACCAAAACTCATGCCTCCTTCTAGTATTACGAATAGTTTCGCTGAGTGGGATGTACCATGTACTACAAGGTATGCTGATGAAGAAGCTGGGAGATAAGGATGGAGATGAGAATAGAGGGCCAATATGTGTTTACAGGTCAGAGAAACCATTAAAGAATTTTAATAAGGGTATTCATAAATTCAGATTTTAGATACTTTGAAGACAGTTTAGAATGGACTTCATTTGAGTGGAATATAAGATAGGCAGGAGGCTTTTTATAAATTCAGACAAAGAATTAGGTAGTTCTAAACAAGAATGGAGAAAAGGCTTAGGAAAGAAGAAAATAACTATATGAGTACATTTAGAGTTAATTTGAAGGTCCTTGTCATTCATTGAACATTGATTAAGGAAAGGGAAAAGTTATAGATTATTTCCAGATTTTTTGTCTGGACCACTGTACAGATATTAAGAATATTCTATAAAATGGAAACAGGCATTTCAGAGCAAAAATTATTATTTAGTTTTTACCAGCTTACTTTGAAGCGTCTACTACACATAGGTTTGGAGTGAGAGGTGGTTAATAAAATTTTAATCTCAAGCTCAGGGCCTAAACCTAGAGAAATCTAGATATGGGCATAATACAAATGTAGATTTGAAAGTAATTTTTAAGGGTGTTGATATCCTGGGAGATGAGATTATCCAAATGAGATCCTAAATGAAAGTATAAAAATATAAAGAATGGGACTTTGGGTAAAGAGTAGCATTTAAGTGGTTGTTAGAAGAAGAAAAGCCAAAAAAGTCTACTGAAGAGGAATGGTCTGCAGAGAGAAAGGACACCAATGCCATGGACAGGGAGACTTCTCGAAGGGGGAGTGATCAAAGGGTGTCTGTTCCTTCAGTCTAGCCAAGGACTGAATACATCCAATGAATTTAGGAACAAAGAAGTCAAAGGTAACTTTGGCAAGGGTGGTTTCAGTGGAATGGTGTGTTGGAAGCCACAGCGAATTAATCAAAGGTGTAAAAGATTGATAAGAGAAGCAGGCAAAGAGATGTGAGCATACTTACATTTTGAAGAGAGAACATGGTGAAGTAAAATAGGTCATGGTTCAGAAGACAGATGGTTTCATTGACGGAGGACTACTCTTGAGAAGGAAGTGCCAAGGATACAGAATATTGGTAATGAGTGGATGAAGGACATGAAAAGATAGAAATCAGTGAAAGGCCAGGCACGGTGGCTCACGCCTGCAATCCCAGCAGTTTGGGAGGCTGAGGCAGGCGGATCACAAGGTCAGGAGATCGAGACCATCCTGGCTAACACAGTGAAACCCCGTCTCTACTAAAAATACAAAATTAGCCAGGCGTGGCAGCGTGTGCCTGTAGTCCCAGCTGCTGGGGAGGCTGAGGCAGGAGAATGGCGTGAACCCGGGAAGCGGAGCTTGCAGTGAGCCGAGAGGCTTGATGAGGTGTTCAGAGTGAGTCTAGCCAAAAATATGTGGCCAATTGAACCTCCAACCCCCACATAAAAAAGAATCCAAAATTCAATACTAGGAATTATTCAGGTACCAGAGAAGAACTGCATTGCTGTGGAGTTATGGAGCTCAGTAGCAAGCAGCTATCAGACCCAGAGGAGACTAATGTCAAGGTGGTTGGATAAGGGCATTCACCCAATTTTAAGAAACTACACTTCCAAAAATAAAATAAAATGCATGTTAAAGTTCTACTCAAAATGAATCAGAGGGCAAAATTTAAAAGATGAAAATGCCACGAGGTCATTTCCTGGATCTACCTGTCCTCCAACTGGAGTATACCTACCTAATGTATTTAAAATAATGTACAAATTTAAATAACAAAGTCTTTAAAATATATATTTATCTTAAATCCTCCTCTTCACAGGAGGATTTAAGATACATTATTTTAAATATTGTATTATTTAAATCTTCCTGTGAAGAAGATTTAAAATAAATACATTAATGCTTTATACATGTATTTAAAATTTATACAAATAAAACTATAAACTTTTTTCCACTCAACTATTGTAATCTGGTACTTTAGTTGGATCAAAATATATTTGCAAAGCTATATATTTCAGAGAGAAGAGAATCTGATTTATGCTGCTAAATCATGCAAAGATAGACACCCTGGGATTTTTCTCTATTTTTTTTTAATTAACAACTTCATATGCTGGAAAATAGTTTTCTGCTTATTTTATGGCAAAATTTATTTTGGCTTGTAATCATAGACTATAACAGCCATGTTTGTGCCATATAAAAATTTGATAACATGACTATAGCAAAACGTATCTGAACTATATGTCCCATTTTAGGTTATGAGACTTAAGGAGGGTGTGGGTTAAATCCTTTATTTTTGAATCACTTGCCCAAGACTGCCTAAATCCTAGGCAGTCTTATAGGAAGACCAGAGAGCAATAGAAACTGAATTTTAAGGCATAGGGTCTCCCATTCAATGTATTACAAGTGATCCCTAAATAAATGTAAGTTGATTTACTTATTGCCTCACAGTACTGGATTCAGAGGTCTCTATGCATAGTCCTTCTTGCAAAAATTTCTTGCTTGGTAATGAAATTTTCTAGGAGATGCTCCAGGAAATCTCACAGCTAGAAGGTAGACTCGTTTTCGGATGATGGAGACCTGGCTTATATTCTGAATAATGTAAATAAAACAGTGACTTCTAGTTCTCCAGGGTATTTTGTTTTAAAGTAAAACACACTACCTTGTTCAATCTAGGTTAACTGTGGCATATCAACCTTTCACTATCACTCATCAGTTTTTAATTTCTAATGAGAAACTTTATATGAAGAGAATTATTTCATACTTGATTGTCTGCCTTTTAATCCACACGGGTAACATTTGAAGGACCCGTTGCTTATTCTAATTAATATTTGAGTTCCTATTCCCTTTAGGTATGCAATTACTGTTTTCTGTGTTGTTCTCATGTCTTTTATGATGCTGTTTTTCTTTGCAGATTTAGTATACAAAGCATGTATGTTCCTTTAGGGTGTTAGCAAAAATAATTTTCCTTGTCTGGGCTTAGATGGTGCAGCAAGAGGCTTTAGAAATTCCTGTTGCAGAGATTTATATAAGACTGCCACATCTTACTGGAGAATGATGAAATAATGAAGCAGAAATAATCTGAAGATAATACCTGAGAATCAAAAGGGATAAAGTAATCACAGTGCATTATTCCACTAGTTCTAAATGTTTTCAAATAAAAAAAGATTAAAGACAGGCTTGAGAGGCATACAAATGATTTCGACAAAGCCATAAATTTGAAAATATGCTGAGTAAAGTATATAGGTGTATAGAAAATCATAGCACTTTGGAATTTACAACTTAAGCAAAGTAGTAGAAGAAAGTCTCCCCGAAATCTTTGTTGAAATGAAATACAAATGAAAATAGTATTAGAAAGAAATCTGAAGAGATTTACAGCATGTAATTGGAATTACAGAAATAAAGCATTTGTGTAACATGGTTTGTAAGACAAAACATTATTTTTCTATTTGTAATTCCCTTTTGACTTGAAGGAGAGTGAAATGTGGGTACATGGAGAATATTTTGTTTTTTCTGAATAGGGTAACAGATGTGGGTAGGTATTTGGAAGTTTGGAATCATTTGAATTATAGGAAGAGGGCTACAGTTTGAATTGTCAGAACAATTCTAAATTTGTCTTTAAAAAGTGTGGGTGAATGGTCTTTCTGGATCAGAGAAATGGATCAAGGGGGAGCAGCAAGACAGGGAAAGGTAGAGAGGGAGAAGAAAAGAGAGAAGGAGATTAAAAAAGAGAGAAACACGCAATTGCCTCAGAACTGACTTCAGAAGAAATGTTGAAAGGAATTTTATGCCGTGAGAGACAAATTATCCTTTTGGACTCATCTACAAAATCCTCAGTAAATTTACATTTTTCATTAAGGACATATGAAAAAATTAAAAAAGTTATATACATGGAGGCTGCTAAAATCTGGTTTACATAGGCAATGATAAATGAAAACAATATTACTGGGAATTGAATGGTATAAAACGTGTAAGGACTATGAGACATTTACAGAGTGCTCTCTTGGTGGGAAGTAGGTGTTGTGCTAGGCACATTAAAAACTTGGTCCCTTGTTACAAAGATTATGTACAAATGAAAAGGTGAAATAATTTTGAAATGAACTGTTTCCTGTAAGGCAAGGATAGACAAAAGAGAAGTAGAAATGCAAGGGAAAGTGGAAAAAAAACTGCCAAGTAGGGATGAACAAAAGGAGTAAAATATTCAAGTCAGGCCAGCAGAAAAATACTTTCCTCAATTTTCTTTCAGCTAAAGAATAAACGAGTTAGAATGATATGGGAGTAGGGGGTGGGGGGTTGTAATTCTACCTTTATTTAGTAGCACTCTCACTTGCCATGAAACCTGTATCTTCATATTAGAGCAGAATTCATCCTTGGTGCCAGGAAGCTCCCGGAATCTATGAGGTGACTTGGATCAAAGAGATCAATATCTAAAGACTTTAAATAACCTCTGTGTTATCTGCTGAACTATGTCCTCCTAAAATTTTTTTGTTGAAGTCCTAACCCCCAGTACCTTACACTGTGACAGAATTTGAAGATAGGGCCTTTAAAGAGGCAATTCAGGTAAAATGAGATCATACACCTGGTCTGTAATCCAAAAATAACTGTGCTTTTATCAGAAGAGATTAGGACACAGACCTGAAGGGAAGGCCACATGAAGATCCCAGAGGGATGGAGCCTTTTACAAGCCAAGGAGAGAGGCCTCGGGAAAAATCAACCCAGCCTACATTTTGATCTTGGACTTCTAGCCTCCAAGACAGTGGAAAAATAAATGTCTATAGTTTAAGCCACCCAGTCTGTGATACTTTGTTATGGCAGCTCTAACAAACTATCATTTTTACCTTTCCCTCCCTATCACCTCATCACCCTCTAAATCATATGGGACAGATGTGAACTGACGTTTGTATTGTTATTCAACCTAGGTAGATCCATGTTGAGTCATATACATGTGTAATTTACATAGGTGCTTCTGTGGCTGAAATTACTAATCTAATCTGGTATCTTTTACCAATTACATCCATCAGAGAGAGCCTGGTCATATGTCACCTCTGGATCTTAGCTGTCAACCAAAAGGACGCTAAGACAAAAAAGCCTGTCCTTTATGTGGGCTTTTATTATTATTGTTATTTTTTTTTGACGAATTTTTGTGTTTAGGAAAAAGACGTATAGCTGGTGTAACCAGCTAAGGGCCTGGGGCAGAATGGGAGGCTTGCAGGAATGTGTGTCGGTTAGCAAATATGCCATGGAGATTTGCAACACTTAAGCCTGCGTGTAGTCCTTGCTATTCATCATTCTGTTAACTGCACCTCTCTAGTAATTATTTTACATGGCCAGGTAATTTATATTTGATGTTGATAAATATAGTCCTACAAAACATTGAAGTAGTTTTCTCCGGTATGAAAGAAAGCAGGCATTGTGTTTGTTGTTGTTTTCAGTATAGTTTAAGGTTAAGGGAATTTGTAACTTTATAATGAGTAATAAATGCATGGTATAATTTCTTTTTACTGATTAGAATTTTTAGTTTACTGCATACTGTATCAGTAATCTATATAATATAAAGTTTCCAAAGGTCCCTATGTATTGTTTTAATTGTGGTGGGGCCGAGCGCGGTAGCTCACACCCGTTATCCCAGCACTTTGGGAGATTGAGGTGGGCGGATCACGAGGCCAGGAGTTGGAGACCAGCCTGGCCAACATAGCAAAACCCCATCTCTGTGAAAAATAAATAAAAAAAAAAAATTAGCTGGGCGTGGTGGCAGGCACCTGTAGTCCCAGCTCCTTGGGAGGCTGAGGCAGGAGAATCACTTGAACTCAGGAGGCGGAGGTTGCCGTGAGCCGAGATCATGCCATTGCATTCCAGCCCAAGTGACGGTGTGAGACTCCGTCTCAAAAAAAAAAAAAAAAAAAAAAAAAAAAAGTCTAGGTATTAAAGTTGTGCTAATTCTTCCTTGGTGGTTCATACCTGTAATCCCAGCACTTTGAGAAGCCAGGGTGATGGATCACCTGAGGTCAGGAGTACGAGACCAGTCTGGCCAACATGGTGAAACTGTGTTTCCATTAAAAAAAAAAAAAAAAAAAAAAAAAGCTGGGCATGGTGGTGTGCACCTATAATCCTAGCTACTCAGAAGGCTGAGGCATGAGAATCACTTGAACCTGGGCGGCAGAGGTAGCAGTGAGCCAAGACTGCTCCACGGCACTCCAGCCTGGGCGATAGAGCAAGACTCGGTCAAAAAAATAAATAAATAAATAAATTTTTAAAAAAAGTCTTGGTAAAGGGATCAATTCATCAAGAAGAGCTAACTATCCTAAATATATATGCACCCAATACAGGAGCACCCAGATTCATAAAGCAAGTCCTTAGAGACCTACAAAGAGACTTAGACTGCCACACAATAATAATGGGAAACTTTAACACCCCACTGTCAATATTAGACAGATCAACAAGACAGAAGGTTAACAAGGATATCCAGGACTTGAACTCAGCTCTCCACCAAGCGGACCTAATAGACATCTGCATAACTCTCCACCCCCATATCAACAGAATATACATTCTTCTTAGAACCACATCACACTTATTCTAAAACTGACCACATGATTGGAAGTAAAGCACTCCTCAGCAAACGTAAAAGAACAGAAATCACAACAAACTGTCTCTCAGACCACAGTGCAATCAAATCAGAACTCAGGATTAAGAAACTCACTCAAAACTGCACAACTTCATGGAAACTGAACAACTTGCTCCCGAATGACTACTGGGTAAACAATAAAATGAAGGCAGAAATAAAAATGTTCGTTGAAACTAATGAGAAAAAAGACACAAGGTACCAGAATCTCTGGGACACATTTGAAGCAGTGTGTAGAGGGAAATTTACAGCACTAAATGCCCACAAGAGAAAGCAGGAAAGACCTAAAATCAACACCCTAACATTACAATTAAAAGAACCAGAGAAGCAAGAGCAAACACATTCAAAAGCTAGCAGAAGGCAAGAAATCACTAAGATCAGAGCAGACCTGAAGGAGATAGAGACACAAAAAACCCTTCAAAAAATCAATGAATCCAGGAGCTGGTTTTTTGAAAAGATCAACAAAATTGATGATAGACTGCTAGCAAGACTAATAAAGAAGAAAAGGGAGAGGAATCAAATATACACAATAAAAAATGATAAAGGGGATATCACCACTGATCCCACAGAAATACAAACTACCATCAGAGAATACTATAAACAACTCTACACAAATAAACTAGAAAATCTAGAAGAAATGGATAAATTCCTGGACACATACACCCTCCCAACACTAAACCAGGAAGAAGTCAAATCTCTGAATAGACCAATAACAGGCTCTGAAATTGAGGCAATAATTAATAGCCCACCAACCAAAAAAATCCAGGACCAGATAGATTCACAGCTGAATTCTACCAGAGGTACAAGGAGGAGCTGGTACCATTCCTTGTGAAACTATTCCAATCAATAGAAAAAGAGGGAATCCTCCCTAACTCATTTTATGAGGCAAGCATCATCCTGATACCAAAGCCTGGCAGAGATAAAAAGAATTTTAGATCAATATCCCTGATGAACATCAATGCAAAAATCCTCAATAAAATACTGACAAACTGAATCCAGCAGCACATCAAAAAGCTTAACCACCACAATCAAGTCAGCTTCATCCCTGGGATGCAAGGCTGGTTCAACAGACACAAATCAATAAATGTAATCCATCGTATACACAGAACCAATGACAAAAACCACATGATTATCTCAACAGATGCACAAAAGGCCTTTGACAAAATTCAACAGCCCTTCATGCTAAAAACTCTCAATAAACTAGGTATTGATGGAATGTATCTCAAAATAATCAGAGCTATTTATGACAAACCCACAGCCAATATCATACTGAATGGGCAAAAACTGGAAGCATTCCCTTTGAAAACTGGCACAAGACAAGGATGCCCTCTCTCAACACTCCTATTCAACATAGTGTTGGAAGTTCTGGACAGGGCAATCAGGCAGGAGAAAGAAATAAAGGGTATTCAATTAGGAAAAGAGGAAGCCAAATTGTCCCTGTTTTCAGATGACATGATTGTATATCTAGAAAACCCCATTGTCTCAGCCCAAAATCTCCTCAAGCTGATAAGCAACTTCAGCAAAGTCTCAGGATACAAAATCAATGTGCAAAAATCACAAGCATTCTTATACACCAATAGCAGACAAACAGAGATCCAAATCATGAGTGAACTCCCATTCACAATTGCTACAAAGAGAATAAAATACCTGGGAATCCAACTTACAAGGGATGTGGAGGACCTCTTCAAGGAGAACTACAAACCACTGCTCAATGAAATAAAAGAGTACACAAACAAATGGAAGAACATTCCATGCTCATGGGTAGGAAGAATTAATATCGTGAAAATGGCCATACTGCCCAAGGTAATTTACAGATTCAATGCCATCCCCATCAAGCTACCAATGACTTTCTTCACAGAATTGGAATAAACTACTTTATAGTTCATATGGAACCAAAAAAGAGCCCACATTGCCAAGACAATCCTAAGCAAAACAAAAAAAAAACAAAAAAAAAACAAAAAAAACAACAACAACAACAAAAAAAAACAAAGCTGGAGGCATCACGCTACTTGACTTCAAACTATACTACAAGGCTACCATAGCCAAAACAGCATGGTACTGGTACCAAAACAGAGATATAGACCAATGGTACAGAATAGAGCCCTCAGAAATAACACCGCACATCTACAACCATCTGTTCTTTGACAAACCTGACAAAAACAAGAAATGGAGAAAGGATTCCCTATTTAATAAATGGTGCTGGGGAAACTGGCTGCCCTATGAAGAAAACTGAAACTGGATCCCTTCCTTACACCTTATACAAAAATTAATTCAAATGGATTAAAGACTTAAATGTTAGACCTAAAACCATAAAAACCCTAGAATAAAACCTAGGCAATACCATTCAGGACATAGGCATGGGCAAGGACTTCATGAATAAAACACCAAAAGCAATGGCAACAAAAGCCAAAATTGACAAATGGGATCTAATTAAACTAAAGAGCTTCTGTACAGCAAAAGAAACTACCATCAGAGTGAATAGGCAACTTACAGAGTGTGAGAAAATCTTTGCAATCTACCTATCTAACAAACGGCTAATATCCAGAATCTACAAAGAACTCAAATTTACAAGAATAAAACAACCCCATCAAAAAGTGGGCAAGGGATATGAACAGACACTTCTCAAAAGAAGACATTTATGCAGCCAACAGACACATGAAAAAATGCTCATCATCACTGGTCATCAGAGAAATGCAAATCACAACCACAATGAGATACCATCTCATGGCAGTTAGAATGGTGATCGTTAAAAAGTCAGGAAACAACAGATGCTGGAGGAGATGTGGAGAAATGGGAATGCTTTTACACTGTTGGTGGGAGTGTAAATTAGTTCAACCATTGTGGAAGACAGTGTGGTGATTCCTCAAGTATCTAGAACTAGAAAAACCATTGACCCAGCCATCCCATTACTGGGTATATACCCAAAGGATTATAAATCATGCTACTATAAAGACACACACACACGTGTGTTTATCGTGGCACTATTCACAATAGCAAAGACTTGGAACCAACCCAAATGTCCATCAATGATAGACTGGATTAAGAAAATGTGGCACATATACACATGGAATACAATGCAGCCATAAAAAGATGAGTTCATGTCCTTTGCAGGGACATGGATGAAGCTGGAAACCATCATTCTCAGCAAACTATCACAAGGACCAAAAACCAAACACGGCATGTTCTCACTCATAGGTGGGAATTGAACGATGAGAACACTGGGACACAGGGCAGGGAACATCACACATGGGGGCCTGTCGGGGTGTGGGTGGCTGGAGGAGGGATAGCACTTGGAGAAATACCTAATGTAAATGACGAGTTGATGAGTGCAGCAAACCAACATGATACATGTATACCTGTGTATCAACACTGCACGTTGCACACATGTACCCTAGAACTTAAAGTATAATAAAAAAATGAATAATAAATGCATGGTATAGTTCCTTTTTACTGATTAGAATTTTTGGTTTACTGCATACTATATCAATAATGTATATAATAAAAAGCTTCCTATGTATTATTTTACTTATGGCAGAGCACATAAATATTTATTAAAATATTTAGTGAGCTATGGAAACTTTCCAGAAAAGTTTAATTCATTTAGCAGTAAGATGAATAGGCCTTACTTTCAGTCCTGAGGGAATTAATATAGTCCTGAAAACATGAACTTTGTCTGGAAGATTCAGATTATAATCTTTCCTTTGTGTGTTGGGACTGAGCTGAGTACCGTGTTGGAAATTAGGAAGCCTAAAGTCCACAATTGGCTCTCCCTGTTTATAACAATTCTGACCTTAAGCAAGTCACATCACATGACTGTAGATTCTCTCATCTATAAAATGAGAAGGTAGTTGATTCACAAAACTCCATCCATCTGGCATTATGCTAGGCACTGAGAAGACAATGGTGAGTAAAGCACTGCTCTTGATCAGTGTTCTTTAATAGAGCCTAGAATTTGCTTGTGATAAAATACTTTCCTTTTTCTAACCAAGTATCATTTCAATTCAACCTATTTTTGATTTATCTTGTTCTTTCCTCTATTTTTTAAGTCTAATAGCTGTGCGAGCTTATTGTTACATGGGGTCTAATTGTAAACTAAAGAATCATACATGGTTATTACATAATGTTATTATTTACTAAAGTGAATACTCCAAATATTCACAAATAGCCTAGTTAAAACTATTTAACTGTATATTAAAAACAACTCAATCAAGATAAAATAGGGAAACATGGACAACATTTAGAAATGCGCATTCGTCTTAGGAGAGGGAAAAGACAATAATGTTTGTGTGAATTTGGCTTACCAGATGAGACAGAAAACATTGAAACAAATTCTGATAGAAATCTTGTCATTATACATGGAACCAACCCAAATGCCCATCAATGATAGGCTGAATAAAGAAAATGTGGTACCTATACCTCCTGGAATACTATGCAGCCACAAAGAGAAATGAGATCATGTCCTTTGCAGGGACATGGTTGAAGCTGGAAGCCATCATGCTCAGCAAACTAACACAGGAACAGAAAATCAAACATCACATGATCTCTTTCACTTATAAGAGAGAGTTGAATATTGAGAACACATGGACACAGGAAGGAGAACAACATACAGCAGGGTCTGTTGGTGGGTGGGGGGTGAGGGGAGGGAACTTAGAGGATGGGTCAATAGGTGCAGCAAACCACCATGGCACACGTATACCTAGGTAACAAACCTGCACGTTCTGCACATGTATCCTGTTTTTTTTTTTTGAAGAAATAAAGAAAAAGAAATATTGTCATTTTATAAAGTGCACTGAAAGCTGGATGAAAGCTTATGAAGAAAGAATAAATCAATACATTGAAGAGCAAAGACCAATCTATTTCCAGAAAAGTGAATCTGTACAGAAAGGCAGAAGATCATTTTAGCATTAAATATAAAATCTAACAGTGCCTTGTAAATGTAGCCACAATATTCATAATCAAAGGGGGCAAGATAACTCTAAGTGACATGGACAACAGAACTAGAGGGATATAATTTATAGAAGGAAGAATAAATTTGTTCTCTTAAAACTTACATAGTGAGTACATATTGTAAAAAAAAGATTAAAAAGTGTTAGTATGATGATATTATTATATTATTAATTATTTTCCTGACATCTTTTTGTCCCTCTTACTGACATTAACTACAATGCAGTTCCTAGACCTTAGTGTTAGACTGGGTTCCAAACTAGATTCCTCTGCTTTCTGGACACACCCTCTAAGCCTTAGTTATATCATCAGATAGCTAACTATAATAATACCTTTTAGTGTTGATGACACTACTAAATGAGATAATGTATGTGACTAACAATGCTTAAATATGTGGTCTTATTATAATTAAAAGTAATTTACTAAATAAAGAAATATTGAGCATCTGAAAGAAATGCATGTAGATTTTGTAATCCTAAGGGCTAAATGAATAAAGTAACAGAGCCCCATGAGGTAGCTTATTTGCTGCAAATCAATTTATTTTATTATTATTTTAAATTTTATTTTTCCATAAGTTATTGGGGTACAGGTGGTATTTGGTTACATAAGTAAATTCTTTAGTGGAGATTTGTGAGACCCTGGTGCACCCATCACCCAAGCAGTATACACTGCACCCTATTTGTTGTCCTGATCCCTCAACCCTCCCACTCTTCCCCACAAGTCCCCAAAGTCCACTGTACCATTTTTATGACTTTGTGTCCTCATAGCTTAGCTCCCACAATCAGTGAGAACATAAAATGTTTGGTTTTCCATTCCTGAATTATTTCACTTAGAATAATAGTCTCTAACCTTATCCAGGTCATTGCAATTTAAATGAGCTAATTTCTATTTTCAGTTGAATCGTTTAAAAAATAGCCAGGTGTTTTCCTGAGCCCATTGTCTTGGGGTTTAATTCCTCCATAGGTTTGTTGCATTTGTTCTGTTTTATGACCACAGATATTCCTAACTTTAGTTAGTTCTTTTTTTAAAAAAAGCAAGTCTTTCAAAATAGAAGCTGAAGAAAGTACATAAATATGAGTCAGAACCAATCGACCTATCACCATGTGAAATAAGCACCTAGAAATTCATCTTCTGCTCACAAAAGGTCGGAAGCTAAAAGATTACACATGGTTATAAATACAAGCTGGTTATACTTCTAATGCAAAACTAAATAGGACTAGAAGGCAGATGGCATTAACCCTTTTACTTTTGAGAGCACAAAAACCACTGCATGAACTGTTAGTCATTAATTCACTTTTTTCCCAAAGGATATTTTATTAATCTGTTATTAACAGTAACCTCTAATGAAGAGGAACAATGATATCAATGGAATTTTCTGCATTGCTTAAAAATCTTTCTTTTACTGAATTAGAAATAAAAACTTCAAATGAGATAAATGTAAACAGAAGCCAATAGTTCTGGCAAAATGATTTTTCTCTTCTCGTCTGACTTGGCCTCCAGGAGGTTGGGGGAATGAGATTGGGAGGAAGAAACATAAACAGTGAGAAGAGAAATGTGTGCTCATGATACCCAGTAGGTGGTGCAGCTATACTAGCTATAATTTTGCTATTTAAAGGGCATGATAGAATGCTGTTCTCTTCATGAACATTTATAATCAGAGTAACAGAATGCATTGATATGAATCTCTGTTCATAAATGACCATCAGTTGTCATCTTCATCAGCATAAACTGTAAAGTACCTCTTGCTGCATATGAACTATTTCACCTTGCTGGATTTTCCTAAAGTGAATTTAACTTCTTCAACAATTGCTGGATTTTCGCACAGAAATTTGTTTCTATTTTCTGTCAATAGCGTCCTCATTTTCTTAGCAATTAATCTTAAAACAGAACTTTTTCACTTCCAGTCTCTCAGTATCCATAGCTAATAGAGTTACCCAACTCTGGTGATTATTTTAAAAGGTTTTCACATTTATCCCTTTCCATTTCACCTTTAGTTTCTCTAGCTTCAACTTCCTTATTTGCTTATGCATCTCTCAAGTAAGATAACACCTTTTCTATCTAATCCAGAGCATTGTTGGGAGTGTAAAATAAAATAATGTGTAGGCTGTGCTACAAAAGGTTTTAGAGTTGGGAATTTTTTTAATCAAAGATTCTGAGCTAGTTTCAGTCTCCATATAGCTTGCTTGCCTCACCATTTGATGTGCTGGGTCTGCGCATACAAGTATATTACCTACATTATATATGCACACATATATGCATATTTATATGAGTAATAGAGACAAAACTACTACATATAAACATGACATTGTACTATAAGTATGATTTAATACTCTCAGTATCAATGATTTATCTCCCACTAAAACATTTGCCTAAATGTAGATCAAAGTGCATATATTTTTTCTTTCTGACAACTAGATAGGGCTAAGGGTTGAAGAGGAAGGAATGAGGTGGAACAATGACTGAGATTGAAGAGAAAGAATATAGCGACTGGAGTCTTATCAACTGAAAGAAGAACTTTCATTTTTGAGGGGAGAGGTCTCCATGCTAAACTGAACTTAGGTGTGCATCTTCCCACCCCTACCCCTGTGCAAAACATAACTTGCAGACAACTCAGAGCCTAATCATGAAGGATTCTTCTAAGCCTTCCCATGCTTAATATAAAGTGGGTTGCTTTGGTGACTTGCTTAACGTCAATGGTGTGACGGAAAACTTTGGCTCTAACCAAAATCAAGTGCACAGAACCCACTAAGAATTTTTTGTGAGCTTAGCCAACTAATATTTATGCTTGAAATATAAACCCTTTTGTAAGATTTAAATAAAATCACTTGTGCACAATGCCTGGTACACATTAGATGTTGAGTAAATATTTGATGAATCTCAATCATTGATGTCTATAATTGGAAGAGAATTTAGAGGTAGCTCTTATTATTTTATGAATAAGTTAATGAGCCTAGAAAACAATGATCCTACCAACATATTACTGAATCAGTACCAGTCTAGCAACCAGCAGTCCTGAATTTCAATTCTCTTTCCATTGTATTGTAAACTTTTCCTTTCTTTTGCTTTGTATCATCACTCTCCTTTCTAACACAGTCTCTCTCTCTTTCTCCCCCTCCCTCGTCCTTCTTCCTCTCTCATAGGCACACACAAAACTTTGTGCTCATTTGGCTTAAGAATCCAGAATTTCTCAAAAATAAACAGCTAAATTTATGTAGGTTTACTAAATTTAACAATGTATTTAGAGTTGCTTTCATTGCAATAAAACCATTAATTACTCTCAGTATGCTTTAGGTTAATTAACTAAGGAGAATTTGTTAAGGGAGTTTATGTATTGTTTTAGTATGTAGCAAAAGGAGCTGTTGAATGCTAGAAAACAAACCCATCTGAACTAAAAAACACAAAATACTATGTATTGAGCAGATATACAATTTTTAATCAATCAAAACACAGATTTTACCTCAGTGCATCTCACTTTGGTAAGTATGTGCAGTCCCAGCTTCATGAGTTTTTTTCTGAGAATTAATTTTTAAGTTGACTCTGGTACTTAGATGAATTTTGATTGCTGATATTGGAAAATATTTTCTTCTCAGAAATGATGTTATACATTTTGGTTGGCTTACCACACAAAAGCCTTTTATCTCATAATACGTAAATAATACAATAATACAATTCAGTGGTACTGGTAACACATTCAAAAGCTAGCAGAAGGCAAGAAATAACTAAGATCAGAGCAGAACTGAAGGAAATAGAGACACAAAAAACCCTTCAAAAGATTAATGAATCCAGGAGCTGGTTTTTTGAAAAGATCAACAAAATTGATAGACCGCTAGCAAGACTAATAAAGAAGAAAAGAGAGAAGAATCAAATAGACGCAATAAAAAATGATAAAGGGGATATCATCACCAATCCCACAGAAATATAAACTACCATCAGAGAATACTATAAACACCTGTATGCAAATAAACTAGAAAATCTAGAAGAAATGGATAAATTCCTCGACACATACATCCTCCCAATACTAAACCAGGAAGAACTTGAATCTCTGAATAGACCAATAACAGGCTCTGAAATTGTGGCAATAATCAATAGCTTACCAACCAAAAAAAGTCCAGGACCAGATGGATTCACAGCCGAATTCTACCAGAGGTACAAGGAGGAGCTGGTACCATTCCTTCTGAAACTATTCCAATCAATAGCAAAAGAGGGAATCCTCCCTAACTCATTTTATGAGTCCAGCATCATCCTGATACCAAAGCCAGGCAGAGACACAACCAAAAAAGAGAATTTTAGACCAATATCCTTGATGAACATCGATGCAAAAATCCTCAATAAAATACTGGCAAACTGAATCCAGCAGCAAATCAAAAAGCTTATCCACCATGATCAAGTGGGCTTCATCCCTGGGATGCAAGACTGGTTCAACATACCCAAATCAATAAATGTAATCCAGCATATAAACAGAACCAACGACAAAAACCACGTGATTATCTCAATAGATGCAGGAAAGGCCTTTGACAAAATTCAGCAACCCTTCATGCTAAAAACTCTCAATAAATTAGGTATTGATGGGACGTATCTCAAAATAATAAGAGCTATCTATGACAAACCCACAGCCAATATCATACTGAATGGGCAAAAACTGGAAGCATTCCCTTTGAAAACTGGCACAAGACAAGGATGCCCTCTCTCACCACTCCTATTCAACATAGTGTTGGAAGTTCTGGCCAGGGCAATCAGGCAGGAGAAGGAAATAAAGGGTATTCAGTTAGGAAAAGAGGAAGTCAAATTGTCCCTGTTTGCAGATGACATGAATTGTATATCTAGAAAACCCCATTGTCTCAGCCCAAAATCTCCTTAAGCTGATAAGCAACTTCAGCAGTCTCAGGATACAAAATCAATGTGCAAAAATCACAAGCATTCTTATACACCAATAACAGACAAACAGAGAGCCAAATCATGAGTGAACTCCCTTTCACAATTGCTACAAAGAGAATAAAAAACCTAGGGATCCAACTTACCAGGGATGTGAAGGACCTCTTCAAGGAGAACTACAAACCACTGCTCAATGAAATAAAAGGGGGATACAAACAAATGGAAGAATATTCCATGCTCATGGGTAGGAAGAATCAATATCATAAAAAAGGCCATACTGCCAAAGGTAATTTACAGATTCAATGCCATACCCATGAAGCTACCAATGACTTTCTTCACAGAATTGGAAAAAACTACTTTAAAGTTCATATGGAACCAAAAGAGAGCCCACATCGCCAAGTCAATCCTAAGCCAAAAGAACAAAGCTGGAGGCATCACACTACCTGACTTCAAACTATACTACAAGGCTACAGTAACCAAAACAGCATGGTACTGGTACCAAAACAGAGATATAGACCAATGGAACAGAACAGAGCCCTCAGAAATAATGCCACATATCTACAACTATCTGATCTTTGACAAACCTGACAAAAACAAGAAATGGGGAAAGGATTCCCTATTTAATCAATGGTGCTGGGAAAACTGGCTAGCCATATGTAGAAAGCTGAAACTGGATCCCTTCCTTACACCTTATACAAAAATTAATTCAAGATGGATTAAAGACTTACATGTTCGACCTAAAACCATAAAAACCCTAGAAGAAAACCTAGGCGATACCATTCAGGACATAGGCATGGGCAAGGACTTCATGTCTAAAACACCAAAAGCAATGGCAACAAAACCCAAAATTGACAAATGGGATCTAATTAAACCAAAAAGCTTCTACACAGCAAAAGAAACTACCATCAGAGTGAACAGACAACCTACAGAATGGGAGAAAATTTTTGCAACCTACTTATCTGACAAAGGGCTACTATCCAGAATCTACAATGAACTCAAACAAATTTACAAGAAAAAACAAACAACCCCATCAAAAAGTGGGCAAAGGATATGAACAGACACTTCTCAAAAGAAGACATTTATGCAGCCAAAAAACACATGAAAAAATGCTCATCATCACTGGCCATCAGAGAAATGCAACTCAAAACCACAATGAGATACCATCTCACACCAGTTAGAATGGCGATCATTAAAAAGTCAGGAAACTACAGGTGCTGGAGAGGATGTGGGGAAATAGGAACACTTTTACACTGTTGGTGGGACTGTAAACTAGTTCAACCATTGTGGAAGTCGGTGTGGTGATTCCTCAGGGATCTAGAGCTAGAAATACCATTTGACCCAGCCATCCCATTACTGGGTATATACCCAAAGGATTATAAATCATGCTGCTATAAAGACACATGCACACGTATGTTTATTGCGGCACTATTCACAATAGCAAAGACTTGGAACTAACCCAAATGTCCAACAACGATAGACTGGATTAAGAAACTGTGGCACATATACACCATGGAATACTATGCAGCCATAAAAAAATGATGTGTTCATGTCCTTTGTAGTGACATGGATGAAACTGGAAACCATCATTCTCAGCAAACTATCGCCAGGACAAAAAACCAAACACTGCATGTTCTCACTCATAGGTGGGAGTTGAACAATGAGAACACATGGACACAGGAAGGGGAACATCACACACCAGGGACTGTTGTGGGGTGGGGAGAGGGGGGAGGGATAGCATTGGAAGATATACCTAGTGCTAAATGACGAGTTAATGGGTGCAGCACACCAACATGGCACATGTATACATATGTAACAAACCTGCACGTTGTGCACATGTACCCTAAAACTTAAAGTATAATAATAAAATAAAATGAAAAAAAGAAAAATCAGTTGACCACAAAAAAATGTAAAGAAATACTTTTATTTATTGTTTCCTTCTTAAGTACAGAAATAATCAGTATAATACAGAGAGAAAGAACACATTCTCTAGAATCAGACTTTCTGGGTTCAAATCCTGACTCTATTGTTAAATAAAATAGGCAAGTTACTCAACCCTTCTAGTTACTTCTTTATCTGTAAAATGAAAATAACAGTGATGTCTTCCTTATGCAGTTATAAGGATTCAATGTCTAATGTATCTAAACAACCTAAGTAAGCTGTATGGCACATAATAAGCACCAATCAATGCTAGCTGTGTTTCTAGACCTATCATAAGCATTATCTTTTAATTAATAATCATAATTAGGTTTATATTTGTTTCATGAATAGGGCAAAGTAAGTGAAGATTGGATTTGCATATTTATGAGCATTAGGAACTAGAGACTTTGACATATATATTACCTAGATTAACCCTCATCAAAACATTGCAAGAAAAATATTATTTTAGTATTTTATAAATAAGAAAATGAAAGGTGAGATATCAAGATGTAGTAGACCAGTAACTGGCAATGCAAGAATCAAACCATGCTGTCTGACTCTGTAGTTTATGTTTGTCCCCATTATAAAATATTGCAAAGATATGTATGTATATGTGCTGTGTTACACACAATATCATAAATGCAAGAAATTTAAAAAGGCTTTTTTTGGCAAAGGAAATCTTACTTGTGGCAAAATTCAGTTGAAATAATCCTAACCTTGTAATAAGAATCAAGAATAGAGAAAAAATGCACTTCCCTAATGATTAGTGATGTAGAGAGTTTTTTTTCACATATTTGTTGGCCATTTGTATACTTTCATTTGAGAAATGTCTGTTTAGTTCTTTTGCCCATTTTAAAATCAAGTTACTTGTTTTCTTGTTGTTGGTTTGTTTGAATTCCTTATGTATTTTGGATACTAACCTCTTATAAGATGTATGGTTTACAAATTTTTTCTCCTAATCCATTCATTGTATCTTTACTCTATTGCAAGCTTGTCCAACCCGTGGCCCACAGGCTGCATGTGGCCCAGGATGGCTTTGAATGTGGCCCAACACAAATTCATAAATTTTTGTAAAACGTTATGAGATTTTTTTTTACGATTTTTTTTCTTTTAGCTCATCAGCTATCATTAGTGTTAGTATATTTTATGTGTGGCCCAAGACAATTCTTTTTCTTCCAGTGTGGCACAGGGAAGCCAAAGGATTGGACACCCCTGCTCTATAGATTGTTTTCTTTGCCATGCAGAAGATTTTAGTTTAATGCAATCTTGTTTGTCTATTTTGCTTTTGTTGCCAGTGCTTTGAGGCTAAACCCAAAAAAATAATTATTCAGACAAATGTCATAAAGCTTTCCCCTTATTTTTTCTTCTAGTAGTTTTATAGTTTCAAGGCTTACATTTAAGTATTTAATCCATTTTGAGTTGATTTTTATATACTATGATTTAAGGGTTCAATTTTATTCTTCTGCATGTGTATACCCAAGGTCCCTCAACACGATTTATTGCACATACTGTTCTTTTTCAATTATGTGTTCTTGGTACCTTTGTTAATATCAATTTATTGTAAATGTGTGGGTTCATTTCTGGGCTCACTGTTCTGTTTCATTGGCCTAGGTGTTTTTTAAAAAAATTCCAGTACCATACCATTTTGATTACTATAGTTTTGTAAGATATTTTAAAATAAGATAGTGTGATACCTTTAGATTGTTCTTTTGATATATGAAAAAATGTTCAACAGTACTAATCATGAGGGAAATTCAAATTAAAACCGCAATGATATATTACCTCACACCTGTTAGAATGGCTATTTAAAAAATGGAAGATAAGTGTTGGCAAGAATGTGGAGAAAAGGGAACCCTTCCTTGTACACTGTTGTTGGGAATGTAAATTAGTACAGCCATTGCGTAAAACAGTATGAAGGTTACTCAGAAAGCTAAAAATTAAACAAGTATTATCTGATTCAGCAATCTCACTTCTGTATACATACCCAAAGGAATTGAAATGAGTATATCAAAAGATATCTGCAATTCCCAGTTTATTGCAACATTATTCACAATAGCCAAGATATGTAATCAACCTATGTATACATCAGTGGATGAATGGATAAAAAACGTGGCATATACACACAATGAAATACTAGTCAGCCTTTAAAAAGAAGGAGATTCTGCCATTTGCAATAACATGGATGAACCTGAAGGACATTATGCTAAGTTATATAAGCCAGGCACAGAAAGGCAAATACTTCATAATCTCACTTACATGCATAATCTAAAAAATGTCAAACTAATAGAAGTAGAGAGTAGAATGGTGGTTACCAGAGGTGATGTTGGGAGGGAATGGGAGATGTTGATCAAAGGGTACATTTCAGTTAGACAGGTGATACTATAAGTTTTCAAGGTCTACTGAACAGCATGATGACTATAGTTAATAACAATGTATTGTGTATTTTGAAATTGCTAAGAGAATAAATTTCAAATGTTCTCACAACAAAAAAAGATAAATATGTGAGGTGATGGATATGTTAATTAGCTTGATTCCATCATCCAAAAATATGGATATACATATTTATATATATATATAATCACATTGTATATATATAATCACATCATATATAATCACATTGTACCTCATAAGTGTATAAAATTATTATTTGTCAATTTTAAAAAGGAAGAGAATACAATTATTATTTGTCAATTAAAAAATGAGTAAAAATAGAAAAAATGTTGCTTTTTTAAATTGGCAAATTATTATTATTTGTCTATTATAAAAAGAAAACATCAAATACTGAAGAAAACGTGGTATATCCACAAGAGAATATTGTTTCAGCCATTAAAAAAGAATGAAATCCTGTCATTTGCAGCAACATAGATGGAACTGGAGGACATTATGCTAAGTGAAATAAGCCAGGCACAGAAAGACAAATAATGCATGTACTCACTCATATGTGGGAACTATATGAAAATTGATCTCACGGAAGTACAGAGTAGAACGGTGATTACCAGAGGCTGGGAAGGGTAGGGTGGAGGGGAGTTAAGGAGAGGTTGGTTAATGGATACGTACATACAGGTAGATATAAGGAATACATTCCAGTGTTTAATAACAGTAGGGTGACTAGGATAAAATATGCAACAGTAATTTATTGCATATTTTAAAATAGCTGTAAGAAAGATTTGGAATGCTCCCAACATAAAGGTATAATAATTTTTGAGCTGATGGATATACTAATTACCCTAATTAGATTACTATGTATTGTGTTCGTGTATCAAAATATCACATGTACCCCCAAAATATGTACAATAATTATGTATCAATATGAAATTTCAAAAAGGCAAGTGAATTTCTATGTTTGTTAAAATTAATGGCACTTTCTGATTGTATTCATGTCTTACTACATTATCACAATAAATGGGAGTAAACACAGGTTTTGTAATAACTACTGGATTTGCTTTATTGTTTTTATGCCTTTTTAGAGCAGTGCTGACTAATATGATAGCCACTTCTACATGTGGCTATTTAAATTTAAACTTACATAACTAGAATAAAATAAAATAAACTTATTCATTTGTTTGTATTAGCCATACTTCAAGTGTTAAATAGCTACCTGTGGTTAGTGGCTACTGTGTTGGATAGTTCAGATATGGAACATTTCTATCATTGAAAAACTTTTTATTGGACAGCACTGTTCTAGAGTAAATCAGGATGTAGAATGGAATGATAAGCAGGAAATTTCAGTAGGGGGGAGATTGCCAGTCTGGCGACAGAGTGAGACATTGTCTAAAAAAAAGAGAGAGAGAGAGAGAGAGAGAGAGATACAGATTGCCTAAGGGTAGCTACCAATTCTTTGCAGTTCAAAGTAGTAGAAATAACAGTTGTTTTGCATTCTGTAGGAATGAACTCTACTTGCACTACCTGTCAGTTTGGGCAACATTCACCTTCCCAGAGCTTCAGTTTTTTGATTTGTTAAATGAGGGATAACAATTTCTACCAGGCCTCACTTCCAGGATTTTTGTGAGGATGAGTACAACGATATATGTCAAAGCTCTATATAATGATTGTATAAAATCTATAATAATTGATATAATTCTCAGTTGTGTGTGTGCCTGTGTGTATGTTTCATGAAGTATTGATAATGATGGCAATTGTTATAGATTTCATATGCTGAGCTTCATTTTCCTGCTAGAAATTCATGATGCCTGAACATGATTCCATCTCTCCTGAATTTGTACTTGCAGAATGAGTAGTATTAACAGATAACCCATAGAGAACCTTTTTCAGATGATTGCCAAACACTGAAAGGCTTTAGATATTTCCTCCTAATGTTTATCTTTTCTTATCTTTTTAAAAAAGAATAATCATTTCCACTTCTTCAGTACTACTGGAAAACCACAAAAAAAAATAAAAACTTTTCTAGGCCTTTCAAAGTGTTTCACATTTACTGCCACACATAGAGAGCAGGATTTACTGCCACACATAGAGAGCAGGAGGAATATTTAATCAAAGGGTTTAAAGCATGTGGTATTGGCAATCAATGTACAACTCAGATATAGAAGGCTCTCCTGATTGCAAGTCGTACCATGAGGTGGGGTAGATAAAGTTACTAGAATTAGCAAAGAGCTATTAGTTTTCTTTAAGCTTCACTGTTTCAATTAGAAACAGTAGTTGAATTGTATACATGGTAATATTATACAAGCCCATCAGAAGTTTCAGATGTTTTCTGACTTTGTTTTGTTTTTAGCTATTTTTCTTTTAAGCAAAAGCTTTTAAAGAACAAATTGCGTACATTTTCAGCATACACTGCTGGGTTAAAATATTTATATAATTTCAGAATGATATGAGATAGATACAGTCTAATGATATTCATTGATTCATCGGTCAAAATAAAAACTTTTCTCAAAATATCTGAATGAAAAATAATTGGTAAATAATCATGAATTTCTATATAAAATTCCTACAATATTTTTCTTTTTTGGGAAGATATTTCATAATACATAACAGAAATTTAAAAATTTTTTTCTAGTTCCTGACTTTCATTTCCCTAGAAAACTTACTATTAAAATGTTAGTTTTATACCAAGATGATAACATGCCTTTTTAAAAGAAAGTAGAATACATTAGTTTTTAAAAGGAGATATTATGGTTTTATGATTAATAATAATATGAATAACAATATTATTATGACAAATTATTAAGGAAAGATGCATGGAAATAAGTGGAAATGTGTCCTGAAAATGTGGAAATGTGTCCTGAAAATGTAGAAATGAGAGAGGGACACAAAAATAGGTAAACCACAATTGCATTATATATGAGCTTGAACATCTCCATGATATATTAACATTGGAAATCTAAGTCATATGGGTAATTTCAAGGTTTTTTTAAATTACAACAAAGTACATAAAGATAAATAAATTGGCATGGAAAAAGAGTCAGACAAAAGTTCCAGTCTTTTCACAAAGCCAGCATTTTAGCAGTTTCTCAATTACCCTGAACATTTACTACTGCTGATACTGCACAATGAGCTGTCTCTTAGAAAAATGTGAAAATGTGTACATATTGTACATATTGTTATATTGATCACTAAGCAGGGTAGTAAAGGAAGACAATTGGTAAGCAGAAGTTCAGATTAATAGTATAAAATATGATGTAAATATTAAAACACAGGGAAGGAAATGTGCTATCAAATTCTTGATTCAGCTTGCTATACTGGATATTCTCCAAGAGTAAGAGATTTAGTTTATAGGCTAAATCTAAGAATGGAAAAATGGAAAATTACTCCATTTCCTCTGTGGCTGTTGCTGCTGTTGTCACTTTGGTGAAATGTATAGCCACAGGAAATTTGACATTTATATTTCTTGTTACAATTAATGCACAAAAAACTATAGAAAACCTTAGGACACTTAGAAACTGATTTTATCTTTAATGTAATTATCTTAACTATAAATCTTGACAAAATCTACAGCCATCTGAACAAATTCTTAATTAAAAGAAAAAAGGAGAATCAGACATTAATGTCAGGAAATGAGTTCTGCACCCAAGTTGAGATTCTTTATTTTGGAAAAGATACACAATGGTAGGAGAAAAGGCAAATATCCATATGAACTAAATGCCTCTTGTGTAAAAGATACAGTGCTAGGCTCTAGAACCACAATTTTAATTCCAAAAGATCCCTACATACAATCTTATTTAAACCTCCACAATTTTCAGCAAACGGAGCATAATAAAGTTAAATATATGTGACCAAGATTACTCCTAGATAGGGCAAGAACTGGAATACAAGGATCTTTCACATCCAAGACCCTGTTCTTTCTAGTTAGCTGTGGGGCCAAGGCACAGCATGCAAAACCTGTCATGTACATGGCACGGAGCTCTTGGCTTTCCTAGTTCCTAATTCAGTCATTTAATAGTCTGTCTGTATCTACAGAATTACTTTCATGACCAAGAATTGATATTTTTGTTATTGGTCAAATTTGAACATACTAGTACTGAGGGCAAAGCTTTGCAGCATGTCCTTAGAACCCTTCCTCCAGGTGGAGATAATTCTCTTTATCAACACAAGCGGAGGTTTGGCACTGAACCAATATTAACCGCAACTTGAAAGCAGTTCATTTTTCTTTACCTGATTCACAAGGCTAACAGAAGACTAGAAAACATCTTTCCTGAATTTAGACAAACTTTGTCTATTCCACTTCCACAGTAGGAATTTTTAATAAATAATCTTTGACGAATGAAGGTGGATCTGATATAGTATAACATTCACATTGTTTCCATTCTCTATATAGACACCACTTCTTTATTCTTATTGATGCATTTTATAATTATAATCATTTAAATATTATGTTTTATGTCCAATCATACAGCTGTTGATTAGTATAATTTATTCTCTTTCCATCTTGCTAATTAGTCATTGGTCTTGTAGCATTTATGTTGTACAAGGCCAGTGTTGTAGATAGTTACTCCAAGATGTCAGTAGGGAGTCATTTGTGCCCCTCACGCATATATTTTGGGATGTATTTTGTCATTGCCAAGGATTTTTAAATTATTTATAGGAGAATGTGACTACATTTTCTTCCAACCTGAGATGGAATGAAGTAGTCTTTATTTATGGAAATACTATGTAGAAGAGATGGATAGCAAATCTTTTCTGTTTCCAAAGTGAATGAGTTCAAATTGTAGTCATATGGATTTAGTGAGCTGTAAATAAGATGCTAACTCTAAGAAGCATTACAAATGACTTTGAGAAGATATCTATAGTTTTCTTACTTAGGGAACAGTATGATATAGGCAAGACTAAGAAAATAAAATAGCATATTTAATTTCTTTTACCAAATATCCTAAATATGAAATCTGTTAGCCCCTCTACTCATTTCCTCCTTACAGTCTTCGATTTTAGTACAGAATAGGAGCAAGGCAAGGGATTCATGAAATTTTAGATTCTTATCAGATCTATCATTCTAGAATAGTTTTTTACAACTGCAAGTGTATTTTAAGTTAGTTTGTGAGTTGAACACTAGATATTTAAAATTCAACTTTTCATATGCCAACCTATGGTGTATTGAATAAAGACATAAAGTTTCAAATTTTGTTGTATAATTGTTATAATTTTAAACAGATAGTTTCAATAATGATTTTCATACATTGCATTTTAGCCAATGTTTTAATAGGTAGCCAAAATCTTTGACTATCTACTAATAAGTAGACTAAAGTTGACAAGGATCAGTTTCCTTTTCTAGATACTAAATTATTCTCAAATTGGAATGTAAGCATTAATATAACTTGGTCAGCAAACAGGATAATGTTAAGAAAGCATTCTCTCTTAAAATTTATAGAAGTATCATAATTTCAATTTCCAACTTGAATATCATAGTAATGTATTGAATAGTACACATTTTTTGAAGGAGAGCTTTGGCAAGATTAGTAACCAATTATCATTGAAAAAAATGAACTAAACTTAGCCTAGGCTTTGAGGATTGTGTGACAATTGTTATTCTATATTTTGAAATTAGTTGAATATACTTTCCTTTAAAGTATAGGGATTTTTAAGTTAAATACTTGGCTACATTTAAGAGGTTCAACACTCTAATTTTAATGGTAAGGAAACATTTTTAAAGCTATCAGCTTATTTCTCAAGGGTAATATTCAGTCTTTTTACCTAGTGCTAGTTAATACCAGTGTTGTTATTTTTAAACTATTGCTACTTAGGCAGAACATAATAAAAATCGAGTGGGAGTAGTTAATCCAAAATTATCTAAAAGTTTCATATTAATTCAAAGTTTAAATATGCTAGGTTCTATATAACATAAAAATGTGAGATATTTCTACTGGCTATACTTCAAAGAATATAATTCACAAGGCTTGAAATTGACCACAGTTCCTAAAAGTAGTGGGAGAAAGAGAAATGGAAGCAATGCTCTTCAATATTTACAAAGGTCTTCTGCTCGTGACTAGCCTAAAATTTTTTCAGCTCTTATATATTCTTGTACATGAGTAATTGGGAGTTCAATCAGCATCTGCTAGCCTTTCATTATTTATTATTTATTTCTGTGGGTACATAGTAGAGGTATACATTTATGAGTTCCATGAGATATTTTAATACAGGATAATGCGGTATCCATCACTTCAAGCATTTATCTTTTGCATTACAAACAATCTAATTATACTTTTTTAGTAATTTTAAATGTACAATTAAATTATTGTTGACGGTAGTCATTCTGTTGTGCTATATAATATGGGAACTTATTCATTCTTCGAACTATATTTTTGTACCCAATAACACTTCCCACTTCACCCCTACTTTCCCACTACCCTTCCAACCTCTGGGACCTTCCTTCTACTCTCTATCTCCATGAGCTCAATTATTTTCATTTCTAGCTCCCACACGTAAGTGGGACCATACAAACTTCATCTTTCTGTGCCTGGCTTATTTCACTTAACATAATGACCTCTAGTTCCATCCATGTTGTTGCAAGTGAAAGAATCTCATTCTTTTATGGCTGAAAAGTACTCCATTGTGTATATGTACCACATTTGCTTTATCCATTCATCTGTTGATGGACATTTAGGTTGCTTCCAAGTCTTGGCTATTGTGAATAATGTTGCAATAAACATGGGAATGGATATGTCTCTTTGACATGCTGATTTCCTTCCTTTTGGTTATGTACCTAGGAGTGGGATTGCTGGATTATATGGTAGTGCTATTTTTATTTTTATTTGAGAAACTTCCAAACTGTTCTCCATAGTGTTTGTGTTAATTTACATTCCCATCAACTGTATGAGAGTTTCCTTTCCTCCACATCCTTGCCAGGATTTGTGATTGCCTGACTTTTGGATAAAGCCATTTTAGTTGGGGTAAAATGATAACTCATTGTAGTTTGGAATTGCACTTCTTTGATGATCAATAATGTTGAGCATCTTTTTTATGCTTGTTGGCCATTTGTATGTCTTCTTTTGAGAAATGTCTATTCAGATCCTTTGCCCATTTTTAATTGGATTATTAGATTTTTTTCCTAGAGAGTTGTTTGAGTTACTGATATATTCTGGTTATTAACTCCTTGTCAGATGGGGAGATTGCAAATATTTTCTCCCATTCTGTGGGTTATCTCTTCACTTTACTGATTGCTTCCTTTGCTGCACAGAAGCTTTTTAACTTGATGTGATCTCCTTTTGTCCATTTTGGTTTTGGTTGCCTGTGCTTGTTGGGTATTACTCAAGAACTCTTTGCCTAGTTCAATGGCCTGGATCATTGACCCAATGTTTTTGTGTAGTAGTTTCATAGTTTCAGGTCTTAGATTTAAGTTTTTAATCCATTTAGATTTGATTTTTGTATATATTACATAGCCCCTTTGAGGCTGTTTTCTAGATGCTGTAGGTATGCTTCATTGTTTTTTTATTTGTTTTTCTTTTGTTTCCTCTTACTGTACATTTTCAAATAGCCTGCCTTCAAGCTCACTAATTCTTTCTTCTGTTTGATCAATTCTGCTGTTAAAAGACTAATGCATTCCTCAGTATATAAATTGTATTTTTCAACTCCAGCAATTTTTCTTGATTCTTTTTAATTATTTCAATGTCTTTGCTAAATTGATTTGATAGAATTCTGAATTCCTTGTGTTCTCTTGAATTTCTTTGAGTTTCCTCAAAATTGCAGTTTGGAATTCTCCGTCTGAAAGGTCACATATCTTTGTTTCTCCAGAATTGGTCCTTGGTGACTTATTTAGTTCATTGCATGAGGTCATGTTTTCCTGGGTGATCCTGAAGGTCATGGATGTTTGTCTGTGTCTGGGCATTGAAGAGTTTGTTATTTATTGTAGTCTTCACAGTCTACGCCCATTTGGACCCATCCTTCTTGGGAAGGATTTCTAGATATTCAAAAGGACTTGGGTATTGTGATCTAGGCCACATCTGCATTAGGGGGTACCACATACCTAGTAAGGCTGTGGTTCTTGCAGACTCACAGAGATACTGCCTTGTTGGTCTTGGATAAGATCCAGAGGAATTCTCTGGATTTCCAGACAGAGGCTCTTGTTCTCTTCCTTCACTTTCTTCCAAATATAGTCCCTTTTCCTGTTCTGAGCCACCTGGAGCTGGGTGAGGTGGATGGGGTGACACAAGCAGCCTGTGGCCACCACCACTGGAACTGCATTGGGTCACACATAAAGCAAACACAGCACTGGGGTTCACCCAAAGCCTGTTTTAATCACCATCTGGAGATATACCTAATGTAAATGATGAGTTAGTGGGTGCAGCACACCAACATGGCACATGTATACATACGTAACAAACCTGCACATTGTGCACATGTACCCTAGAACTTAAAGTATAATAATATATTTATATATATTTATATATAAATATGTATTATTTATATATATTTATATATAAATATGTATTATTTATATATAAATATATAAAATAAATTTAATAAAATAAATATATAAAATAAATTTAATAAAATAAAATTTATATAAAATATATAAATATATTATATATAAATATATAATATATATTTAATATATATAAATATATATAAATAAATATATATTATATCATATATAATATATATTTATATATATAAATATATATAAATAAATATATATTATATCATATATAATATATATATTATATATGATGTATATAATATATATTATATATGATATATATATTTTATATATAATAATATATTATATAATAATATATATATCTTATATATAATAATATATATATCTCATATATAATAATATATATATCTTATATATAATAATATATATATCTCATATATAATAATATATATATCTTATATATAATAATATATATATCTCATATATAATAATATATATATCTTATATATAATAATATATATATCTCATATATAATAATATATATATCTTATATATAATAATATATATATAAAATAATGACCACCTGGCTACCATCTATGCTTGCAGGCTGGCATACTACAATGAGCAGGTGGCGAAGCCAGCCAGGCTTGTGTCCTTCCCTTCAGGGTGGTAAGTTCTCCCAGGTAGATCCAGAGGTGTTCTGGTGGGTCCAGAGTTCCTCCTAGGTGGGTCCAGAGGTGCTGTCTGGGAGTCAGGGACAAGAGTCAAAAACCTTAGAAGTCTACTTTGTGTTCTATTGTACTGTGGCTGAGCTGGCATTCAAACCACAAGAATCAGTTGTTTCCCCTCTTCCGTCTTCATTTCAAAGGCAGAGGACACTTCCTGTGGCCACCACTGCCACAGGCCTACAGGGAGTACTGCCAGACTACCACCTATGTTCACTTAAGGCCCAGAGTGTTTTAAGTCAGCTTGTGGTAAATGCTGCCTGGCCTGGGATTCACCCTTCAGGGCAGTGGGCTCCCATCTGGTCCAGGTAGGTCCAAAAATGTTGTCCAAGTGTCAAGGTCTGTAATCAGAGACCCTAAGAGCCCACTTTGTGCTCTACCTCCTTGTGGCTGAGCTGGTACTTAACATGGAAGATAAAGTCCCCTTTACTTTTCCCTTAGCTTTTCTCAAGCAGAAGGTGTTTTTCCCTATAGCCCCCACAGCTGGGAATGTGCTGAGTCTCACTTGAAGCTAGCATGTCTCAGGCTCACCCAAGGCCCATGGTGTACTACCTGGGTATTGCCACTGGTTATTCAGGCTCTCAAAGGCTTTTTAGTCAGTCGGTGATGGGTCTTGCTGTGACTGGGTCCTTCCCTTCAAGGCAGTGGGTTCCCTTCTAGTCCAGGTTGTGTCTAGAAATGTCATCCTGCACCTAGAACCTGGAAAGGGAGCCTCATAACTCTGACTGGTGCCCTATCTTATTGTGGCTGAGCTAGTATCCAAGATGCAAAACAGTCTTCTTTACTCTTTCCTCTCCTTTCCCAAGTGGAAGGAGCCAGTTCCTTTTGAACCCATGAGCCCTGCTGCCTGGGATTGTGGGGAGGTGGTACATGCACCCCCTTAGTCAGCCCCACTGATGTCTCAGTAGGTTGTACACCACCCAAGTCCACTGGTTGTGAGCCCCGCACAGCACTATGACTCACATAGGAGTTGCGGTCTTTGTGGCCTATACTGCATTTAAAGTTTATTTAGAGTCCCAGAGGACTTTAGCCCACTGTGGTGAGGCGTGGGAGAACTCAACTTCTGACCCGTGGGATGGGTGACTCCCATCTGGCTAGGGCTGGATTAAATATTCCCTCTATGCACAGGCATCAGCTAGATTTGGATCAGTTTTGCTTTCTCCTGTGACAGGGCAATGTCTAACAATTGCTGTCCTTTCTCTCCCAAGGGCAAAGATTCTCTCTCCATGCCACATGGCTGCTGCTGGGGATGGGATGGGGTGTCACTGGCAATTCAAGACTGTCTTTACTACACTCTTCAGTGTCTCTTTCAGCTATATGAAGTTAAAATCAGATACCATGAGAGCTCTCGTGATTTTTGGTTCTTAGGAAATGATTATTTTTGTGTGTAGATAGATGTTACATTGGTGTCCTTCTGGGGTGATGATCAGTGGAGGCTTCTATTTGACCATCCTGCTCCACCCCGTGTAGTCTCTTATTATTAAGAGTCTGGCTCAGAGTAGTGTATAGAATTGTTTTTCCCAATAGTCATGATTAGTTTGCACTCATGTAGCCAATACTTTTTTTTAATGTCTATGTCCAATCTGTAATATCAAAGATATATTCTCTAGGAGACAACATATGAATAAATGGTCCATCCAGGGTAGAACTTCTGTGTTTTAAGTAATGATATGAAAAAATCCAAAATAACATGATTATTAGTAATAGCTGTATTCTAAACAACTCCAGAACAATATTTTGACTTTAGATAAAAAGAAAAAAATTAAGAGAAGGGCCAGCTATATTTTAAAATTTTATTATTTTGAACAATATGCATATTAGTGCCTAGATATCAATGCTCATACCAATAACTGACTGTAAAAGAAATCTAAGGACAAACAGATTTATTATGAGAAGTCCATGATGTAAGGGGCCATTTCGTATTATTTCAGCCTAGAATACAAACCAAGAGGAAGACATATAAACTGGAACTTTAAAATGTCTTACTTTTTTGAAATATTCTAGAAGGGTCACACTCCCAGTCTGAATTAGTATTTCTATTTTGAAACTGTGGAGTAATGAAATCAAAAGGTAATGTTTTGCCTTACTCTCACCATTTATTTAGAGACAAAATTAAAAAAAAAATCCCTCTTCCTTTTTGTTCCCTCTGGGACTCTGAATTCAAAAACAAAAGAAACACTCAGATTAAATTTTTATTTCTTTCTAGAAAAACATTACATGCATATGAAGAAAAACTATAATCTACAATCACTGGGTTTATTTTAATTTGTTTAGGCGTACACAGTGAAATGTTTAAAAAAAAAGCTGAAACTGGATCCCTTCCTTACACCTTATACAAAAATTAATTCAAGATGGATTAAAGACTTACATGTTCGACTTAAAACCATAAAAACCCTAGAAGAAAACCTAGGCAATACCATTCAGGACATAGGCATGGGCAAGGACTTCATGTCTAAAACACCAAAAGCAATGGCAACAAAAGCCAAAATTGACAAATGGGATCTAATTAAACTAAAGAGCTTCTGCACAGCAAAAGAAACTACCATCAGAGTGAACAGGCAACCCACAAAATGGGAGAAAATTTTCACAACCTACTCATCTGACAAAGGGCTAATATCCAGAATCTACAATGAACTCAAACAAATTTACAAGAAAAAACAAACAACCCCTTCAAAAAGTGGGCGAAGGATATGAACAGATACTTCTCAAAAGAAGACATTTATGCAGCCAAAAAACACATGAAAAAATGCTCATCATCACTGGCCATCAGAGAAATGCAAATCAAAACCACAATGAGATACCATCTCACACCAGTTAGAATGGCGAGCATTAAAAAGTCAGGAAACAACAGGTGCTGGAGAGGATGTGGGGAAATAGGAACACTTTTACACTGTTGGTGGGACTGTAAACTAGTTCAGCCATTGTGGAAGTCAGTGTGGCGATTCCTCAGGGATCTAGAACTAGAAATACCATTTGACCCAGCCTTCCCATTACTGGGTATATACCCAAAGGATTATAAATCATGCTGCTATAAAGACACATGCACACGTATGTTTATTGTGGCACTATTCACAATAGCAAAGACTTGGAACCAACCCAAATGTCCAACAACGATAGACTGGATTAAGAAACTGTGGCACATATACACCATGGAATACTATGCAGCCATAAAAAATGATGAGTTCATGTCCTTTGTAGTGACATGGATGAAACTGGAAACATCATTCTCAGCAAACTATTGCAAGGACAAAAATCCACACACCGCATGTTCTCACTCATTGGTGGGAACTGAACCATGAGAACAGATGGACACAGGAAGGGGAACATCACACACCAGGGACTGTTGTGGGGTGGGGGGAGGGGGGAGGGATAGCATTAGGAGATATACCTAATGCTAAATGACGAGTTAATGGCTGCAGCACACCAACGTGGCACATGTATACATATGTAACAAACCTGCACATTGTGCACATGTACCCTAAAACTTAAAGTATAATAATAATAAAATTAAAAAAAAAAGAAATAAATGACAGAAACTAACCAGGTACTATAGAGAAATTATTCTGAAATACATAGAACCTAACATCAGTCATTGACTCTGATGATACCTAAGATATAGCTATAAGAAATTATCCCAAGAAAAGAGTATCTTTCAACATGAGCAAGATGTTATATAAGGCGGGTTGAAATTACAAAGGGGAGAGAGATACTGTTCATGTAAGAGGGCCATGTTTTTGAAGCTCTCCTCGCTTTAGGATTCGTTTGTAGGTGCCAGAGGCCATTTGGTTGTTTGTGCACATTATTTTTAAGTAAAGCTTTTTGAAAGAAAAATAAAATTGAATTACATACACAGTAGATATATTTTTGTACATCCTGAAATGAGTAAATTGATCTGGGAAAGCTCATTCTTACTTTTTGTTTTCAAATGCTAGAAATCATGGTAAATGTTAACCAAACATAAATGTGGTCTAGTATTATTTGTCAATATCAGAGAAAAAGCACTATTAAAATGGAATCCATTTTGTACATTGCATTTTTAAAACCTGATTGATCACTGTTAAGTGAGTTTTTGTAGCTAAGTGTTTTTAAGACTGTTGACTGAATTTTAAAGGAAATGTCCATGTGTTGCTAGTAGTACTGTGTAAATAAGTCATAAATGGAACAAACAATAATGATTGGCATAATCAGTAGGATTCATTCATCTTTGATAAAACCTCTCCAAGATGCATTAGGTACACCCCAACTGTGGAGAAAAGGATGGAATGTGTTTCCTTTTAACTCCACAAATTTATGAAAAAAATCTAACTTATTTAGTCGCATAACGATAGTAGAAAAAATCTCAATAAAATAATCCTAGTAAAATATAATATTTTAGAGGTGTTTTTGTTTCATGTAAATTAGAAACAGCCTTTTTAATGTCACTCAATAAATTATAGAATAGTATTAATACAATCCTCATCCTTTAATCATACATACATATAAAATGTCTTATCAGGGGAAAGAACACACAGAGAAAGTGAGAGAGAAATAAAAAGAGACGAGGGGATACAGGAAAGATAGATGTATATTAGAAAATTATTGCACTTTCTAGAAGAGATGTCATTCCTGGGATAAAAGAAGCCTTGAGCAGATTATAGAATACATCAGAGGCATTCTTTTCAATAAATGACAAAGAAAGATAGAGTTGCAAAAATACAATCAACTGGAATAGTGAAATTTTAGCAATTTCAGCAGAGTAATTAAGAATACTTTACAAAAGGCAATTTTTAAGAAGTCCTTATGTAATGAATTAACTATTATATAACAGACTGATTACAGTATGTGGACAGCAGCTTATACAAAACCAAAAGAAAAGAAAAAAAATTAAAACAAAGACATTAAAAACAGGAGTAGAGCATCAGATCATATTGTATTAACATGCCATGACTAGATTGCTTTTCTTTCTGATATACCATAACCTATACAAATGCTAGGTAAACAACATGGACCAGTACCTTTCTTTTGGCCTTTAGCTGCTCATGATACTTGTCACAGGTATCTCCTGGGATTTCTCCTCCCCAGAGAGTAATTCCAACAATGGTGTATGTAATACCCATGATGAGCAATGGGAAACAGTACACCAGTATAATGACGATAATATGGTAACTATGAAAAATAAGAAAAACACATGCTGAAGACCTTATTGGAATGAAATATTGGGGACTGAATTGGCTCAGCTTTAAATCATAATTAAAACTACCAAGAGTTATTTCTACATTATCTCTATACATTCATCTCAAAATTCCATCAAAATATCATGCTATTGTCACTTATATTTATGTTTCAAATGCTGCCAGTTGATGTTGTCAATCTTTACTTGGTATATGAAAACTATAGCTGGGTTGAAGGGCTCAGTTAAACATAAGTTCTCCTTGCCTAGAGGTTGAGGAGGAACGACTTTCCACTGCTATGTACTCTGCTTGGTAATTGTTGAGCTAAACCAATTAAATGTATCATTGGAGGAAAAGGGAAGGGATAGAATAAATGAATCAACCGGCATATGTTTTCTCCTATATAGGACTGTCTTCTCTATTGCTGCAACATCAGACATACATAAACTGTTTTTCATTCAAATGGTGGGAAAAAAGTAAGTAGATACTCTGAGCCATAATTAATCCACAAGTTACTACAATTTTTAAAAATCAGGTAAAGACATTTACATGCAATTTTCCAGTCTGGGTCCATTTGATTGCATTGTTAACTTGGTAAAAACAAAACAAAACAAAACAAAACAAAAAAACATGTCGACATAGTAGTCAAACGAGAAGTATGCTGCTGTGAATTATCAAATTAAATTCTGGTATTTAGTAGCTTTCAATCAAAATTATAAGAATTCAATTAGCGAGGAAAAGGAGAGTAAGCCATACTACAATAGCCCAAATATAATTTATAATTTTACAAAATTTGTATGGATTTCACTGTCTTGGAAAGCTTTAAAGTAATTAAAAAGTTTGTTAGAACGGTCTTCTCCATACCAGTGTTTTTTTTGTTTTGTTTTGTTTTTTGTAAAGTGAATCTTAAATATCCTTGCCTTTCCATTTCTCAGTAGATTACTAAGTATTGATTTAAAGTCAATGAGGAAATAATTCAGTCAACAAATAATTTGAAGATGATAACATTATCATACAATTAAGATGTATTAATAATATGAATAGGGTACTCAGTTTAATATGAGCTGTCTGATTTTCCTTAAATAAGTGCCTCCTAATATTTTTGTTCAAAAATCTGAACTTTGGGTAGAGCAAAGGTAGATAAAATGACTGCTTTAAATGGCAACCATTATTTGCACCATTTGTTATTTTTAAAGGGAAAAATTGGTGAGTAAAATAGAAAAATAAGTACATTATTAAAATAAAATTTAAGATTATAATTTAAAAATCAAATGCAATAAATTACACAATTACATTATTATTCCTTCTTGCTCTATTTAATGTGGGTATAAAATATGAACCAAATTTTACCATATATTATAGCATTTGTATTTCCTTTTCAATCTAGTGTTCAGGTTTTTTAATGCTTTTTGCTTGTCTAGAGACAAGCAAAAGAACACAAACCAAATCAAACCAAAATAAAATTAGATAACCTACTAGGGTGCTCCTTCCCTTCAGCTACACTTCCTAAAAGAGCAATCAACACATTTGGGCTTTGATTTCTTCCTTCTCACTCATTTCTCAATCAATAACACAATGCTTTTCTTTGCACATTGCTTTTATCTTTTATCACTTCCTTCAGGAAACTCTCCAGTGCCATCCCACATAGACATCCTCATATTTCCAATTAAAAACCTTAGTAACTTACACAACTTATTGACCACACACAAATCATACCATATTACAGTATTTTTATATATTTCCTTTTCCAAATAATGTATGAACCCTGGGGGAAATGTCAGTCTTATTTAATTGTTGCTCCTAATCTGTAGTTTCCTAAATGTTTGATAAACTGAATTGAAAACCATAATAGAGAATTAACTTACGTGAAATGTTGTTTGGGACCTTCTGGCCATTGCACAAAGCAGAGAGTACGGCCTGGCATGACTTTGGTTTTGGAATAAAGACACTGAGGGAAGGCAAGTAGAAATGCTAGAATCCAAATACTTCCAATGACAATCTTGGTTGCTGTAGCAGACAGTCTGGGTTTCAAGGGATCAATAATAGCCATATACCTATATAAAAACAAACAAAACCATTTCATTGGTTTTCTTTATAACAGAGTTTGAAATGGAGTTTCAAAGGTATTTCAAAGGCGTTTCAATAGTTACAGTCATTGCTCTTTTGGGAAACCAGTTGATAAGGACTGCTTGAGTAGAGGCAGCGTAGAATGGTAATCATGGCATAGTCTAGGAATCAGGAAGATCTAGGTTCAAATTCTATTCTGACACTTGTTTAAACTTTTTGAACCTCAGCTTTATTATTTTTAAAATTGAAATAAGAACACCCATCTCTTGGGGTAAAGTGAGGATCAACAGATGTAAGTCAGCGGTGCCCAGCCTTTTGGCACCAAGGATCGGTTTTATGGAAGATAATTTTTTTCCATGGACTGGCAGTGGGTGAGGGAGCGATGGTGTGGGGATGATTCAAGGGCATTACATTTATTGCACACTTTATTTCTGTTGTGATTCCATTGTAATATATAATAAAATAATTATACAACTTGCCATAATGTAGAATCCGTGGGAGCCCTGAGCTTGTTTTCCTGCAACTAGACGGTCCCATCTGGGGTTGATGGGAGACAGCGACAGATCATCACACATTAAGTTCTCATAAGGAGCACTCAACTTAGATTCTTCGCACCTACAGTTCACAATAAGGTTGGCTTTCTATGAGAATCTAATGCCGCTGACCTGACAGGAGGCGGAGCTCAGGCAGTAATGCAGCACTGGGGAATGGCAGTAAAAACAGATGAAGCTTCTTAGCTCACCAGCCACCACTCACTTCCTGCTGTGCAGCCTGGTTCTAACAGGCCAGGAACTGGTACTGGTCCCTAACCCAGGGAACTGGGTACCTCCGATGTAAGTGAAAGATATTAATGATTTGGTATTGTGCCTAACACATTAGAATTCATAAATGTCTGTTGAATGGAATTGGAAAAGCACTTAATAAGTGCTTACAAATACTGGTTTCACAGCTCAAAACCTTCATGTCTCCTCTGTATGTTTAACTTTTAAACATATAATTTCTAGAGAAATAATATGGATTATACCACATACTTGACAAAGATGTGAAACTCCTATAAAAGATATGGTCCATAAACCCATTTAAGAGCAGCAGGAGATAAGTTCAGAATTTCCGTGATTAATAAATCAAGTTCGATTGAGGCTATGCCTTCCTGTTATACCTCATATTGAATTCATACTGCCTCATGAACATCTTCATGGTGCCTATCTGTGTAACTACATATAACACTGTTGTAACGGAAAAATATATTTGAGTCTCTAAAAAGTATACTTAAAGCATACTTAAATATGACTTTTGGAGGGCAACTTCTTGGGGAAGTTAGGAATTCTGTAAATATGGTAAGTAGAGTCATGCTTTATTAACTTAGTACCAGAGTAACAATATAGCTGAAAGAAGCAACTTCCAATTTTGAACTGGAGATAGCATGGCTAATTGCCAAATTCTAGCTAATGTTCAGAGACAAAAATAATATGTACCAAACAAATTAGCTTTTTGTATTTTAATAAAACACGATCTTTATGTTGTTTCAATTCTACTTTTGGTCATTTTATGTTTATAGAATATATTTTGATTTATGAAAAATTTTCAGACGTAATACTTTCATCAAAGAATGAATATCGCATAGGCCAAAAAATGTTAACCTTAAGAATAAATATTTCAAAATAAGGATATTTTATCAATATGTTTATAAATCTTTGTTGTTGTAACTACTGGGCAGAATTAAATTTTCAGAAGATATTGTGAAAATTATCTATATAATATTCTTAATATTAACTATAGTCATGATTTACCTAAAGAAAACAGTCTTAATTCATTATGTATAACAGCCATTAGGTAAACATGAAACTTAGATTTGAAAAATAATCATATTTGTCCTTTTGTGACTGGCTTAATTCACTACATGATTCCAAATATATGTAGTATCTAAAAGAGTGAAACTTATGAAAGCATAGAACAGATAATGATTGCTCAGGGCTCAATGTATATAAAGTTTTAATAATGCAAGATAAAGAAGTTCTAGACTTCTGCTGTATAACATAGTACCTATAGTTAGCAATAAATTATCATGAACTTTATCATGTTAAAAGGATAGATCCCATGTTAAGTGTTCTTAACACACACACACACACACAACAAATACACACACATAAGAACACAAGGAAATTTTTTGAGGTGATGGATATGTTTAGTGCCTTGATTGTGGCGATATCATGTTTTTCCAAGCTCATCAAAATGTATACATTAAATATGTGCATTTTTTGTATATCAAGTATACCTCAATAAAGCTTACAGAAAGAGAAAAGAAAAAGTAGTGACAAAAAAATACCTAAGTTTAGGAAAACAGTGTGAACTCTACAAAGAAAAATAATGCGTATGTTTCAAATAGGAGACTTTAAAATTCAACTCTCATGGTTATTTTGGTGAAGATAATAATAAAAAAATTGATTGTTAACCATAACTAGGGTACATAATGTATGTAATAGGGTTACATACATCATATATACTTAATAGCCATAATAATCCAACCACAGAATAATACTATTACCTCTATTTTACAGAAAGGAAAACTGAGGCTTAAAAGATTATGGGAATTGTTCATAATGATCCAGATAATAAGAGAAGAGCTAGAATTTTAAGCCAGTTTTGCCAGTCTTCAAAGACAATATAGATACAGATTATAGATTTTGAATATAACCATTTATTTTAGGAGAGAAATATATATATTTCTCCTCCATGATATATATGTTAGATACTTATGTGTTATATGTGTGTGTGTGTTAGAGATACCCACCAAAGAATCAGAAGTAGAATTTTGCCATTTTGCATTTTTGAATCTAAAAGCCTTTATGTGTAACATTAAAACAAAGGTAAAATATATAAAGGAATTATATGTGGGCATTTCTGTTCCTGCTCATGTTGATTATAACTCACATAGCATTTATTTCAATATAGGAATTATTTCTGTATTGGTGTTTCAAAGCCAAGCACCTGTCAATAAATTTGTTGTACTGAACTGAATATCCCTCAAATCTCATTATAATCTTTTGCTTTGTTGCTTGCTCTGGCATCTAATGAATGTGATTTAGGTATTTAGACAGTTGATTTTCTGAGAGTAAAGGGAGAAGTGGAATAACACAAGCAAGCTTAAAGCCCTGTACAACTCCTGTAGCACAGATAATTCAAAGTAAATTGCAAATCGCATTGATTCTTCTGGCCAGTCTAATTAGTCTAATGCTAGAGAAGGTATTTTCTGAAATAATTTCTACCTGTTAGAAATTAATTTCTAACAGGTAAAATATCATTTTACTTGAATTACATGGAAATAATCAGTTTATGTTCTCATGAACATGTTAGTGATAGTAGAGATACTGAAACTTCTAGCATACCTTTTTGTCATAGCTGGTCTGATCCATGATTCATTTATTCAATAAAACATTTATTGAATGCCTACTATGGTATTCCAAACACTAGTGATCCAACACTGGGCAAAAATGGTTTTCTGTGAAGTAGAAAAATACTTCCCAAATTGTGAAGTCCATACCATTTGTGAAGCAGACAAATACTAATCAAATAATCTCACCAATAAATGTAAATTACAGATGTGACAGCTGTTACGAAGGTAAGGCCAAGTGTATACATGAACTGAGAAAAATGTATTTAGATTGTACTTCAATTGTCCCTAAGAAAAGTCATTCTAGGTTGAAACTTGGAAGGATAACCAGGCAAGGTGGCAGAAGAGTGAGGGTTGCAAAGATTTCTGGGAGAATGAACAGCATGTGAAAAACTCCTATGTTGATGGTGTTTTTTTTTTTTTTTTTTTTGAGACTGAGTCTTGCTCTGTCGCCCAGGCCGTAAGTGCAGTGGCACGATCTTGGCTCACTGCAACCTCCACCTCCCAGGTTCAAGCAATTCTCTTGTCTCAGCCTCCTGAGTAGCTGGGACTACAGATGCCCGCCACCACGCCCGGCTAATTTTTGTATTTTTAGTAGAGAGGGGGTTTCCCATATTGGTTAGGCTGGTCTCGAATTCCTGACCTCAGGTGATCTGCCTGCCTCAGCCTCCCAAAGTTCTGGGATTACAGGCATGAGCCACCGCCCCAGCCTGATGGTGGGTTTTTACGGTTTGAATTGTGACCCTCCAAAAAAGATATATTGAGGACCCAACACCCAGTATCACAGACCTTATTTGGAAATAGATTCTTTACATAGGTAATTGGGCTTAAATCAGGTCATTAGGGTGGTCTCTAACCCAATATGACTAGTGTCCTTGTTTAAAGGGAAAATTTGGAAACAGATATGTAGGGAGAATGTTATGTGAAGACAGAAGATTGAAATGTGGCATCAACAAGCCAAGAAACAGCAAAGATTGCCAGCAAATCACCAGAAGCTAGGTTAAGACAAGGAAAGAGTCCCCTACAGGTTCTTGAGGGAGCATGTATCATGGAGCATCGATTTCAAACTTCCAGCCACCAGAACAATAAGACTATAAATTACTGTTATTTAAAGGCACTCAAATATGTGGTACATTGTTACAGCAGCCCTAACAAACTAAGACAGTGGGTACAGGTGGAAGAAGCATCATATTCTTTAGTAATTACAGGATACTGCAATTGATACACAGAAAGTAAAGAGGGAAGGTGGTTTAAGATGAAGTTATAGTACAGGTTGTGGATTTTTTTTGCCAGTGGAAAGTAATTGAGGCAATTTTATCAGAGAAGTAGAATAATCAGATTTCCTCCAGAAAAGAGCTTCGAGCTTCAGTCTGGAGACTGGAAGAGGAAAAGAATGGAAGCAAATGTTGGGCACAGTGGCTCACACCTGTAACCCCAGCACTTTGGGAGCCCAAGGTGGGCGGATCACTTGAGGCCAGGAGTTTGAGACCAGCCTGGCCAACATGGAGAAACCTCATCTCTACTAGAAATACAAAAATTAACCTGGTGTGGTGGCACAGGCCTGTAATCCCAGCTACTCAAGAGGTTGAGGTATGAGCATCTCTTGAGCCTGGCAGGTGGAGGTTGCAGTGAGCAGAGATCACATCACTGCCCTCCAGCCTGAGTGACAGAGCAAGACTCTGTCTCATAAAAAATAAAAAACATATATATAAAGAATGGAAGCAGGGAAGTAAGTTATCTAACTTATGTTCTGATTTGGTTCAGAGATAATTGCTGCTTAGATTAGGGCATTACCACTGGAGGTTGAATTAAGTGAATGATTTGAGGAAAGTAAAGAAATACCAAAATACTGTTGTAGAAAGGGACACTTGGTTGGCCAAAGAAATAGGGAGAATTGCCAGGCTCTGATGAAAACTTATTTGAAATTGTTGATTTGGAATTCGTTTGGGCACCAATATTTTCTATTTTGTAACTTTCTTCAGCAACAATAATTTGCGTGGAGAGGATGGATATTTAGGTTCACCTGAACAAACATTCTCTGGACCTTGAGAATAAATAGTCAGATGTGAGATATAATTTCACCCAAATAATTGTCAGTGCTTTATTGCTTTAAAAAATATTTTATGTGATTACATCAGCTTTTCCAAGGATTTTTGCTGAGCTTCTCATCACCATTCTTCCTTCACCAGATTCTTAAAGACATTAGAATCTCCTTAGTAGGATTATTTCATAAGTAACAGCTAAGAGCTGATTCTTTACTCTTCATATTAGCATACCACCTAAACATGTTTTAAAGTCACTTTTTATTATCCTTTATAGAAGCTGAAATTCTCAGAAGCATCTATTGAAAACTAATAGTTTTAAAGCCACCTCTTAAAAGTTTTCCTTTCCACTCTAATACTAGACCGCTTTGCTTTACCACTTACTATTTTTCTGATATAATTGAGGTGGTCTTTTATGTTTACTTATTGTCTTTTGAAAGGCAGATTAGTTTGGATGTAACTTTTGTCTGATGTCAATAAGAAAGCCTTTCCAATTTTGTAATTGTTATTTGTATCTATTATAATTCTTCCTTTTGTTGGCATTTTTATTAAGTTGTTTCTGGATTTTTATGAGCTTTTACATATCTTCAAGTTTTTCAATGAAGACAGAATCCAGCCTTCAGATGTTTATTTGATTGTAGAAACTATGCAAAAAATAATTTGCCTAAAATGATACGAATTTTACTCTCTTCCAATCAATTTGCTCCTGGTCATAGTAGCATATGTTCTAGTCTGTTAAGTCCCAAACACAAAATACGGTCTGGCTACTCTCTGTGCAAAATAAAGATTAGTTGCAACAGCTGCTCATGACCCATGAAGTTTCAACTTCTGGCCTTCAGTGCTAGGGTATTTTCTGCTTCTCTGCTTTGACAAATCATTTGAGAGATACATGACCTTTGTCAAAATGCATTTTCTAGATACATTTTATTTTGTGATTTTTTTCATAACTGCCTTTTCTATTCTTTGTTTGTTTGTTTGGTTGATGGGCCTCTTGCTCTGTTGCCAAGGCTGGAGTGCAGAGGTGTGATCACAGCTCACTGAACCTCCAACTCTTGGCTCAAGTGATCTTTCTGCCTCAGCTCTCTGAGTAGCTGAGACTACAGGTGCATGCCTGGCTAGTTTTTTTTTTTTTCCTGTATTTCTTGTAGAGATGAGGATTCACCATGTTGTCCAGGCTGGTCTTGAATTCTTGGGTTCAAGCTTTCTGTCCACCTTGGCCTCCCAAAGTGCTGGGATTACAGGCATGAACCACCAAACCCGGCCCATAACTGTCTTAGACAAACTTAAGAATAAATGAATCATTTAGATGATTATAAATGTTGTCTTAATAAATTTCAAAGTGAATAAGCTTTTATTAAAATAATCTATATTTGCTGACTCATGTATGACTCATATATGACTATGACTATTCATATATGTATATATGACTATGACTATTCATATATGTATATATGAATATATACATATAATAGGATATTATCTGTCAAGAAACAAATCACTTGTTCATCTAAAATTCTTTGATTTTTATAAGTAAAATGTATATACTGATATTTGAGGGAAATTATATTTAAAACAGCTTCAGAATAGTGAAAGTATTTGTTTCTATGTTATAGGCATTCAATTTAGATTTAGAATTAGGTTTATCTACTCATTTATGTATTTATTTTAAAGAACTTCTTGAATACCAGCTATCTTCTGGGATTTTGTTATCTTTTTTGGCAATATTGATGAACAAAATAGAAGTAGCTCCTGCCCTTGTGGAGTTCAGAGTCTAATGCAGAAGAAATATATTACTCAAGTAGTCACAAAATAGGTTAGAAATTATCACACAAATTTCCCTTGAAGTAACGTTGCCTCCAGGATATTTGGTTAAATGTTCCTTGGGGCTTTAGTGTGATGGCCTGTGTGCTCAGTACCATACCCCATGATTTTTAAAGTTACCAATCTGACTTTTAAAGTTCCCTCTGTCACTATTCTTAAATCAGTAAAAAATATACGTATGATTTCCAAAAGAAATTTAATTATATAAAGCATTTCAGATTTCAAAATTATATTGAACTTAGAGATTTATGAGAGAGGAGAATACACTGCCATTCTTTGTCCTGATGTTTGTCCTTGAGTTTGTTCTTTTTGTAATGTTCACCTAATTTTCTAAAACCCTACATACATCATGGGTGACTCTTCATTTACAACCTCTTGTGAAGTTTAACCCAGTCCCTCACTCCCTCATTAAACTGGTAGGTCTAGCTCAACCTTTTGGAAATTCTGGTGAATAAAAATTTCCTCATTGTTTACAGTGTGATATTATAAAGCTATGTACAAGTAATTATGAAGCATAAAATAGGGAATTAGACCTCGTCTTGGTTATAAGTGGACACAGTGGTAAAGACATTAGGTATAACTTCCACAAGAAAGCAACATTAAGATTAGAAAAATAAGTGGGGGCTTATTTAGGGTGAAGGTGGGAATGAGAGAAGGAAGTTGAACAGCAAAGTCCTGAGGTAGGAGAAAGCAGAGTGCATTTGGGGAACTATGGAAGGCCAGCTCTACAGCATACAGGACAGGGAAAAAACAGGTGGTACTGAATGAAGCTAGAGATTTAGGTATTAAACATGACCTCATTAATATATTGATTATAAATATAAATTTTCTATTTTAACAATAAAAGTAATAATTGCTAATGCATGAATGCTTAGGTACCATACACTCTAAGAACTTTATATATAACTCATTTAATACTAAAATTTTAATTTTTTACTTAAATAGTAATTACAAAATGATTTGTATCAAAATGCTGCATCAGTAAAGAATATTACATGAAACAATGCCTACTCAAAATTTCAGATAACAGATTTAGAAGTAGTAATCTATAGTGGCAATATAAAACTTGCTAAATTTTTTGCTACTTATACTATCTCTGTAATAAGTAGTTTTAAAATCAGAACATATTTGATTATTTCACCCATAAGACATAAAATTCTAAATCACTCTTTTGAAGTCCAGTTTACTGACATTTTGTGTCACCTCTATATTGTCTCAAAAACCACTTCCATAAGTAACTTCAAAAGAGCTGCTTCATAAAGTCACTTCAGTGTCATCAATTACATATTAAAAACTTTGAGTTCAGGCCAGGCATGGTGACTCATGCCTGTAATCCCAGCACTTCAGGAGGCCAAGGTGGGTGGATCACCTGAGGTCAGAAGTTCAAGACCAGCCTGGCCAACATGTTGAAACCCCTTCTCTACTAAAAATACAAAAATTAAGCAGGCTTGATGGTGCATGCCTGTAATCCCAGCTACTTGGGAGGCTGAGGCAGGAGAATCACTTGAACCCAGGAGGCGGAGGTTGCAGTGAGTCAAGATCGCGCCATTGCATTCCAGCTTGGGCACAGAGTGAGACTTTGTCTCAAAAACAAAACAAAACAAAACAAAAACAAAAAAACTTTGAGCTCAAATATTTTTAGCTCCCACATACAGGTACTGAAGAGGATAGGGTAAAGAAAGTACAGTTAATAAATACAAAAATACAATTAGATAGAAGAAATAAGATCTAGTGTTTAGTATCACAACAGGGCAGCTTATTTAGCTAATACTAATTTATTGTATATTTCTAAATAACTAAATAACTAAGAGACTAGAATTAGAATGTTTCTAACACAAAAGTGCTAACAGCTTGAGGTGATGGATACTCCAATAACTCTGATTTGATCATTACACATTATATGCTTTTATCAAAATATTACTTGTGCCCCATAAATATGTACACCTATTATGTATTTATAATAATGTAAAAATACTAGTACACTAAAAGACCACACTTTACCACTTATCTTACATGAATGTAAGAAATCTGCACTTATAACCCCCTCAAAGTTGTAAAACATTTAAAAGAAATAACAAAGATTAAAACAAATTTTATTAAAACAACTTTATTGAGAGTTTAATTCCCTATGAAAACACTTTTGAACTCTTAGCAGATTGTTATTATTATTATTTCCTTCTGAGATGGGGTCTCTGTCACCCAGACTGGAGTGCAGTGGTGTGATCTTGGCTCACTGCAATCTCTGCCTCCTGGGCTCAAGTGATCCTCCCACCTCAGTCTCCTGAGTAGCTGGGACCAGAGGTGTGCCCCAACACTCCCAGCTATTTTTTATATTTTTAGTAGAGATAGTGGGATCTCACCATGTTGTCCAGGCTGGTCTTGAAATCCTGAGTTCAAGTGATGAGCCCACCTCAGTCTCCCAAATTGGTGAATCACCACACCTGGCCAGAAGATTATTTTTTTGAAAACAATTCCTTTACTGACATACAGGAGAACCTTGGATATGTTGTAGGTCTGGTTCCAGACCACCACAATAAAGTAAATATTGCAGTAAAGCAAGTCACAGAAATTATAGGTTTCCCAGCACATTTAAAGCTTATGTTTCCACTGTACTGTAGTCTATCAAGTGTGCAATAGCATTATGTCTAAAAAATGTACATAGCTTAATTAAAAATTACTTACTGATAAAATGCTAATGATCATCTGATCCTTCAGCAAGTCATAATCATTTGCTGGTGGAGATTCTTGCCTCAATATTGGTAGCTGCTGACTGATCAGGGTGGTGGTTGCTGAAAGTTGAGGTGGCTGTTGCAATTTTTGTTGGTATGTAAGAATGCTTACTTTTTAAATTTTATTTCAATCTTTAATTTTTTTTGAGTACATAACAGTTGTTTCGGCCAGGTGTGGTGGCCCACACCTGTAATCCCAGCATTTTGGGAGGCCGAGGCAGGCAGATCACCTGAGGTCAGGAGTTCAAGACCAGCCTGGCCAACATGGTGAAACCCCGTCTCTACTAAAAATACAAAAAATTAGCCAGTCATGGTGACATGCACCTGTAATCCCAGCTACTCAGGAGGCTGAGGCAGGAGAATTGCTTGAACTCGGGAAGTGGAGGGTACAGAGAGCTGAGATTGTACCACTGCACTCTGACCTAGGTGACAGAGTGAGACTCTGTCTCAAAAAAAAAAAAAAAGTCGTATGTATTTATGAAGTATATGTGATATTTTGATAAAATCGTATGATGTGTAATGATCTGATCAAAATAATTAAGATATCCATCAGCTCAAGGATTTATCATTTCTTTGTGTTTGGAACATTCCAAATCCACTCCTCTAGTTATTTTGGAATACACAATATATTTTTTTTAGTTCCAAGTATGAGTGAAAATATACAATATCTGTCTTTCTGTGCTTGGCTTATTTCACTTAACATAATATCCTTCAGTTTTATTCATATCGTTGCAAATGACAGGATTTCATTTTTTCATGGCTGAATAGTATTCTATTATGTATCTATTATTAAAAATAATGGCAAAAACAGCAATTACTTTTGCACCAATCTAATATACCACATTTTCTCTTTCCATTCATTGATGAAAAGTTAAGTTGATTCCATATCATGGCTATTGTGAATAGTGCTACAATAAACATGGGATTGCAGATATTCCTTCAATATACTAGTTTCCTTTTTTAAAATATATATCTAGCACTGGGCTTGCTGGAATTTCTATTTTAGTTTTTTGAGGAACCTCCATACTGTTTTCTAGCAGCTGTACTAATTTACATTCCAGCAGTTCATGAGTGTTTCCTTTGTTCTGCATCCTCATCAGCATCTATTACTTTTTGTATTTTTCATAAAAGCTATTTTAACTGAGGTAACATGATATCTCATTGTGGCTTTAATTTACATTTCTTTGATGATTAGTGATTCTGAGCATTTTTTTAATATACTTGTTGATGATTTGTATGTTTGTCATTGAGAAATGTCTGTTCAGGTCTTTTGCACATTTAAAAATGGTATTATTTGTTTTTCTATTGAGGTATTTGAGTTTCTTATATATTCTGGTTCCTAATTTCTTCTCAGTTGAATATTCTACAAATATTTCCTCCTATTTTTACCTTTGCTGTGCAGAAGATTTTTTTCATTGGTGTGATCCCATTTATGGATTTTTTTTTCTTTGATTGCCTGTGCTTTTGTGGTCTTATTCCAGAAATCTTTGATAAGACAAAAGTCCTTAAGTTTTTCCACAATGTTTTCTAATGGTAGTTTCATAATTTAGGTCTTACATATAAGTCTTTAATTAATTTTTATTTGATTTTTTATATGGTGAGAGATAGAGGTCTAGTTTCATTCTTCTCCATAATGGATATCCAGTTTCCCTAGAACCATTTGTTATATGGTCATTTCTTGTCAAACTTGTCATTTCCCCAATGTATGTTCCTGGCACCTTTGTTGAAAATGAACTGGTTGCAAACATGTGGATTTATTTCATGGTTCTCTATTCTGTTCCATTCGTCTATGTGTCTGTTCTTATGACAGCACAATACTGTTTTGGTAACTATAAATTTGCAGTATAACTTGAAGTCAGGTAATGTAATTCCTCAAGTTTTGTTCTTTTTGCTCAGAATTACTTTGGCTATTTGGGATCTTCTGTGATTCCATACAACTTTTAGGACTTAAACAAATTTTCTATGAAGAATATCATTGGTATTTTGATGGGAATTGCATTGAATCTGTAGAGTGCTTGGGGTAGAATAGACATTTTAACAATATTAATTCTTCCAGGCCATGAACATGAAATATCTTCCCATTTTTGGTGTCCTCTTCAGTTTCTTTCATCAATATAGAGATCTCTTGCTTCTTTGGTTAAGTTTATTCCTGGGTATTTTATTTTATTTGTTGCTATTATAAATGGGATTGCTCTCTTGATTTCCTTTTCAGATGTTTACTGTTGGCATATAGGAATGCTATTGATTTTTGTATGTTGATTTTGTATTGTCCAACTTTATTGAACTCATTTATCAGTTTTAACAGTTTTTCATTTTTAGTGGAGTCTTTAGGTTTTCTAAATATAAGATCATATCGTTTACAAACAAGAATAATTTGACTTCTTTCTAATTTGGATATGCTTTATTTCTTTCTCTTGTCTAACTACTCTGGCTATGAATTCCAGTACTATGTTGAATAAAAATGGTGAAAATGGGCATCCTTGTCTTGTTCCAGATCTTACAGAAAAGGCTGTCAGTTTTTCCCATTCAGTATGATACTGTAGGTTTGTTACATATCGCCTTTATTGGATTGAGGTATATTTCTTTTATATCCAGTTTGATAACAGTTTTTAATCATGACATGACATTGAATTTTACCAAATGCTTTTTTAGCATCTTCTGAAATAGTCATCTATTTTTTGTCTTTCATTCTGTTGATGTAATGTTTCATGTTTATGGATTTGATGTGAATCTCACCTGATCATGATGAGTGATCTTTTTAATGTGTTGTTGAATTTGGCATGCTAGTATTTGTTGAGGATTATTTTCATCTATATTAATCAATATTGGTCTGCAGTTTTTAATTTTTTTTCTTGTGGTAGTGTCTCTGCCTGGTTTTGGTATCAGGGTAATGCTGGCCCTAGAGAATGAGTTTGAAAGTATTCCCTCTTCCTAATATTTTCAGAATAGTATGAGTAGGATTGGTGTTAGCTTTTCTTTAAATGTTTGGTAGAATTAAGCATTGAAACCATCAAGTCCTGGGCTCTTCTTTGATGGGAGAGTTTTTATTACTGGCTCTATACATTACATAATATTGGGCTATTTAGGTTTTCTATTTCTTTATGGTTCAATATTAGGAGGTTGTATGTATTCAAGAATTTATCCTTTTCTTCTAGGTTTTCAAATTTATTGGCTTATAGTTGCACAATAGTAGTCTCTAATGATCCTTTAAATTTTTGAGCTATCAATTGTAATATCTAATTTTTCAACTCTGATTTTATTTATTTATATTTTCTCTCCTTTCTTCTTTGGCTAAAGATTTGTCAAGTTTGGTTGTCTTTTCAAAAAAGCAACTTTTTATTGTATTGATCTTTTGATGTAGATCTTTATTGTTATAAACTTCCCTCTTAGTCCTGCTTTTGCTGTATCCCACAAAGGTTTTTAAAAATAAGACAATAATGAAGTTTACCACATCAATTAACTCTTCTTTTCACAAAAGATTTCACTGTAGCATGCAATGCTATTTGATAGCATTTTACCCACAGTAGAATGTCTTTCAAAGTTGAAGTCAATACTCTCAAACCCTGCTGCTGCTTTATCAGCTAAGTTTATATAATATTCTATATTGTTTATTATTATTTCAACAATGTTCACAGTATCTTGCCCAGAAGTAGATTCAATTTAAATAAACCACTTTCTTTGTTCATGCATAAGAAGCAGCTCCTCAACATTAAAGTTTGATTATGAGATTGCAGCAATTCAGTCACATCTTCAGGCTCCACATTCTTGTTCTTTTGCTATTTCCACTACAACTGCAGTTACTTCCTTCACTGAAGTTTTGAACCCCTCAAAGTCATCTATGATGTTCTTAATGCTATCTAAAATGGTGAATCTTTTCCAGAAGATTCTCAATTTACTTTTCCCAGATCCATCAGAGGAATCACTATGGCAGCTATTGCCTTACAAAATAAATTTCTGAAATAATAAGACTTGAAAGTCTAACTTACTCTTTGATCCCTGGGCTGCAGAATGAATGTTGTGTCTTGTGTCAGCAGACATGAAAACAACATTAATCTCATATATCTCTATCAGAGCTCTTGGGTTACTAGGTGCATTGCCAATGAGCAGTGATATTTTGAAAGGAATCTTATTTTCTGAACAGTGAGTCTTAACAATGGATTTAAAATATTCATTAAACCATGCCATGAACAAATGTGTCATCATCCATGCTGTGTTGTTCATTTTATAGGGCACTGGCAGAATAGACAGCATAATTTTTAAGGGCCCTAGGATTTTTGGAATAACAAATGAGCACTGGCTTAACTTCAAGTCACCAGCTGCACTAACCCTTAGTAACAGAGTCTGCCTGTCATTTGAAGATTTGAAGTCAGGCATTGACTTCTCCTCTCTAGCTATGAAAGTCCTAGATGGAATCTTTTTACAATGTAAGACTGTTTTGTCTACATTGAAAATCTGTTCTTTAATATAGCCACCTCATCAATGATCTTAACTAGGTCCTTTAGATAACTTGCTGCAGCTTTTCAACACTTGCTGCTTTGCCTTGCACTTTTATGTTATGGAGATGGCTTCTTTCCTTATACCTCAGGAACCAAACTCTGCTGGCCACAAGTTTTCTTCTGCAGCTTCTTCAACTCTTTGAGCTTTTATAGCATTGAAAAGAGCTAGATCCTTGACACGTATTAGGCTTTGGCTTAAGGAAATGTTGTGGCTTGTTTGATCTTGTATCCAGACCACTTAAACTCTATATCAGCAATAAGGCTGCTTTGTTTGCTTACCATTTGGTGTTCACTGGAGTAGCACTTTTAATTTCCATTAATAACTCTTACTTTCCATTCAGAACTTGGCTGTTTGGTGCAAGAGGCCTAGCTTTCAGCCTGTGTTGGGTTTTGATATGTCTTCCTCACTAAGCTTAATCATTTCTAGCTTAACTCACTCAAATAGCGAGTGACATTGTGACTCTTTCATTTCAACACTTAGAGGACATTGTATGGTTATTAATTGGCTTAATTTCAACATTGTTATATGTTAGGAAATAGGGAGTCTCAAGGAGAGGAAGAGAGTCAGGAGCACATGGAGCAGTCAGAACATATACATTTGCTGATGAACTTCACTTTCTTACATGGGCATGGTTCGTGAAGCTCCAAAACAATTACCAGAGTAACATCAATGATCTCTGATCATAGGTCACCAGAACAGATATAATAATAATAAAAAGTTAAAAATATGGTGACTATTGCCAAAATGTGACACGAAAAAATGAAGTGACACATGCTACCAGCAAAATGGCACCAATAGTTTTGCTCGATGCAGGATTGTCACAAACCTTTAATTTGTAAAAAGCACAATATCTGCAAGGTGTAATAAAGCATAGTGAGATAAAATGATGTATGCCTGTATGTGTTAGGTTGAAATTCACCTATAAATAATATTTCTAGTAGTCAATGCTTTATAGAGATAACACAGAACACTATACATAATTAGCTATACATGATACTCTATTTAGACTGTAAGCTAGATATACTTTTCCAAATGTGTACAACTCCATTCAATTTCATTTTATTTCATTTTTTATAAGAGAATGAGGTTTTAGATGAAAAGGGAGTGGCAAACGGTGGCTTAAACGTGGAGGAGTTAGAAAGAATAAAAGTGAAAGAAACTCCCAGGTAGGAGCAATAGACTTATTGCAGAGTAGTTAATAGGTAAAGGAAGTGAAACATTTTAGCCTTGAAAAGAGGCAGAACACTTGGAAGCTTTAGTTAAATATATGAAAGGCTGTAGTGAGGAACAGATTTCAAAAACAGTGTTAGAACACTTTATGAGTAAAAACTCAGATTACACAGTTTCTATGAGAAAAATGACTCACAGCTAGCTATCCAGAGCACAATGAATTGTCTCCAGTGCTATTATGTTTTTCTGTTTTTTTTTTTTCTCTGTTGTTGGAGGTCCTCAGGAAGAGTGAGTAACCATTTATTACATGAATTAAATAACTATAAGCTACCAGATAAACTGTGGAAATAGATGGAAGTAGGCTCCCTCACAACTCTGAGATTCTAGTTTTCATCAGAAGGAGCTTGTCTTAAAGCTGATTAATCATAGTTCCAGGACCTTATGTTCATAATTCAACTGATGAGGACAAGTAAACAAAGCTACATTTTTCTCTTGTTTTGTTTTGAGATGGAGTCTCGCTCTGTCACCAGGCTGGAGTGCAGTGGCACAATCTCAGCTCACTGCAACCTCTGCCTCCCGAGTTCATGCCATTCTCCTGCCTCAGCCTCCCAAGTAGCTGAGACTGCAGGCGCACACCTCCACGCCTGGCTAATTTTTGTACTTTTAGTAGAGATGGGGTTTCACCATGTTGGCCAGAATGGTCTTGATCTCTTGACCTCATGATCTGCCTGCCTCGGCCTTCCAAAGTGCTGGGATTACAGGCGTGAGCCACCGCGCCCGGCCTACATGTTTTAATTGGTACTGCAAGGCATTAGTTTTTGGCAGGCATTTTTCTTAACCAATTATGGACATTAAAATTCTGTGAAAATAGATGTAAATTATTTTATATTTATCCTCCTAAAGAATGAATGGCTTCAGAAGAAATCTTACTATACTTATATAAAAATATAGGTGTTTTTCATTCATGAAAAATGAACACTTTTTTGAGTATCCTCATTCTAAATATTATTCATATGGACATAAGAGTTATTCTAAAATCCTCCCTTTTTCTCACTTCCTTTGCACTGTTGAAGTCTTATGCATCCAATTTCTGACATCACCAAATCTGTTCTTTCCCTCTTTTCTATCAATGCTTGGATCTTGAAATGTCCTCATAATGAGTTTCCCTGCTGTGGCTCTTTCCTTGCTTTCTTCACAATATCTCCAAAGTTGTCTTTAAAAATATTTTCCTACGTCTTCACTTTCTAGAAGATTAACTGCAATTTTGCTCATGTTTTACAACAGTGACACTAGACATCTTATCTTTCCCCACAAACCTACTATATTGTGGGAAATATATTAGGAAATAAGGAGTCTCAGTCAGAGCTCCAAGGAAAATAGATGACATGCAAGAATGTGCAAACTGAAGAGAGTTTAATGAAGAGGACATTTACAAAGTTATCGGTAGACTTCAAGGAAATTGATGTAGAATGAATGTTATCCAGGACTAGCAATGCCAGGGAGTGGGTACCCCACTTCTTCAGGTGTGAAGGGTGAAAGGATCCTAGAATCTGAAATGAAGATATGAAGCTCTAGGAGATGAACATCCAATAAGAGATATGCTTACAGGTTGGAGGCTTAGCCAATTTGCAGCACTCCTGAAAGGAAGGAGTGGTAGACACGTCCGAAAGCCACTCTCATCATTTCCTCCCATTTCCTCCATGTGTCTCCCATTAGGCAACACCAAGAAAAGGCCAAAGAGCAAGGGACCCTATTGGTGCAATCCACACAGGTATTTAGCCTGAGTGGAGGGGAGGGGGCAGAGAAAAGAAAGAAATGATAAGGAGTAGATCTGAACCGAAAAATCGAAATTATCCCTCTTGCTCATACCTTTTATTTATATAATTGGCAAATTTCTACCCATGCTTTAATTTCCACTCAGATACAGAATAATCACTCTGAATTATTTCCTTTCTATTCTTCCATAGCTAGTTTTTTGCACACTCAGTGCTTCAAAGATATTGTGCTTAGACTTTGATTTCACCTCATTGTTCTAAATGAGCTACGAGAGGAAAAAGATACTGATTTATTCTTCTCTGTGTTCTGTAGCACTCACCTTGCAGCTTCTGGCTCACAGGAGTCAATATAATTGTTAAGCAGTGAATGCAAATAATTGTTTAACATTTGTACAGATAGATGAATAATTGTTCACAAATGAGGACTTCAGCATGTATATAGATTTTAAAATAAGTAGTTTTCTTAACTTTGCTAAATAGAAATAACAAACATAACACTATCATAACGTTAAAATTACACTACATAACACAATATATTCAAAGAGCTAGATAATGTCAGATGCAGTAGACAGTCAACCTAAGTTATCCTAACCTATATTAAATATAATAGTGAAATTAACACAGGAAGAAAAACAGCTATAGAGACAAGATGCAGACAAAGACAAACAAATATAGTGTGTTAAAAGTGGTTCTTCAGAATAAAGAATCCAGAAATAAGACTACACATCTAAGACTATCTGATCTTAGACAAACCTGATAAAAACAAGCAGTGGGGAAAGGATTCTCTATTTCATAAATGGTGCTGGGATAACTGGTTAGCCATATGCAGAAAATTGAAACTGGACCCCTTCCTTACACCATATACAAAAATTAATCAAGATGGATTAAAGACTTAAATGCAAAACCCCATAAAAACCCTGGAAGACAATCTAGGCAATACCATTCAAGACATAGGCACGGGCAAAGATTTTATGACAAAGTTTCCAAAAGCAATTGCAGCGAAAGCAAAAATAGACAAAAGGGATCATATTAAACTAAAGAGATTCTTCACAGCAAAAGAAACTATCAAGAGTAAACAGCCAACCTACAGAATGGGAGAATATTTTTGCAATCTATGCATCTGACAAATGTCTAGTATCCAGCATCTATAAAGAACTTAACAAATTTACAAGAAAAAAATAAGCAACCCCATTAAAAAGTGGACAAAGGACGAGAACAGACATTTCTCAAAAGAAGACATACATGTGGCCAACAAACATATGAGAAAAACTCAACATCACTGATCATTAGAGAAATGCATATCAAAACCACAATGAGATACCGTCTCACACCAGTCAGAATGTCTATTATTAAAAAGTCAAAAAGCAACAGATGCTGGTGAGGTTGTGGAGAAAAAGGAACACTTTTACACTGTTGGTAGGAGTATAAATTATTTCAATCATTGTGGAAGACGGTGTGGTGATTCCTCAAAGATGTAGAAGTGGAAATACTATTCGACCCAGCAATCCCATTACTGATATATACCCAAAGGAATATAAATCATTCTATTATAAGGACACATGCATGTGTATGTTTATTGCAGCACTATTCACAAAAACAAAGACATATAATCAACCTAATGCCCATCAGCAATAGACTAGATAAAGAAAATGTGGTACATATACCACGGAATACTATGCAGCCCTAAAAAGGAATGAGATTATGTCCTTTGCAGGGACATAAATTGAGTTGGAGGCTATTATCCTTAGCAAACTAATGCAGGAACAGAAAACCAAATACTGCATGCTCTTATTTAGAAGTGGGAGCTAAATGATGAGAACACTTGGACACATAAGGGAGAACAACACACACTGGGGCCTTTTGGAGTGTGGAGGGTGGGAGGAAGAAGAGCATCATGAAGGATAACTAATGGATGCTGGGCTTAATACCTAGGTGATGAAACGATCTGTTTGGCAAACCACCATGGTACAAGTTTACCTATGTAACAAACCTGTACATCCTGCACATGTACCCTTGATCATAAAATAAAAGCTGGAAATAAGAAAAAAGAAAAAAGGTGGTTCTTAGGTAGTTGTGAGTGGCATAGAAAGAAAAAAAAAAGCATATGCCAAATTCTGATATGAGGATTAAATAAAACTTTGGATATTGTCCCTAGCTTTTCAACAGAAACCTGTTTCATCAAGGTAATGTAGCATAGGTTATCTTTCTTCTAAATCTCTCCGTTTAAAACAGTTTTGTTGAATGGAGAGTAATGAGATCTTCTGTGCAACTTGAATAATGGCAACTAGTGCTCAGTGATTCAAGGATTAAATGGAAATATTCAGTGTGACTCTTGGAGACTTTGTAAATTCATTGGATGTACTAGGAATTCATTCCTTTCAGTTATGTCTGATGTTGATCTACACTGTATCAATTTTTTTTATCAGTTAAATAGTAGCTTGTGGCAGTGCCAGTGTATTCTCTTTAAATTTGCAAAGATGATGGTGGCCAACAAGCATGAGGATTTCCAAATCTTAAGGGTATGTAAGTTGTGAAGATGGAAATATCTATTTAGTTGTGCAAGTGGAATAAAGCAAGTATTAGATAACTTCAAAATTCAGATAACAAAGATGAGAATCAGAAACTTTTCCATAGTTGGCTTTTCTTTTTAATTGTATTTTCATCTTATTAAAATTGATTTAAGCACAAACTATTAAGTTACTTTTTAAAACTTTAAAAATCACCTCCATTCATTTATTCATTCATTTATCCATACAACAAATATGCATTGAGTGCCAAATAAATGAAAGCATTATTCTAGAATGTGTGACTATAAAGGTACACAAAATAGATAGCAGTGGGTACTACGCAGAAAGATAAAACAGATTAAGTGGATAGAAAATGATGTGAGTCTGCTGTTTTAGAGTGGTCAGTTCATGCATGAGATACACTTAGAAAATAAAAGGTAGTTGCTTTTTTTTTTTTTAACAGCTGCTTCTCTGTCCTCACACCACATCTATAAGATTATTTTATTTTAATAATCTTTTCTCTTTGAGGGCCATAAGTCTTCTCAGTCTTTCTGAGCTCATGGGAGGCAAATGACTTATTAGTAATATAATCTGACTTCAAAAAGCAAGTATTTTCCAGTTCTGTCATTTTCATGTCTCACCACTGAAGAAAATCAGGGATGCCAGAAAGTTCACACCAAATTATTAATTTTCTGTATGGTGGATTTCAGTTCCATTAATTTAAGAACATTATTATGATTACTCTATAAATTTCATAAAGTGCTAACTGACATCCTCTATGTTGCATTACTGTGTAAATACAGGAAATTAAAGTTTTTAGTTCTGGAGGCCCTAACTATGCCCATTTGCATTGCTTTCTTATAGGTAAAAGCCAATCATAATCCTGAATTTATATTCTTCTCTTCGAAAACAGTAAAATGGAAGTCATACTTTCTGAGTAGAACTGTGTGTATTTCTTTGAGATGACAGTGTGGCGTATAAATAATGGCTGTTATGGTTACCTTAATAGCAGCATATTTCAAACCTCAGGACTGGAATTGTTAGGTGGTGAAAGTATTCTGAGGGGATCATCATATCTGATTCCTATAAACCATAACTCCAAATAAATATTTGAAGTAGTAGTAGTACTTTTGGTTTTCCTGAAACGGGTGCAAAGAGCTCCCACATCAGATGTCCTTTCATTCTCAGGTTTTATATGCATTGAAAAGACATCTCAATAACAACCCTTTGTGGAGTAATTGCTGACTTTGAGGAAGCTGGGGGAGAGGAGATGGTATGAATCCTTTTAATTGAGCTCTACTTGTTTTATGAGACACCCCCTTTAAAATAACTCCCTTTAAAGTTTTAGTTTGAGGATACAAATTTAAATTTATGTAATAACATTCCATAATATAATGGTGACTGTAGATAACTGCAGGGAAAGGTAAGTAGAATGATGGTTTGTAATGAAAGCTCTCCATTGGCAGATAAATAAAAGATTGGATATCAATTATCTCTAACAAAAGGTACACTGGAACTACATAGAATGCAGAAGCTGGGGCAGACTAACAATACAAGCTCTATTATATATATATTTTTAAATATGGAGTAGTTTGGTGTGATAAACCCTTAAATCCCATTCAATGAGAAGCTGTATTATTATATTGCTAAGTAATTATGTTTCTTTATAGTACTCTTAAATCCTCTAATTGAAAGCACTTGTTATGCCTCAAATTATACTGTCAGACTGTGCTCAAGCTATGTGCAGTACTTGAGAACAGATAAAAGTAGAGTGCTTTTGAGGGTTTCATCACCCATTTGATGAAACATATGGGATGTTTCATCATATGGGTGACGTTTACATAAACAATAAAAAAAGCCCATATGAGCTTGGGTACTTTTTATTGTTAGCAAGTAGAACTAACCAATTGAAGCAGCAGTCACACCTACAGAACAGAAAGAAAATGGTGCTTAGTCTGTAGAAATTTTTATTCTATTGAGATAAGGAGGAATGTTTAAGCTTGTTTGGAGAAAAAAAATCTGAGCAGACCTAGTAAAAATCAAACAACATGTATTATAATAGAAACCAGTATGGAAATTTGCTCTGGTAACAATCCATTAGAAAGTTTCCAGATTAAGTGATATATATATATATATATACATACATACACACACACACACACACATATATATATACACATATATATACATATATATACACATATATATATCACTTAATATATATATTTCTCATTATTGTCAAGTGAAAATGCAATAAGAACTATATACAGAATATTTTCTCATTTGTACCCTAACAGATAGCTAAGAATAGAAATCTGTACAGAAGGCTACTTTTTCAGGTCTCATCATCATTTACCTAAGTCATCTATCACCTGAAATTACTGTTGACAACTATAGATTTTCTGGTTTTGTTTTCTCACCATGAGGATCTTTTAAACTCTCTATAATAAGCCATTTCATCTATGTTCTCACTTAATAGGGTAATAGGGCTATTAGGAAATTGAACATTATTTTGATAGCTATGTTTCTACATCTACCTCTTTGATAACAGCATTCACATTTTTTCAAAAGAAAACTCTAATTATAGGAGTAGTTTTATTTCTGTTAAGTTATTTTTTCTCTAAGCTTTCTCTTTCTTCCTTATATTTTTTTTCTATTTTAATAGGTTTGCTTTCTCTTGCTAAGATAAACTATTTTATTGAAAATAGAGCATAATATTCTTCCTTTTAAAATATTACACTCAACAGATTTGCTTGTTTTCTTTAAACTGGTAAAATAGGATATTTAAAAAAATATTTACCAAATTCAAGATAAAATGTCACTTTAGTTATTCAGAGGCAGTCAAATCACATACAGTATTCCACACACCCCAACAAATACAAAGTCACATTCCTACGTGTTATGAAGGATCTCTCAATTCCACTCACTTTTTGATGCTAAAAACTGTATCTCAAAATATAGTGTCTCTCTCTCACGGCCTAAATATAACATCAGAAATTTATTAGATATATCCTTCTTGTTTTGTCATAACATCTCTCATTTATAATTCATTTGAAATCATAGATCATAAAATTTGTAGCTTAATGGACCTTATATAACGGCATAGGTATATTAAAAGTAAAATGGTAGAAAAAGATCTACCATGTACATCAAGGCAAAGAAAATTACCAGAGATTCTTTATCTTGTTTAATGCTTAAAGGATCAATTTACCAAGAAGACGAAATAATCCTAAATGCACATAATAACGGTGCTTCAAAATACGTGAATCAAAAATTGACTGAAATAAATGGTCAGATCCACAAATTCACAATTATAATTTTGCATTTCATAATCTTTTTAGAACTTATAAAATTAGTAGATAGAAAATCAGTGAGAACATAGAAAAACTAAATAACTCCACCAATGAACTGCATCTAACTGACATTTATGGAGCACTGAGTCAAACAAGAGCAGAATATATACTTTTCAAGTACAAATAGGCATTTACCAAGATGACCCATATTCTAGAATAGAAAACAAAATTTTAAAAGTGCAAAAAATTAAAACAAATATATATTCTTAGATAATAATGGAATTAAACTGGAAATCAATAACAGGAAAGAGAAAAATTTCCAAACTTGGAAATTACACAAAACACTCTTAAATAATTCATGTATTCATGTTTATTAGTTTTATTTGGTGTGTAATAACTTGTCATCAACTTAGTAGCTTAATACTTTAAAAATTAATTATTATTATTCACCCACTCTTATTCTGGTCTGTAAAACAACACCTTTTAAATTCTTGTCATTATTATTTTTAGAGATGGAATCTTTCTCTCTTGGCCAGGCTGTAGTGCATTGTGCAGTCATGGCTTATGGCCACCTCAAACTCCTAGGCTCAAGTGATCCTTCCACCTCAGCCTCCCATGTAGCTGGGTGTATTAGTCTGTTCTCACACTGCTATAAAGATACTACCCAAGAGTGGATAATTTAAAAACAAAGTAGGTTTAATTGACTCACAGTTCCACATGGTTGGGGAGGACTCAGGAAACTTACAATTATGGTAGAAGAGAAGCAGGCACATCTTACATGGCAGCAGGCAAGAGAGACTGAGCAAGAGTGGGGAAAACTGCCTTATAAAACCATCAGATCTTGTGAGAACTCACTCACTATCACGAGAACAGCATGGGAGAAACCACCCCCATGATTCAATCACCTCCTACCTGGTCCCTCCCTCGACACATAGGGATTATGGGGATTACAATTTGAGGTGAGATTTGGGTGGGGACACAGAGCCAAACCGTATCACTGGAGCTACAGGTGTGAGCCGTCACATCCTGCAAAAACAGTTAATATCTGACAGTTTCTGAGTCAGTAATGAGGACAACTTAGCTGGGTCCTCTCTTAGGATCTCATAAGGTGCTGTCAAGATGTTGGCTGGGCTGTTTTCTCATCTGGAGGCTGGACTGGAGAAGGATCCATTTCCATCTCTCTAAGGTTATGGGAGATTGTTGTGTGTGTGGCTGTAGAATTCATGTTAACTTGATTTTTTAAAGCCAGCAACGAAGAAAGAGAAAATCTAGAGCTAACCGATAGTGAGATGGAACTTTAGATAACATAATTCAATCACCGAAGTGACATCTCATCACATATGCCACGTTTTATTGGTTAGATGCAAATCATAGGTCCAGTCTTTACTCAATGGGAGGCTAATATAAAGGTAATGAAGATGAGGAGGCAGAAATCCTAAGAATCATCATAAAATTTGTCTACCACACAATGGATCAAAGAAAAAGTCTACAGAAATCTAGAAAATATTTTGAACAGAATGAAAATGTAAATACAAAATTAAAAAACCTGTGGGATTCAACTAAAACAGTACTTGTATGTAAATTTACAGAATTAAATGCTTACATAAAATATTTAAAAGTTCTCAAATAAGTAATCTAAGTTTCCATCTGTGAAAACTAGAAAAAATAAGGACAAAATGCACCCAAAGCAAGAAAAAGAAAGGAAATTAAATAAGAGAGGAAATCAATACAAGTCAAAGTGAAGTGACAATAGAAAGAAAATCAGTGAATCCAAAAAATAACCTTTTGGAAAGCTTGCTAAAATTGATAACGCACTAGAAAGACTGACCAAAAAAAAAAAAAAAAAAAAAAAAAGAGAGAGAGAAGACAAAAATAAGCAAAATCTTAAAAAATAAGTGATACTACTACAGAGAAACAGGCATTCAAAAAGAGTATAATACTACACACATATATAAATAGATAAAATAGACCAGTTTCTTAATATGTGCAAACTACAAAACTCTACCCAAAATGAGTTCTATATTTACTAAATTTCCAAAATATGAATCTCTAGTACCTCATGGTTTCACAGGTGAATTATGTCAGATATTTAAAGAAAAATAACACCAGTGCTACAAAATCCTACATAATTGAAAAGTAGAGAACACTTTATAATTCATGACAGGAAGTGGGGGAGGAGAGATGGGAGAAGAGAGAGAAGGAGAGAGAGAGAGAGAGAAATGAGGAGAGAGAGAGAGGAGAGCCAGACAGAAATACATCATCCAAAAATGGTATTTGTTTACATAATTTGAGACCGGTTTTAATATTAAAATTTCAATCAATTTAACCCAAAAACCAATTTAAATATATTAATTGATAACAGAAAAAAAATTTGATGAAGTTCAACGTCAATTTAATATAAACTCTCAGCACATTCAAATAGAAGACAATGTCCTAAATCTGATACAGAGAAATCTACAAATAACCTAAAACTAACATTCTGTTGAAAGACAAAAAAACTGTATATTTTTGCTGTGATCAAAACAATCAAGGATGTCCACTCTTACCACTTCTATTTAACATTGTGCTAAAAGTGCAGTAAGTCATAAAAAAGAATGGATAGGCATACAGATTCAAAAGAAATTTAATAATGTCTCTATTCATACAATAGAAGATTGTCTATGTAGATGATCCCAATAAATCTCCAAAAATCCCCACATAGACCTAATAAATGAGTTTGACAAGGATGCAGAATACAGGTTCAAGTGACAAAATCAATGGTATTTTTATTTATCAGCAATGAACAATTTGAAACTAAATTTTAAAAAGCTACCACTAATACTAGGTCAAAAATAAAATAGGCATGTAGCTATCAAAACATGCAGAATCTACATGATGAAAACTGCAAAATACTGATAAAAAAATAAAGACCGAAATAGGTGATAAAAAGGCATCCTATGTTCACAGTTTGAAGGATTCAGCATAGTAAAGATGTTGATAATATCCTAACTGATCTACATATTTAATGCAATTACATTAAAAACTCCAGTAAGATTTCTTTATAGATACATAAAAGCTCGTTCTAAAATATCTATTAAGGCTGGATGTGGTGGCTCATGCATCTGTAATCCCAGCACTTTGGGGGGCTGAGGTGGGAGGGTCACTTGAGGCCAGGAGCTCAAGACCAGCCTGGCCAACATAGCAAAAAACCTGTCTCTATGAAAAATATAAAAAATTAGCCTAGTGTGTTGGTGAACACCTGCAGTCCTAGGAGAATTGCTTGAACCTGGGAGGTGGAGGTTGCAGTGAACCGAGATTGCACCACTGTACTCCAGCCTGGTGACAGAGCAAGGCTCCATCTCAAAATTAAATAAATAAATAAATAAATAAATAAATAAATAAATAAATAAAATGTATATTAACTAGTTTAAAAGCGGAATAGGAAAAATAACTTTACAAAAGAAGACTGAAGTTGGGGGAATCACTCTATCACATTTAAGAACTTCTGTGCAGCAGTAATCAATACAGTATGGATTTGGTAAAGACATAGATCAATGAAACAGGATTTGGAGTCTAGAAACAGATGTACATAAACGTGGCCCACTGATTTTTGTCAATGGTATAAAGGCAGTTAAGTGAATAGTTGATAGTATTTTCAACAAATATTTTAAAACAATTGGATATTTGTATGCCAAAAATATTTTACATTGAGTTCAAGCTAAGACTTAAAAAAATTAACTCAAAATGTATCATACATCTAAAAGTAAAACATTAAAACAACAAAATATTTAGAAGAAAACCTAGGAGGAAATCTTTGTAACCTGGACATAGGCAAATATTTCTGGGACATGACAATAAAAAGTTCATATGAGCAAAAATGTTGATAAATTAATCTTTATCAAAATTTAAAAACTTTGCTCTGCACAATGCCTTGTGAAAAGAGTAGAAAAATAAGCCACAGTCTGGGAGATATTTGCAAATCACATACCTGACAAAGTACTCATATGCAGAATATATAAAGAACTTTAAACACTTCACAATAGAGTATACTCTCAGAAAGATGGTGTGAGGAACTCCAAATATCTTCTCCCCCAAAACCGAAAAAGAAAAAATAATCAAAATTAACTATTGAAAGTCTCTGAAAATTAAACAAAGGCCATATAAGTTAACAAGTATTCATTAAGGGTAGTTAATCTCTGTAAGAGCAAGAAGATTCCATGTCTACCTCTCCCTTCCCCAGGTCCACAGTGTGAAAGTTCTGCCCTGTGTGGGTGGGGACATCTATGAGAACTACTAGCTCTGCTGCCGTATTGGAGGGGGCTGACTTTGTTTAGTGAAAAGAATGGATAAACTCTTACCTAGGGTATTTGTTGAAAATAATAGAGATCTCATCTCAGTTGTTAAAACAATCAGTGGTTAAAACATAGCAGTGTTAGTTGGAGAAAGCAACAAATCTGCAGTCTAGTTATAAATTTAACAGGATGATTCAGGGGAAGAGACAGTCAAGTAAGGCTCTGTTTGAATCCCTGCTGATCTGCAAGGCTGATGCATGCACAGGGCTGTGCCACTTAGAAAAGACAGGAAAAAGTCTTAAGAGATACTAGACCCTGGATGAATGTGAGGCAGACTTGTAAACCTTCTGAATTTTATAAGCATTCCCATGACACAGATCCAATGGCAAATAGTAGAGTCTTACTAGTTCAAGTTATTTAATCACAACCGCTGACCAGTTATTGGCTGATTGAACAACCACTAACTAAGCTGACTCAGAGATAAACCTTTAGAAACCAGTCTTAAAAATAAACACAAGAAAAAAACTGAGCAATGGTACCATAGACCACAAACTGTCAAACAAACACTCCATAAAATTAGTACACACAAGTCACTAAATAAATAAACAACAAACAAGAAATGATAACAGTAAACCCCAAGGTGGAGTGGAAAAAATAGAATTCATAGTTGTTACATTCAATTATATAAAATGTCTGATTTTTGATAGAAAATTATAACACATGAAAGAGGAAAACATAACCCATATGCAGAGATAAATGCAGTCATTAGAAATTATTTTTGAGAGGTCCTAGAAGTTGGACTTAGCAGAGAGAGATTTCAATGCAGCCACCATTAATACGTTTAGAGAACTAAAGAAAAGCTTTTTAGGACCAGATGGATTCACAGCCAAATTCTACCAGAGGTACAAGGAGGAACTGGTACCATTCCTTCTGAAACTATTCCAATCAATAGAAAAAGAGGGAATCCTCCCTAACTCATTTTATGAGGCCAGCATCATCCTGATACCAAAGCTGGGCAGAGACACAACCAAAAAAGAGAATTTTAGACCAATGTCCTTGATGAACACTGATGCAAAAATCCTCAATAAAATACTGGCAAACCGAATCCAGCAGCACATCAAAAAGCTTATCCACCATGATCAAGTGGGCTTCATCCCTGGGATGCAAGGCTGGTTCAATATATGCAAATCAATAAATGTAATCCAGCATATAAACAGAACCAAAGACAAAAACCACATGATTATCTCAATAGATGCAGAAAAGGCCTTTGACAAAATTCAATAACCCCTCATGCTAAAAACTCTCAATAAATTACGTATTGATGGGACGTATCTCAAAATAATAAGAGCTATCTATGACAAATCCACAGCCAATATCATGCTGAATGGGCAAAAACTGGAAGCATTCCCTTTGAAAACTGGCACAAGACAGGGATGCCCTCTCTCAACACTCCTATTCAACATAGTGTTGGAAGTTCTGGCCAGGGCAATTAGGCAGGAGAAGGAAATAAAGGGTATTCAGTTAGGAAAAGAGGAAGTCAAATTGTCCCTGTTTGCAGATGACATGATTGTATATCTAGAAAACCCCATTGTCTCAGCCCAAAATCTCCTTAAGCTGATAGGCAACTTCAGCAAAGTCTCAGGATACAAAATCAATGTACAAAAATCACAAGCATTCTTATACACCAATAACAGACAAACAGAGAGCCAAATCATGAGTGAACTCCCATTCACAATTGCTTCAAAGAGAATAAAATACCTAGGAATCCACCTTATAAGGGACGTGAAGGACCTCTTCAAGGAGAACTACAAACCACTCCTCAATGAAATAAAAGAGGATACAAACAAATGGAAGAACATTCCATGCTCATGTATAGGAAGAATCAATATCGTGAAAATGGCCATACTGCCCAAGGTAATTTATAGATTCAATGCCATCCCCATCAAGCTACCAATGACTTTCTTCACAGAATTAGAAAAAACTACTTTAAAGTTCATATGGAACCAAAAAAGAGCCCGCATCGCCAAGTCAGTCCTAAGCCAAAAGAACAAAGCTGGAGGCATCACGCTACCTGACTTCAAACTATACTACAAGGCTACAGTAACCAAAACAGCACGGTACTGGTACCAAAACAGAGATATAGATCAATGGAACAGAACAGAGCCCTCAGAAATAATGCCGCATATCTACAAATATCTGATCTTTGACAAACTTGAGAAAAACAAGAAATGGGGAAAGGATTCCCTATTTAATCAATGGTGCTGGGAAAACTGGCTAGCCATATGTAGAAAGCTGAAACTGGATCCCTTCCTTACACCCTATACAACAATCAATTCAAGATGGATTAAAGACTTAAACGTTAGATCTAAAACCATAAAAACCCTAGAAGAAAACCTACGCATTGCCATTCAGGACACTGGCATGGGCAAGGACTTCATGTCTAAAACACCAAAAGCAATGGCAACAAAAGCCAAAATTGACAAATGGGATCTAATTAAACTAAAGAGCTTCTGCACAGCAAAAGAAACTACCATCAGAGTGAACAGGCAACCCACAAAATGGGAGAAAATTTTCGCAACCTACTCATCTGACAAAGGGCTAATATCCAGAATCTACAATGAACTCAAACAAATTTACAAGAAAAAAACAAACAACCCCATCAAAAAGTGGGCGAAGGACATGAACAGACACTTCTCAAAAGAAGACATTTATGCAGCCAAAAAACACATGAAAAAATGCTCACCATCACTGGCCATCAGAGAAATGCAAATCAAAACCACAATGAGATATCATCTCACACCAGTTAGAATGGCGATCATTAAAAAGTCAGGAAACAACAGGTGCTGGAGAGGATGTGGAGAAATAGGAACACTTTTACACTGTTGGTGGAACTGTAAACTATTTCAATCATTGTGGAAGGCAGTGTGGCGATTCCTCAGGGATCTAGAACTAGAAATACCATTTGACCCAGCCATCCCATTACTGGGTATATACCCAAAGGACTATAAATCATGCTGCTATAAAAACACATGCACGCGTATGTTTATTGCGGCACTATTCACAATAGCAAAGACTTGGAACCAACACAAATGTCCAACAACGATAGACTGGATTAAGAAAATGTGGCACATATACACCATGGAATACTATGCAGCCATAAAAAAATGATGAGTTCATGTCCTTTGTAGGGACATGGATGAAATTGGAAATCATCATTCTCAGTAAACTATCGCAAGAACAAAAAACCAAACACCGCATATTCTCACTCATAGGTGGGAATTGAACAATGAGAACACATGGGCACAGGAAGGGGAACATCACACTCTGGGGACTGTTGTGGGGTCGGGGGAGGGGGGCGGGATAGCATTGGGAGATATACCTAATGCTAGATGACGAGTTAGTGGGTGCAGCGCACCAGCATGTCACATGTATACATATGTAACTAACCTGCACATTGTGCACATGTACCCTAAAACTTAAAGTATAATAATTGAAAAAAAGAAAAGCTTTTTAAAAATTAATAGTAAACCAATAATGCAATGATTCATCAAATACAGACTATCAAAGATATAGAAATTACAAAAAGAATTACTTGGAAATTCTGCAACTGAAAAGTATAACAACAACAACAACAACAACAATAAAACCTCTAAATATTTTTAAGTTAGCAGAAGAAAGCATCAAGGAATTTAAAGGTAGAACAATAGAGATTTTTCAATCTGAAAACAGGAAAAAAATTTAACAAGGAAAAATTAAAGACAAATGAACAAAGCCTAAGAGATTTGTGAGACTCTATTAAATATACAAGCATATGCATGATGGGAGTCCCAGAAGAAGAGGAAAAAGAAGGGAACAAAAATATTTTTAGAAAATAATGACTGAAAACTCCCTAAATTTGATGAAGCACATTAATCCACAAATATCAAAAGCTCAACAAACTGAAATTATGATAAATGCAAAGATCTGCACCTAGGCACATCATAAGTGCAGTGGTGAAAGTGAAAGAAAAAGTAAACAACACAAAACAAAATATCCTTGCAGTTGACAAGAGAAAAATAATTAATTGCACACAAGAGAGCCATAATGAAATTAACAGATGGCTTTTCATTGAAAATAATGAAATCCAAAAGAAAAAGGCAATGGGATGGAATATTAAAAGTGTAAAAGAGAAAATTGTCAACATGTCTTTCAAAAACAAGTTGAAATAAATTGCAAGACAAACGAGACAATGCGTTATGATTAAACCTGCCTTAAGTATATACTAAAGGATGTTCTTCAGGCAGAAAGAAAGCAACATCAAATGGTTCCTCAAATCCACATGAAGATATAAATTAAACTCCAAATACACAAGTATGTGGAATGTAAAACAACAGAAAAGCTTTGAATGTAAAACACACCATGCAAACATTAAATGAGAGTAAATGAGTAAAAATACAAGAAATGAAGTGGCAACATTAATATTAGACAAAATAGTCTTTAAGACAAAAAGTTACTAGAGACAAACTAGGAACTCATTAGAAAGAGATACAGACACAAACATATATGCATCTAACAAGAGACCTTCAATATACGTCAATATGCATGAAGCAAAAACAGAACAAAAGGGAAATAGACAATTCAATAAGAATAGTTATAGACGTCAATAAACCACTTTTACTAATAGAAGAATTAGAAAATCAGCAAGAGTGTAAGAGATGTGAACACCATTCACCTATTAGCCCTGTAATTTATAGAATACTCAATCTAATAGCACCAAAATACATATTCTTGTCAAGGGAATATGGAATATTCTCCAGGATAGGCTTGTCTAGGCTATAAAATAAGTATCAACATTTTTAATAGACAAAGATGTATTTATTCTGAAGAGAAACTACAAAAATAACAACTGTGTGAGGTAATGCATTTGTTGATTAACTATATTTAACCATTCTACAGGGTATATAGAATTATGTTGCACATGATAGGTACATACAATTTTATAATGTCAACTAAAAAATTATGTCACACGCAATAGGTAGATACAATTTTATAATGTCAACTAAAAAATAAATTTGAAAATTTGACAGTATCAATTGCTGGTTAGAATTTGGAACAAGCGCAACTCTCACACATTGCTGTTATGAATACAAAATGGTAGTGCAGTTTCTTATAAAGTTAAATATATGTTTTCTATACAACCCAACAATCTCACTCCTATTTTCTTGCCCTAGAGAAATGAAAACTTCTGTTCACACAAAAAACCCATACATGAACACTCATAGCAGTTCTATTCATTGCACAAAACTAGAAACAACCCAAATGTCCTTTGTAAACAAACTGTGGAGCAGCCATACAGTGGAATACCCTCAGGGATAGAAAGAAACAAACTCTTGATACACGGATTAACTTGGGTAATCTCAGAGATGTTGTGGTCAGTGAAAGTAGTAGCCAGTCTTAAAGGTTACATGTTGAATAATTATATTAATATGACATTTTCCCAAAAAGATCAGCCTGCAGTGGTAGCAGGTAGATCAGTTATTCCCAGGTTTTAGGTCAGGAAGAGGCTGTGAATACAAATAAGAGCATAAAGGCTTTCCTTTGTGATGATGAAATTGTTCTGTGTCCTGGCTGTGGTGGTTGTTAAATGAACTATCCATGCATTAAAAATCTTAAATCTGTATGTTGGCAGCAGGCCCCCCAAAATCTGGCCATAAACTGGACCCCAAACTGGCCATAAACAAAATCTCTGCAGCACTGTAACATATTCATAATGGCCCTAATGCCCAAGCTGGAAGGTTGTGGGTTTACGGGAATGAGGGCAAGGAACACCCGGCCTGCCCAGGGCGGAAAACTGCTTAAAGGCATTCTTAAGCCACAAACAATAGCATGAGCGATCTGTGCCTTAAGGACATGCTCCTGCTACAGTTAACTAGCCCAACCTATTCCTTTAATTTGGTCCATCCCTTCGTTTCCCATAAGGGACAGTTTTAATTAATTGAATATCTATAGAAACAATGCTAATGACTGGCTTGCTGTTAATAAATATGTGCGTAAATCTCTGTTTGGGGCTCTCAGCTCTGAAGGCTGTGAGACCCCTGATTTCCCACTTCACACCTCTATATTTCTGTGTGTGTGTGTCTTTAATTCCTCTAGGAACCTGGGTTAGGGTCTCCTGGACCGAGCTGGTCCCAGCATCTGTACATCAATCAAAATAAATTTTACTGTGTGTGAATGTAAAAATGACATTATGTGATTGGAATACATGATTCATTACCATGAAATCAAATTTGTGATTTCTTATATTAGACATTCTTGATTTTAAAATGTTTACGTAAAAAGGTTTACCATGTAAACACTAATCAGAAGAAAAGATTTGCTATATAAATATCATAAAAATTAGACTTAAAGACATGTATTATTAAATATAAAGAAGGACATTTGATAATGATAAAAGGGATCAGTTCACAGGAAGACATAACAATCCTAGATTTTAATTAACATTGCTTCAAGTTGTACAGTGCAAACTTGACAGAATTAAGATGAGAAATAATCCACAGTCATAGTTGCACTATAACATACCACTCTCAGTAGCCAATAAAACAGGAAGGCAAAACAACAATAATAATGAAACTTAGTTAAGATAAAGAAGATTTGAACAACATGATTAACCAACTTTCTGTAATTAAGAGGAGCGTTTCATCACCATCACGTCAGATAATGGCAACAATTCTATTTATTTTGACATGTTATGTGTACATGTGTTGCTAAAATGTTTTTCCTTAAACATTAACAAATCCAATCAGTGGAACCACATCCAGATAGCAAATAAATAGAAAATACTGTGTCATTAGATATTGTCTATTATATAACTCCAGTGACTCACAGGAATGAATACATATAGTAAACCTCAGTGTGAGTTCTGAGGGGCCAGGTTACTGCTAAGGGAGAGTCATTGCCCAGGCTTCTATGAGTAAATCACCAATGGAATAACATATTAATGAGAAAGCATGTGAATATTCAGGTTATTGTACAAAATGCAACAGTGGATTACTCTCATCCTGCTTTACAAATAAGTTACATTTCCCTTCTCATTATTAAATGTATACTTTTGAAATACAGAAGAATATACATAAGAAAATACAAATTCTCCACAATACTGCCACTAAAGGACAGAATTGCTAAATATCCTGGTTCATTTTTCATTTCCTTTCACAATTTTATTTTGCATATGCAAATATATATGCATACATTATATCATTATGGTTTTTATCTGTAATCTCTACAACTTGTTAATATTTTACTGTATGTCCTTTTGCATATCAATATCCTGAAAACATTATTTTATATCACTGATTAATGTATATTCTAAGACATAGAAGTCTATTTTGAAACTGTATTGTTAAAAATTTGCAAACAATAAAATATTTCTTTGCATCTTTATTTTTTATGGGCAGACACACAGAGGTGAAGCTGCTGTGTCAAAAGGAATTAGTAATTTCAGTGTACTAATTGCCAAAATAATTTCTCAAATGGTTGTTCTGATTTCTATTTCCTCCAGCAGAAAATTAGAATGCTCACTTCTCTGACTTTCTTCATCATTGCATTACCATAAAATATGATTGCCTATTTTTAGGTAAATGTGCATTTCTTTAATTATTGTAAAAATGTTTTGTCTATGTAACCATTTTATTTTTCTAAAATTGTCATCTTTTGCATATTTGTATTGATATTTTCATATTGATTCATAAGAACTAATTTTAAGGTAAAATATTAATTCTGTCTTTCATTTAATCATAAATACTTAAAGGTTTGCTTTATCATCTAATTATGCTTAATATAATGCTTTAGTTATATAGTCTTATATAGTCAGATTAATCAATGTTTTTCCCTGTATTCTGATACTCTTGTGTTTAGAGATTTTTTTCCCAGGTAAAATGAAGACCTTAATGATAATATTTTTGTTTTTTATGATTTTATTGCTACAGTTTATTCTGTGAGATATTTATGTTAGTGCTCAGTGCAAAGTAGGATTCTAACTTTATTTCCAAATAATTAGCTAAATTCCAAATTTCGTATTTTGGGAAATTATACTTTTCTTATTGGTTTGTAGTACTTTCTTTGTAATTATCTCATATTATAACCAAGTAGTTTAGGTTCAAAACACATTAAAAATTTTTTTCTTTCTTTTTTCTCCTTTCCTCCTAGTCTCAAGACTTGAAGCAAATTTCAGAAGCCTTTTTTTCCCTCCTTAGTCTTAAAATATAGCTTGAAGTGTACTTTTTAAAACTCTACATCCCTCCCTTTCCCACCATACACTTCCTTACACTATGCACATTTATCTAACTGTATGCTTGTGAAGCTTACACCATGCACACTTATCTATGTGCTTACTTGGGAGTTCCAGGGACTAATCTTGAGACACACCAAGCATGGAGACCCAGTTGCAAAATTCTGAAGATTACTTCATGGTAGTTAGTCAACAACCCAGCCATTGTTGAGACAATGCCAGCCTGAGTTCCAGGTGGACTGCAACTCAAGATAGCCACCGGAATAAGACACACAGACTTTGTACCCAGCACAATTCCCACATGCTTCCCGTACCAAGTTCCGTTTTTTAGCCCCTCTCCCCAACCTAAAGTTTGAAATGGTTTCTTTAAGGCACTAACCTTGGCCATTTCCCTATGGCTGACTCTAGATTAAAGTCACTTTCCTTCTGCTGTGCTTCTTCCTTGTTTACCAGCTTTATACATAGCAAGCAGACAACCTTGCTTTTGATTATAATATATGAAAGAAGTTCATGTGTAATGAACTTGGTATTAAAATGTTTATGTAAAAAGGTGTTTACCTTGTAAACACTAACCAGAATAAAAGATTTGCTATATAAATATCATAAAAATTAGTCTTTAAGGCATGTATTATTAAATATAGAGAGAGACATTTGATAATGATGAAAGGGATCAATTCACAGGAAGACATAATCCTAGATTTGAACTTCTTACATATTTACATATAATTATTGATATCAACAATCAATTTGACTGCAGATTCTTGTTCATATTCCAAATGTTTTCATTTATTGTAATGTTATAGTATTTTCCTATCTCATTGGACAATTTTCTTCATTATTATTTTTTATTAGTAGTAAATATTTCTTGGTTAATCTCAGTAGCTTATAATCAGAAAACTTTTAGACAATTAATAATTTAAGTTCCATCAAACTTCTACTATGGTTTTGTTGGAATTACAGTGAAACTAAAAATAACTGGTATACTTTTACCGTTTAATCTTTTCAGTATGTGTTTTCTATTTTCTAGTACGTTTGACTTTGGACAACATGAGTTTGAACTACACAGGTCCACTTATACGCGGATTGTTTTCAGTAAAATTACACCAAGTGTGTCTGTCTCTCCTGTTTCTCCTTCCACCTCCTCCACTTCACCCTTTGCTATCCCTTAGACAGCAAGATCAACCCCTCTTTCTTCCTCCTCCTTCTCAGCCTACTCAACAAGATGATGAGAATAAAGACCTGTATGATGATCCACTTTCACTTAATGAATAGTATATTTTCTCTTCCTTATGATTTTCTTAATAATATGTTCTTTTCTCTAGCTTACTTTATCATAAGAATACAGTATATAATACATATAACATACAAAATATGTGTTGACTGTTTATATTATTAGTAAGGCTTCCAGTGAAGTAAATAGTAAAGTTTCGTGGGGTTCAAAATTATACACAATTATTTTTACTGTGCAGGGCTCAGTGCCCCTAAGTCCTGCATTGCTCAAGGGTCAACAGAATATAGATATGTCTCTCTCTCTGTGTGTGTGTGTGTGTGTGTGTGTGTGTGTGTAAAGTTTACTTCATATAGTTCTCACATATTATATTTGCAGATAAATATTGTTTATTATGTTAAGAAATACTGTATATTGTAGTTCGCCAAGAATTCTATCAGGAATGGGAATTGAGTTATCACAAATTATTTCAGAATCCACTTAGATGATCATATACTTATTTTTGAAATTATGTGTTAATAGTTTTCAGTATTTAGCCATCCACACTCCTTAGGTTACCTTTTCTGTAGCTGTTTTCTTTCTCCCTTTTTTTCTTTTCTATTCTATTTAGAAACCTATATAATTGTATCTCTGACAAAGGTATTTTCAATAAGTTACAATGTTTGGTAAATAGAATGATCTATATCAACGAGCTAAATAGTGTGGAAGTCTGAGAAAAGAGTATCTATTGATTACCAAACTTAGGCAATTAGGCTGTGATTTTTTTTTACATACAGGTAGTCTTTGCTTTGCAAAATGGTACTTGGAAATCAAAATGATCATATAAACTGAGACCATGCAAAGTGATCTAAATAATCACTGGGAAAAATACAATTTTCCTGTAATCTTTAACATTTTTGATAAAAGATCAGAAACTCCCTTACTCTCAGTTATAAATACATAGAGAAATGAAAAACAGAAAAACATTTTTGTAGAATATAATTTTAAAACATTAGAAACAATGAGAAATAAAACATTTTATTTCTTTGTAAAAAAAAAGTATCACAAATAGTTTGAACAGAATTTGCCTTCTTCTTGCCATATAAGATTATGCAGAGCAAGCATCGTTTCTATGCTTTGACAAAGCATTCTCCTTTTTTCTAAATTTGAATTATCTTCCAACATTTTATCCTTTGCACTTTCAAAGTGGTGAACTATCTTGAAGAGTTTCTTTTTTATTTTTTTATGTGAAGATTTTTGCTGATGCCACTTTCCTCTATGATGGCTTCACCCTTTTGTCACTACCACTTTCTTCCTTTAGGTTGATAAGTTCACCTTTCATAATTCCCTCAGGCTGCGAATCTAGAATCTGAAGAGTAAAAGTATCAACATTCCCTCCATCAGTTATTCTTCCATAACTGCATTTACATTGGTTTCAAATTTTACTTCCAGCATTATCACTTCTCAATTCTTTTTAATTTCTTCACTCTACTTTCATCTTTGCTGACCAGCCCCTCTTTCTTTAGCTATGATTATTATTATTATTGAGACAGGTTCTTGCTCTGTCACCCAGGCTGGTATGCAGTGGTGCAGCCATAGCTCACTGTAACCTTAAACTCCTAGTCTCAGTTGATCCTCCCATTTCTGCCTCCCAAAGCGCTGGGATTACAGGTGTGAGCCACTGTTCCAGGTCTTGATTAGCCATTTTTAAAAATGGCATGTGAGTTTAACACTGGAAAGCACTTGGGCAATACAACTATGTGCTTTTCTGTTTGTGCATGAACTGAATGAACAGATCAGTAACCAATCAGTGACAGATTTTGAAAGAAGGAATGTGATTGCTCATTGATTATGATGTTAATCTGTTATTTGTAGAGTGGTTCATAGACTGAAAAGCTAGCAGCTAAGTTTATCCTTTATGCAAACACTCACAGTTAATGTGTGAGTTAATATGACGTGGTAACTGAAATGTGAGCCATGTTGTTGGGGGCACTTGTGTTATTTATTTATTTATTTGTTTATTTATTTATTTATTTATTTATTTATTTATTTATTTTGAGACGGAGTCTCCTTCTGTTGCCCAGGCTAGAGTGCAGTGGCGCCATCTCGGTTCACTGCAAGCTTCGCCTCCCGGGTTCACTCCATTCTCCTGCCTCAGCCTCCGGAGTAACTGGGACTACAGGCGCCCGCCACCACGCCCGGCTAATTTTTTGTATTTTTAGTAGAGATGGGGTTTCACCACGTTAGCCAGGATAGTCTCGATCTCCTGACCTCGTGATCCGCCCACCTCGGCCTCCCAAAGTGCTGAGATTGCAGGCATGAGCCACTGCGCCCAGCCGGCACTTGTGTTATTTAACTAAACATTGGTAACTCAAATTTGTGTGCAGTGAGAAGTACATGTTTAGACTTGATAACTTTTAATGCAAATATGTATTTATTCTATCTTTAGTATAAGTATTCTATTTGTGAACTAAAACTTTAAAGCTAGTATCTTTTTGTTTCCAGTGAGTCCTGTTTCACTCCTCCTCTTTAAAGGTTTCATCAGCACTTGCTCTGTGAATGGTGAACGGGGATTGCCAGTAACTTCTTATGTAGGAAAGATATTGCATTCTGTTATTTTAAAAGATAATATTGAATTATACTACTATTGTTTGATTCTGAAATACTACTGTCTTCAATATGAAACTAGATTATGTAAACCTTTGTGGAAGATATATTTAACTTATAATTTTAACAAGTAAAACATTTTAAGCTAATGGAATCATAATTAGTAGTTAAAGAAATTTGAATGTATTTTACATCATGTAGTTAGCTATGGGAAAAAAAAACTTTTACATATTCATTTATTTTGAAGGTATAAAAGTCAATACACATGGTACTATGACTTTTAAAAATTTACTTCATTTATACACCTGGGATTTGGATTAATAGTACTTATACAATATAAATACTCAATTTCATAAGTGCCTAGCATCTTTTGTTTGATTTCTTCAAAACTTTTATTTATGCTCATTTGAAAAGTCTCAAATCTTTTTCTCCATTGATGGTTCACCTTAATTTGAAGGTGATCATTATCCATGAGATTATATAGAGTATTTATATGATTTTTAAAATTTAATATTAGCAACACAATTTATCAGAGGATATTTTCTTTTCTTTTTTTTCTTTTTTTGGTAAAATAAAGAACATTAAAAACACTTCTGGAACTGATGGACTTTATGTTAAGTGAAATAAGCCAGGCACAGAAAAGACAAATTTCACATGTTCTTACTCATAAGTGAGAACTAAAAATTTTTAATAATGAACTCATACAGTCAAATGATAGTTACTAGAAGATGAATAACATAACAGTGTGACTATAGTTAGCAATAATCTATTGCATATTTTAAAATAAAATAAAAGAGTGGAATTGAGATGTTCCTAACACAAAGAAAATGACAAAGAAATTGAGTAATGAATACCCCAATTACCCTGATTTGATCATTGCACATTGTATGACTGTATAAAAACATCACATGTACCCCCCATAAATATGTATAATTATTAGGTACCCATAAAATTAAAAATTAAAAATAAACAAAAACACTTTTGCAACTTCTGTTTTTCTGTTCTAACACAATAAATACACTCTCACTTGTTATGTGTTCTCATAGTTACCATGCACTCTACTTATTATTCATTCATTTAGTTGATACACAAGTCAAACCTTGTTTTCATGGAAATTCTAACACTATAGGGGAGAGAGGCAAAAGTAAGTATTACAGATGGTCCAATTACATAGTATTTTAGGAGGTGATACATGTAATAAAAATAAAGCAATTTTATATAATAGTCAGGGTCCAGAAGCAGTATAGGGAATGAACAACATGGCTGTTTGGAGGAAGAATATTTTCTACAGAGTGCAAGGTCCTGAGGTGGAAACTTGCCTAGTATGCTGATAAAATGAAGGAGAACAGTGATGGCGGAGCACAGTGGGGAAGTGGTAGTAATAGAAAAGATTACAGAGTAACAAAGGACCAGCTAGTCTAAATTCTTGTAAGTCAGTGTAAGGACTTCAGTTTCTACCCTGAGAGAGCTAAGGAGCCATTGAATGATTTGTAGAGGAGATATATTGTGATTCCATTGCTAATAGGTTCACTCTGGCTGTTGCACTGAGAACAAACTTAAGGGAAACAGGAGTAAGGGTAAGAAAACCAGTTAGGTGAGTATTGTAGTAATTTAGGTGAAAAATGATATTGGCTCGGACTAAGGTAGCAGCAGTAGGAGTCTTAAGTGATTAGATTCAACATATAATTTGAAAGTAGACATGACTAGATTTGCTGATGGATTGGATATGTATGAAAGATGAGATGAGCCAAGGATGCTTCCTGGAGTTTTGACCTGAGGCTCATATTTTGACCTCAGAAGATGGCAGTAGGAGTACGTTTTAGAGGAACGTCAGGAACTCTGTTTTGGATGTGTAAATCTGAGATGACCCTCAGACACTCAGATGGCGATGTTGAGGAGGCTGTCGTATTTAAAACTCTGGATTACTGACAAGGGTTTTAAACTAGAGGTATTAATTATTATATATAATTTCATGGAATTACGAGCCATATCTACTTTGTTTATTTCAGTGTGCCCCATACCTATACAACATCTAGTACTTACAAGGTACTTGAGAAATATCTGTTGAGTGAGTGAATACACAAACAGCGAGTCATGTGCTGGTAAATGATTTTAATCACAGGTACTCCTGGATAAACAACAAAAAACACAACTCCTGATTTGTAGTGTTTCCAGATTTCTGTGGTGTAAATACTTCTCCCATGACTTAAAGCTATCAAAGTAGTATCATCGAATATTACTTTGTATTCCAGTTGGGAAGAAATGTGCACAACTGTTTCCTTCTAGGTGGTATAAACAGGCTCTAGAACACAACTGGGCCCACTGTTGATTAGTGATATAATCATAGACATACTTTCCCTTACTTACAGGAGTGTGTAACAGATAATTTTAAATAGTCTTGATACTTGGGCAGGTGTGAAGGAGAAACATCTTATAGATGATAATACAAGCTCAAAATAATGAACTTAAGCAAATATTAAAATCCTGTGTGACATAGCACAAGAAACACTACAAACACTGTGCTAATTTATCCCTGTAGCCTTCAGGCAGGCTTCTATTACTCCAAACAGGTGATGTCTCCTTATACAATTCTGGGGGAAATTATTTTACTGCTTACAACATATTATGATGTTACCAGGACTCTCTTGCCAGAACTGTCTTTACAATTTATGTCAGACATCAAATGTGTTTTTAAAATGTTGCTGTACCAAGATCAAGTGGGCTTCATCCCTGGGATGCAAGGCTGGTTCAACATACACAAATCAATAAACATAATCCAGCGTATAAACAGAACCAACGACAAAAAGCATATGATTATCTCAATAGATGCAGAAAAGGCCTTTGACAAAATTCAACAACGCTTCATGCTAAAAACTCAATAAATTAGGTATTGATGGGACGTATCTCAAAATAATAAGAGCTATCTATGACAAACCCACAGCCAATATCATACTGAATGGGCAAAAACTGGAAGCATTCCCTTTGAAAACTGGCACAAGACAGGGATGCCCTCTCTCAACACTCCTATTCAACATAGTATTGGAAGTTCTGGCCAGGGCAATTAGGCAGGAGAAGGAAATAAAGGGTATTCAATTAGGAAAAGAGGAAGTCAAATTGTCCCTGTTTGCAGATGACATGATTGTATATCTAGAAAACCCCATTGTCTCAGCCCAAAATCTCCTCAAGCTGATAGGCAACTTCAGCAAAGTCTCAGGATACAAAATCAATGTACAAAAATCACAAGCATTCTTATACACCAATAACAGACAAACAGAGAGCCAAATCATGAGTGAACTCCCATTCACAATTGCTTCAAAGAGAATAAAATACCTAGGAATCCAACTTACAAGGGACGTGAAGGACCTCTTCAAGGAGAACTACAAACCACTGCTCAATGAAATAAAAGAGGATACAAACAAATGGAAGAACATTCCATGCTCATGGGTAGGAAGAATCAATATTGTGAAAATGGCCATACTGCCCAAGGTAATTTATAGATTCAATGCCATCCCCATCAAGCTACCCATGACTTTCTTCACAGAATTGGAATAAACTACTTTATAGTACATATGGAACCAAAAAAGAGCCCGCATTGCCAAGACAATCCTAAGCCAAAAGAACAAAGCTGGAGGCATCACACTACCTGACTTCGAACTATACTACAAGGCTACAGTAACCAAAACAGCATGGTACTGGTACCAAAACAGAGATATAGATCAATGGAACAGAACAGAGCCCTCAGAAATAATGCCACATATCTACAACTATCTGATCTTTGACAAACCTGACAAAAACAAGAAATGGGGAAAGGATTCCCTATTTAATCAATGGTGCTGGGAAAACTGGCTAGCCATATGTAGAAAGCTGAAACTGGATCCCTTCCTTACACCTTATACAAAAATTAATTCAAGATGGATTAAAGACTTAAATGTTAGACCTAAAACCATAAAAATCCTAGAAGAAAACCTAGGCAATACCATTCAGGACATAGGCACGGGCAAGGACTTCATGTCTAAAACACCAAAAGCAATGGCAACAAAAGCCAAAATTGACAAATGGGATCTAATTAAACTAAAGAGCTTCAGCACAGCAAAAGAAACTACCATCAGAGTGAATAGGCAACCTACAGAATGGGAGAAAATTTTCGCAACTTACTCATCTGACAAAGGGCTAATATCCAGAATCTACAATGAACTCAAACAAATTTACAAGAAAAAAACAAACAACCCCATCAAAAAGTGGGCAAAGGATATGAACACACACTTTTCAAAAGAAGACATTTATGCAGCCAAAAGACACATGAAAAAATGCTCATCATCACTGACCATCAGAGAAATGCAAATCAAAACCACAATGAGATACCATCTCACACCAGTTAGAATGGCGATCATTAAAAAGTCAGGAAACAACAGGTGCTGGAGGGAATATAGAGAAATAGGAACACTTTTACACTGTTGGTGGGACTGTAAACTAGTTCAACCATTGTGGAAGTCAGTGTGGTGATTTCTCAGGGATCTAGAACTAGAAATACCATTTGACTCAGACATCCTATTACTGGGTATATACCCAAAGGATTATAAATCATGCTGCTATAAACACACATGCACATGTATGTTTATTGCGGCACTATTCACAATAGCAAAGACTTGGAACCAACCCAAATGTCAAACAATGATGGACTGGATTAAGAAAATGTGGCACATATACACCATGGAATACTATGCAGCCATAAATTATGATGAGTTCATGTTCCTTGTAGGGACATGGATGAAGCTGGAAACCATCATTCTCAGCAAACTATCACAAGGACAAAAAACCAAACATCACATGTTCTCACTCATAGGTGGGAATTGAACAATGAGAACACATGGACACAGGAAGGGGAACATCACACACTGGGACCTGTTGTGGGGTGGGGGGAGGGGGGAGGGATAGCATTAGGAGATATACCTAATGTTAAAAGACAAGTTAATGGGTGCAGCACACCAACATGGCACATGTATACATATGTAACAAACCTGCGCGTTGTGCACATGTACCCTAAAAGTTAAAGTATAATAAAAAATAATAAAATAAAATAAAATGTTGCTGTAAAAAATATACCTCAAAAGTATTTAAACAAAGTTTAATCAATTTGTCCTATTTTGGAGTCCACATTGTTTTGCATGTATCTCAGAGTCATTATATTTTAAAAGTGTTCATTTTAATTAATTTTGTTTTTAAAATTTATTGTGGTAAAATATATATAACATAAAGTTTGCCATTTTAACCATTGTAAGTGTACAGTTCAATGGCAATAAGTACATTTACACTATTGTACAACCATACCACCACTCATCTCAGAACTTTAATAATTATTTGACATTATTTGGTTTTGTGTGAAAGAATAGCATTTTGTTGTAGATGATGAAAAAAAGAAAACTATAAAAGAAAATAAAATTATCCAAAGTCTCAACATTCAGAGAAAATTCAATCCATATTCACCTCATGGCACATATAAAACTATATCGGACTGTTAAATCCATGGTCTAAAAATTTCTCATGTGTTAAAAATCCTGCTGAGTCTAGAATTAGATTAAGAATCTGACTGTGTCTAATGAAGTGGTGGAGCTGCAAACCCCAGTTGTCTAATCTGCAGCATTTATTTAATATACCAATGAGGAAACCTCAATAAAAATGATTTATGCTCAGAGTGATGAGGCATAGGGAAGAAAGGGTATGCACAATTTCTCATGCTGGACATTTGATTTAGAACTGAACCCTATGATGAGAGAACTGCAAGTAGAAGATGAAGGAACTTTGGGTATTAAGAAATTGGTAATACATGGCCGGCCGTGGTGGCTCACGCCTGTAATCCCAGCACTTTGGGAGGCTGAGGTGGGCGGATCACGAGGTCAGGAGATCGAGACCATCCTGGCTAACACAGTGAAACCCCATCTCTACTACAAAATACAAAAAAAATTTAGCAGGGCGTGGTAGCAGGCGCCTCTAGTCCCAGCTATGCAGGAGGCTGAGGCAGGAGAATGGAGTGAACCCGGCAGGCGGAGCTTGCAGTGAGCCGAGATTGCGCCCCTGCATTCCAGTCTGGGCAACAGAGTGAAACTCTATCTCACAAAAAAAAAAAAAAAAAAAAAAAAAAAAAGAAAGAAAGAAAGGAAATTGGTAATACATTTAGCAACATGTAGGGATGAGATATTCTTCCATATTCTATTTAGAATACAATAGGCTTCACAAAAATGTCATGCTGAGGGCAAAGTTTGTAACTTGTGAATCTTGCAGATTTGGATGCAATGTGTTAAAAATAGCAATATGGAAAAGGAGATGGCATCCTACTCCAGTGAAATGGTCATACTCTTTATGGAAGTGTTGACATTGCTGTAGAAGTACTGTGTTAGTTTGTTTTCACAAGGCTATAAAGATACTACCCAAGACTGGGTAATTTATAAACAAAGGTTTAGTAGACTCACAGTTCTGCATGGCCAGGGAGACCTCAGGAAACTTACAGTCATGGCAGAAGAGGAAACAGGCACATCTTACATGGTGGCAGGTGAGACAGAGCAAGCAAGAGCAGGGAAAACTGTTTTATAAAATCATCAGATCCCACGAGAACTCACTCACTATAGTAAGAACAGCATGGGAGAAACCAGCCCCATAATCCAATCACCTCATACCTGGTTCCTCCCTTGACACATAGGGATTATGGGGGTTACAATTCAAAATGAGATTTGTGTGGGGAAACAGAGCCAAACCATACCAAGTGCTAAAGAAGACTACTGATAAGTTCTTACCACTATCCTCTCCCCGACTATCCTCACTAGGGACACTGAAATAATTAGGACACTATAGCAAGAAATGGTTTATAAGTAAAAGTTATGAATCAAAGAAATTTAAATATTCATGTTAACGTTACCATATTTATACACAAGGGCATGGAGACTTGGAAGAATTGTGGCTATATTCAAATATGTAATTTTTTATTTCTACATAAAATTTCGTTTTTGGATGCTCTATAATTTGTTAGATCATTTTCTTTTCTTGGGAATTTTAGTTGTTTTCAGTTCTTTGCATTTTGGTTTGAAAACTATCTTTAAATATGAGTTTTTATTAAAAATCTATTATTATTTCTTAAAAATTAAATCCTGAGTAGAAAAAATGACTCAAAGGATGTATGAATTGACAATCACCCTCCTAAGAGATTTTTACCAATTTATATCCAAATGTTAGGATAAACTATATAAAATACTAATTGATAATTTTAAACTGTAAAAATTGCAATTTCATAAAAAATATGTGTAAAAATGCCTGTTTCATTGCATGCTTACCAACCTCTTATCATTTTTCTTACATAAAAAGTGGTATTTCATGGCCTTTTCATTCATTTATTTACTTTTATAATTCATTTATTCATCAATCCAGAGTGCATCCTTACTATGTTCAAACCAGTATGACAGGCATGAGAATGCAAAGGGGACTAAGAACATTCAGCCTGCCTTTATGGTACTTACAAGTCTCTTAGACCAAATTATCAACCAAACAGTCTTAAACAGAAACATAAAATTTATATTTCATAAATAAATATAAATATGAAAATGTTATGATTGTCATGTGCTATGGGAATCTATAAGGAAACAGCTAATTTATATTGGGAGCATCATGGAAAGTGTCTCTGTAAAAGTGACGTTTGAACTGTTATCTAAAAGAGGAGTACATTTAGCTAATGAGGAATTGGAAGAAGAGAATTTGAGGGAGAAGGAAAACTGTGTATTCAAAGATTTTATGGCAAAAAGATAGGATCATCCATTTATGAACTTGAAAGAGGATCTGAGTGGTTGAAACAGAGATTAGGCCAATTGAATTATCTAATGAAATTTTACTGGATTAAGAATATTATTCTTCTCATAAGTGCAATGGAAACGTTGTAGGATTCTAAATAGGGGTGTGGAAAATATTTTCTCATGTATGTTTTGAAAACATAATTCTGTGTTGCAATATGAACACATTAGGGTAGGTTAAGCCTGGATGCGGGGAGACCAATTAGGCAATTTTAGTAGACCAGAAAAGACATGAGGGTGGCTTGGAGTAGGGAAGTGGGAGTAAAGGCAGAAAAAATGTAATAGATTTGTGAGTTATTTGAACAACTGGATGAATGCTTGCACTTTTTATTGAAACACTGAAAGAGGGAAATATCTGGAGGTAAGATGATGGGTTTTGTGGAATTTAAAGGGCCTTTCAGACATCCAAGTAGAAATGTCAAGGAGGTAACTGAGTATACATGACCACACATCAAAGAAGTGTTACCAATGGAATTTTATATTTGTGAATTATTTGCTTCTTTGAGTTTTAAGCCAAATACATGAATTATCTATTAAAAAATTGAACTAAATTTTATAGAATAAAACAAGTCTGTATATCCTGATGCTAAAGTATATCTAAGATCTATAATTTGTCAAATAAATGTTTAATAACAGCATGTTAATTCATATGACATAATTTTATACTGTTTTAATAAAGGAAATATATCTGTGTATATATACACACACATATATACACAGATATATATAGATATGTATGTATATAATGTACTATACATGAGTGCATAGGGAGAGAAAGAAAGTACATATAATAAAAAACTGGGGGGAGCATTGCAATGTGGATGTGACGGTCATAGGTTGGTGATATTTAGAGGGTAGGATAACAATGGGTAAAAGTTAAATTTAACTTTCTAATACTTATATATTTTTGTTTTTTCACTGTGAATGTGTGGCTCTTACAATGAATAAGAAAAAATATGTTTAAGTATAAGACTGGGAAGGACGATGAATCAGGATCAGCAACTGGGGACTGGGATAAAATCGATTCCAAGAGCTTTTGCCATATATTACAACTTTGAGTTATCTGCTTCCCAAGCTATATCCAAAGTTCAAATGAGACAAAAAGATACTTCAGTAGAAAATATGCTTTATCCTTTCTTGCAGTTTTATCTTTGTATCAAACCAGACCATCTGGAATCTTTGCTCAGATACATGTTTAGTACCTGAAAATGTCGTTCACTGAGTTCCACTCTGGTACCATGGCTTTGGCCCACTCGGTGGAATGCTAAATAAAAATACACAGGAAACCTGCTTTTGCATTTATGACAGTGTATTTGAGGATATTTTCTTCTTTTTACTCATACAAATAATTCCTTGAAACTCAAGTATCAGAAATTCTTTAGCACTTAAGGAATGTGTATGTACTGTCTTTACAGAGAGTGTAAACAATATTACTAATTTTACATACTTTTTTGTATAATTATCAAGAGACTCAGAGACATATTTGAAGTTTAACTTTTATAAGAAATTAAGACTGTTTGACCCCAATGTCTACTTTACAAATTTACTTTGGCATGACTTCATATATATAACAACCTGGTCTTGTTTTATATTGACGTATTTTTTTCTCCAATCTTAATTTTTTATTCATTTATATTTGTCTGTTCATTGTATAGATTCTTATGTGTCTATAATTCAGAAGAAAATCAATAAGACACAGTTCCAAGATGGCCAAATAGGAACAGCTCCAGTCTACAGCTCCCAGTGTGAGCGACGCAGAAGATGGGTGATTTCTGCATTTCCAACTGAGTTACCGGGTTCATCTCACTGGGGTTTGTCAGACAGTGGGTACAGGACAGTGGGTGCAGCCCACCGAGCGAGAGCCGAGGCAGGGTGAGGCATCGCCTCACCTGGGAAGCACAAGGGGTCAGGGAAGTCCCTTTCCTAGTCAAGGGAAGCTGTGACAGACGGCACATGGAAAATTGGGTCACTCCCACCCTAATACTGCACTTTTCCAATAGTCTTAGCAAACGGCACACCAGGAGATTATATCCTGCGCCTGGCTCAGAGGGTCCCACACCCAAGGAGCCTTACTCATTGCTAGCACAGCAGTCTGAGATCGAGCTGCAAGGAGGCAGTGAGGCTGCTGGAGGGGCACCCGCCATTGCTAAGGCTTGAGTAGGTAAACAAAGCGGCCAGGAAGCTTGAACTGGGTGGAGCCCACTGCAGCTCAAGGAGGCCTGCCTGCCTCTGTAGACTCCACCTCTGGGGGCAGGGCATAGCTGAACAAAAGGCAGCAGAATCCTCTGCAGACGTAAATGTCCCTGTCTGACAGCTTTGAAGAGAGTAGTGGTTCTCCCAGCAGGGAGTTTGAGATCTGAGCACGGACAGACTGCCTCCTTAAGTGGGTCCTTGACCCCTGAGTAGCCTAAATGGGAGGTACCCCTCCAGTAGGGGCAGACTGACACCTCAAACAGCCAGGTACCACTCTGAGATGAAGCTTCCAGAGGAACGATCATTCCAGCAGCAACATTTGCTGTTCAACAATATTTGCTGTTCTGCAGCCTCCACTGCTGATACCCTGGCAAACAGGGTCTGGAGTGGACCTCCAGCAAACACCAACAGACCTGCAGCTGAGGGTCCTGACTGTTAGAAGGAAAACTAACAAATAGAAAGGACATCCGCACCAAAACCCCATCTGTATGTCACCATCATCAAAGAGCAAAGGTAGATAAAACCACAAAGATGGGGAAAAAACAGAGCAGAAAAGCTGAAAATTCCAAAAATCGGAGCACCTCTCCCCCTCCAAAGGAAAGCAGCTCCTCGCTAGCAATGGAACAAAGCTGGATGGAGAATGACTTTGACAAGTTGAGAGAAGAAGCCTTCAGATGATCAAACTTCTCTGAGCTAAAGGAGGAAGTTTGAACCCATCGCAAAGAAGCTGAAAACCTTGAGAAAAGATTAGACAAATGGCTAACTAGAATAACCAGTGTAGAGAAGTCCTTAAATGACCTGATAGAGGTGAAAGCCATGGCACGAGAACTATGTGACAAATGCACAAGCTTCAGTAGCCGATTTGATTAACTGGAAGAAAGGGTATCAGTGATTGAAGATCAAATTAATGAAATGAAGCAAGAAGAGAAGTTTAGAGAAAAAAGAATAAAAAGAAATGAACAAAGCCTCCAAGAAATATGGGACTATGTGAAAAGACCAAATCTACCTCTGATTGGTGTACCTGCAAGTGACGGGGAGAATGGAACCAAGTTGGAAAACACTCTGCAGGATATTATCCAGGAGAATTTCCCCAACCTACCAACGCAGGCCAACATTCAAATTCAGGAAATACAGAGAATGCCACAAAGATACTCCTCGAGAAGAGCAACTCCAAGACGCATAATCGTCAGATTCACCAAAGTTGAAATGAAGGAAAAAATGTTAAGGGCAGCCAGAGAGAAAGGTCGGGTTACCCACAAAGGAAAGCCCATCAGACTAACAGCGGATCTCTTGGCAGAAACTCTACAGGCCAGAAGAGAGTGGGGGCCAATATTCAACATTCTTAAAGAAAAGAATTTTCAACCTAGAATTTCATATCCAGCCAAACTAAGCTTCATAAGTGAAGGAGAAATAAAATCCTTTACAGACAAGCAAATGCTGAGAGATTTTGTCACCACTAGGCCTGCCCTAAAAGAGCTCCTGAAGGAAGCACTAAAAATAGAAAGGAGCAACTGGTAGCAGCCATTGCAAAAACATGCCAAATTGTAAAGACCATCAATGCCAGGAAGAAACTGCATCAACTAACGAGCAAAATAACCAGCTAACATCATAATGACAGGATCAAATTCGCACATAACAATATTAACCTTAAATGTAAATAGGCTAAATGCTCCAATTAAAAGACACAGACTGGCAAACTGGATAAAGAGTCAAGAACCATCAGTGTGCTGAATTCAGGAGACCCATGTCACATGCAGAGACACACATAGGCTCAAAATAAAGGGATGGAGGAAGATCTACCAAGCAAATGGAAAACAAAAAAAAATGCAGGGGTTGCAATCCTAGTCTCTGATAAAACAGACTTTAAACCAACAAAGATCAAAAGTGACAAAGAAGGCCATTACATAATGGTAAAGGGATCAATTCAACAAGAAGAGCTAACTATCCTAAATGTATATGCACCCAACACAGGAGCACCCAGATTCATAAAGCAAGTCCTTAGAGACCTACAGAGACTTTGACTCCCACACAATAATAATGCAAGACTTTAACACTCCCCTGTCAACATTAGACAGATCAACAAGACAGAAAGTTAACAAGGGTATCCAGGAATTGAACTCAGCTCTGCACCAAGTGGACCTAATAGACATCTACAGAACTCTCCACCGCAAATCAACAGAATATACATTCTTCTCAGCACCACGTTGCACTTATTCCAAAATTGACCACACCGTTGGAAGTAAAGCACTCCTCAGCAAATATAAAAGAACAGAAATTATAGCAAACTGTCTCTCAGACCACAGTGTAATCAAAATAGAACTCAGGATTAAGAAACTCACTCAAAACTGCTCAAGTGCATGGAAACTGAACAACGTGCTCCTGAATGACTACTGGGTAAATAACTAAATGAAGTCAGAAATAAAGATGAGAACAAAGACACAACATACCAGAATCTCTGAGACACATATAAAGCTGTGTGTAGAGGGAAATTTATACCACTAAATGCCCACAAGAGAAAGCAGGAAAGATTCAAAATTGACACCCTAACATCACAATTAAAAGAACTAGAGAAGGAAGAGCAAACACATTTAAAAGCTAGCAGAAGGCAAGAAAAAACTAAGATCAGAGCAGAACTGAAGGAGATAGAGACACAAAAAACCCTTCAAAAAATCAATGAATCCAGGAGCTGGTTTTTTGAAAAGATCAACAAAATTGATAGACTGCTAGCAAGACTAATAAAGAAGAAAAGAGAGTGGAATCAAATAGACGCAATAAAAAATGATAAAGGGGATATCACCACTGATCCCACGGAAATACGAACTACCATCAGAGAACACTATAAACACTTCTACGCAAATAAACTAGAAAATCTAGAAGAAATGGATAAATTCCTGGACACATACACCCTCCCAAGACTAAACCAGGAAGAAGCTGAATCCCTGAATATACCAATAACAGGCTCTGAAATTGAGGCAATAATTAATTGCCTACCAAACAAAAAAAGTCCAGGGCCAGATGGATTCACAGCCAAATTCTACCAGAGGTACAAGGAGGAGCTGGTACCATTCCTTATGAAACTATTCCAACCAGTAGAAAAAGAGGGAATGCTCTCTAACTCATTTTATGAGGCCAGCATCATCCTGACACCAAACCCTGGCAGAGACACAACAAAAAAAGAGAATTTTAGACCAATATCCCTGATGAACATTGATGCAAAAATCCTCAATAAAATACTGGCAAACAGAACCCAGCAGCACATCAAAAAGCTTATCCACCATGATCAAGTGGGCTTCATCCCTGGGATGCAAGGCTGGTTCAACATACGCAAATCAATAAACATAATCCAGCATATAAACAGAACCAATGACAAAAAGCACATGGGTTATCTCAATAGATGAAGAAAAGGTCTTTGACGAAATTCAACAACACTTCATGCTAAGAACTCTCAATAAATTAGGTATTAATGGGATGTATCTCAAAATAATAAGAGGTATTTATGACAAACCCACAGCACATATCATAATGAATGGGCAAAAACTGGAAGCATTCCCTTTGAAAACTGGCACAAGACAGGGATGCCCTCTCTCAACACTCCTATTCAACATAATGTTGGAAGTTCTGGCCAGGGCAATCAGGCAGGAGAAAGAAATAAAGGGTATTCAATTAGGAAAAGAGGAAGTCAAATTGTCCCTGTTTGCAGATGACATGATTGTATATCTAGAAAACCCCATCGTCTCAGCCCAAAATCTCCTCAAGCTGATAAGCAACTTCAGCAAAGTTTCAGGATACAAAATCGATGTGCAAAAATCACAAGCATACTTATACACCAATAACAGACAAACAGAGAGCCAAATCATGAGTGAACTCCCATTCACAATTGCTTCAAAGAGAATAAAATACCTAGGAATCCAACTTACAAGGGATGTGAAGGACCTCTTCAAGAAGAACTACAAACCACTGCTCAATGACATAAAAGAGGACACAAAGAAATGGAAGAACATTCCATGCTCATGGGTAGGAAGAATCAATATTGTGAAAATGGCCATACTGCCCAAGGTAATTTATAGATTCAATGCCATCCCCATCAAGCTACCAATGACTTTCTTCACAGAATTGGAAAAAAACTACTGTCAAGTTCATATGGAACCAAAAAAGAGCCCGCGTTGCCAAGTCAATCCTTAGCCAAAAGAACAAAGCTGGAGGCATCACGCTACCTGACTTCAAACTATACTACAAGGCTACAGTAACCAAAACAGAGATACATACCAATGGAACAGAACAGAGCCCTCAGAAATAATATCACACATCTACAACCATCTGATCTTTGACAAACCTGACAAAAACAAGAAATGGGGAAAGGATTCCCTATTTAATAAATGGTTCTGGGAAAATTGGCTAGCCATATGTAGAAAGCTGAAACTGGATCCCTTCCTTACACCTTATACAAAAATTAATTCAAGATGGATTAAAGACTTAAATGTTAGACCTAAAACCACAAAAGCCCTAGAAGAAAACCTAGGCAATACCATTCAGGTCATAGGCATGGGCAAGGACTTTATGACTAAAACACCAAAGGCAATGGCAACAAAAGGCAAAATTGACAAATGGGATCCAATTAAACTAAAGAGCTTCTGCACAGCAAAAGAAACTACCATCAGAGTGAACAGGCAACCCACAGAATGGGAGAAAATTTTTGCAATCTACTCATCTGACAAAGGGCTAATATCCAGAATCTACAAAGAACTCAAACAAATTTACAAGAAAAAAACAAACAGCCCCATCAAAAAGTTGGCAAAGTATATGAACAGACACTTCTCAAAAGAAGACATTTATGCAGCCAAAAGACACATGAAAAAATGCTCATCATCACTGGCCATCAGAGAAATGCAAATCAAAACCACAATGACATACCATCTCACACCAGTTAGAATGGTGATCATTAAAAAGTCAGGAAACAACCAGTGCTGGAGAGAATGTAGAGAAATAGGAACACTTTTACATTGTTGGTGGAACTGTAAACTAGTTCAACCATTGTGGAAGACAGTGTGGCGATTCCTCAAGGATCTATAACTAGAAATACCATTTGACCCAGCCATCCCATTACTGGGTATATACCCAAAGGATTATAAATCATGCTGCTATAAACACACATGCACATGTATGTTTACCGCGGCACTACTCACAATAGCAAAGACTTGGAACCAACCCAAATGTCCATCAATGATAGACTGGATTAAGAAAATGTGGCACATATACACTATGGAATACTATGCAGCCATAAAATATGATGAGTTGTCCTTTGTAGGGACATGGATGAAGCTGGAAACCATCATTCTCAGCGAACTATTGCAATGACAAAAAACCAAACAGCGCATGTTCTCACTCATAGGTGGGAATTGAACAATGAGAACACATGGACACAGGAAGGGGAACATCACACACTGGGGCCTGTCATGGGGTGGGGGGAGGGGGGAGGGATAGCATTAGGAAATATACCTAATGTAAATGACGAGTTAATGGGTGCAGCACAGCAACATGGCACATGTATACATACGTGACAAACCTGCACATTGTGCACATGTACCCTGGAACTTAAAGTATAATAATAATAATAATAAGGAAAAAAAAGACAGAAAATCAATTAGACAGAAAAAAATAGGAGCTCTTCAATCACAGTGGAAAATAAAGTCATGGTTCTGGATGAGATTGGTTGGGGACAGGAAATAAAGAAGAAGAAAACAGGCCCAGAACTTAGTATAAAGCAACTTTTGCATTTAATCATTATGTATAGGCAGAGATTCAGAAATACAGCCAAAGAAGAGAGGCTAAGGAGGAAGGATATCAGAAAAGTTGGAAGCCGAGAGGTGAGACTTCTAGGCAGTAGCCACCTGTGAGGAATATTGCTCATGGGTCAAAGAAGTCAAGGACTGAAATGTCCACTGGATTTCTCAGTGTGGCTCTTTGGACAGTGTTGGGAAAATAATGAGATTTGAGTGGCTTTAAGAGCAAATAGCACATAAGGAAATGAAAATATGGGATATAAGCAAATGATACTTTCATGCTTGTTAGACATTTTTCTTTTTTTTGGATTTTGTTTATGTCTTTTGTTCTTTTTACACTGGGGATATACTTTTTCTTTAATAAATAAGAATATGTTATATATTAAGGATTTTTATGCCTGTTAAATATGCCATAAATTCTTGTTTGACATACACTTTTCTGTTGTGGTTAATATAACCTTGATATCAGCCGGAGTTCAGCTAGTTATAAAAGAGCAACCTCTGATTACATATGATTCTGTGATAATCTTATTACCCATTCAATTAATATATATTTATTGCTTTCACTATACGCTCACAATTTTATAAGAATTGGCACTATAATTTTAACTGAACTTTGACAACTCACTAGAGCAGTAATTTTAGTGGATGCAAATGGGATATTTTAAAATTATTGAATGAGAATTACAAATTTTAGAAAGAGCCAAACAGTTATGATAAGTTTCCTGAAAGTTAATTTTACCATAGTTTTAGTTACTATTTTGTAAATAATTCAAAAATATGTAACAGTTGATCTTAGGCTAAAAAGTTCATCATTTGCGGTAACTAGTGATAGTGAGTCAAGTATAACTATAACACTAATAAAGAGTATTAACTGCATGGAAAGTGACTTTTCCTAGAGTGCAGAGAAAGGATATTGCACTTGGTACTCAAATTAAAGACCGAAAAAGGATTTTTTAAAAATTTAGCAGAGTTCATATCTATAATGTTGGTAATGATGCAAAATTTACCACAATACATTTAGATAATCTGTTACTAGATTAAGACCTCAGTATTTCTCATGACTCTATATTTTTATTCGTTCAGAATAATTTTCAAAAGCTCTTCCTAGAGGATCTTTGAGTACTTTGCATAAATTAGGTTTATGTAAAAGTGAAATAGAAGATTACCAAATAAATTAAAAACAACAAAGGGTAGCATAGAAGACCAATTTTTATCTACTTGGCCATTACTATTCTTACACAGTTTTGTTGAACGCTCCTTTTAATAATTATTCATGTAAGGTATGCCACTGGATTTACAGAACAACTTTTTTGCTATCTTTCTTAAAGCTTTTGAACAATTAGATAAAACAGTAATTACTCTTTGATATGGTTTGGATCTGTGTCTCCACCCAAATCTCATGTCGAATTGTAATCCCCAATGTTGGAAGTGGGGCCTGGAGAGAGGTGATTGGATCATGGGGTGGATCTTTCATGAATGGTGAAGCACCATGCTCTTGGTGCTGTCTCCTGATAGAGTTCTTGTGAGATCTGGTTGTTCAGATGTGTGTAGCACATTCCCTCTCTCACTCTTGGTCCTGTTCCTGCCTGCCATTTAAGACTACTGCTCCTGCTTTGTCTTCTGTCATGATTGTAAGTTTCCTGAGACCTCTCCAGAAGCAGAAGCCATTATGCTTCCTGTATAGCCTGGGGAACCATGGGCCAGTTAAACCTCTTTTCTTTATCAATTACCCAGTCTCAGGTATATCTTTATAGCAATGTGAGAACAGACTAACACACTCCCTTAAGGTTTACAAGAAACAGTGTATGTGGTTTAAAAAAATATTTAATTAAATACTCAGATCAATACTGGATCATATGCCCTGAAATTTTCATTTACTATATGTTATAATAAAACTTCCTATAATTTCTAACCTAATCTCAAAGCATGTGCTTAGAAAATGAAAGAAAATATGTAACTATTTTCTAATATGACCATACATCAAGTACTATATGCCGTAAATGAATGGAAATCAAAATATTTGTATTGTAATAACTGTTCTATTAATAATTTTCTACCTTCTACTTTCTCAAGTAAAACATAGAATATATATATATGTAAGATATGTTATATATACATGTAAGATAAACAGTTTAAACTAGTACTAAATTCTAATTTGATTAAAGGTAATGACTTTGTCTAATCAAACCCTGCAGTCATCACAACTTGTTAGGTGTCATAATAGTGTAGAGGTGAAGAGAATCACTGGCCCTGGAGCTAACTGCAGTGATTTGAATCTTGACTGTACTGCATAATCTTGGAAAAGCTTATCATCTTTGAGGCAAGTGTTACATTTATATGTTATTTTTCAAAATGGCAAATTGGGGAAGGATGGTGGAGAGAAAAGCAACTCTTCACTGACAAATAATTTTATCTTGTGTGTGTGTGTGTGTGTGTGTGTGTGTGTGTGTGTGTGTTGGAGGTATAGGGGTGAGGAGACAGGTACTGGTAGTGGTAAAGTAGACTTCTAGGCAAGAAGGAAATGTGTAGAACTAGAAGATGGATTTCTGGCAAATTAGAAAACAGTTTCGCAGGACTTTGTAGCAAATCAGAAGTTAATGTGCTTCAGAATAAGACCAGAACTGGTGATCTCACAGTCAAATCTAGTAAACTTACTAATATTATTTAAATCGTGAAAATAGAAAGTAAGTAATTTTTCCAGTACAAAATGAGTGCTGAACACTTCAAGGAAAACTCAATGCCTTTTATTATAACAATTGTGTGACCATTAGCTTAAGGTTCTCCATTTGTAAGATACAGGCGTTCATTGAGGGAATATCTGTCATTTCTCAGAGTCATAAGAGGCTGCAACCATTTTGCTACAGCTGAACAAAAGCCATATGTGCCCAAGTCAAAGTTGCAATTATTTTCAAGATCACGGGTCTTTTGATTTTAGGCACAGGAACAAAGCGAATTGAATATATTTTCCATTTAGGCTAGGTTGATATAATTCAGTTTATATTCAGTGGGGATAGAAAACACTCAAAATTAAATAATTGAAGTTTTCACACTTCAATTGTAGTCTAAATTGGGAAATATATACTGTTTACTATATTCTTAGCTAAATGAGTCAGTAAGTCCATGCAGAAGGCACCATGATTCAGTGTCAACCTCAGAAAGGTTTTCTTTAACTTATAAAATATATCCTATAAAATGATGGAAAATACCACATCATTCAGGTGTCAACCTCAGAAGCGTTTTCTTTAACCTATAAAATGACTGAAAACAGCACAGGGTCAGTTTTTACAGTTCATGTTTGATAAGACACCAATGCAGAAAGATTGGTAAACTATTGGACTGGTAATCTATTGAGAGTTTTAATAATTGTTGTATTTTGTATACTTTTTGATTCTAAAAACTATTTTAAACAAGATTTCTGTATTTCTGTTTTTTTTTAATCAACTGTCTGCTCAAATAAGAACATTCTTTTAAATAATAATTTTAAAAGAGATTTTCAGTACTCGAACTGAGTATGCTTCAGATTTTATAGCATATTGTATACTCTAAATTTGTTAATAGTTTTAATGATTAATGCTTTACACAAAGAAATAGTAAAGATTAATAGTAAAGTATTCATTAATTCAAACCAATGACTGTAATAAGATAGCACTAAATGATTATTTAAAATAACTCCAAGACAATCCCATAAATGTTGGCAGGAAGAAATTGGAAAGAGAAAAATACAACCTTTTTTTCCCCTTCAAATTGAAATACAGATTTCACATGCACTAAAATTTTCTTCAAAGTTCATATTGCATGATTAATCTTTCAAGAAGACTGTAAGAATTTTATAACATTATATGCTAATACCTCTCCCCCTAATCAAAACATCAAAAAACATATACTATAAGAAATAAAAAGAAAAACAAACAAAGCAAAACAAGCAAGGAAGCTGCTCAAACAAAAGGAACACTTAACTTCTATCTTGGTGTAGTAAGATTAGAGGCAATTTCACTTATTTCCCAACTGGAGTCTGATTTTTTTTTCATTCTTTGCACTCCTATACATAGTAGTAATGAAGGGGTGCATATGTGTGGATAATCAGAGATAAAGGAGAAAGGGAAGATTGACGATTTTAGAGGCTTTTTAAAAAGTGTGATTTTGTGTTTATTTATTCTAGTTAGTGGCTACTAACCTCTGCTCCTTTAATTTAATCCTTTGAGCCTGGCACATGAAAATATTTTCTAGAGATATATGTTACTAATACCTCAGTGCTCAGTATTTCAAAATAGTAAACACAGAGGATGAACTTACAGAAATAACCTGTTTTTTCTTATTTTTTTATTATAATGGCAACTGAAATGTCATAAGAATTAATATTTATCTCCATTTTATTTTGATATGTTTGTTAATGTTTAAAAATAATCTTTGCATGAATAAGAACATTGAGACTTCAAGTTAAAGTGAAATCACCCTCATGTATCCCCCATGCAACTGCCTTTCACAAAGCTGAGACTGAAATCAACTGCTATTGATTTTCACCACAAAGTTGAATTAAAGTGAAGCCAGCCTTCAATAACAGGTAGGGATTCACCATTGTATTTCCACAAATACCTATACTTCATAATGTTCAATATGAGAAGGCAAAGGCACATAGAGTTTTTAAAAATTTGGTTACACACTTGCAGACACAGGGTTTACTCAGTTCATAGCCTCTGCAGATTACTGGAAATTAAATCTAATCTGAGATGTGGTGGAAACTGCTAGTTTACAGTAGTTTTTTGGAGAGTGTGTGTGGTCTTTGCTAGTTCTTGGTGACTGGGAGACCAAACCAGTGTTGGCCTTGGGGCAAGACTAGGGAATAGGGAAGGATGAGGATGAGGAACAGACAGAAGAGGGAAGGGTGGAGGGGCGACTCATTTACCATTTCTCTGCCAGAATAGTGACTGACAGAGAGAAGGAAGGCCAAAAAGTGCACTTTACAGATGACATAAATTTTGTTCAAAAGTCATTTGAGAAAGTTTGCTGGTACTTAAACGTTTCTAGCTAAGTTTGCCCTACTTGGAAGGGCATTTTCACCTGTCCCTCATTCACCTTCTTCAGTCCCTCTAGATATCCTTAATAAGGCTCAATGATTTAGAGCTTGAGTGTTGGAGGCCACGGAAGCAGAAACTTGTTCAGCCACTCGAGGGCTACAAATGGGTTAGTGTCCTCCTTTCAGCAAAAATTCTTAGTCTCTTTACTTTTATAGACCCCGTTACGTTACTATTTCCTTTGTAATCTTATCCCACCGCCCAGTTCTTTTCTTTCCCTTCTCCCTCTTTCCTCTCTGTCTGTCCTCTCCTCACCTGTCCACCGCAATGGCCGTCATGGAGTAGATGCTGGCGAACACAGCTGTGATAGGAAAGAAGTTCTGGAAGCGGCAGTAGTTGGCGCCAAAGTACCACTCGCTATGAAGCGCGTAGATGAAATTGACCAACGTGTTGAAGGCGGCCATGGAGGCGTCGGAGAAAGCCAGGTTCACAAGGAAGTAGTTGGTGACAGTCCTCATGCGCTTGTGGGCCAGGATGATCCAGATGACGATGAGATTTCCCAAAACTGCCACTGCCACCACCACACCATACGCCAGGGACCAGAGCGCGATGCGCCAGGACGGCTGCACGAACTGGTTGGTGAGGTTGGCCCAGGGCTGGGAGGGCGCGGGGGAAGCCACAGGCAGTCCCAGCGCGGAAGGGGAGGAGGAGAGGTTGCCAGCTTGGTCCAGCAGTTGCAGCCACCCAGTCTCAACTGCCCCCGTGGCCGCCCCGGCAGCTAGCGAGGCGGTCAGGTTCACGGCGTCTGCACCCACGCCTCCACCCCCGTCTATCCAGGTTTCTGCTGCTGGGAGAGTGGCCATCGCCACCGGTCTGCAGTCCCGGACCCTCCCACTCACCCACGGGCAGCCCAAGACGAGACTCCTCTGAAGTTCTTCTCTGCCTCCTGGTCACTTTGGTGCCGGAGTCTTCAGATAAGACTGGAAGCTGAAAGATACTGCAATCCCTGCTGGTTAGGGGATGCAGCTGGGGCTAAGGGGCAACAGCTGCACTTTCTCAGAGGCGCTTGCGGCTCTGGCAGGCAGAAAGAATGAGATCCTCCCGAGATTAAGGGTTATCGAGTCACATCACACGTAGGGAGGGTGCCAGCTGCCCGGCACAGGCTGGAGAACTGAGCGTCCTGCGCTACAGGCTCTCTTTATACTCATGGGGTCCCACGCTTCGGTGACGTTGCAGGGGCCGCGGAGCTGACTATCCCCTTCGCTGGCTGTGATTGCACTCGCTCCCTCCATCCCGCCCTTCGCATTTCATTCATTCGCTGCAAGCAGCTGGAGCTTGGCAAGCTGACCCGCGCAAGGGAGGGCTGCACTCCCTCAGCTGTAATTAAAATCTTTCCAAGATTGTTTGCCTTCTTTTAACTTCAGGATATCTTGCTGAGGTCCCTGTTCTCAAACATGTATTGGGGACCATTCCTTCCTGCACAAATTAACCATTCACTCATGAGGCAAGGGCAAGATCCTGTTGATTTTTCGGAGAGTGCATGAGTGTAGACTGCTGCAGGCTGTGGGCACAGTCAGCCGCAAACGTTTTTAGGTGTCCCTGGGTTTTGAATTTCATTCAACTTTTCTGCTCTGGTGTTTATATTCTCTCATCTCAGATTCCTTTTCCTCTCGCTCCCACTTTCCATATCCACCCATTTTCTCTCTTCCTGTACCTCTATCACTAGAAATCCGTCCCTCTGACCCCATTCCCAGCAGGCAGCTGGAGACTCTGGATTCTCCTGGAGGATTCTGCTCAGGTTGGAATGTCATAGCACACTAAGGGTAAATCGCAAATCCCAAGGAGTACATTTTCTTGAAACACGACAACGAGACAGATCTCTACATTTCCCTGGGTTGAACGTAGCCAGTAAGCACTGTGAATACACGCTCTTGGTTACAGGGTTCTGGATATATGGTGCCTTAGTTTTCAGGGCTTGACCATGAGGACACACTGATGAGAATACCGTAACTGAACAAATACTTGGGTTTTCCGGGAAGACAGGCAGGACCTGATTTCTGAGCTTTGCTTGAGAATAAGTGAGCTAAAGTGCTCGGTGGATTGCAAGCTGGAAGGACATAGTCTGTGCTTAGACCAATCTCAGGAAATTTAGCAAGAGGTTCCAGAGCCGAAACTCCTTTGTTAGCATCCTGGGGGCATGTGTATAAATTTAGGGTTAAATATATATTTAGCAACCTACTGGATATACGTGAACTGTTTGAACCTCTCTTGTCATTTAAAAATGAGTTTTTAAAGAAATCTCATTTACAGTATAATTATATGATAGTTTCTACAGACTTCCCTCAACAACAGCAGGCCGGAGGAAACACTCTTCCCTCTAGTTATCATTGTGTATTACATCTAAACATGTTTAGGTGAAAGGGATTTGATCAACAAGTTTAACAAGAGAAGGTAACTTGTGATTTGTACATATTCTGCTTTTTCCTTTTCTTTTTTTTTTTTTTTTTTTCCTAGTTCTGTCACCCAGGCTGGAATGCAGTGGTGCAATCATAGCTCACTGCAGCCTTCAACTCCTGGCTCAAGTGATCCTTCCCCACCTCAGCTTCCTGAGTAGCTAGTACTACAGGCATGTGCCACCAGTGCCACCACACCCAGCTAATTTAAATTTTTTGTTGTTGTTGTTGTTGCGACATGGTCTGGCGATGTTGTTCAGCCTGGTCTCCAACTCCTGGCCTTAAGCAATCTTCCCAGCTCGGCCTCCCAAAAGGCTGGACCTCCAGCAATGCTGGGATTACAGGCATGAGCCACTGTGTCTGGCCCTTCTGCCTTCTTTAGTTTTCCAGTTTAAAATATACTCTTCAAAGAACCTGCTGTGATGATTGGACAAGTGGACTTAAGGTGTGTAGTGATAAATAGTGTTTTCCTTCTTACAGTTATTATGACTAAATGGCTAGTGTATAACAATGATTTTAAGCAACCTGATAGTTATTATCACAGCCTTGACACAATCCTGCTTCAAAGTAAATGCATGCAGACCATGATGATTATCAAATGTTATTTCCCTTTTCTTCTGAGAGGCCTGTGAAAATATGTGATAAATCATAGGCAAAGTCAATAAGATTAGCACTTTCTGCTTACTAATTCCAATGGTTTAATTTAACTATTTTCTTTTGAAAGATTACTTCTTTGTTCTAATTCATCATCTAGAAATTGCTTGTTACAAATGAAAGCCTCTTCCTTTCCCAATGCAATTAGAAAGACATTAAAAATATATCTCCATATGACACACCTGCTTACTCAAAATTACAAAATAGGTTATGTGGTGGTTTGGTAATTAAGCATGTTTTGATCAGATTTTTGAAGCTGAAAAATTACTTAGTTGTGTAGAAATACACTCATTTTACTGTTGCTTTCCTTGTAATACTTACAACAAACATTTTAATTTTTCAGTTTTGCCTTCATTGGGCTTATACAAAGTAGAGGGGATATGACAAGGAAAAAAAGGATAATGATGGAATTAGATATAATGAAAGAAGTTTAAAAATTTATTCCTTTCAGAGGAAGGGAGGCATTCAGGGCATGGCTTTCCTTCTCAATCTGCCTTACCTACTGAGAATCTCCCTTGACCACAAGAGGGATCAGTGATAATTCATTGTCTATCATTTCTTAGCTATGTATTAGCATACTTCTTTCCAGGTGCTATGCCAGATACTGGGAGTATAGCAATGAAGCAGTTATATATGAATTCTATTCTTGAAGCCTAGAGTCTAGCAGTATTTTTTCACATTAAGAAATAGGAAGGAAAAAAAGGATCTGAGAAGTCCTGAGATGAAAGTACTTTAGCCCTCTCCCTCTCCCTCTCCCTCTCCCTCTCCCCACCGTCTCCCTCTCCCCACCGTCTCCCTCTCCCTCTCTCTCCACGGTCTCCCTCTGATGCCCAGCCGAAGCTGGACTGTACTGCCACCATCTCGGCTCACTGCAACCTCCCTACCTGATTCTCCTGCCTCAGCCTGCCGAGTGCCTGGGATTGCAGGCACGCGCCGCCACGCCTGACTGGTTTTCGTATTTTTTTGGTGGAGACGGGGTTTCGCTGTGTTGGCCGGGCTGGTCTCCAGCTCCTAACCGTGAGTGATCTGCCAGCCTCGGCCTCCTGAGGTGCTGGGATTGCAGACGGAGTCTCACTCACTCAGTGCTCAATGTTGCCCAGGCTGGAGTGCAGTGGCGTGATCTCGGCTAGCTACAACCTCCACCTCCCAGCCGCCTGCCTTGGCCTCCCAAAGTGCCGAGAATGTAGCCTCTGCCCGGCCGCCACCCCATCTGGGAAGTGAGGAGTGTCTCTGCCTGGCCGCCCATCGTCTGGGATGTGAGGAGCCCCTCTGCCCTGCCGCCCAGTCTGGGAAGTGAGGAGCGCCTCTTCCCGGCCGCCATCCCGTCTAGGAAGTGAGGAGCGTCTCTGCCCAGCTGCCCATCGTCTGAGATGCGGGGAGCGCCTCTGCCCCGCCGCCCCCTCTGGGATGTGAGGAGCCTCTCTGCCTGGCCGCCCCGTCTGAGAAGTGAAGAGCCCCCTCCGCCCAGGAGCCACCCCGTCCGGGAGGGAGGTGGGGGGCAGCCCCCGCCCGGCCAGCCGCCCCGTCCGGGAGGTGGGGGGCACCTCCGCCCGGCTGCCCTGTCTGGGAAGTGAGGAGCCTCTCTGCCCGGCAGCCACCCCGTCTGGGAGGTGTACCCAACAGCTCATTGAGAACGGGCCATGATGACGATGGCGGTTTTGTCGAATAGAAAAGGGGGAAATGTGGGGAAAAGATAGAGAAATCAGATTGTTGCTGTGTCTGTGTAGAGGGAAGTAGACGTAGGAGACTCCATTTTGTTCTGTACTAAGAAAAATTCTTCTGCCTTGGGATGCTGTTAATCTATAACCTTACCCCCAACCCCGTGCTCTCTGAAACATGTGCTGTGTCCACTCAGGGTTAAATGGATTAAGGGCGGTGCAAGATGTCCTTTGTTAAACAGATGCTTGAAGGCAGCATGCTCTATAAGAGTCATCACCACTCCCTAATCTCAAGTACCCAGGGACACAAACACTGCAGAAAGCCACAGGGTCCTCTGCCTAGGAAAACCAGAGACCCTTGTTCACATGTTTATCTGCTGACCTTCCCTCCACTATTGTCCTATGACCCTGCCAAATCCCCCTCTCTGAGAAACACCCAAGAATGATCAATAAATACTAAAAAAAAAAAAAAAAAAAAAAAAAGAAATGGTAACAATGGACACCTTTACCTTGTTTCCAATCTTAGTGGGAAAGTATTCAGTTTTTCACCATTATGAATGATGTTATCTATAGGTTCTTTGTAGATGGCCCTCATCAATTTGAGGAAGTTCCCTTCTATTCCTAGTTTGCTGACTATATTTATCATGGCCCGAAGGTGAACTTTTTCAAATGCCTTTTCTGTATCTATTGGGACAACCATATGGTTTGTTTTTTAATACACTTATGTGGTGAATTGCATTTATTGATTTTTGAATGTTACAGTATACTTACATTCCTGGTATAAATTCTACTTTTTCATGATGTATTATCTTTTAAAAATATGATTAAAATATGATTGAATGTAGCTTACTAATAAAAATAAATAAATAAATAAATAAATAAATAAAAAACATGTAAAAAGAAATAGGAAGGTATGGAGAAAAATGAGTGTTTAACTGTGTAAGAGAATGTGGTGCCCACTGATTCTGGATTGTTCCAACTTCTCTTGTAAATGTTTGAGATGGACATGCTAATTACCCTTAACTGATCACTATACATTGTACATATCAAAATATGTACCCCATGAATATGTAAAGTTATTATTTGTTAATAAAAAATAAAATTTTGAAAATATTTTAAATAAATACAAAGTAAAAGTACAGTCATCTCCAGTATCCAATTTAAAAAAAATTGTGTGTGAAAATTGAATGAAATTTCAAAAAGAAAGACTTAACAAAAGTGTATGCCTTAGAGAATGAGAAGGTTGAGGAGATCATACCTGAAGATGAGATTTTCTGACTAAAACAATTTGGTGGAATATCTGCTTGTTGTAGCCCAGATTCTGAATCCTGCTCTTATCTGAACCTATTTATTTGATTTCCTAATTCTTCCTCATGCTTTTTCTCTTACTATAAGATATCCAAAAGTCTTAGCCTTAGAGTACTGAGGGAAGGAGCAGAGAGGGCAAAAGAAATGGTAGAACATCAGAAAATGACTGTTAGAGTAGGAGCCTACATTCTGGCATTTAAAACTTGGAAGTGGGTATAAGCATGCACTTATGCAAATGTATGAGAACGTATGAGTCAAGCATGATAGACAACTTGATAGAAGATGTTAACAGGTTTTAGATAACAGCAAACTAAATTGGTTTGACTACATAAGTATAATACAAATTATGATCATTTTTATGCTTACTATTACTATTTATTCCTAATGCTATTGCTGACTATTTATTCCTAATGACCAATAAGTTTGTCTATTTTATTATGAATTATTATATTTAGAAAATCATATTTCTTCTAAACCTTATTTCCTCCCCATATTTTGCTTAGAATATCTACTGGCAATATGCCCCAGTTATTTGCTAACTATTATAAAGAGAATGGATACTTGTCATGTGTTGATTATTTTTTTCTCTCCTACAACTCCAGGGCACTTAGTGTGGTATATTTCATACTTGAATTTTTATTATAACAGGCCTCCCAAATATAAGCATAATAGGGTAAAATTTCAGGTTGTGTTGATGGCTTGTGGAGGAGTTATTTTGGGGAAGAAGAGCTTGTCAAAATTCCAGATTTCTGTCTCTGACACCAATCTTCTACTTGACAGTTCTCTCACATTTTTAGTGTTAGCATGTTGATTGTTTCCTACCATGTTGAGATATTTTTTCTTCCTTGCCAATTTCAGATCATCATAGTCTAGCCCTTTTACCCTTGTATTATACTTCTTTCCTTTGTTATTTCATCAGTTTAGTTTTGCAGTTTTATTCAGTCAGTTCACCCTTTGAGTTTTGAGGTCTTACAATCAAACTACTGAGCATTGCTGAAAATCAATCAATCAATGTACCTCCACTTAATTATGCTGACAGGTCCTCCTTAAAAATTCTTGTACTTTACCAGACACTCTTTCCATGTGGAATTGAAATCACTTCCTATTTCCAAAATTCTCATCATGTCTTCAGATCTCTTTCTTCTACACCTTCCTTCTCATACTTAGCAAGTGATGTTGTCTCCAATGTATCTGCAAAATTAAAAACCATCAGCCAAGAATTTTGACATTTCTGTGCATTTTACCCATCTTTTCATTGTTTGTTATTGTCTCAATTACAGTGGTTTTTCCCATCCTAAAACCCACTCTTTGATCTGTGCTACTTGTTCTTTCAATCATTCCTCTTTTTCCCTGTCTTCAACATCTCATTCTTTTTTCCCTTTTTCTTTAGTAATGAAACATATCTAAGAATCTACATTAAAGAGCTTTTCTTGACCACATTCCCTTATAATTACCACTTTTATCTCCTATTTCATTCCTAGATGAGCTGCTTTAATGACATACGTAAATTCAATATTTTCTTTCCTTTACTCAAAATGAAATTTTTAGGTATTAAATGTTATACCCTTCAGTTAATGTACTCTCCTATCAATTACCTGCATGCTAAACCAAATAGTCACTTCCCTTCCTTAACTTTCTTGATCTTTCTGTAGCAGTATAATTTGACATTTGCATTACTTTCCCAGATCTATCATAACAAAATACTACAAACCAAGTATTTTGAAACAACAGAAATTTATTTTTCACCATTTGTGAGGCTAGAAGTCTGAAATCAAGTCATGGGCAAGGTTAGTCCTTGTGGAGTCTCTGAGGGACAATATGTTCTATTCCTTTCTCCTAGCTTCTGTTGGTTGCTGGCAATCTTTGGGGTTCCCTAGTTTATAGATGCATCACTCCAATCTCTACCTCCGTTATTACATGGTGTTTTCCCTATGTCCTTCACATTATCATTCCTGTATGTTTCTCTGTGTGTACATTTCTTCTTCTTTTAAGGACGGTAGTCATGTGATTAGGGACAACTCCAAATCTAATTTCAACTTGATTTCTTGTTCAAAATCCTATTTCCAAATACGATCACATTCACAGGTACTGAGTGCTAGTATTAGAACATAGTTTTGGGGGTAGAAGGAACACAATTCTTCCCACAACTGTCCACCATCTTGCTCCTCAAAATTCATGTCTTTCCCATGTGCAAAGTATATTCACACCATCCAACATCCCCCAAAATCTTAACCCATTCTCCACTACAAACTCTAGGTCCAAAATTTTATTTAAATATCCACTCAAAAATTCCCCAGTCTCATCACCTAAATGAGATATACATGAGACTCTGGTTATAGTCCATCCTTGGGCAAAATTGTTCTTTATGCACAGGCCTCTGAAACTGGGAAACAAGTTATCTTTTTCCAAAATACAGTGATGGAACAGGCACAAGATAGACATTCCTATTCCAAAAGGGAGATAATGAGAGGAATTAAGGGATCACTGGTCTGAAGCAAGTTTGCAACCCATCAGGAAAAAATTATTAAATATCAGGGCCTGAGAATTATCATTTGTGGCTTGATGCTCTGTCCTCTGGGTCTGTGGAGGTTTCACCCTGGCCTCAATTGCATAACAAATAAATTACTCTTGTGTTTACAGACAGAAAACATAATTTAAAGATATTTAAATTGATATAACATTGATATATATCAGTGTTACCATTGTGTTCATGACTTTGATTTTTTTATCTGTACACATTTCTGTATTTCTACATTTATATTGTTTATAAATCTTTTAAAATGAATTACTAAAAAATGTAAATTGTAAAAAGAAAAATGACCTGGCTTAGGAACTCCTTGATGGTGAGAAAGAAGGGGACAAATTGAAAATGTTTTCTGAGTCTGAACAGCTAGTTGAAAGAAATACCCTTTTTACTATGGTTGAAAAGATGTGCCCTACTGAACAAAAATCACACATGAAGATTTACTTTCATTAATGCTTTGGTATTGTTTCCTAATGGACTGACTAGCTAATTGAATCTGATGACATGTTAATAATATTACTGTAATAGCTCCAAAAATATCAAAAGACATTTTAACAAAATCAGACATTGCATACTAATTATCAAATTAGTGTTCTACAGTTTGGTAAGTTGTGGCTTTGAGGAAGTGAATCAACCAATAAACATCTCGTCTTTTATTATTTATTTTTGACTGTTCCTGGGAAACAGTGAAGAGCACAAGCTTTGGAAACTGATCGATTAAGGTTTGACTGGAAACTCTTGCTCCTTTTAGTTTACTAACCCTACCTTCTCTTAGGCTCCATTTCATCCTCAGTAAAATTGTGATATTTTTATTTAAACATATATCTTTTGTATAAAATGTTTACTAAATGGGAACAGAATTTATAATTTCTATATTAGTTTAATTTAGTCCCTAAGTATAGAAAATGATTTTATAAAAATAATAGTTAACATTCATAAAGCCCCTTGTGTGTTCTAGACTTCCAAGCGTGTTCTTTACACTAATTAAGCTATTTATATGTCCTAAGTGTCCTGTGCAATGATATTATTATTATTCTCATTTTTGGATTAGGAAATGAGGCATAAAAGAGATTAAATAAGTTATCTGAAGTTATACGTAATATCTAGAAAATAGTGGAAGGCATGGTTGTACCCAGAATCTGGTACCAGAGTCTAGGATCTTAGTCATACTATCATACCATCTTTCTAAGAAAACAAGCAAACAAACCATGTAAAGGTTGGCAAAAAAAATCACATAAAAAGTTAGAACTACAACTAAATACAATTTAATACATTGTTCTTTTCTCAAATAGCTCTACCCGTAATCACCTCATCTTCAAGAGAAAAACAAAACAAAACAAAGGGAGCAAACAAAAACCATCAAATAATAAGGCATGAACATTGTCTAGTTAAAACTGATGGTTCAAAGATGTCATCACTCTGCTTTTCTGTCTGAAACAAACAAATAAACACAAAACAATAAAAATATGTACAAATACAAAAGAAAACTTCAGTGGAACCTGTGGATAATTTCAACTCCAGATTACAATAAACAGAGCAGCACTGGCTTATCCAATCAAATATTGTATTAATGCCAACGGGGATAACTGCCAAGTGGGAATAAATTGGTAGAGTTCATAGTTTTCCTGATAAGTGGGATACTCAAAGAAGTTGGATCAATCATTGTCTGCTAAGTGTCTTAGTCTATTTTATGTTGACCTAACAGGATGTCCTAGACTAATTTATAAAGAAAAGAGATTTATTTAGCTCACAATTCTACAGGCTAAAAACTTCAAGGGCATAGCCCTGGTTTATAGCAAGTTTGTGCTGTGTCATAACATGGCAGAGAAGGTCAAAAGGGAAGTGGAAACATGCGAAGAAAGAAAATCGTAGGGGCTAAATTCCTGGCTTTAGAATAACCACTCTTTGCAGGAATACTCCTATGAGAACTAATCCAGTTTCAGACAGCAAGAACCAACCCACTACCAAGCCATTCATAAGATACACACCCCTTTCACCCAAACACCTCCCACTAGGTCCCATCTCCCAATGTCACTGCATTTGGGATCAAATTTCAATCTGAGTTTTGGTGTGGACAAACTCAAACTCCAATTATATGATTGCTCCGAAGGACTGTGTGAACATTCATGAGTCCTATGTAACAACAAAAGGTGGCAAGAGAAGAAAAATTAAACGAAGACATTGGAATTGAAGCCATTTCACCAGAATAGATTCTGTAATGATTTAGAGTAAAGGTAAAATTTAGTTGTCAGTTTTGCAGTTGCTGATTTAGAGAGCCAAAGAAATTTGAAAGACAAATTATTACATAAAAATTAAAATGTGGGAGCTTCATTATAAGGCATGAAAAGTTCATACGCCAGGGTAGACATTCATCAGAAAGTGTTCAGTGGTAACAGAACAACAGAACTCTACCCAAACTCCTATCACCAAGACCAAAACTTAGGCTTTTGTTTTGGGAAATAGCTGGCCAGAAAGAACAACTTCCACCCACACACATTCAAAGATAAACAAAAATCAATTTAAAAAATCACTAAAACCTATGTAAAGGTTTTATACAAAAGAAAAAAGAGACATGACAAAGAAATGTCAGATAAATAAGTACTTTAAAATGCCAATAAAATTAGTGAGTGAAAACTAAAGAAATTTAAAGAAATAGTCAATTAAATGAAACCCAAAGAATAAAAAATATTATAAAAATAAAATCATATTAGATGCAGAAGTAAAAATGTTTCCATTACATGAAACAGAGCATGAAGGGTAGGTTTGAAAGGAATCAAACAAAACATGAAATAATTTAACAAGATTATAAAGGAAATTATAGCCATAGAATAAGTGATCCAACACATTCATAGAGTTTCTGAAAAGAATCAAATACATGGGATGAGAAAAATTACACAAAAATACAATATAAGAGAGTCATCAAAAATGGAGTAGGGAATTCCAAAAGTCTGTCCCTTCACAAAAGCAATAAACTGACAAAAATGACAAGAATTAGCTTTCAGAATTCTGGAAACTAACAAAAAGCTTACAGCAACCAGAGCAATACTTAATTTAAAAAAATAGCTGAATCTCAAAAAGAGAGCTTTAATGGCATTTTAATATATTAAAATACCATGGCCCTATCCCCAACTCCCCAGCTCAGTGGTGATACACGAAGAAAAAGATACTGTTCCTATAAAAGAAAAACTACATCTAGATTCAGAAAGATTAATCATGTCACAATCAAAATTCACTCAAAAGAATAAAGTTAATATATATTCAAATGAGGTTAGTCGGTCTTTGGATAAGGAAATAATTTTATAAGTAACAGGTTAAAAAATATCAAATTACTCATAAGTTTAATAAATCAATATGGCCTTGAAATTTTGTAAAACAACAATACCCATTGGAAGACAGTTGAGAAATTCTTCAAACTTCTTAGGGAAATAACGTGTTCCAAGAAATTTTTATCCATTGATTAAACTCATGTTCAAATATAAAGATCATAGAAAGACATCTTCAAATATGCAAGGACTCAGGTCTTATAGCAGTGATGAATGTTAACTAGAAGACTATAAAAAAATACTCCAACAAGCAAACAAACAAACAAACATCAGATAATTTCTTTGGAATTAAAACTCAGCCAACAAAAGGAGGACTAGAGAAGCTATGATTTAAAGATGGAGACCATGAGCCAGAGCTAGGTATGAGCCACTGTGCTGACTCCAAGGTGATTGATTGACATCCTGACCACATTGTTCTAAACAGCAACACACAACATAGTCACAGATTATATGGGGAGTATTTTGTATAGCCTCTGTGCAAGAGCATGTCATATCACAAACGTTCCCCTTGAAAGTCCTTTATATCCACTGTAAAATGTAGTTTGTGCACATGGCATATTTTCTAAAGAATGAAATAGCTGGTCTTAAAACTTTGGAATGTATTGCTGCTTCTGCAGCTCAACTCAAGATAAAGATTACATTGTATTTTGAGTTCAGCTTGTATAAAAATTCACATTTAAAACACTAGAATCATGCTTATTTATGAAAAATCTTTACACTAGAGAGTTGAGAATGACCAACTGAGAGTCTTGTCTCCAATCTCCTCCTCCTCTCTATGACATATGCTAATTCAAGGTAATGAGAAGGGAAATGAGAAGGGTATTATCTGTACAATGTAAATTATTTATCTCCCTCCTGTCTTCCTTTTCTTTCCATCTCTCAGCTCTTTTCTTTCCTTCTTTGCTTCTCAGGCATATTCACTGAAATTTAAGAAAATTAAATATGTATGTGAGGTAGAATCGTAGAATGAGGTTGATGATCATTTTGCCATCTGCATTTTTACTCTCAAAATAATTTGGAGATAATATTGCAAAGAAATAAAAACATGTTTATATGAATTTGCTAAAAATGAAGATAATTCCAGTAACAAGGATTTTTTTTTTTGCTTTCTTCATAAGACATAGTTCTGTTCAAGTAACTATAGGGTGGTAGGAAAGGTATCTGTTGATTATATGCAAACAATAAGATTTTCCATATTGATTCAATAGGTACAGGTGATGTAATTGAGAGAAAAATTAATTTTTCAAACTCATTAAAGTAATTAAAGTATATAACACCAAATGTAAGAACTGCTGGTTTATGTAGGGGGAGGTTGGGGAATGGTGGAATTATTCAGTTTGTTTTTATTCCTTGAAATAAGAGCTCCTCAGATGCTAATTGAATCAAGTTAATCCCTAAAATTGTAGAATTCTATGATTGGTATATACTTTCTGTGTTACATATTAATTTGCTATCATTTGAAAGAGGAATTAGAAATTAGTGGGCACTGAAGGTGCTGATATCTTTACTTACATATGACTCATTTATTGTTGGTACATTTTTTCATTCAAATATTATAATCATTGCATAAGCTCTAGAAGAGTAAAGTTATGTTAAATAGAAAATAGATAAAATTTAGGCTGGGCGCAATGGCTCATGCCTGTAATCCCAACACTTTGGGAGGCTGAGGCAGGTGAGTTCAAGACCACCGTGGCCAACATGGTGAAACCCCGTTTCTACTAAAAATACAAATATATATATATAATATATATACGTATACATACAATATATACGTATATATGCATGTATATATTACATATATACGTATATATACGTATATATGCACGTATATATGCACGTATATATACTAATATACGTGCATATATACGTATATATGTACTATATATACGTATATATGCACGTATATATGCACGTATATATGCACGTATATATGCATATATATGCACGTATATATGTGTATATATGCACGTATATATGCACATATATATGCCCGTATATATGCACGTATATATGCACGTATATATATATAAATTAGCTGGGCGTGGTGGTGTGTGCCTGTAATCCCAGTTACTCAGGAGGCTGAGGTGGGAGAATTGCTTGAGCCCAGGAGGCAGAGGTTGCGGTGAGTTGCACCACTGCAATCTAGCCTGGGCAACAGCACAAGACTCCCTCTCAAAAAAAAAAAGAAAAAGAAAAAAGAAAGAAAAAGAAAACAAAATAGATAAAATTTGTTAATAATGATACACAAAATTTTCTGGGTACACATTTATTCCAAAATGTTTTTAGTATTGAAGGGTATTTCTAAAACCATAATCTATAATCAACCTCCATTTTGATTATAGATTATCAGCATGGTTTGGATTAGAAATTCAAACATAGCTAACTCCCCAAAGTATTAACTGCATTTTAATCTTTGTACTATTTTACACTGCCTAGCGTAGTATTCTACAAAGTTATTGACTGAGAACTAAAAAAGCATACACTGTCAATATGTACCTTTATATAAAAGTTATATACATGTATGATTGCAGTAATATGTGTATTTAAAATATTTAAACATAGAAGGTAAAGATAAGACCATAGAAAATATTTTTTAAAGCACGTGTAGGATTTTAGCATGTAATCTTCATTTATATAAAATAGCTTTGAAAATGAATATGAAAATTTTTCTTACTTCCATAATTTAAACTTTAATTTAAAATTATATTAATGATATTGCATAAACATTTCTGTCACATAATCTCTATAAGCAAGTTATTAACAACTTCGATACTTCCATGGCTGCTTACACAGCTGAGAGTCATAAGGTATGTTGAAATAGCTGCACTAGTATTTACGGTATTGATACATTTCTCAATTGATTGAAATGTTTCTGTTTTTTCTTTTGAAGTCCCATCTTCTTCCCTGGGAACCTTTGGAGCTTCTCAGGGTCACAACAACTAAAAAGATAACATCTGTTACTGAATCACCTATAGGTGCTAGTGTACCTGTGATTGGCAAATTAAGGAATGATGACCTTTTTACGGGGAAGTTGGTGCATTTTTATTATCTGCTGAGGCTGTCTCCAATCATGCTAAACATCTCCCCAAGTACTAATCATAATTATTGTTAGTGCTGTTATCACTAAGTTGCATACATTTTGAGAGGTGCCCTTAATCCTACTTTCCCCATAAGCCCCATTTTTTAAAATGTAATTTCTTTTTTTTTTTTTTCCCAATCTTGGGTATGTCTTTATCAGCAGCATGAAAACAGACTAATACATATATTCTCATCCAGATATTACCACCATTTTCCAGTTGCATCAACAGTTCCTAAAGTCCTACTCCATCTCCCACCCAGCTGCCACAGATTCTCTCAAAGTTCACACAGACACACACCCTCAGGTCATCTGGCTGAGTGTGGGCAACATCTGCATGTTCCCGTCTGCCATATTGAAACCGGCCCAATTGTCCCCTAGAATTGACATTTATGGTTTATTTGAATAAACATAGGAATTGATCCTCCCACTCTTAAAACTTTAGAAAGTTACATTTATCTTATCTGAGTTCCTTTCTCAGGAAACCAACCATCAGGCCTCCCAGGTAGCATCAAGGAACTGAAACTTAACAGATCACTGCATCTGGACAATATGTTACCAGACCCCATACCCATCATAACTGCCTAATCATGCTGGGTGCAGTGGCTCACACCTGTAAAAATGTAATTTCTTTTCTAGGGTAGAAGTCTTTCAGGAACATTTATAATGACACATTAGAAATGCCTGTGCATAATTATTACTAATATCTTTTTTATGAATGAGAAAACTGAATAACAGAGAAGTAATTTGAACCTTAATTGGCAGAGCCAGGATTAAAATTTAGGTATTTCAACAGCAAGGGTCATAGTCTTAATCACCATGCTCACTGGCCTCAATTTAATTGGGAATTCACTGGAAGAGGCTAATGTGGTTTTTCTATGTTGAATTATCACACAGGGTAAAACAGGATGAAACAAACAAACAAAAAAAACACCAATAATTTCTAAAATGTCAACAAAATGGAAAATAAAAGATAATACTTTTTAAAATTATTTCTATTTCAATGTATATTTAATTTATATTACCATACTAATTAGGTATTTTGAATATCACCACTAATTGTGAGGAAATGAATTCTTGTGTCCCACATTATAAACAAAACACCTATGAGGGTATTTCTTTTGATGGCTTCATTGGTAACCTGAAAATCAGATTTCTAATAGGATCAAATTGCTTAAGAGAAAAAGATGAAAGATTCCTGTAAACTATAGCCAAATACCTAATGGTGATATAGTCTAGGGTTTACACAGTTATATGATCAAGGGCAAGAAGTCTCTTTCTCTTCTTTCTCCCTTCTCCTCCATCTCCCTCTCAACAGAAATTTCAACCTTAATTTTATAGGTTTATTTTAAGAAAAATCTGTTTTCCAATCTATAGAGTAAATTGGTTTTCACTTAGTAATAAGATATGAGAGAATTGTATTAATTTTGAAACAGCCCTCATGACCTCATTATTTTTGATGTTTTCTGTGGAAAAACAAAATTGCCAGGGTAGCTGAACCTCTAAATTTAAAATTATTTTAGGGCTTTGAAAATGGTTTATGTAAAATAAAAACATATGAAAAATTGAAAATGCTGAAAAAATAAAATGTTAGAAGTCTACATGGATAGTTACATTTATAAAGCTTTTAAAAGCTGGGAATTATTTCATCTAATTGAATATAAGTGAGTCTAACCTTAGCCTCTCCTCCTTATAACGCTGGTCTCCAATGAGATACAGATGCTCCATGTAGTGCTGGAGAGGAGTCACTAGGATGTGGAAGAACATATTGGAACTCTTATTATTTTTATTATCTTCTACATGTTCTATGTTACTGGCGCATATCTTAAAAATTTATATATTACTAAAGTAGAACAAATGTATAATTTAAACAGTAATAACTATATATGCATGCATGTGTGTGCATATGCTGATATTTGCACTGGTGGAGAAATGTTATAAAAGATCTTTATGCTATGCTTCGCTGCCCTGTTTCCTTTCTGCTACTGCTACCACCATTCCCCAACCACAGAGAAGGTGGGTATGTTGCTTTCTGTCCCTAGCAGATTTTCCCCTGTTGGCATCAATTACCAGGACTACAAGGATGCTGGGGTGACACAAAACTTCATTTACTCTCATTTGTACCATCTTTCTGAGTTCCAGTGGTGATGAGATAAGTGGGGTTTCATTTTATATATATTAACTATATATTACCTTGGACAATCATGCCTACAATTTCCACTCTACATGGCAGACTCTTAATCCAAGCTCAGTGTCTTGCATTCTATCTAGCAGGTATTAGTTCTTTATTCAGAGGCTTAAAGTTATTCCACTGGAAGTACTAAACTAATAGACCTATTGATTTTTTTATAGGTATGTTAGGGGAGGGCAAGTAAAATAATTTTGGGGAAAAAAATCTCAAATAAATCATTACTGAAATCAAAAAATTCTGATCCTAGTCTTTGCAATGTTCACCACTGCTCTTTCTTGGTTGCTACATTTTGTTACCTGACCATTAAAAAATGTCATCTGCTGTCCTGTAAACAAGACTGTCTTTCTGAAATCTTAGAGAGAAAACTGATTAAAAAAGATGCAGTTTATTTATAGAGCTAACTCTTCAGACAATGTTTTATAGACTCTATTGGTCTCCTTGAGCTTAGAAGAAACTAATTGCTTCATCTGCATAAATCATTCCTTTGGATGGCTGAAAAATAAAATTAATGGAGAGAGAAAATTAGCTCAAAATATGCAGAAGTCCCTTTTTTGAGGAAACTGTAAAGATCGCTTAATCCATATTTCTCAGAGACACAGCAATTGAGTCATTAAGAACTGACATGAAGTCATTTGCATTTGTATAGGTAAAATGGCCTGGGAGTAGTGAAGAAACTTTAATAACATTGCTGGACACAGGTGCTCAATGTACTGTCATACCTAAAATCAATAAGAAAAAGTTAAAAAGTTATGTAATAGAATCAGCAGGATGTGGCAATTTGATTGTATTACAACTTTCAGGTAAAAGTATGGCTCAAAGTAGAAATTTATGAATGAATGTTATGGTCATTGCCTCATGCTTACTAGAATATATTATTGAAATGAATATGATATCCAAATGGAAAAAAAGCTTCCCTTGCCCAAACTTTTGGAAAAAGAATGTGCACATCTTCTCTTCATCCTGTTTTAATTGGGCATGCTAGATTGGAATCTTTACAATTGCCTAAGCCCACACAGTGGTTCATTTAAAACAATATAGAATACATGGAGGGCATAAGGAAATTTCACTTTAATTGAAGGTCTATTTGATGCAGATATTAGTACTCACCAGTTCCTTGTTCAATATGATTGGTAAGAAAAGCTAATGAATTCTGGAATTTAACTATAGTTTATAGAAAACTAAATGCAGTGATGTTTCATGTAGCATTAGCTGTGTACAATATGATATCAACAATTCATGCTTGTGCAGCAAGGTACAGGAAATTGGCATTTGATTATTGATTTAGGTAGTGCCTTCCTTTCCATCTATATTTTAAAAAGAAGGCAAATTCAATTTTTATTCATGTGGAATGGCCTCTAGTGCACATGTGTTATGTTCCACAAGAATATATAAATTATTCTACTTATACAAAAATCTGTAAAGAAGAGACTTAGATTTGATTTAGTTGAAATTAAAAAAAAAGCTGTTATCCATTATATTGATGCCATAATGTTGCTGTCTCAATTTGAGACCAAGCTAGGAAAGAATTACAAATGCTTGATAATCATATGACCACCAGAGGATGATCAACCTGACTAAAGTACAATGCTTACAGCAAATAGAAAATATCCTAGGCCCCATTTGCACAGGAGCAACTGGAGATATTCTTCAGACAACAAAAAATAAGTTATTGTCTCTGACAGATGCCAAAATAAAAGGCAGAGAGAGTGATTTTGTTTTTTAGTTTCTGGAGAAAACACATCACATCTGGGAATGTTACTAGCCTATATTCATAAAGTTACCAAGAAAATCAATAATTTTGAATGGAGCTTTGAGCAGAACAGCCTTCCTTTGTGCCTCAAAAAGCCAGAATGCAATCAAGCTCGTTATGGCCTCACAACCAGCACAGTTAAATGATTTTGGAAGTGCCTGCATTGTGTAGCCACATTGACTGGAGTCTGGAAAAAGTTTGTTACTGACACCCAGCAGCAGCTGCTGGGATTTTGGACTAGGAAATAATCTGATACATCTTCAAGGTACACATCATTTGAAAAGTTAGCTGATTATTGGGCTTTAATTGAAAGTGTTTCTATTGCTGAATGGCATACAGTTATTTTGAGGCCTGAGATGCTCATCATGGCCTGGGTTATATTATACCATCATTGCAACTGGGAGAGAAGTACTATACACCGGCTTTCCTCATTAAATGGAAATGGTATATTCAAGAATGTGCAAAAATTTCTACCAACAAAGGTAGCAATAACAAATGAACATGTAGTTGCTATGTCTTTGGGTCTTTCTTTGAATCTTCCTGAGGATTTACCTAACCAACTGGCTAAACAGGATCCTTCCAATAATTAATTATTTGAGGACACTAAATATACAACAACATTCGCAGATGTTGTCTCAAGAGTGTAGCGTTGCTACTCAATCTCAAAAATATCAGTTCTGTGACTAGTTGATGGTTACATGTAAAAAAAAAAAAGAGGGAAATGATCAATTCACTTAATGGACAAAATTAAGAGGCATTTCTTATGCCATCAGATAAAACATAATTATAGAAATAATGATATGGTGTGAGTTTTTACTATTTAAAGGCAATAACCAATAAACTAATAATATATTTAGAAAATGAGCCAGAGATAACTGGAAGATAAAAGGAATCTCAGTGTCAGGTGCTAGATTATGGACAAATTTAAGGATTTAAGAAATCAATATGAGGCATATTGATGACCATCAAGAGAATCAAAAGAACCCCATCCAAATGCAAAAGAGGGACTGAAACCAAGAAGTGAATGCTCATGTTTGATACATGAGATGAATGGCCACAGAGGCATGAAGCAATAAACTAACTGACAGAAAAAAAAAAAACTATTTCATACTGTCTCTCTCAGAAGCTCATGGTATTACTAACAATTGCCTTGTTTGTCAACAGCACCATCAGAGATTGAGAAGCCTGGAGCAGATCGAGGCTGACCCACAGCTTGTAGGGGGATTACACTGACCCATTATGGTGGACACCAAAGGGCCTTGATCAGGTTCAACACTCAATCTAGATTTGGATTTATGCACCCATGAACTGAAAAAGAAATGCCTCTAAAAAGCCGTTAAATGCCTAGAGCAGAAAATAGTTCAAAATGAACCTTCTGCTTACATAGCATTTGATCAAGGAACTCATTTTATTGCAGATGCAATGGCAATGGGCTGAGAAACATCACACTTTATTACCCACAAAATAGAGGGAAAATAAAAAATTGGAATGAACAATTGAAGCAGCTGCTTCCTATATTGAGAGGTGATAAAGGACTAAAGGAATGGCTTGTGCAACTCAATAATGTGTTAAAACTTAATATATGTGAATATAAAGGGAGTTCATAATTGGACAGATTGTTGAGATGCAGTGGGGAAAATAGAAAACAGAGAGTGAGGGATGCTGTAGAAACATACATAATTTTTTCCCCTATTTCTAACATTTCTTTTTCCTTTTTGTCCCTGATTCTTTATTATGGGAACTGGATCACATTTATGAGTTCCAAAGGGAGGAATCATTGTGAAATATTACCCATGACAATATCTCTGAATGAAAATGAAGTTAAAAGGGAAAAAAGAAAGAAATCTTCAAGAGAAAATTAGAAAAAGTAGACGGGTGAAGATGATCCAATACAATATGATTGGCATCCCTGAAGTAAAAAACAATTAGATGAAATAGAACAAAGATTAACAATTATAATTTAAAGAAAACATTTCTGAAACAAAATGTTACTTAAGCCTATGTATTGAAAGAGTACAATATTATATGGGAATTTCAGCTGAGATTAGCAATGCTAAGGTATAAACCATTGAAACTACTCTAGTCAAAGATTTTTAAAAAGACATTTCGAATCCAGGGGAAAAAATTAAGTTACTTATACAGGGAAAAAGCAAATAGGTACAAGATTTCTTGAAAATAACATTTTAAAATGGAATACAGTGGAGCAATTTAAGATATTCAAGGAAGCAAAGATTTTGTATCCTGCCAAAGTATAAAGGCCACAGACAATTATGAACATAGACAATATTAAATAATATTGTTCCTGTCACCTATTTATGCATAATCTTCTTAATAATGACTTTGGACATTTGAGCAATTATAAAAAACTGTTATTAGGTGTGGTTATAAGCAAAAAGTATATGAAATTATGCAAACAAGCTAAATGTTTAAGATGACAATGAGAAAATTGTTTGTTCCTGATTCTTTATTGTGGAACCTGGATTGCAAGTATGAGGTCCAAAGGAAGCAATTGTTAAACATGATCCAAAAGAACTCTGAATATGATAAAGAAAAATGCATTTTTAATGCTAAAGTTCCAGAATGTGGATCTTAATACACACCAAATTACTTGAGTTCTCAAACAAAGGAGTGCAATAAAAAGAGATGATTGAGGGAGAGGGATGAGGAGACTAATAGAGAATAATAGAAATTTTAGAATCATAACAACCATGTGCAATGTATGGGCTTTTCTAAATCTTTATTTAGATAAATTAAGTTATATCTAAGACAATTGACTTGAATATGGGCTGGATAGTAGATAATATTAAAGAGTTGTCCATTTTACTATGTATGATAGTGGCATGGTTGTGATATATAAAAAAGATTTATATCAGAAATATACACTGAAGAATCTACTAGTTAAATGACATAGTTTGTGATTTTATGAATATTCCAGAGAAATTAGAGGGTTAGTAAATATTAAAACTGATCCATGGGAATTTGTGATACAATTATCTCTACTATTGTAGATATGAAACCATTTCCACAATAAAATGTTAATGAATAATTCTCATGTGTGTATTTATAAACCAGATCTAAAAACCTAACGTTTATTTTAGCCAGTTAATTATAACACGTTTATTTTAGCCAGTTAATTAGAATTTCAAATTTTGGCAGCAATAATGCTTAAAAATGAAAATGCTATCTATATTTAGCAAAATAAACAATAAATTGTTTTAAATGATTATATAAAACAGTTACAAAAATATTTAAATATCTATGAAAGTTATTGAATAATATTAGAAAAATTAACAGACTTGTTTTCGCAGGGCTTTTCTTTACACATTCTACAATTATATCTCTCTTTCTCTCTCTTTTTGATTTTAGAGATGGGTCTTGCTCTGTGACCCAGGCTGGAGTGCAGTGGCATGATCATAGCTCACTGTAGCCTTGAACTCTGGCCTCAAGTGATCTTCCCACCTCAGCCTCTCAAGTAGCTAGGACTGCAGGCAGGCACCATCACACCTGGCCAATTAAAACAAAACAAACCTTTTTTAAAAAATATATACACAAACCTTTTGTTTTTTTTAAGACAGTGTTTCACTGTGTTGCTCAGGCTGGTCTGGAACCCCTGGCTTCAAATGATTCGTCTCCCTCAGGTTCCCTAGTTGCTGGGATTATAAGTATGATCCAATAAGCCCTGCAGTAGCTCTCTTTTTAAAAAGAGTTACAATTCCCCCTGGTTTTCATATCTACAGCTTCTTTCTGCTTAAATATTCTCCAGAAAAAATATTTTGGAAGATTACTGAGCACAAATAGGCAATAACAAATGTTTTCTGCTATGTTCGTGAAAGTAATAGAAATGTCTGTATTGTAGAGTATAACATTAATGATTTTATTGTACCTGTTCTTGTTAAATATAAAACTAGTCTTTCCACATCACTTCACTAAACCATGGCTAAAATAGATCAACAGTAGCTAACAGAAAAAGAAATAGTCATTTAAAGGAACTTCCTCTTAAGTCATGATAGTTTTTTAAAGCTATGTATTTGAGATAATCTCACATTGCCTATATTGTTGCTAAAGCTAATTCTTTACTTCTCTACATTATTGATTATATTAATACTTTCCTTGACTTTCTGATTTGCCAAATAATTTTTTAAAAATTTATCATCATTTCAAATGTTCAGTTAGCTTAAATAGACATGCATTTAGGAATATACATAAAACTACTTCAATAAACTGTATCCTACTGAAGAAGGATAATAGGAAAAATAAAACATTTTATTAACTTGGTGCCAACTATATTATTACTTTTATATATTCTATTATTTTCTCTATTGCTTAATAGTTCCTTTAAATTTGTCAGAGGAAATCATATCCATAGTATCCCTGTCCCCCCATCTTGCCAATCTCACCATCTGTGAGATAATTTCACAACTTTCTATATGTTCTTGCAATCAATTACAAACATATATTCACTTATATAGTCTTCCCCATACATTTTAATTTTCTTGAAAAATTGGATCTATGCTGTATATTTCACTCTGCGATTTGCTGTTTTTCGATTAGCCATTTTTTTAGTTTCTCACAAAAATTTAATATTCTTCTATTTATTGTGTGTAGAAATTTCCACGGTGCTATAGCTATATCATATGTATTTATTCTCCCATTGGTGGATGATATAATTATCTACTCAAATTTATACTGGCTATTTCTGCTACTTATATAATTTTAAATAAAAACTTTATCTTTCAGGAAAAGATTCTTAGAATTGAGCTAAAATAAATCCACTTGTTTAAATGAAAATGTAAGTTGCTTGCCAAGAAGTTGTCTCCTTCTTCCCAAAAAGTTGAGTAAATATTTGTAAATATTGCTTCGCTTATGCTGTGACAGAAACAATAGAGAGAAACAACATTAATTCTTTCTAAGAGTTACTTCCTTTGTCATCACTGTTTAGCTTGCAGATGCTCATACAAGGAAAAACAGTGAGTAAGTGCTTGGTTATAAAACCTTAAATATAATCATTTGGGTATATACCCAGTAATGGGATTGCTGAGTCAAATGCTATTTCTGGTTCTAGATCCTCAAGGAATTGCGACACTGTCTTCCATAATGGTTGAACTAATTTACACTCCCACCAACAGTGTAAAAGTGTTCCTATTTCTTCACATCCTCTCCAGCATCTGTTGTTTCCTGACTTTTTAATGAGTGCCATTCTAACTGGCATGAGATGGTATCTCATTGTGTTTTTGATTTGCATTTCTCTAATGACCAGTGATGATAAGCATTTTTTCATGTTTGTTGGCCGCATAAATGTCTTCTTTTGAGAAGTGTCTGTTCATAAACTGAATAAAGAAAATGTGGCACATATACACCATGGAATATTATGTAGCTGTAAAAAAAGGGTAAGTTCATGTCCTTTGCAGGACATGGATGAAGCTGGAAACCATCATTCTCAGCAAACTAACACAGGAACAGAAAACAAAACACCGCATGTTCTCACTCATAAGTGGGAGTTGAACAATGAGAACACAAGGACACAGGGAAGGGAACATCACACACTGGGTCCTGTCACGGGCTGGAGGGCTAAGGGTGGGATAGCATTGGGAGAAATACCTAATGTAGATGACGGGTTGATGGGTGCAGCAAACCACCATGGCACGCGTATACCTATGTAACAAACCTACACGTTCTGCACATGTATCCCAGAACTTAAAATATAATTAAAAATAAACCTTAAATATTAAATTAAGTTGGTCTCACAAAGGAAAATTTTGTTATCATCATTCGTTCTTTTGTAACACTGGGCATTAGGTAAGAAAATAATATTTTTAAAAACAATTTTATAATTGTGTAGAACAAAAGTAATAGATAAGGGCAGTGAACATCACTCTGAATTTGATACCAAAGCTAGCAAACACTTAGAGAATGAGATTCCTATTGCAGCTTGAATATTATAACTAAAAATGTTTGGTTTATAATAGCTATTTGGAAGCAGTTTTTAATATAAGAGGTTATTTCACAGTTCACAGTTCAACAGACCTCATCTCCTTACATATGAGAAATTTTTATCTATTTTGCAATTTTCAATGACTGCATTTATGGAATGGCAATAGACATAACATGGCTTAAATGCTAGGCTTTTATAAACACTATGTCCATCCAGACACAGGTATTCATTACTATTATTATTTTGCATACTTAAGCATGATTGAATAAAACTGTTTTTCTCTTCCATAAAGTAACTCCTCACATATATGTGTGTACACAAAACTATATGTATGCATATTTTAAATAGATATACATGTTATATAGTTATGTGATGCACGGCAAATTATATATAATACATATTTTTGTATTTAATGTGTATGTATTATTTATCATGTTTCATTCCATATATTATAATATTGCTGATTGAGTTGAAACTGGCCCCATCATTTTTGGCCAGAGGTGTGTTTCTGTTTCTCTTTGACCCTGCCGCTGAGGACCCCAGCAATGTTCCTGATTGCCTTGGAAGAACATCTACATCTAGATAGGTGAGTGTCTTTTGTGGGCCCAGACAGCGGGCTCTGCTGTTCCCAAAAACTTGGGAAATTTTAAAGGATTTTCTGTTTGCAAGTTGAACAAGCCTAACCAACAGAGAGAGGAAGCACCCCGACCGTTTCATTGTGGACACTCTCAGGGCTTGTGTGTTGCTGCAGCAGTTGGGTTGCATTTTGTTGATTGTTTTGTGTGTGTGTCAACGTAGTTGTAGGGGGGTTGGAGTTCTATTTGAGAGTGCAGGCTGGGCTAGAAATCCAACCTATCTTCAGGGTTGATCTGAACGTAGTTTTTTTTGCCATGGCTAGGCCATACCACCCTGAACACACCCGGTGTCATCTAATCTTGGAAGGTCTTTGAATTGTAATGCCATCTTCATTTTGCTGTTGAATGAAAAAGCAGGTGGGAATTCCATGTATCCAGATTATACGCTGTTGTTCTGAGCAGGGCCAGACCTGGTTAGTACATGATGTTCTTCTGTGGTGCTGTTTGGCTCCAGTGTTCTTTGGAGTCTGGGGAGGTTTGGCTTTGAAAAGAGTCAAACTTCCATGGAAACCACTTTACCTAAAATTCTGGTTTGCAGCCTTTATTAGATTATCTATCAAGGCAAACAAAGTTTAGCCAGGTGAACACTTTCATAAACCAATGAGTTTGTATTAGTATCTCATGGCTAGAGTTCCAAGGTAAAAGCTATTTGATCTTTGTATGTGTGCCTATATGTTTGGGTGTTATGTGTTGTTTTTACAAGGTACCAAATTGGCTTATAAATAAAAGAGTGCACATAGATTAAATATGTGCAAGTACTTTTCAAGTTCATATAAGTTAAGTATACCTTTAAACAAGCTGGCTTTAAGATAATTGGTAAAATAAAAATAGAATTGTCTTCAGAATTATCTGCATACATTTTTGTCTGGACTTTATATCTCTCTCTGTTGGGTATTTTAAGGTGTAGGATTTGGCCCCAAAGGTTATAAGACTGTAAACTCAGCCAAGAATAAAATGATCTTTGTGTTATCTTTTGACAAATAAGACTAATGTTGTTGATTTAATAGAAACGGCTGAATCTTCTGAGTTATTGGTGAAAATACCTTTAACTTTAAGGTTGTTACCTGATATTCACAGGCTATAAAAATGGTTAACAAGGAAACAACTTGAAATGATGACTAGCTTTGTCTAACATCTGTTCTCAGAAGTAATCTAGATAAACTGTTAAAAAGTGAAAAATTGAGTACATGCAGATGGGCAAATGTTTGTAGGTGAACTTTTATAATTTAAAATCATAGTTATTTTTGGATGCTTAGTGAATGTTTAGGTCATTTCCAATTAAGAAAGGATTGTGACATGGGGAAACCTTTTTTAAAAATTGTGCAATATTCTCATCTATAAAATGCTAATACCAGATTGACAGTTCAGGATTTCTCACTTCCCAGGTCTTCACTGAAATTTAAGGTTATTGAGACAAAGAATTCTAGTTTACACATAATCCTGTAAATAAGATGTGCCAAAAAAAATGTGTCCTTATTGAAAGAATAACTTTGTCTCGTTGAGAAGTTACTAAAGGTTAATTTAAACAATGGACTTTGAAAGGTTATTTGTGAAACAAGCTAGGAACCAGTAAGTAGGGGAGAGAGATGAAGAAAGTTATCGATACATGATAATGTATTTTTGGTAAGGAAGGTTATAAAGAAAGGAGGATAATTTTGTAGGAGAAAGGATCTTGGTAAATTCTTATCCTAAAGTAAAATGAAGAGAAAATTCAGGACAAAACTGAAGGCCCAAACATGTTATAGATGGTCTGTGTAAGTCATAAGTAGTTTTTTTTGTTTGTTTGTTTTTCTGTATGTCTGCCTTCATGCACATACAGGGAAAATAAAACATTTAAAAAGTTAACAAAATATTAATAGAAAACTGGAGATATTTGGCTAATTAATATTGCTCATAGTTAAAAATGAAGGTGAAGTAGATATTGTGAAGAAATACATTGGCAGTTTGGTAATTCTTTAAAATAGTTGAGCATGAAGCCAGATTTAGCGTGGAGCCAAATTTCACAAATGCTTGCATTTCTTTGTTTCACATGATATTTGCTATTCTGCATACAGTATTAACACTAAGGTGCTTACTGGTTATGTGCCTGAAGTGATTATCTTAATTTCACAAAGTGTATGATGGTGTTGGTAGATTTAAAGATACTAATCTTTTTTTTTTTTTTTTTTTTTTTTTTTTTGTGTGTGTGTGTGTGTGTAAAGCTCTGGGTAACACTGTAGCTTCGAAGGTAAATTAAGGATGCTGTTATAAAGACACAGGCACACGTATGTTTACTGCGGCACCATTCACAATAGCAAAGACTTGGAACCAACCCAAATGTCCAACAATGATAGACTGGATTAAGAAAATGTGGCACATATACACCATGGAATACTATGCAGCCATAAAAAATGATGAGTTCATGTCCTTTGTAGGGACATTGATGAAATTGGAAACCATCATTCACAGTAAACTATCACAAGGACAAAAAACCAAACACCTCATGTTCTCACTCATAGAGGGGAATTGAACAATGAGAACACATGGACACAGGAAGGGGAACATCACACTCTGGTGACTGTTGTGGGGTGGGGGGAGGGGGGAGGGTTAGCACGAGATATACCTAATGCTAAATGATGAGTTAATGGGTGCAGCACACCAGCATGGCACATGTATAATATGTAACTAACCTGCACATTGTGCACATGTACCCTGAAACTTAAAGTATAATAATAATAAAAAAAAATAAAAAAAATTAAAAAATTAAAAAATAAAAAAAGAAGAAATATGCAAATCGAAGGTAAATTAAGGAGAAGAAAATTTAAGGTTGACTTTGTTTTTTGCTTTTAATTCACATTTATTTGCTCTTCTTTCGGTTTTACTTGGATATACATACATAAAGTAACTGTTTAGTTTCTAGTGGAAGGCTTTTATTTGGTTCTCTGAATAGTCATTTTGCTTCCTAATAATTTCCAACAATTCATTATTTTCTGTTCATTTAAAACATAAGCTACTTTTGTCAATAAATGATAGAGTGTACCAGCCACTTAAAAATGGATTGGTTTGGTTTACATCTGATAATATAGAGAGCCGTAAGAGCTTTAAGTTTCCTGGCCAAAAATTAAAGAACAGTTCTGTTACTAGAATGCTAGCAATTGGACATAAGCAAAGAGTAATCTAACCACTTTAATACAATGGTTTGATGTGCTGCAGGCAATAACTACTAGATGTGAAACTAGTGTTCAATTTGTGATGTGTTAGAATAATAGGGCTTTCTGTAGTATTAGTAAACTGAACCACTAATTTCTAAATGTTATGTCTAAATATTCGTTGAACATTGGCTTCTGTTCTTAGCATAAGTGCCTATATTATACTTGATCATTTATATTGTAGATAGACTACTTTGCTGTAAGATAAGTTTCTGCTCACACATTATCAATAGAGTGCTCTTTTACTGTAATTTTATTTCTATATTGCTCTTAAAGTCTTTTGATTATCACTTTGGTTAAATGAATATTATTTTGTAATGACCTGTGATTCCATTTTGAGCAAATGTTTTGAGGCTTTCAACATCTTTGATAAACATCTTATCAACTAATCCTTGTGTTGTAATAGGATTTGACTCCTGGGTCTGAAAAATGGCACCAACTCCTGCTAAATGTTGAACATTGACACCAGCCAAAGCCTCTTCTTCAAACCCAGGAGAAGATGACAATCAAACTACTTTAATGAGACACAGGGCCAGAAACTAAAACTTCAATCCCTCCAGTCCCATTGGAAGAGGTTATTATGGAGGATCTTAAGGGCTGATTTTGAGGGATAAAATTAGTTCAGGCCCTCCAAATCAATTGTGTTCAGGCACACAAATGCCTAAATAGCTGACAAATTAAGGAAGTTTGCCTCTCTACATTCCTTAACTCAAATGAGTCTAACAAAGTGCTTATGTTTTGTATAAATAATTGCTACAAGTCAGTATCTAAGACTAGAAATCAATTCTGTAAACTTACTTTTTGAATTCTGTGTTTTGGCTTTTATGTTGCTTAAAAGGTTTTAAGGGTTAATGAATACCTGCCCATCTCCATTCTTGTCTGACCTAGGACATTTAATTGGGATAAGTCTTTTGGCCATAGGGGTTCTACTAAGGGCCAGGATAGACCTGGGGGAGGTAGCCACACCACCTGGCAATGATATGGGACAAAATAAAACCTTAGCCATTGATGCTGACTCTGGCAAATCTTGGCCAAGAGGGGGAAATACAAAGTAAAAATAAAATCCTAAGTCCCTCTGCCACTGACTAAGTGGACCTACTTGTGGCCAACAGAACCCCAGAAAAACCTTACAACTGAGTTCCCAGCCACGATGGGATAAGAAGTCAAACATGCCTCATTATACCCCCTTCCTTTGTCGTTAGATACAACAACTGACTCGACCTCTACAGGCCTGATTGAGGCTTACCCTATCAGGACTGAGAAAGCTACCAAAGCCATCAAAGTAAAGCCTTTAATGAAGGAGATAATTCCTGTCTCCAATGTGAAAATGGAGCCACTTTTGTAGTTCAAGTAGCTCCAGAATTATCACAGCTATTGAGTATTAATTAAAAACTATGTTCATCTTGGAGAGTGCAATCTTCTGGAAAGACTGAAAGAATGAGTAAGACATTAAAGAAATCTTTCTAGAATATGCCAAAAAACAAATCTTACACATAAAAATCTTGCCTCTTGCCCTGCCGAGAATGAGTATCACCCAGAAGTGGGTTGGCTCTTAACCCCTTTGAAATGTTGTATGAGAGATCATTTCTCTGTCTCGTGGAATACCTGTCACTTAAGGATTTTTCTTCCTCTGAAACAAGCTAGATTATATATAAAAAAAACTATGAAACACATTAATTAGTCTCTCTGAGTTTGCTTCCAAAAGACTCCAGTTCCCTATGGATGTGCCTCTTCACTCTGAAACCCGGGGAACAAGTCCTGCTGAAGACCTGGAAATCCACCAGGCTGAAGGTCGTCTGCAACAACAGGGTCAGCCCCTTCTCGGTGCTGCTGACCACCCACTCATCTGTCAAGTTAGGCAGTGTTAAGCCATGGATTCACTGCTTGGGTAAAACCTGCTCCTCTGGGACTCCTCCAGGGGATAGCCATGGTCTTGTGAATCCTTGAATGGCCTTAAATTAATATTTAGAACTCAGACAAGGACTCTAGCTAAGTCAATTATCCCATGATACCCATCCCTAGCATGAACCAGGCAAAAAAGTTGATGACCTTATTCGCCATGATGGAGAAATTGATAAGTAAAAGGGGAGACTGAAACCAGCCCAATTTTAACCTTACATCTTTTTTCAGGAAACTGACAATCAGGCCTTCTGTATGATATCAAGGAGCTGAGGCTTTTAGATCACTACACTCAATGAGATGTGCCTGTAGTCTGTTTGGCCAATTTCTCTTCCTTTCACCCTACTAATTCCTATCTTACCACACATAGTTGCAATGAGGTGCTTGACCCTACATTTGGTCATCTGCTTCCTGTTGATCAACTCTTCACCCTGCTCCTCCTGTTTTCCTTCCCTGCTATAAAAACACTTAACTTAGTTGAAGAGTGGGGATGGATTTGAGGTTTGACTCCTGTCTCTTTGGCTGATGTCACTGGTAATATAATAAAACTTTATTTCTTAGCAATACACATCGTCTCAGTGATTGGCTTTCTCTGTGGTGAGCAAGGAGACTTACTCCTTGCTCTGGTGTTTGGTGACACATATATCTGATCATCTTTCTGTCATCTAGGAAGCTATGTGGGGGCTGGCACTGTCACTGGGCAATAGGTGTGACTCAGTCTTTGTCTCCTCATTCTCTCCTTTCCACCCTCAGTATTAGATCTTTTATAATTTACTCTCCCCTCCTCAGCATCACTCCAACTTCTTTTTTGAGATAGTTTAGTAATTTTTATTTTTATTTAATCTAAATATTCCCTGAAGAATATCTGTTTGTTTTTTAAAAAATTCTTTTATTTTTAATTTTTGTGGGTATGTAGATAGGAATCCCTTTCTCCCAGTTGAGATAGGGTTTCAGAATTGTGATCTGGCATACTTTTTTTCTCGTAAAAAGTAGGATTTTGTCTAGAGGAGACTTTGGAAGTATTTCATGAGAAGGTTACTCTTTTCCCTCATTCTGCCAGAACAGCAAGGAGATCTTTTTGGCTCCTCATAATGAAAATCTGGAAGGGTTCTTGGAAGGAGAGTCCATCAAAATATAGGTTATTCTAAGACTACAGCCCCATTCCCGTTGTAGTCCATACTCAGCCTCCATCAATTATCAAAATTACTATTTTTCTTCAAGTTTTTGTTTCCACAGGTTTCTGCTCCAGGTAAGCAACTTTCAGTTGCTTTATTTCTTTGGATGCCCCTCTCTCTCCAGATTTTGGAGTGGCATTTGGCCTATGACATTAGTTCTTTAATGGGCCTTTGCAAAGTCATAGCTTTTTTATTGTAAGGATGGAAGTAAAGAATTCTAAAATCTTTACATGTTGGAGCTGAAACTAGAACAGCTCTAATGAATTTTTAGAATATGCTTCATGTATTTCTGCCATGCTTTTTTGTACTGTCAAAGTAATGCTGCTTGTTATGTATTGATTTTCAAGGAATGCATATATACATGTACACATGTGCCTTAATATTGAATAACAAAACATTGTTAATATGCTAAAATGATTAAGTGAAATATGTAATACATTTCAGGTAAGATCATTAAAATCAAGACAATTTCTAAGAAAGTTTATATTTAACTGTGTATGCTTGAAATGGAAATAGAAAAGCCATGGTGTATTTAAAACACTTTGTTATACCTGCCAGGCAAGGAAGGGAATAAGACAGAGTTGCTAAGTGAGAAATACACGGACAGTCTGCAGATGTGGGTACTCCAGAGGAAGCAAATGGAATTCTATTATTTGGATAACATTTTGACAAAAGACTGTGCTGTGTGGAAGAGTGTAAGGCATAATTGCATAAAGGAACAAAGAGGGTTAAGAGCAAAGCAAGGCCACATAAACAAAGATTGTAAGGGTCAGGAAAAAATAATATTAAGTAGTGGTGGATGAACCCCAGCCCACTGATGAGACAATGTTTTCAAAATTGTCCATTGTCTAAGCTCGTTTATCTGTGGATCAGTGTGCTTCATATCCTTTGATGAGTGCAGCAAGCAGACATACCTATTCAACACTAAAATGATCAATTTATGATGCAAGGCATTTTACATCTTAAATTTCATGTAATATCAGGTATTTTATAAGTGAAACATATTACTACTGATTTACTAATTAATATCCTCTAGCCATTAGATTTAGTATATTCATTATTTGTTCAGATAATAGTTTCAAATATTTTCTTTATTGTAAATAGTTTTTTTTGACAGTAAATTAATCGTTTCTAGTTTTTCAGGGAAAGAACAAAGGAGACAATAAGACAATATCTAAAACAATATTAAAAATAACCAATGTATTGAGACCTGTATTCCTAATGCAAGATAAGGCCATGGGGCCTGAGGCACCACTAGACCCTGAGCCTTCACTGTTTAAGGAAGGGAATCCCCACATTCCCAATGGGGCATGGTACACAGATGGCTCTGCCTCAGTGCTACTGCTGCCTGGACCACTGTTGCAGTCCAGTCTACTACTGACACCATATGGTTTGAAACTGGGTGTGGACAAAGTAGCCAATGGGCTGAACTTAGAGTAGTATGGATGGTGATCACCAAGGAGGTGACACCTTTGGTAATCTGTACTGATAACTGGGCAGTCTATCAAAGCTTAACCTTGTGGTTAAGTACCTGGAAAATACAGAAGTAGCTAGTTGGCCACCGACTCATTTGGGGCCAGGCCATGTGGCAAGACCTCTGGAAAATGGGCCATCAGAAAGAGGTAATTATTTATCATGTGCCAGGCCATATGCTTTTTTGCAACCCCAACAATGATAAGGCAAATGCCTTGGCCAAGTTCCAATGGCTAGAGTCAGCACCAACACGAGATGTGGCCTTGTGGCTACACCAGAAATTGGGACATATGGGAATTAAACTTATGCAACAGGTCAATTAGTGTTGGGGTCTGTCCCTGACCAAGCAAGACCTTTGGGAGGCTTGTCAGAAATGCCAAGCATGTGCTCAGGCATACCCTAAATGGAGGCAGCAGCCCAGTGTTACACAATGAGTAACAATACGGTGAGTGCCCTTGACCAGGTGGCAAGTAGACTACATCGGGCCACTGCTGAAGTCACAAGGGTATATGCATGTGTTAACAGCTGTAGACGTGGCCACAGGCTTGTTCGCCTACCCCTGCAGGGCGGCCGACCAACATCATACCATTCGAGTCCTACAACACTTACGTGCCCTGTATGGTTGCCCTCTGTCCATTGAGAGTGATAGTGAAACACATTTCACTGGATAACTGGTACAACAATGGGCACAACAAGTGGACATAAAATGCCATACAACCCACAAGCTGCAGGTATGAATGAGTGATATTACAGCCTGTTGAAGAATGGGTTACACTTGCATGCCACTCCCCATCTTGGTGGGGCTGGAGTTCCAGGCTGGACCTACTGCTCCAAACCTTGAATGAACAGCCACAGAAAGATAGGCCAGCCCCAGTGGAGGCTTTGTTACACTAGGCCACCACCCCCATTCATTTGCAGATACATACCAAGGATGACCACCTCCCACCAGGTATGGGGACAAATGGTAACCTGTTGTTGCCTGTCACAACACCCCTGAAGGCAGGGTTACAGAAAACCTGGCTGTGGCCATGGACACTCCAGGCACCCCACTGCCGGTGCTTGGCTATTGTAGCTCACTGGGGGGAGGGCCTACAGTATGACTCGCATGTCACTCCTTGGGTGTTCAATACATGGCCCCCACGGTTGACTGTTCATAGGGAAATGGGCCAGGGAAGAAACCCTCCTCTGAGGAACAAACGTACTGCCTGTGTGGCCTATTATGAGCTCCCCTGTGACTTTGGCACACATACAGGACTCAAAGGAACCATGGGGAGCTGAAAAGGTGTGGTACCATTGCCCAGGGCAAAAGCCTTTGGTGGCTGCATTGTTATCCAGAGATGAGAGGTGATATGGCTGTGTCCCTACCCAAATCACAACTTGGATTGTATCTCCCAGAATTCCCACGTGTTGTGTGAGGGATGCAGGGGGAGGTAATTAAATCATGGGGTCCAGTCTTTCTTGTGCTATTCTTATGATAGTGAAAAAGTCTCATGAGATTTGATTGGTTTATCACAGGTTTCCACTTTTGCTTCTTCCTCATGTTCTCTTGCCACTGCCATGTAAGAAGTGCCTTTCACCTCCCACCATGATTCTGAGACCTCCCCAGCCATGTGGAACTGTAAATCCAATTAAAACTCTTTTTCTTTCCAGTCTCAGGTATGTCTTTATCAGAAGCTTGAAAATGGACTAATATAAAAGGTTAGCCTTTATTTTGCCTGAAGGATGTGATTTACCTCTGTTAGTACCTGTGCTTCCTCTGTCATTTTGACCATAGATTAACATGCTCCAACTGCATTTGGACTGGGCCCACAACTATGCTGAGGTGGCCAATGTTTCCATCTGTTAGATCTGCCCTGCCTTTCCAGTACCAGCTGCAGAAGGCTTGCCTTGGCACATACATTCAGCGTCTTCAGAGGACTGGACATGGCTGGAGACTGGGGTCCCATGGCTGATGCCTGGACAAGCTCTGGACAAAGGATGCTGTAAGACCCACAGTGTGCCTTCCCCACGGCTGGCCCATAGCGTTTATGATGGGTGGGACTGGCTAGCGGGGGCACATGTAATACCCCAAGCCCATGCACTGCAGCGCATACAGCGACACTGGGGTAACACCCCTGTGGGATAGGTATCTGTCACAGCCTGTGTAAACATAACACATGTCATCACACTGAAGGTATGGTGGAACAAGCAGCCCCACCAAGGCCAGGCCCTGATGGATTTTGTGCCCCCTGGGAGTTTATGGGTCTCTGAGGACACAGGGTGGCCTTACCTACCAGTGGACTGGACTGGATATTGTCCCTGGGGATGGCCTTATTTATCTGCCACTGTTCTCCCTACATTGCCAGACACCTGTATAACTAGGAGGAGCTGTGCTCTTGGTTTTATTGAATGCAATGAGCCCCCTGGTGGTTCTACCCCTTGGTAATGTTTCATAACTATAGAAGCACAAGTTACTACTCTTGCAGAGCACATTGCTTGGGCTCTGAATTACACTCCAGTGGCCCTTGTCCTGTTAACAGGTGAGGTTGATCAGATCAGAAATGTTGTGTTGCAAAATCGAATAGCCTTAGACATAATAACTGCTGCCCAAGGAGGCACCTGTGCCCTTGTAGGAACACAGTGTTATACCTTTATCCCTGACCATGGGCAGAACATAACAGCAGCCCTACAAGGGGTCTCATGGGAGATTAAGGTGGTTGAGAGCCTTACTCACAAATCCCTGCAGAGATGGTGGGCATCCCTAGGCTCTGGCCTATGCTGGGCCCTAATAATAGCATAGCTGGGATCCTAGCAGTGACCTGTTGTTCTCTGTATTATTGTTGTGGGTTATGGATTCAGGGCTTCACCCTATGGGCATGTGTCCCAGCCTGGAGAATGCCCTTGGCCTAGGGAGTGGAGTGCAAGGGAAATGACTGCAGTTTAGCCAGGAGTAGGCCAAGGTGGCTTTCTGGCATAGCATGACTCAGCGGGTTTGGAGCACAGGCACACAACTCTGCACATTATGTAACCATGTGAGGCACATTAGGCGATCATACACGTGAGCTCATGATTGGCTTGGAGCCACTATTGTCTGTAAGAGGTATAATTACCCTGCTAACACTATACATACAGCTTGTGCCCAGGCTTACTCACACCCAGAGAGAGAGTAATGCCATGTCAAAACTGTCTACAATTCCTCAAGTGTTTTTCCAGCTACCTGTCACCCCACAAAAATAGTTACACTTTAAAATTGTTCTTAAAATGTATTAAAATATAACTAGAATGCTCCAGATTCTTGTACAAACAGTTCTAGCAATTACAACAATTGTGTAATGAGAATTCACATCCATGTTACTCATTCTAGTAATGCAAAAACCATTTTAATGTGTATTATGTATCTAGTATTTGCTGGACATTGTGCTTATTAGTGATTCAAAAAATGTTATGGCTTTGATTACTAACTAATGCTTACAGATATTGCACTGTGGCTACAGAGAATGAATTCAGTTTGTATTTTGTTTTCTTTAGGGAATTGTTTACATTATGTTTCCTTTTCATCACCCCCAGAAGTCATTTAGTTGAAACAAAGGCAATATCTTCATGACTAATTTACTACACTCATTTTTTATTTCTGGTAGAAACAAAGTTTGGTAGTAGCAAATAACTAGAAAAGAACAAACCTGGAGGAATAAAAAATTTTCTTAAACCTTTCTTATGAACACAAAACTATACTTTTATTAATCTTGATGGTATGTTGCAAGTTAAATAATACCAATTTACATGGAAGAAAGAAATACAACATAGGCAACACCTGACTCTTGTGTGACTCATAAAAAATTCCGGAGTAAATAACTCTCAATGATTAACATTTGAGGAAATAATTCTTAATAAAATTAGGCTAGCAAAAATTAGAAAGCAACAAAAATAGCAATTGATAATCATAGAAAACTAAAGACAACACTGATATACACAAATACTATATAATATCTTTCCATAAGGTTACAACTATTTAAAACATTCTGTGTCTATAACATTTTCTGGTAGAAACCTGATAAAGAGATCTCAGGAAATCCTCTTAGTAGATTGATTTTATTATAAAAATACCAAAGTCTATTTCATTTAGTATATTACTGTTAAATGGTTCTTAGTTTTATGTAACAGAGTAAAGGTTTTAGAATTATCTTTATGACACAAATCTGCTTTTCTGTATTGAATCATTTTTTAGCTCATTAAGATCACAGTCCTTGTCAAACACTTGTATATTTGTTTCATGGACTATTCTAAATTTAACGCTTGAACAGATTTGTTGTCAAATTTAAGGGATGGAGAAACCCAAATTATTTTAATTCTAACAAAATCCATTAACACAGTTCTAGACTTGATAAAAAATTAAATGTTTTATTTATTGCAGTTAGTCATTTAGTCATTTAAATATATATCCATTCAATGCCCATCTGTGTGTGGCATTTCTCTAGGGGCTAGAGATGTAAACATTATGAAGACCAGTGAGATTTCTGCTCACTTGGAGCTTACAATAGTAAGAAATTACACACTGCAATATGTGTAACATAGGAAACAGACAATAGATCTATGTGGCAGAATAATGGAGGTGCTGGGAATGGTGGTGGTAAGGCAGAGCTGACCTTTTACCAGATAGGGTCATCAGAGAATGGTTCTTTGAAAGACTGGCATTTGTATTAGTGCCCTGTTTCTTCTGTAACAACCACAAATTTAGTGGCTTAAAACAATACATATTTTCTCACACTTGTGAAGTTCAGAAATCCAAAAATGTCTCAGTGAACATCAAAGTGTCACCAGGGCTGTTTTTCTCTTTGCTATAGGCAAGAATCCATTTCCTCATATTTTCTAGCTCCTAGACACTGCCCACATTCCTTGGTTTATGGCTGCCTTCTTCCACTTTCAGCACCATTGAATATAGGTTGAGTTTTCACATTGAATCATTCTGACCTCTTATAATCAAATTCATCTCTATCTCCCTTTTCATCTATAAACATCCTTGTGGTTACATCAGGCTCATATAATAATCCAGGATAATCCCCTTTCTCAAAATCTTTAACTTAATTAGATCTCCTAACTCCTTTTGCCATATAAGATAACATATTTACAGCTTCTTAAGGTTACGATGTGAACATTTGGTAGACCATTACTTTGTCTGTCACAACATTTAAGTTAAATCTCATGAAAATCAAGCTTGTAAAAAAGGGGAGAAAATTCATTGTGTATACTGGCTCTGAGTCTAGAAAGCACTTGAAATATTGCAGGAATTGAAATTATATTACTGTGAATGTCTCATAGTGAACAACAGGGTGTCATGTGATGAAATTTTGTACCACAAAAATTTAGTTTACAAGCTGTGTTAGGCCATTCTTACATTGGCATAAAGAAATACCTGAGATGATAATTTACAAGAAAAGAGATTTAATTGGCTCACTGTTCTTCAGGCTATACAGGAAGCATAGTACCAGCATCAGCCTCTGGTGGGGCCTTAGAAAGCTTCCAATCATGTCAGAAGGCAAAGTGGGAGGAGCAGCGAGAGAGAGAGTTGGGGGTTAGCAAACACACACTTAAAACAACCAGATCTTGTGAGAATGCACTATCTCTAGGACAGCACCAAGCCATGAGGGATCTGTCCCCACGACTGAAACACCACCCACCAGGTCCCGTCTCCAACATTGGGATTACAATTCAACATGAGATTTGGCAGGAACCTATATTCAAACTACATCACAAACCATCAAATATAGAATGTGGTGAAACCTGATATGGAAATGATGTTAGATCTGTGTACTAACCATCTCTGTTCTACTTTCTATTTCACTTTTTCTTATGTTCTGAAGATTTTTCTTGTGTCCTCACCTAGAAAGTAAAGCCTGTCTTAGTTTGGATTGTCATAAAAACAGACCCTGAGATAAGGTTTTGAGTGTAAGTAGTTTATTGGAAAGTATGAGGATCCCTGATGGGAGCTGAGAAGGTAATATAAGGAGAGGAAGGCCATATGCTATCCAGTAGATGATTGAAGCTTACTGTTATGGGGGAAATCTGGGAAAATGTCCAAATGTCCAAAGGGCCAAGAAAATTGCTCTATAATGCACCAATTCTCAAGAGCCATAGTTTGAGGGATGCCCTTGGAGAATGTTTTCTCAGTATTTCATGCTTTTTGTATAGGAAGAACAGCAAAAGAATACCAGTTTCTAAAATCCCAGGAGAAACAGTCATCAGGCAGAGGCATTCGAAGGTCTGGAAAGTGTACTAGGAGTCATTCAGATATGGTGATGTCCACTATAAGGCCCTTAAAAACATGATTGTCCTATTCTTCTAAATCACAATTGTCTAAGGTAATGTAGAAAAGATGCAAAAAGCTGCCAGCTGTGGTTATTGACATTCTCAGTACTGCCAATTTGGTTCCAAAGAGCGCAGAGCACACTGTATATGGCAGAATTTGCTTTAGCATACCAGCACTTATGATTCATTGTCCTTGGCTTGGGATAGACTAGATAATAAAGAATGCTGTCACCCTGAAAAAGATGAAATTCTTTCCTTATAATATTCTCAGGACCAACCCTATTAACTTGTCAACATGACAAGGCATTATATAATAAAATGCAGACAGTCTGTATTTACTTTGAATTCTGAATGGAATGGACAAATCCCTGATATACAAGAGATGTGGAGAAAAATAAATGGGATTTGCAACACTTTCCAATGATTTAATGCTGATTTTTTCTGTTTCAGAAAAAGATCCTTTCACTGTCTTGTTTTCCCTCTGATGTGGGTATTTTATCTTAATAGAATTTTGTAAAATACTGACACCTTATAAAGAGGCAGACATTTACTGCTCTACTATGGTTTTTCATGGAGAACTGTCAAAATATGTTTTATGGTTCTTTATTTTTCTTTTCACACTTCTTTCTCAGTAATGTTCTCTTAGAAACCTGGCCCAAATTGAATTTTACCTTCCTTTGTACTTAGTGAAGCACAGCCCAAAACAGTTCTGATATGTCTCTTTCTATTTCTGGTAACCATAACTTTATGGCACCGTTATGTAATAAAGCTTTTCTCAAGGGAAAATGTGTGAAATATTTTTATTAGGAACTAATATAGACTATCACATGGGAGCATCAAGGGAATATGAGGTTTAAACCTCGCATCTCTGCTACTGTTAAATGTAGTAATGAATGGTCAATTTAACAGACTAAAATGTTTCTAGTCAATGCTATTTCCCACAATTAGTATGTTATCTGTACATCGTTCAACAAAGTAATCATTCTTTGTCAAAAAGTCCTATTTGAATATCAGGTTCTATACTGTACAGTAGCCCTTTTGCTCTAAGACAGCATTTTTGTATAAGAAAAAAATAGTAGTTTCTATTTTTAAGGATGTTATTCTTGACTTAGTTTCATTAACTCTGAAATAATCTATCAAGTCATTTGGATCACGTCATGAAACTTAAAGAGATGAACAGATAATAAAATATATCCCACACTGTAATGTACAGAACAGTGGTCCCAAATGTATGTTTATGTCTCAATCTCTAGAATCTGTAAATATGACTTTACATGGTATAAAAATGAATATTACTGTATATGGCAAAATATGATTGTGTTTAAGATCATTGTGTATCCTTAAACAGACAAAGTGACAGACACACAAGATGATATGAAGACTAAGACAGACATTGGAATAATGTGGCCACAAACTTCCAAGGAATGGTAACAGTCACCAGAAGCTAGACAAAGCAAGACATAGTGTCCCCCAGAGGCTGCAGAGGAAATGGGATCTTGCCGGCACCTTAACTTTGGACTTCTGGCCTCCAGAGCTGTGAGAATAAATTTTTGTTGTTTTAAGTGACCAAATTTGTGGTAATTTGTTACAGTAGCCACAGGAAACCAACACACCCTCTTTCCATTGGTAGAAGATAATAATGGAAATCATGTTGTAGACTTCACAAGTTTGAGGCCAATTAAAAGAAAATATGTATATGCTATACCTTTTGTTTGTTTTGGAACTTTCTATTTAATGTTGAGTAGATACAAAATAATTCTTATAAAATACATATAAGGAAAAAGAATCACAATACAACAAACAACTATGTACTCATCAGTCAGTTAGGAAATGAACATCATCATTTACTTGGTACCCCTCACCAATCCCATCCATAGCTCTTCCTTTTTGGATTAATCATTTATCTAATTTTTCTGTTTATCACTATTTTTAAAATAATTTTATTTGTATTTTTAAACAAGATATTGATTATTGTTGGATATTTTTTAATTTTATATTGATGAAATCATTGTATACTTCTGAAAGTTGTATATTTCTACTCAACATAAAATTCTGGAAATTCACTTATGTTGCTCCACATAATTTATTCATTTTTTTCTACTGTGTGATATTGCAGTATCTAATTATTAGACTAATGATATGGTTTGGCTGTGTGCCCACCCAAATCTCATCTTGAATTGTAGTTCCCATAATCTCCACATGTCATGGGAGGGATGTGGTGGGAGGTAATAGAATCATGAAAATGCTTCATGATTCTCTCTTGCCACCATGTGAAGGACATGAGCTTCCCCTTCCACCATGATTGTAAGTTTCCTGAGGCTTCCCTAGCCATGCTGAGCTGTGATCAATTAAACCTCTTTCCTTTATAAATTACCCAGTCTGGAGTATGTCTTTGTTAGCAGCATTAGAATGGACTAATACAACCCTAATTTATTTCTGCATTATATTGTTGATGGATTTGTGGTTTCTTTTATTTTGATATTAAAAAATCTTTGCTTCCCTATCTTGGTGAATTTGTACAAGATTTTGCTGCCATATATATCTACGAGTAGAATTACTTGTGTCATTGAGTTTAAATATTTCCAGGTAATTAGAATTTTTTTTAAAGCTTGAATCAAACTTCCGTAGAAGTAAACGATAGTTACAATTTCTCCAAATCTTTCTCAATAGTTTATATTATCAGACTTCTTAATGTGTGCCAAATGCTTGGTTGTGAAATGATATCACAATTTAGCTTGTTAATGCTTACATGCTATTATACATTTATTGGTCATTTGGGCATTATCCATCTTTGATAGTTTTATTAAAATCTCTTTATTAGTTTTTGTATTTGTGTTTGTTTATATTGATTTACAAGTATGCTTTATATTTTCTTAATTCTAATCCTTATTAGTTGCCTGTATTACAGATAACATCTCTCACCTGCTGTGCTCAGTTTTTACTTAGTTTTATAGTGTCTTTGTTTTTAAAAGTCTTATTTTAATGTGTAGAACAGTCTAACTTTTCATTTGTAATTGTTCTTGGGTCTTCTTTATGAAATTCTTTTAAAAAATGAGGTCTTGATTTCATCTTACAAATTTAGGTCTTTATTATATCAGGAATTTATTTTTTACATGTTGTATATGGTAAGAAATCTAATTTCATTTTTATTCCATATACGTTGACAATGATCCTGGGGGCATTTATTAATAGCTAAATAAGTAATTACTTTTATTTGTGATCTAATATAACAGCTCTACAATAAATAAAAATGCAACAATTATTGCATGGCTTAGTTATTAAACATCAAGAAACTATACAGGCCATTAATTCAGCCCATATATAGTTAGTGCTTAGGTTTCTTTGGTTCAAGCTAATATTTGAAGGCAGTATTTTAAATTCGTCTTTTTCCCCCTGGGATTTCAGAAAAATAACAAATTAATCTATTCTGTATGTGTGCTTCAAGAAAATAGTCATTTGTTTCTAGTAACTTGTGGTTTACTCTTTCATTCAAATTCAAGCATTTATTTACCACCATCTATATGAAACACTATATTACACAGTTCAAATATTACAGTAAATAATATTCCTGATCCTGGATTTCATTAACCTGTGATTTAACAGGAAAAATGGCCACTAAATGAGTTAATATAATGGCAACAAAAATAGTGAAAAAGAGATGTACACAGTGCTACCAAAGTGTATGTCAAAGTGGCATCAGTATTTTATATACTCATAAATGTGGAAAATTTGGGAAAACCTACCTTGGCCCTTTTAGAAAACCTTCCTAGTTGCCTGAGTAACATGGAAATGTTGCACTAGACTGTGATTTCTCCTATAAGAAAAATATTACTGCTATAAATATACATGCTTATTTTCCCCCTTACCATTAAAGCCATATTGTGAGGAAGTTGAGGCTTCATGCAGACATCACATGTGAAAAATCTCAGCCAGCCATGTGAAACCCCACAACAGCCAGCATAAATTGCCAGACATGTGAGTGAGTAAACCTCCGGCTGATTCCAGTCCCAGGTTGTCAAGTCAGTGTAGGCTTTTTAATCTTTCCAGCCATATCTGCTAGGTCTTGTCCAAATTCTTGATTCTCAAAATCCATGACAATAAAATAATTGTTTTAAACTACATTTTGAAGTTTTTTGTTATACAGCAATTGTAATTTGAGTGATTCTAAATTATACGATGAGCTTTGGAGAGAAGGAGATATGTATTGTAATTCTTTTATTCTTACATAGTCCACTATAGCAAGTAAGGGAGAAAAATTGCACTAAAATCTCATTAGTCCCTCTCTCAACCAAAGAGGAGCTCCATATCTTTGTTCATGGCTTTCTAATTCAGGGGCTCCAGTGATTTACAACCATTGCCCAAGTGGAGTCTTTAAATATGACCAATCTGTAGTAACTCCTGCTTGATGGGAATAAAAGAATTATAAACATGCCATCTCACTTTATCATCTACCCTCTTCAAAGTTATTAGCCAAATTAACTTTCAAGATTCAAGTCGAGACCTAGAAGGTGGAGAAGTTCCTTAAATCCTCTAACATAAGCCAATATTCTAACCCATTTCCACATTATTCCTAAAATTAGAGTTTGATGCTCAAATCCAATTATATTGGAGTGTGCTTCGGTTTTATTTGGCGCTCATTACCCTGTGATTTCAACTCTCTTGAGGCCTCCTTTGAGGGAAGGAGGGTGAGTATTAGTTAAATGGGCCTTTATGGGTCCATTAGTCAAATACGACTTACTATTTCTAACTTCACCACTATTTCAGAGTAAGCAGAGAGGATCTATTAACTTCTAATTGTAGACTTAACATAATACAAGTTAGTTGCTCATCAACTACCAACATTTATTATTTGGAAAAAACTGGTAACTGTAATTATGGTGAAGACAATAGCATCTAGAATTTGAGAACTTTCCATGTACCAGCCTTTTTCAAAACCACCTTGCATATGTTCTGTCTTCTGATAGCTCCATCACAACTATGAAGTAAGCATTAGATAATACTTTAAAGAGCATATTTTTATTTTGGGGCATGAGAAAACTAAGAAGGAATAATTTGTTTTAGGATGCACAGCTCGTGAGCAGCAGCACCAGAATAAATCTAAGCTATCTGATTAGAAGTAATTACTTCCTCACCTACATTTTCCTGAAACTGGAAGTAGATTGTTTGGGAATTATTGATTTTGTTGTTTGGGAATTATTGATTTTGTTGTTGTTCAAAGATTATTTCCACCTTCAAGCACATTCATGGTGACCAGTTTCTTACCCTGTTGGAGGACTAAATCTGGGTGTAAAAACTATTTTCATTTAGCAAGTACTTTCATTGTTGAAAGCTCAGCTTTAAGGTTTTCAGTACAAAGCATACATAGGGTTTGCTGAGGTCACATAAAGGATTTTGCCTGGCCAAACATAAAACCAATTTGTTTATCGTAAATTCAATTTTTTAATTATTTGGTTGATTATCTCTTGTAATGGATCAGCTGATGTGTCACTTCACAGGTGTTTGGACTTCAGATTGATCCAGAAAAAAGATTTAACCCCAGAATGAACATAATATTTATTCATAGAATAGAGTTGATGGAATTTAGTCACAGAACACAAAATGAAGTGAATTCCATGAGGCAGGAGATAACTGTATCAAATACATTGCCATTTCCAACAATAATACTGTTAGTTCTGATAAAATTTCTGATAAACTATACTGACAAAAAAATACACTGGGTGATCATATATGGTTGTTTTTTTCAACTGTAAATATTGCTGCATGCTGTTGACCACTGGTTAGACAGACTGCTTTATGGCATGTAGTTATTTTTTCTGTCTCACAGTTAAAGTTGTCTTTGGGAATTAAATAATGTTGCATCAGAGACCTTGAGTAAGTTTAGTATTTTTCCCTGCTACATAGAAATGTTTATGTTTTTCTGTCTTTTTTGATTATTTGTATTTATAGTAAACTTACTTAATGCATAATATGGTTTCCAGAAAAATTTGAGAAATGATTATTCCATATACCATTAAATGAAAAGCAACTATTAGTGGAATGTTTTGATTCCAAATCACATCAATTCAAGGGCTTTATGGACACTTCAGGAAACAAAATTTTAAAATTATATAAAAATGTTCAAATACAAAGTTTCAGAATAATATTGATATCTATTCTGGTAACAAAAAGACAGATTGCACAATTATATATCTCTTAGAGAGTGAGGAATTGGCTTGTATTATCTGCATTTTGAAGGCTACAACTATGTAAAAAGTTAAAATTCATAAACAGAATGATTTATTAATTTAAATACTACCAGAGATGCAATAAATGAAGATACTGAATGTTAATAATTGTGAAGTTTCAGCAAAAACATTTGATTAAATAACTAATTTTGAATTGGCTCCTCTGCTCCTATCTTCTCTTGAACTGACAATAAGTCTAGTATATGACGTTGAGTTCAAGGTAGGGAATAAGAGACAGAAATGACTGTATTCTTTGGCATATATGTAAAATTTGTCTTAGTTTTTAAGTGGAAAGTTTTATTTGACTTCTATTTGGAAAATTAAAACAGACAAGTGTCTTCCACCAGTCTTTTCCATTTTCATCCGACGCCAATGCAACTATTTTAAAAATTTTCTCTGGCCTATCTTTTCTTTTCCACTTGCATTATTTCATGCCTTTCTTCTCTGCCTACTCATTCCACTTGTCTTCAGAATGCACAACTTTACTTACTTACTTTTGAAAGTAGTGCATTGTAATAATGTATTTCAAGTATTTTTTATATATGCTACTATAAAAAGGGGAGAAAATAATTATTTTTAGTATTGAATGTGGACCAATAGACTGAACACAAAAAATAAATTTCAATCATTATAGATAACTGGTGGGGAAAAAAAGATTTCAGGGCAGTGAAATGATTCTGAATTGTAGACTGAGTAATATGTTTCTGGCCCTCTGGTATAAAAATATTGCTTTATAGTGAATAAGAAAAATAATATATTGTTATAATGACTCATAAGCTAAAGACCTTAAAATTTTAATGATGGTCTGGTTAATTCTTCATTATAAACCACTAAATTAGAAACTTTTATCATTATTTCCAACTAATATGAAGTTATTGGCAAAATTACTCCCCTTTTACAGATAGTGAAAACAATTTAAATAACTACAATGCTCTGACAGTGGTAGTTATTCAAATTATAGATTTTTTTGATTGTCAAAACAAATAGCAAGATTTTATTTTTTTCGGAAGAGTCAAAATTGCAAATGACAATAATGGAGAAATTAGCTTTGTGCAATTGTATTGGTCCAATTTGAGTCTCACATGCATTCATTCATTGAAGAATTGCATTCATTCAGCTGATATTCATTAAATATCTCCTGTGTCATATAGTGAAGATACAATGATGGACAAAACATAGCAATGTCTACACTTCTGAAATAATGAAGACCAGCATCAAGCAGGTTATCACAACTGGGAGGATTATCACAATTGTGCATGCAAAATTGAATGAGAGGGTAGTCTGACATCCACAGCACTTTAAAAAGAAGTTACATAGTATCACAACTCTTGGCAAAGATTCTAGGGAATTATTCTAAAGCTTTTTTAAAAAAAGTACGGAATATTTTAAATTTTATGTTATTAAAGTGTTACAAGGAGTGTCAGAAATATACTTAAAACATGAATTGACATTATCATAAACTTGTAATAAATACAGGCAAAAATTATTTCTAAAAGATACTTCATAACATTTATTAGCAATTTTCAGTTGATTTCCAAATCATTCTGTTCATCCTAAAGAGGCACTTGGATGCTAGAAAAGTTTCCATTTGTATTTTATTCCAAGGGTTTTACTTTGCTTCTATGCAATAGAGTTTATAAATTATGCCTTATAATATTTCACACTTGACAATTTGAGAAAGAGTTTATGTGGGAGATGGTAGTACACAGAGTTAGTCACTGATTTGTTTTTAAAAGCACCATTATCCTAAGAGTTGAAAACTCTAATAGATTAGGACTGTTCAAATTATGATGCATGATGTATTAATATCCTTGACATTTGTTAGAAAATGTTTTTTTGATAAAGGAAGTCACTAATAGCTGCCCACCCAATGTCAAATAAACCAAGCTTTTTTACTAACAGAAGAACATATTTCATTGCAGCAATAATATGATTAGCCAAAACTCATTTTCCAGCCTCCCATAAGCTAGAATAAGTTGTCAGTTCTGTTCCGGTCAATAAAACCTTAGAGGAAGACTTACGACTTCAGAAAAAGGCATTTCCTTATTCTTTCTGCTTGGAATTCAGATAGGACGGGCTGACTAGCCAGTTTTTAAAATTATTTGTATACATTTAAGAAGTACAAATGCACCTTTTGTTACATGGACTGTAGTGGTGAAGTCTGGGCTTTTAATGTAACCATCATCCAAATAATGTACATTGTACCCATTATAAGTAATGATGATCATTAGAGCAGTGGAGCAGAATTTAGAATGAATCTAGGAAATTGATAATTTGTGAACCTATGTAAGTCACTATAGATGGGACCTATTTTTTCCAAACAATATTTATTAAGCCACTGTAGTTGGGTATCTGTTGAATACAGCGGAACTCAAGCAATGACCAAATGAAGAGTTTTGTTACTATAGTAACCTATAATATGTTAAGTTTTAGTGGTTCTCAAAGAGACTTTTGGCCAAATAATCATTTTTTTCAAAGAATAATTGTTAACATATTAATAGATGACAGTAAAACCAATTTGTAAAAATGTATGACATTATCATGATTTTGTTTGATTCCAATGTTTATGTTCTTTCTTTTTCAAAGGCTTTGTTAAAGTCTAATTCATATTTTTAAAATATAATTCATATTTTAAAAAGTATAATTCATATTTTAAAAATTACACATATTTAATGTGTACACTTTGATGACCATCACCACAACCAAGGTAATAGACATGTGCAACATCTCTCAAAGTTTCCTTGTGTCCATTTATTTATTTAGTTAGTTTGTCTTGAGTGTATATGTGTGGGTGTATGTATGTAGTAAGAATACCTAAGATCTACCCTCTTAAATTTTGAAGTGCCTGATACCATATTGTTAACTATAGGCAGAATGTTATACAGGTCTTCAGAAATTACTCATCTAGCACAACTGAACTGTATGCCTATTGAACAACCCCCTATTTCCTCCACTCTTCAGCTCTTGTTGACCACTGTTGTATTTTTTGCTTCTGTAAGTTTGACTACTATAGATATCACATATAAGTGGAATCATGCAGTATCTGTCCTTTTGTGACTGGTTTGTTTCACTTATTATAATGTCCCTCAGGTCTATTCATGTTGCCACAGATGGTAGAATTTTCTACTTTTTTGAAGCTGAATATTATCTCATTGTGTGTGTATACCACATTATCCATTCACCTGTTGATTGACACTTGGATTGCTTTTATGTCTTGACCATTGTGAATAATGTTGCAATGAACAAGGGAGTGCGAACTCTCTTGGAGATTTTTATTTCAATTATTTTGGATATATACCAAGAAATAGGACTGCTGGATATTGTGGTAGTTCTATTTTTACTTTTATGAGGAGCCTCCATATTCTTTTCTAAAGCTGCTGGAAGAGTGTTTATTCCCATCAATAAGGTACAAGAGTTCCAATTTCTCCACATCCTCACTGACACCGATTTTTTTGGTTTGTTAGTAGCCATCTTGACAGGTGTGAGGTGATACCTCATTGTGGTTTTGATTTGTATTTCCTTGATAATTAATGATGTAGGGCATCTTTTCATATATATCTGTTGGCCATTTGTATGTCTTCTTTGAAGGAAAGGCTGCTCAAGTCCTTTGTCCATTGTTTAATGTTGCTTTTCTGTTATGTTATAGGTGTTCCTTATATATTTTGGGAGTTAACTCCTTATAAGTGGTTTGCTATAAGTTGATTTTCCATATGGTAAGAGATAAAGGACAAGTTTCATTCTTTACATGGCAGTTCAATTCTCCCAGCATCATTTATTGAATAGTGGGTCCTTACTCCAGTGTATATTTTCGACAACTTTATCAAAGATTATTTGGCTGTAGATATGTTGCTTTATTTCTGGGTTCTCTATTCTGTTCCGTTAATCTCTATGTCTACTTTAATACCAATATTATGCTGTTTTGATTACTATACCATTGTAGTATAGTTTGGATTCAGGTAATGTTATGCTTCCAGCTTTGTTATTTTTGCTTGAGATTGATTTGTTTATGTCTGGCCTTTTTTGGTTCCATATGAATTTTAGGGTTGTTTCTTCTAGTCTTTGAAAAATTATGTATTTTTTATGAATTGCATTAAATCTTTAGATATGATGATCAGTTTGGTGACTTTAACAATATTGATTCTTCCAATCCATGAGCATGGGATATTTTTCCATTGGCTTGTGTCATCTGCAATTTCTTCAGTGTTTTGTAGTTTTCCTTGTGGAGATCTTTCACCTCCTTGATTCAATGTATTCCTAGTATTTTATTTTTTGTAGCAATTTTAAATGGAATTGAATTCTTGATTTGGTTCTCAGCTTGATTGTTATTGGTGTATAGAAATGTTAAATTTTGTAAATCAAGTAAACCTGAAAGTTTATTGAATTCATTTATTAAATATAGGAGTCTTTTGGAGGATTTGTTATGGTCTTCTAGGTATAAGATTATATCATCCTTGAACAGAGATAATTTTACTCTTTCTTTTCCAATATGGATATCTTTTATTTATTTCTCTTGCCTGATTGCTCTGGCTGGGGCTTTCAGTACTATGTTGAATAGGAATGGTGAAGCTGAGCATTCTTGTCTTGTTCCAATTCTTAGAGGCAATTCTTTTAATTATTCCCTATTCCCTATTGGCTGTGAGTTTGCTGTATATGACTTTTGTTATTTTGAGGTGATTTCCTTCAATGCCTAGTTTGTTGAGGACTTTTATCATGAGAAGATGCTAAATTTTATCAATGACTTTTTCCATATCAATACAATCAATATGTTTTTTGTTTTTAATTCTGTTTATGTTATAAATCACATTTATTAATTTCCATATGTTAAGCTATCTTTACATGCCTGGAATAAAACCCACTGGTTTGTGGTGTATTATCTTTTTGATGTGATATTGGGTTTGGTTTGCTAGTATTTCTTTGAGTATTTTTGCCTCTGTGTTAATGGGGAATATTGGTCTATAGTTTATAAATTTGTTTTGTCCTTGTCTAGCTTTAGTATCAGGGTGATACTGGCTTGTAGATTAAGTTAGAGAGGGTTCTTTCCTCCTCAATTTTTTGGAAGAGTTTTAGAAAGATTGGTACCAGTTCTTCCTTGTACACTGGTAGAATTTAACTGTGACTCCATCTAACCCTGTTTCATCATTGTTGTTGTTGTTGGGAGGTTTTGTAAAATTATTGAGTCAATCACGCTACTCATTACTGGTCTGTTCAGGATTTCTATTTCTTCCTGGTTCAACCCTGGGCAGTTCTATGTTTCCATGAATTTATTCATATCCTCTAGGTTTTCTGGTTTGTGAGTCTGTAGTTGTTTTAGTAGTCTTTGATCTTTTTGTATTTTTGTGGTATCATTTGTAATGTCTCTTTTGTCATTTCTAATTACGTTTTTTTGTGTGTGTCTTCCCTCTTTTCTTGGTTAGTCTAATTAGCAGTTCATCAATTTTGCTTTTATTTTTAAAGAACCAACTTTTTATTTCATTGATACTTTGTATTATTCACTTTGTATTATTCTTTTGTTCTCAATTTCATTTAGTTCTGCTCCGATCATTGTTATTATCATTATTTTTTTACAGATTTGAGTTTGGCCTATTCATGTTTTTCTAGTTGAGGTGTCATGTTAGGTTGCTAATTTGTGATCTTTCTATTCTTTTGATGTAGGCATTTAACATTATAAACTTACTTCTTAGTACTGCTTTTGCTGTATCCCAGAAATTTGGGTATGCTGTGTTTCCATTCTCATTCATTTCAAAAAATATTTTAATTTCTATCTTTATTTCTTAATTGATTATTCAATGATCACTCAGGAGCATGTTGTTAATTTCCATGTATTTGTATAGTTTTTGAAGTCCCCTTGGAATTGATTTCTAGTTTTATTCTACTGGATTTGATTTTTTAAAATTTGTTGAGACTTGGTTTGTGGCCTAACATATGATCTATCTTGGAGAATATTTCGTGTGCTGATGGGAAAAAACGTAAAATCTGTGGTTCCTGGGTGTAGTAGGTGCTTATATTAGGAATATGAATAGAGAAACATTAAATAAGATAATTTAAATTAGGCTTGGAAGAGGAAATTCTTCCTAAAGAATGTGACATTGGAAGGATGAATAGTATTAATTAAGGGATGAGTTAGTGGAAAAGCTATTCCAGGGAAAGGAAACACTACATATGAAGTCATGAACTTCTTAGAAGGCTGCATGTGAAAGGTAAAAGCCAGAAAATGTAGGAATGAATCAGATCATCATATGTATTGTGTGCTGAACTAAGGAGTTCAGAGCAGTAGAGAATCACTGAAGACTCTAAAGAAAAAGAAGGTAAATACAAATGTTTAGTGGCTGAGTGGAGGATAACTGGAAAAGAATGAGCTTGAAGGAAGTTCCTGCTTAGCAGGCTAGTGCAATGACTCACGTGAGAAGCTTTAAAGAACTGGTCCCAAGTCCATAGTGCTTAATATTCCTGGGCCATGAACTCCTTTAAGAATCTAATAAATGATGTGTACTCAGGCATTGCATATCAGCATATAGTTGTAATAAGATGAAAAATAATATTCCCCAGATTTCAGGGGTTACTCTTATGAGAAAAAATAAAATGCCAGTAAAGAAAAGCACATGCATATCTTTGGAGATTGCAGGCTAGTGAGGTATGTGTATAATGCAGTGTGTAGGAAGCTTATGGGTGCTAAGCAGTATGAAAACGACATGACAAAAGGGACTATGTAGAGAATAAAATTCCTCCTACTGAAATAAACCAAAGGATTGAATTTAATACAGAAAATGTCACAGGATTTAAAATGACTTACCTTAACCCAGAAAATGAAAGAATAAACATATCAATTACCAATTACTTAAAACATTTTAAAATGTAACAAAAATAGTATTGAATATATATCCACCCTTCCCTACTTCTCTTAAAATAAGAATTCCCAGAAAGCTTCACAGGGAAGTTTTATAAAACTATTAAAAACTGATAAGTAAAATGTAAATAAAATCCTTATAAAGCATAGCAAAAGAAAAAGAAAACTTTCATGTTATTTTCAATAGGAAGCATTATATCAATATCAGAAGACTGACAAAGTTAAAAAGTGAATACAGATTAGTCTTAATATGAACGTTAATACAAAAATCCTAATGATGTTTTAGCAACATAAGTCAATGTAATATAACTTGAACAAGAGTTTTATTCTAGAAATGGTGATTTCATAAGTCATAATAAAATATATCTAAAGAGAAAAATTATACAATCATGTTCACATATGCCAAAAATTCATTTGATTGAATATACATTTTAAAATAAACTTTTCTATTAAAATACTTGCTTTAATATATAAAGGGTATATATTTCAACCTAAATTCCAAAATTATGCTTAATCTGAAAAAATACATCATATTATAGTCAGAAAAGGCAAAGATATTCGTGCCTGCCACCATTTTTTCTTAATTTTAATAATCATTTTAATTTTCAACATGTCTCATATTTTTAACAGCACTGAACATTATTGGTTTATAAAGAAAATTAAACATAGAGGAATTAATATGCCCTGATGTAGAATATTCATTCATTTATTTTATTTATTTTGGAGATATAACTTCCCTAGCAGTGCAGCTTGCAATAATTAAAACAGCAAGCATTCCTATAGTGCTTACTATGTGTCAAACACTTCAAGTACTTTACATATATTAACTCAGTTAATATTCACAACAATCTTGAGTTAGGTAAAATTTAGATACAGGGGAGTGCAGTAATTTGTCCAAGATCAGATAAGTAGCAAGTTGGAAGCCAGGATTCTGCATGGTCTCTTCAACTATACATTTGGCTTCCTTGTAGTAGCAGATTCATGTTTACTTCTGGGAAGATTACTCACTTGGTCTTATATTAAACTATTGCTAGTATTACTTTTTTCTCAGTGAATGCAATTATTTCTCGAAATCCTTTTGAAACTGTATGTTCATTTTGTACTAATATGCAACTATTTTCTTTTAAAAACACTTTCAAAATGAGGTCATTTTTGATGATGCAAAAATGTGAACTTATTTTTCTTCTGAGTTGGAAATAAACTACTTTCTTAACTGGTTGAATTCTTAGATCCCCCTACTTATTTTCCCAGTTAAAAACAAACTTTTGAATAGAAATTCAACAAAGATATAAACATATTATGACTCAATATATATACCATGAGATTTTTGAACTGAAATATTGCCAATATATTGAACCCCATTTTATGGGCCTTCTATATGGTTGGAATTTGTGTCCCTGCCCAAATCTCATGTTGAATTGTAATCCCCAGTGTTGGAGGAGGGGCCTAGTGGGAGATGATTGGATCATAGGGACAGATTACCCCTTTGCTGTTCTCATGATAGTGAGTTCTCATGAGATCTGGTTATTTAAAAGTGTGTAGCATCTCCCCCTTCTCTCTTTTCTCCTTCTCTGGACATGTAACACATGCCTGCTACCCCTTTGCCTTCTGCCCTGATTGTAAGTTTCCTGAGTCCTCCAAGCCATTCTTCCTGCACAGACTGTGGAACCGTGAGTCAATTAAATCTATTTTCTTTATAAATTACCCAGTCTTAGATATGTCATTATAGCAATAAGAGTTTATTACAGCAACGAGATTTCACATTGCTCTAATGAGCTACCTAAGATTGGGTAATTTAATGTGCTCATTCTCTCAAAATGAGTACATTTTTTTTATTTACTCCACCTCCTCACCAAATACTTGATAATGAGACTTAAAATACGGTTCAAAATGTATTTTAACTGGTATTAAATTTCTAGATTGACAGATACTTTTTCTTTAAAGACGATTTTTCCCTTATTTAACCTTCATTGTTTCTGAGAAGATAGCCATCATGTTTACTGCTACTGTTGTTTCATAAAATGATATCTATCTATCTTATTTTTTCTGACCATTTTGGGATATTCTCTTTATTTTTGACTTTTAGTACTGCAATCATGATGTGAAAGTGTATTTCCTGTTTTGGGTTTGTGGATCTTGAATCTGTGGGTTGCAGAGTCTCATCAATTTTGGAAAATTCTAATTGATTACTTCTTTATTATTTATTCTCTCCCATTCCTTTATGGGCATGTTAAGGGCTTTATCTGTTAATTTCAGTATATGGGCTAGCTATAGGTTGGCTTCTATTTCTTTTTCCTAAACTATGAATTGTATTTTTCTATTTCTTTATGTGTGTCATAATTATTGATTTGATGCTAAACATTGTATTTTAAAGAATAGTAGAAAGTGAAGTAGGTAATATTACTCTCAGTAAAGGGCACCCCCTCCTACTCCTTCATCTATCTGATGACAGCATAGTGGGCTGAGTCAACATAATCCATAGTTGAAATGAGTGAGTTTTGTTGCAGTTTAATTATAAACAGTTCATGACTCGCTTTTCAGGGTTTGAAGGCAGGGTTGGGACTTTCCGTTAACAGGGTTTGGATCCTGATCACAGGCAGTCTTTGCAGATCTCTTAAGGCTTTAAATTCCAGTTTCTAGATTTGCAAATGAAAAGAGATTTCCCTCTGCTTACATACCAGCTGCTGACATTTTGGGTCACCTCTTGTTCTCCAGGTTTGCATCCAGACTTCCACATCTCAGGAGATTTTTATCCACACTAATGCCTTCTCCATAGAGTCTGGCAAGTTTATTCCTGGCCCTTTATGAAGGCCCTATGCTTCCAAGGAGAAGCTCTCTTATCCTTGCTTCTATGTCTGCAGCCTTGTGCTTCCACCTTGTAATCAGTGAAGGCTCTGTGCTGAACAATTAATGGGCATGTATAAACTCACTCAGTAACTGGAGTCCAATGAATGAAAATAGCCATGTGTCTTCATAGGAAGGGCTTATACCTTTATGGAGTTCAATAAATTTAGATTTCTTTACACTCTCAGCCCTCTGATGGTGATAAAAGGAAAACTTCAGCCAAATTAAATTTAAAAGAGATTAATTGAGCAATGAATGATTCGCGAATTGGACAGCTCCTCGAGGCAGAGTAGGCTCAGATAATCCAGTGCGGTTATGTCATGGAAGAACATTCATGGAAAAGGAAAGTGAGACACAGAAACAGCTGGATTGGTTATAGCTTGGCATTTGTCGTATTTGAACACAGTTCAAACAGATGGCTACATTTGTTTGTGGCCAAAACTCAGTGATTGACACAAGAGTAGTCCACAGTCTGTTTATACCACCACTTGTTATAGTTCATGTCACAAAGAGTACCGAAAACTTCGAGGTACAGTCCCTAGAGTCCTTTTTTTACAGCAAAGACTGTACTTCATCTTTAGATTATAATCTACCAAGGTATGTTTGAGATATATTTGTTTCTGGGATCCACACAAATGTTTATCATGGGGTTTTTCATATATTGTTGGCAATGTCACTAAATCCGGGATTTGTAACCATTTACACTAGGTAAAAATAATCAAATTATACATTTCCAAATAACATCAATAAGCTAGTACAATGTAGCTCTCAGAGAGTTTTGAATTTTAAACACCATATTATGAATCACTAAGCAGCATATAATATCTTTATCTTGGCTAAGGGTCAGTTTCAGATTTGCAGTTATTACTGGAGACAAGCATAAAGCCACCTCAGTCTAAATGCAAGTTAACTCTATCCTTACATAGTCCATCCTCCTGCCTCTTGATCAAGTCTTTTTAATTTCAAGTCACTGATTATCATTATATTTTATACTCCTTTCAAAATATTTCTAATACAAAAAGTGCAAAAGAAGAAACACCAAATCATTAGTTATTTTTATCATCTAATAACATCTAGGTGTTGCTTTAAATAAACATTTTAGTTTACTAAATACCCTGGCAAAACCTTGTTTATAATCATGCACAAGCTTGACATCTTCTTGACTTCTTTCTAACATCAACTTTTAAATTTTATGAAATTTAGTGGCTGATTCAAAGTAGCAACTGGTTGATGACTAACTAAATCTAGTTCTTCCTCTGGTATTGGCTTCTATCAGAATAACATCATGTAAGGGTTTTAATTCCATCTTCCAAAAACATTTAATCATAAATCATATCACAACATTTATAGAGTTAATAATTTACTGAGTTGGTGAGAATCTGGAACAACAGATATCATCATCATACAGGCAGGTATAAAAATCGGTACAATTTCTATAGAGGAAAATTTGACAACATTTTTAGAAAAACTTTCAAAGTTTAAAGTGGACAAATGGACATAGCTCTCAATGCAGTGATTCTACTTCTAGCTTTGAATCCTACAGATATACTTTCATTTACATGGAATAAAGTTAGGCAGCACAGTTTCTAACAGCAAAATATTGGGAGCCTCCAAAATATCTAAATAAAATTGGTTATATATTAAGTAAGGGCTCTACATAGTAAAATTTTTGCAGCCATTAAAAAAAATTAGATTAAAATATACAACAATCTTCAAATATATTTCGTGTTGAAAAGGAGCAGAATATGGCAAAGCACATTAATATTAGTGAAAGATAAGTATATAGATAGAAGTTCTGAATATGTATACATACATATTAAGTGTATGTACTATTTTTGGAAGTTAATATAATGAATGATTAAAATATTTCCTTTTGGGAGAACTGGATGGCTAGAGGTCACCACATTGTGTTTTGTATAGCATAGCCCATTTTGTCAAGGCAAGTGACCTGGAGTATAAATGCCTGCTGTTCAAGTCCTGGCTCAGCCACTCATTCATTGAATGACTTTGGTCAAGCTACTTAAATCTGGACTTCACTTTCCTCATCTGTAAAATGGGGATAATTATAGTACCTGTCACATAGTTTGTTGTGAGGTTAAGAGTTAATACATGTCAATCATTAAGAATAGTTACCAGAACAAAGTAAGCATATTTGTTTAAAAAGTATATAAAATGTATATCAAAACTACTTGAAAGGAAACCAGGTAGTTCAATACTTTGCAAATATTATGTTAGAAACATTGATACTGCTTGATAATTTACTGAAAGTATCATGTATATTCAACTGTGCTTGCGGTTATTTTGAAACCAGAAATTGACATTTTAAAAAACTATCTATTATTTTGAATTTCTGCTACAACATGTGATTAAGAGAATGTTCTTAAATAACAGGACATACCATTTCTATCCATAGATAAATTTCCATGGAAGACTAATGCTAAGTTTGGAAATTTCAAACTACTTGAGGCAATTTTTACTTTTCTTCTGGTAGATTACATGATAAAGTACATGTATATAAATAATCTACGATATAAAGATACTTAAAAACACAGTAGCTTCTAAAATCTGCTAATTAATTGGATTTAAATGATGAATTTGTCACAGTTCCATTGGATGATGAGATAATGTGTAACAGGAAATGGATTTTCAGCCTACGCCATGACTAATTTTTTGTAGCTTTTACAGTGCTTATTATTTTTATTTTATTGGATTGCTTAGAGCATATCAACTTGTCAAAATCAATGCAATGGAATGCTTATCCAAATCTTCATAGCTTCAGCATTATTGCTGGACTATATACTAATGTAAATTAAACAGGAAAAACAAAATAACAATTGCTATTTGTTATTTCTAACTTTTAAAAATAAGTACAATTTCTTTGCAATGTATAGTTTGCCTGTAAATAACTATCAAAATTGTAAGTACTTTAGGGTCAATCGTTCTCTATTCTTAACTTTGGAAAACATATTCTAACTTGGGTTTACATTTATTTAATATACTTGAAGTTGGGCCTTTGTTATTCTGGCAGTCACTTAAAGTTTCACATAAACGGGTGCCTACTCCTGGATCAAGGGATATAAAATGTCATCAAATTCTAGGCACAGAAAATTACAAGGCATAGGAGGCTATGCTTAGAGTCTGTCAGGTGAGTCATAGACACCAATGTGTCTCAGCGTATCTCAGTTTTTACTGTAGGGAATTACTTTGATTTACAGTATTTTTTAAAAAGTATTTATTTATTTAGGTCAGTTTTAGTTTCACCAGGAAATTGAGAGGGAGGCACAGAAATTTTTCACATACCCTCTGCCCTCACACATGCATAGACTCCATCATTATCAACATCCTTACCAGAGTCGTACATTTGTTACAATTTGATTAAACCTACATTGAAACATTATTATCACCTAAAGTCCATAGTTTACATTAAGGGTCATTCTGGGTGTATGCATTCTATGGGTTTGAACAAATGTATAATGACATGTATCCACAATTATGGTATCATATAGAGTATGTTCAATGCCCTAAAAATCTGTGTTCCAAATACTTATCTATCTCTCCCCTCTGATGCCTGGAAACCATTAATTTTTAATTATAGCAATGGTTTTGCCTTTTCCAGAAAATCACATACAGTTTGTTTTTTGGGTTTTTTTTTGTTTTTTTTTGTTTTTGAGACAAAGTCTCGCTCTGTCACCCAGGCTGGAGTGCAGTGGCGCGATCTCGGCTCACTGCAACCTCCGCCTCCCAGGTTCAAGCAATTCCTTGCCTCAGCCTCGTGCATAGCTGGGATTACAGGCACATGCCGCCATGCCCAGCTAATTTTTGTATTAGTAGAGATGGAGTTTCACCATCTTGGCCAGGCCGGTCTTGAACTCCTGACCTCGTGATCCACCCGCCTCGGCTTCCCAAAGTGCTGGGATTACAGGCGTGAGCCATCGCCTGTATATTCTGTCTAGGTATTTACAGATTTACTGTATATTCTGTCTAGGTATTACACTTAAATAAATTAAAAAACAAAAAGGTGAGGCCCAGAAAAGAAATGCCAATAGATTTATCTACAATGTTTTCATTAAAGGCTCAAAGATGTAGGTTATTTGCAGCAGAAAAGAGTCCTGTCATCCCTCCATCTCTTTCCATTCAGCTTCCCTTATTAGCTTGCTAATAGGGCCCAAGGAGATAGAGTCATGAAAGGAGACAAAATTTGCATAGTAGAGGCAGTTACACTAGGTGTTTAGGGCCCTCTGGGTGAAGAGGGACAACTGCTGACCCTTTCACTTTAGGGGGCTTGTGTTGGCTCTGTGGAGGCTCCCTTAGGTGGAACTCTTCCACTGTGATTCCCAGTGATACAGAAAATGCATATCTTCTATCAGCAACTTTCCCTGATTTTCCCATTGTCTGCTTTACAGCATATTCTAATAGAATACCTCAGCCCCATAAACACTCTCCTTATGCAAAAATTAAAGTAGCTTTTAGCTACTTCTTGACCAAGTGCTTCACAATGGGTCTACGGGAAACAAGTTACTCAGCCTTTGTCATCAGATTGGAGTGCAGTTACTTTTTGGGTGTTGCCCTACACCCAGCTGCCACGGACATGACACCCTCATTTGTTGACCCAAGAAATGTTGTGAGTGAAGGTCAATACCAGCCAGAGGCAAACTCTCCCTTGCCATCGCAGCCACGGTCTTGCATGTTTAGATTATTTAGTATACCAGACTAATCACCTCCTCAAATCAAGTGCTGGTTGGTTCTTTTGAGGCTTCCTCATCTAACTTGTAGTAGATCAAGTAATATCATCCACCCAGGCCCTTTGACAAAAGGCTTGGCATTCATATATGGCAGCAATGCTCCAAAGGAATTTTTTCATTCAGACAGTGATAGGCTCAGTGATAAATGTGTCATATTCTCTGTGGCTTAATACAATGTATCCAATTTTTTTCTACCACATCTGATGCAAAGCAGATAGTTCTTTTTGGCTCTACTCTGATAACCCCAAATCCAGGCCTTTTCCATCATAGCAGAATCATGCAGTCTTCAAAATTATGGTAGAAGAGAAGACAGGATCACACTGTTTGTTTGTAAGGCCAGTGTCTGCAAGTAGCTTAAATACCCTCCACCTCCATTAAATTAATTTTGTTAGCCAATACTCAGTCTTACACCCCCTGACATAATTTGGGAGGTTATGCCTTATTCATATTCCTGGGGAAAGACATTATGCAGTGAATACATAGCATTGCTTCTGCCACAGAAACTCCTTCACTCTTCGTATCTCCTTATACCCTTTCAATAGAAGTTCCTGAAAGAGTAAATAACTCCTATGATGCTGGTTTTTGGATACATCCTTTGAAAATATGCTTTTTAGTCTAGCTCCTTGCTTTGATATCTGATATCCATTATCACCTTGGAATCTCAGACAAAATAGAAACAGGATTAGTCTTATTTTAGTATTTCATTTAGATTTCCTACTTAGGTGATTTAACAAATATTGAGCAAAAACTGCTTCAGAGCTGGAGAATACGTATCTTCCAATTTATAAAACAATTCTGCCTGATAAATTTTGCTACATGAATGTTAATAGTGTAGAAATCATCAATATATAAAAGCATCTCAAAGGTACCTGAGTCATCTGTTCTGTATGTTTATTGTGTAGACTAAATATATCAGAGACTTCAGTTTCAGTACAAAAAATATATAGAGGCATACCTCAGAAACATTGTAGGTTCAGTTCCAGACCACCACGATAAGGTAAATATTGTGATAAAGTAATTCACATGAACGTTTGTTTTCCTAGTACATATAAAAATTATGTTTATACTATAGTGTAAATACATTATTGTTTGTATTTAGACTATAATAAATGTATGAATAATATACAGAATACATTTCATGTCATACTTATAATATTGTTTGTAATGTCTATACAAAATACATTAAAATTACTCTATTGCTAAAGTAATTCTAATCATCTGAGCTTTCAGTGAGTCGCAATCTTTTTGCTGGTGGGGGGTCCTGTCTCAGTGTTGATGGTTGCTGACTAATCAGGGTTGTGGTTGCTGACAGTTGGGGTGGCTGTGGCAATTTCTTAAAATAATACAGTAATGAAATTTGCCACATTTATTGACTCTTCCTTTCATGAAAGATTTTATGGAGGATGTGAGGCTGTGTGATAGCATTTTACCCACAGTAGAACTTTCCAAATTGGAGTCAATCCTCTCAAATCCTGCCACTGCTTCATTAACTAAGTTTATGTAATGTGCTAAGTCATTTATTGTCATTTCAACAGTGTTCACAGCATTTTCACCATGAGTAGATTCCATCTTAAGAAATAACTTTCTTTTTTCATCCTTAAGAAGCAACTCCTTATTGTTAAAGTTTTATCATGAGTTGTGGCACTTGAGTCACATTGTCAGACTCTATTTCCAATTTTTGTTCTCTATTTCCACCATATCTACAGTTAATTTCCCCACAGCAGTCTTGAACTTCTCGTAATTATCCATGAGAGGTGGAATCAACTTCTTCCAAACTCTTGCTAATGTTGATATTTTGACTTTCTCCCATGCACTGTGAATGTTAATAGCACCAAGAATGGTGAATTCTTTCTAGAAGGCTTCCAATTACTTTGCCCAGATCTATCAGAAGAATCAGTAGTTGTGGCAGCTATAGCCTTATGAAATGTATTTTTTTAATAATAAGACTTGAAAGTCAAAATTACTCCCTGATGCATGGACTGCAGAACGGATGCAGACCAAATCACACAAGAGCTCCATCAGAGCTCCATCAGAGCTCTTATGTGATTTAGGTGCATTCTCAGTGAGCAGTAATATTTTGAAAGCTATCTTCTCTCTAATCAGTAGGTCTCAACAGTGGCCTTAATATATTCATTAAATCATGGTGTAAACAGATGTGCTATCATCTGGGCTTTCTTGTTCCAGTTATAGAGCATAGGCAGAGTAGATTTAGGAAAATTCTGAAGGCCTGGGATTTTTGGAATGGTAAATGAGCATTGACTTCAAGTAAAAGTCACAAGCTGCATTAGCCCCTAACAAGAGAGTTCCTCTGTCCTGAAGCCAGGCATTGATTTTTCCTGTCTAGCTGTGAAAGTCTTAGATGGTATCATTTTATAATGAATGTAAGATTGTTTCATGTACATCAAAAATCTGTTGTTTAGTTTAGCTAACTTCTTCAATTATCTGAAGTATACTTGGTAAGTAACTGCTGAAGTTCCTACATCAGCACTTGTTGCTTCATCTTGCACTTTTATGTTACTAGAGATGGCTTTTTTATTCTTAAGTCTCATAAACTCACCTCTCTTAGCTTCAAACTTGATGGGAATTAGGCTCATGCTGTAGATTAGGTTTTGGCTTAAGAGAATGTCATAGGTGGTTTGATCTTTTATCCAGTCTATTAAAACTTTCTCCATATCAGCAAAAGGGCTGTTCACATTCTTATCATTAGTGTGTTAACTAAAGTAGCATCTGGAATTTTCTCCGAAAGCTTCTTTTGTTTCACAAGTTGGGTAAGTGGTGCAAGAGGCCTAGCTTTTGGCCTATGTCAGCTTTCAACTTGCCTTTCTCATTAGACTTAACCTTTTCTAGCTTTTGATTTAAAGTGAGAGACATGCAACACTTACTTTCACTTGAACACATAGAGGCCATTGTAGGGTTACTAATTGTCCTAATTTCAACATTGCTGTGTCTCAGGGAATAGGGAGGCCTAATGAGAGAAAGATAGATGGGGAAATTACCTGTCACTGGAGTAGTCGGGACATGCACAACATTAACAGAATACATTTACTGTCTCATATGGGCATGACTCATGGTGCCTCTAAACAATTACAACAGTGACATTCAAGATCAGTGATCACCATAACAGAATAATAATTTAAAAAGTTTGAAATATTGCAAGAATTACTAAAATGTGACACAGGGATACAAATTGAGCACATATTGGAAAAAATGGTGCCAATAGAAGATCAATGCAAGGTTACCATAAAGCTTCAATTGGTTAAGAAAGAAAGAAAGAAAGAAAGAAAGAAACCAATATCTGAAACACATTAAAGCAAAGCACAATAAAATGGGGGTATTCCTGTAAATAGTAAGATTTTACTGATGAAATATTAAGACATTTGAAAATGCTGTTGGAAATGTTTTCAATCTTTCCTGAAAATTCAAAGTAAAAGAAAATATTATTCTAGAAATGTTTTTCAAACTATTAAAGCAGATAAAGGCAGAATGGAGCAGTTGAAAGGCATATGTGTGGTTGTCTTGAGCCTACCCTTATATTTTTCTTGGTTCTGAAGTAATTTGAGCAAACTTAGAGCTCCAACAAAGCAGTTTGAGATATCCTGTTATTTATGGTTTTGAATACAAGTACATTAGTGTGATGAACTGGAAAAGAAGAGTTAAGATGTATTTAGTGCTAATTATACGTACAATTTTTTTTTTTTTTTTTTTTTGAGATGAAGTCTTGCTCTGTCGCCCAGGTGGGAGTGCAGTGGTGCAATCTCGGCTCACTGCAACTTCCGCCTCCCAGTTTCAAGTGATTCTCCTGCCTCAGCCTCCCGAGTAGCTGAGACTACAGGCATGTGTTACCACGCCTGGCTAATGTTTTGTATTTTTCGTGGAGATGGGTTTTCACCATGTTAGCCAGGACGGTCTTGATCTCCTGACTTCGTGATCCACCCGCCTCAGCCTCCCAAGGTGCTAGGATTACAAGCGTGAACCACCACGCCCGGCCGTGTACTAAATTTTTACACATGGTACCATATTTAATCTACACCTCCATTAATTAAGTACTATAATTATACAATTGAAAAATGAGTAAACTGAAGATGTGAGTAGATAAATTATTTGCCTTAGATGTGAACCCAGGCACTCCAACTCCAAAGCCTACTTTTTAGCCATTTTGTTATGTGATGTTTCTCTTAATTCATTTGACATTGATAATACTATAAATCTCAGAAAAAGAAATATCTAAATAAAAATTTCATAGCCTCAAAGGAGAGAAACTTTATGTAATACTCTGTGGTTTATATTCTGCTTTCATATGCACATATCTTAGCTAATTTGAACCTCACAAGAATCCCATGAGATTGAATTTTTTATTTTCACCAGACCAACAAGATCTGATGGAAACACTAGAGCTTATCTAAAAGTAAGTTTCTCTTACTTTGTGATTCTGCCTCCACAAACATTCACTCACCTGATAAAAAAACAGAAGGGAAAAATATGATGCTATTCTCACTGCTAAAACATAAGCTTAGAAGGTAGAATTGCATAGCAGATTGATATAAATGGGATTCCAAATAGGTTTTCTAATTTGAACTTTTTGAGTGCTGAGAGTCTGAGTTTCCTACATCTTTTATATTTTTCTACTGCAAATAGCTATGGATTTCCCAAAGTTAGAACTTTCTGCAATTCATTTATAAGGCCAGACTTTGATGATAGAGGACTGCTGTAGCCTTACGTATATTGGCTGGCTGCTTCAGGAAAGTAGAAGTATACAGGATTATTCTAGAGATAAGAAACCTTCTCATGATTGTTAACTCGTACATAACAGAAAACAAAGCTTATCTACCATCCAAATCATATACACCTAGTGAAATGCCAAGGCAAAGCTTCACACTGAGCCTGATTACATCAAAGTTCCTGGTCAATCAAGTCCCTACTCTTTCTCCAGCTCACTAATTCATACTAACAATCAGAAAGCAAGGAATTGCATTCAGCATTTAATCTTTATTGGTACATAACTTTGAGTGAATGCTTGCCATTTTAAACATCACCTTGTTTATTTGTGAAATGAAAATAATTCTCTTTACATCACAATGTTTCAGTCATCAATTTATGTATCATCTAATACCTTATTAAGTATATTTAATACTTATACAATATTACATGATTACATAATCTCTCTCTGTGTATGTACACACACATATCCTGAAATCACTGGCTTTGACATGTGTACCAATTATCTCAACAAATTAAGTATATTACAGTAATTCTATTTCTGGAAAAAAGCTTACTTAATATGATCTTTCTATACCATATTTCTATTATTCTAGTATAAACACAACCTTGTTTGCATGTTAGATTCTCCTGTGGAGCTTCAACCAAGACTTAGTAAATCAACATTTTCACAGATAAAGTTCAGGTTTATATATTTTTATAAAGACTTATAGATAATTCACATATCCCAAAAGGAATGAGTACATCACCATTATGCCAATGAGTGACATAGCTCTGGGTTCTGAGGCAGGGCTACTCCACTTCACAAAGCAAGTAAAAAATTTCTGGGTTCAGTGTCTTTAGTTGTATTTTTTGTAGGTACATGGTAGGTTTATATATTTATGAGGTAGTTGAAATATTTTGATTTAGGGATGCAATGTGTAAGAATCACATCATGGGAAATGGGATATCCATCCTTTCAAGAATTTATCTTCTGAAACCATCAAATTATATACTTCTAGTGATTTTAAAATGTACAATTAAATTATTATTGACTATAGACACCTGTTGTGCTATCAAATACTAGGTTTTATTTATTCTTTCTAATGATTTTTTGTAACCATTAACCATCCCAATGGTGCAGGAGTTGAGAAGAAATCACTTAGGCAGACAGTAAGGGTATAGGATTCCTTGGTAAGGCTTCTCTTTTTCATAAAAAGCAGCCCCAAATCATTTTCTAACAAAGAGCAGCCTATAAAGTCAATCTGCAGACATAGACAAACAAGCTGGGAGCTTGCACGTGTGAATGCTGGCAGGAACTAGGGACTAGACATGTTCAAGAAGGCGGCTCCATCTTCCTTTCTGTTTGTCAGCCACATGTACTGTAAGGAGCAGACAAGATGGCACCGATCAACTGGAAAGCCCATTTGCATAATACTAGGGTGGGGTAACCAGCCTTCCCTGTGCACTATGTAAACATCATACCTGATCCAACCAACTGTGAGCATACACATACATAGGGTAAATCAGACACCGCCTCCTCAAACTGGACTATAAAATCTGGTGCATTTGCCACCAGCTGCTCCTTTCTGCTCAGAGACCCCTTTCTCTATAGAGAGAGCTGTTTCTCTTTCTCTTCTTTTCTGCCTATTAAACCTCCACTCCTAAACTACTCTTGTCTGTCTGTGTCTTAAATTTTCCTGGCGCATGACAATGAATCCCAGGTATATGCCCCAGACAATATTGCTGCTTCATAATGGGAACCTCGTTCGGGATACCAAGGTACAACATTCATCAAAACGGTGAGTAGAGGAGCAAACTCAAACTCTGTCCTTTCATTCTGAGGCTCTTGGCCTCCATTTTAGAACCAAATCAAACCAAATGCTGGGTTCCCTTCAGCCATTTAAAAATGATTAGCACGGCTGCTAGCCTTACAAGACTTGGGGGATAGACTTGCTATAGAGAGCATGGAGAATCCCCCAGCACCCATGGGTGGCTGGGCATATTGGCCATGTTTAAACCAGCTTCCTTACACAAGGGGCTTAGCTGTCATGTGGGGCTGGAAGAAGTCCTGAGACAACTGAGGATTTCTGGCTGGGGCTACCTCCCACTGTTATCCAAGGGCTTCTGGACTGACCCCAGCCTCTGACTGTCCTGATGGAGTGTCGGCCACAGGATCTCCAAATTTGCTATTGTAATTTCCTCCTTTCCTGTCTGTGACCATCCGTATCTCTTAACTTCTCTGTTTATGCAATGTGCGGGAAGTTTTACAGGAACGTAATCTTGTTTGACGAGATCAGGTAATATGGTAGTAACTGGGGATATAGCTCAAGGGAAGGTGGCTTTGTGATTTTCTATGAACAGAGACCCCCCACCCAACAGTGAGTACCTCTCTCTGCCCTGGAGATTACATGGCATTTCCAGGTCAATCTCTGCCCTTGGTGTGGAGATCACATGGGACTTCTAGGTCACTCTCTGCCCTTGGCCTGGAGAGCACATGACATGTCAAGGTCACTCTTCCCTTGGTCTGGAGAGCATATGGCACTTCAAGGTCAACAGTGCCACCTAGTGGAATAGGAATCTTCTCCTTGAGGCACATTGTCGGTCCTTCAACAAAACACTCTAGCTTCCCAATTCTCTCCTCTTTTTGCACCTCTCTACTAGAAACCAGGCTTCACGCTGCTTGTGTAAATGGGAAAATTTTGATTTCAACAATTAGGGGTAAAATATCCTCCAAAGCCAAATTTTAGTCTTGATACTGTCCCATCAGCAGGAAAATGGCCATTCAGTCCCTATGTTCTTTTAACGCACCTATTACGCCTCCAGTTAGAATGGTACTTAATTAGTAGGGGAATTTTAGGTTCAGAAGTTAACCAGAACCATTCTCTAAGGGTAAACGCTTTAGCATGGGCTGTAATAACAGATACAGAGCTCAAACCAGCACACTTCCTCCATTTAGGAGGGAAGTGCAACATTTGCCCTAATGTAACTGTCACATAGTGTCTCCCAAGATCTATTCTTAGGGGAGCCAGGCAGGTCACACAAGTCTAGAAAGTCAATGGGAAATCACAGGCAGAGGACTAGAGCCACTTGGGTGAGTGTGACTAATCCCAACCACATAGTTCCTCTGGTTCTATGGCTGGGATCACACCTGCAACCATGAGCAGCATATTCAACAAGGTGCTGGGACCCAGAAACCACAGAGGGAAAACAGCAGGGGGTACGCCCTCACTGTCTTCCTTTCCACCCTGGGTCACACCAAAAGGAAGGAGACTAAAGGGACTCTGTTTTCTCACTTTTCTTTATCATCTTTGGCCTGTATTCCTCTGGAGTGCCTTCTGAAGCACAAAGACTCCTTTGACTCTGAAACTTTAATTTAAAAAGTGGCTTATTTTCTTTTCTCAAGGGCATGGGCTTCTCACCCTCTTGAACCATCCAGGCCTGTGAAGGGACCCTTAATTTTAATATTATCCAACAATTAGATCTTTTCTGCAGACGGGTGGGCAAATGTTCTGAGGTACCTTACGTACAGGCTTCCGTTGCTCTGCAAGACAACCCAGACCTTTGCAAGCATTGCACAATCAACCCAGTCCTTTTAGCAATCAGATCAGGCAGGTCCAAAGGGAATGATTCCCCAAGACTAGAAAAGTAACTTCTGGGGGCACCATCTGAGGCAGCCATCGAATGTCCCAGCCCTTCCAGTCCTTCTTATCTGGGGCCACCTCCAACCATGCTTCCAGCTATTCCACCCCCACTATCTCCAAAATATCCCACTCCCCCACCTTTGCTCTTACCCCTACAGGAAATGCCCAATGAAGTTGCTGCCACTAGGGTTCAAGTTTCCTCCTCATTGCAGGACCTTAGGCAAATAAAGGGAGACTTAGGTCAATTTTCTAATGTCCCTGATAGGTGTACAAAAGCTTTCTGAAATTTACCTCAGATATTTGACCTCTCATGGAGGGCTGTTATGCTGCTCCTAAGCCAAACCCTAACTGCCACTGAAAAACAGGAACTCTGCAGGCAGCAGAGGATTTCAGAGATGAGCACTGTGTCTCCTATAGTAGGCAAAAAGGTAAGAGAGAAAATAGGGAAGGCAAAGAAATATGGGAAACACCATTTTCAATAGGAAGAGAGGCAGTACCTCTTGACAACCCTAATTGGAACACCCAGTATGTTCTATGGTGTTTTTCCTTTTTTCACAGTTTAAAATGGCACTTTTATAATGTTCTTCCAACCTGGGAAAAGTTAATTTCCCTGAACCTTAAAATGCATGGTTTAGGCCAGACGTGGTGGCTCACGCCTATAATCCTAGCATTTTGGGAGGCCGAGACTGGTGGATTGCTTGAGGCCAGAAGTTCAAAACCAGCCTGGCCAACATGGTGAAACCCTGTCTTTACTAAAAATACAAAAAATTAGCTGGGTGTGGTGGCAGGTGCCTGTAATCCCAACTACCTGGGAGGCTGAGGCAGGAGAATCGCTTGAACTCGGGAGGCAAAGGTTGTAGTGAGCCAAGACCATGCCACTGCACTCCAGCCTGGGCAACAAGAGCGAAACTCTGTCTCAAAAAAAATAAAAAATAAAAAATAAAATGCTTGGCTTATAGTTGAGCTAGGGGTAAGGGAACCTAGAAGTCTGACATGACAGCAAAAGACTAAATTTTTTTGTTTGTTTTAACCAGTCAAGCTTTTGGTTTCTCTCTCCCGAACCTAGAAGCCTGACATGCCAGCAAAAGAGCGAAAGATATATATATATATATATATATATATATATATATATATATATATAAATATATATTTTTTACCAGTCAAGTTTTGGCTTCTCTCTCTTTCTATGCAAACTGGCAAAAGTGATAATAAGGATCATTATTTATATTCCCCATAAAGTTTTAATTAATGAAAAAGATTTGTGAGGTTGGTCTTAAGCTGTAGCCAATATGGCATGCTTTGTGTGTCTTTCTGTATGGTTTTGTGAAAAGAAAGGGTCACTTAGATTAGAATGCAGGCTCAGGACCCCATAAGCCTGCTGTTCAAGCCAGTCCAACAAAATGGTCAGTAACAAACATGGCTACAGGCCTCCATCTTGTTTCAGGTCCTTGGCAACATGACCTGTAACCACTTGGCAATACTTTGTTTTAGTCTCTGCCCTTTTACAATGGTGGCTGTCTCCTTGTGCTAAGTCAGTTACTGGGTGGGGACCACAAAATCAGATGAGCCAGTTTATCAATCTGATTGGTGCCAGCTGATCCATCAAGGGCAGGGTTTACAAAATATCTTAAGCACTGATCTTGAGAGCAGTTTAGGTAGGGTCAAAATCTTGTAGCTTCCAGCTGTGTGACTCCTAGGCCATGGCTTCTAATCTTGTGGCTAATTTCTTGGTCTGGTGCCCAGGCAAGAGGGAAGTATATATTAAGAAGGGGCTGTTATTATCTTTGTTTTAGACTATTAACTAAACCAGGCTCCTCTCAAAGTTAGTTTGGTCTACACCCATGGATAAGCAAGGACAGCTTCGGGGCTGGAAACAAAACAGAGTTGTTTGGGTCAGATCCCTTTCACTTTCTTGGTCACAATTTTCCAATGACAGTTTCAAAAGCTGCTTATCATCCCTTTGAAAATACCTCATACATTCACAGTTAAGTCATAATCGAATTAAGGCTTATTGGTTTCACCTATGAGGTTACTTTTTGTAGAGTTCGAAAGCTGAGAATCTTAACTGCTTGGCATGGCTAACATCAAGTAACAAGGGATTTAAAAGGATTTTCTTAGAGAGTGCTCAGCTTAATTAAAAGTGGATATTCGAGTTATAGGTATATTTAAAAAGCCTTTATGTTTTTCTGTTCTTGGATCTTGTTTTTCTGAAAAAAGATTTTTTTTCTTCTCAGTCAACTGAATTATTGTCTTGCGACTCTTAATGCACACATGAGAGGCCCTAAGACCTAAGATAACTTCTGGTAGCATGGGACTCCTTGAGAAAAACAGAGGAGACACCACAGACACTGTTTTGGGAAAAAAAAACTCCATTTTCCTCATGAAACCCCAAGAATTAAAAGCAGATAATTTCCTCTCAAAATCAAAGGCTCTGTTCTGTTTTACATTGTGTTATCTGACAGTTTTGAGTTTTGGGGCTATCAAATTCACATTAGGAGACAGCTTTGGTATGTAATAACTAGGTAGAAAATACACTTTAAGGGATGGCTAATGGTAATTATAAATCAGAGAAGCATGCTCTTAGCTACCTGAAAGACATGAAAACATTCCTCTCCCCACCACTGAGAGATAAGACTCCCATGGAAGATGGGCTGATTACAAAATAAGCTGATTGGCTTTGGGTTTCCTTGCAATGAAATGTGTGACAGAAGCACTGTACTGTCTTCTTCCATAGTATCTCCCTCCCTTTGAGGATCCAAAATTCAGTATAAAATGGCACCCTTAATTTTAGGGATCTGTCTTTGCCTTCAGCTGTGCCTGCTTCTCAGGCCCTAAAAATGCATTCTACTGGCCCTGCTCCTCCAAAGGTTCCATCCTGAAGCCAGTGATCTAAGTAAGAAACTGGCAAATAAAAAATCTTATGAGTGATGAACCTTCTGTCTGTGTTGCTATATATATGTTTTGTGTAATGTCTACAAAAAGATCTCTAATTGATTGGCTTAAAAGAAAATGAGCACTTAAATAAAATATGTTTTAGTTCATGTGACTTTAATCTTTAAGGAATAAAAATAGTCTTAAGGATTATTGGTAAAATGTAATAAAAGTAAAGTGTCATCAAAATGCAAATAGATGGTCTAAATCATACAACTTAGATACTAGGTTTGCTAAATGTTCCAAGGTTGTATAAGGCCTGGGACACATGGAGTTAGATGCTGGGAAAAGTCAGACTTTATCTGCACTTCTGTCTTGGTCCTAGGCTCCACATCTGGTACATAATTAAAATTGCTTACTAACCAGGTTTTTCACCAAAAGTAAAAGTTGCTGAGTTAACAGTGCAACATGTATTTGAGATCACCAAACAGTGTTACATGCAAGGCTTATAAAAACAGTAAAATGTATTTTTTAGTAAAAGATTATAAGAAAGCATGGAAGTGTAAATTTTGCACAAGGATAAGGAATTATCTTAAATTTAATAAGATAAAGCTAAACACTTAAGTTAGTTGTGGAAAGACTGTAAAAATTAATCTTGCAAAAATATGTAACATTAACTAAATTCAAAAGGGTACTCTATCGTCTTTTCATAAATTGAGCATTGAAATAAAAGCACAGCAAGGTTGTCTTAAGATGCTAATCTGCCCTTTGGCAAAAGAGTTATAAAAGGTTTGCAAAGATTTTACCTCATGGTGAAATTGGTTAAGATTAGATAGAATCATCTATAAGGTTTCATTTAAATAAATTGGAGTTAACATTAATATACCAATGCAAAAGTAAATTTGACTTTGAACAGGATTTTCATGTAATAGTAAAGGCTAATAAAAGGTTTTTGCCTTTTGAGTCATTTTGGCAAAATAAATAATTTATGGCAATTTGAAATTCTATTTCATAACATCAAGTGTTTTAAACCTCTAACATTTAACAGGTGTCCCAAATTCAAGCGTCAAGTTTCAAAACTGTCTTTCCTAATGCCTGATTTTCTGGATGGTTCAGAGGACCCCTGAAACATTCAGAAAAGAGGTGAACCAGATCGTTTGACATTTTCAGTTGCATGAGATTGCCAAAATGATGTCTAATCTTCTTTAAGTTATATTTTGTTGAGTAATACTAATATATGTTCCAAAATTGTATGGGATTTCTAAAATTCTAATGTCTGAATATATGCTATCAATCCTAATTAAGGGTAAAGTTATTGTAAACCACAGAGATAACTAAACTTCTTTGTCAGTTGTGTTTTTAAGTGTAACTACCTTGGAAATTGTGTCACTCACAGACAATTGTTGTCTTCCTTTGTTCCTTTTCAACAGATGGGTTATAATCAAGCTATAAGACTTTAACAGGTGTTCTCAAATGCAGGTTTCCAATAGCTTTCAAGATTGTAAATTGGAATAGAGAAAAAAAAGGAAAGGATTCATGAAGAACTAAAATGTTCATAAAAGTCAAGCAAAACAAGAGTTAACTAAATGGACTGCACTCAGAAAGTTAAAGCAAACTTTTGGACTTTTGCTTGGAATATTTCTGATCCTCGTTTTGTTTTTCAGAGTTAAGGAAACTTATTTTGAACTTTTTACAGCCTTTAATAATTGAGCAATGTGTATTCCTCTGAACAAAATTTGGAGCACGTTTGTTTCTCTCTGCCTGGATCCTCTAGAATTTGGTAACTATCTGTGAGTACTCTTAACTTATGGCAATATAGTTGTTTGCATCAGTGCAATAAGAATCCATTTCACTTTTTCAACAGGACACAATTGGAAAAACTGTTATTTTATCAAGGCTTTGACTGGAAGGGTATGCTGCCTTCTAAGGAGTCAATCTTGACTTGAAGAGCCAATAAAAACCCTGTCAGGAGAACTGACCTCATACCTTGTCAACACAGTCCCTGCACAGGGTTCCTAACCTGTGGTCAGTAAAGAATGCCACTCTCTAACAGATCCAGGAGTTCCAAGTTCATCTTGGGACCTTAAGAGAAAAGGATCACCCAACTCACAGGTATTCGAGGATACAAGCCCATGGCTGGGCTTTAAAAGGTTTTTATCTGAGATTCCTTGAGGAACAGAGTTCCATCAAAGACAATCCAAAAGGCCTATATGGAAATAATTATTCTTGCTGCACAGCAAAAGAAACTGTCATCAGAGTGAACAGGCAACCTATAGAATGGGAGAAAATTTTTGCAATCTATCCATCTGACAAAGGGCTAATATCCAGAATCTGCAAAGAACTTAAACAGATTTTCAAGAAAAAAACAAACAACTCCATTCAAAAAGTGGGAAAAGGATATGAAAAGACACTTCTCAAAAGAAGACATTTATGTGATCAACAAACCTATGAACAAAAGCTCATCATCACTGGCCATTAGAGAATGCAAATCAAAACCACAATGAGATACCATCTGATGCCAGATAGAATGGCAATCATTAAAAATAAGGAAACAAAAGATGCTGGAGAGGATATGGAGAAATAGAAACGTTTTTATACTGTTGGTGGGAGTGTAAATTAGTTCAACTATTGTGGAAGACAGTGTGGCAATTCCTCAAGGATCTAGAACCAGAAATATCATTTGACCCAGCCATCCCATTGCTGGATATATACCCAAAGGATCGTAAATCATTCTGCTATAAAGACACATTCACACATATGTTTATTGCAGGACTTTTCACAATAGCAAAGACTTGGAACCAACCCAAATGTCCATCAATGATGGACTGGATAAAGAAAATGTGGCACATATACACCATGGAATATTATGCAGCCATTAAAAAGGATGAGTTCGTGTCCTTTGCAGGGATATGCATAAAGCTGGAAACCATCATTCTCAGCAAACTAACACAGGAACAGAAAACCAAACACCACATGTTCTCACTCATAAGTGGGAGTTGAACAATGAGAACACATGGACACAGGAGGGGAATATCACACACCAGGGCCTGTCAGGGTTGGGGGACTAGGGGAGGGATAGCCTTATGAGAAATACTTAATGTAGATGATGAGATGATGGGTGCAGCAAACCACTATGGAACGTGTATACCTATATAACAAACCTGCACTTGCTGCACATGTATCCCAGAACTTAAAGTATAATTTTAAAAAATTGGGCAAAAGACATGAGTAGACATTTTTCAAAAGCAGATATATACAAACAGCCAACAGACATGAAAAAAATGTTCAATATCACTAATCATCAGGGAAATGCAAATTAAAACCATGATGAGATACCACCTTACTCCTTCGAGAATGGCAATAGTAATAATAATAATAATAAAAGATAGATGTTGGCGTGGATTTGGTGAAAAGAGAACACTTTTATGCTGCTGGTGGGAATGTAAACTAGTGCAACCACTAAATCTGTCTGGAGCTCCCTTAAACAAATAAAAGTAGAACTACCATTTGACCCAGGAATTCCACTACTAGCTATCTACCCAAAGGAAAAGAAGTCATTATATGAAAAATATGCATACACACACATGTTTAGAGGAGCAGAATTTGCACTTGAGAAGATATGGATACAACTTAAGTGTCCATTAATCAATGAGTGGATAAAGAAAATGTGGTATATATATATACACCATGGAATACTATTCAGCCATAAAAAGGAACAAAATAATGTCTCTTGCAGCAACTTGGATAAAGCTGGAGGCCATTATTTTAAGTGAAGCAACTCAGGAATGGAAAACCAAATATCATAGGTTCTCATTTATAAGTGGGAGCTAAGCTGTGAGGGCATACAGGGACAGGAATGATATAGTGGACTTAGAGGACTCACCGGGAAAGGTTAAAAGGTGGGTGAAGAATAAAATACTATATATCGGATAAAGTGTACATTGCTTGGGTAACAGTTGCACCAAAATCCCAGAAATCACCACTAAAGAACTTATGCATGTAACCAAAAACCACCTGTATCCCCAAAACCATTGAGAAAAAAAATTCAAGTTTTGTTACAAAGAAGTTCCCAGAATCTTTGTTTTGAAGTATTTCTACACTGAACATTTAGTTTGGTTGTTCCCATTCAAAAATGTGTTAACATGACAAATCATAGTAATGTTTTCTTACATGTTTCCACACATACACATATATTTTTGTGTAATTCTATCTAGTTTATCTCATTTCCTTGTTTTATTCTTTTTATTATCAACTTAGTTAAAATTGAATACTTATTTTGCAGCTATTGCATGCTTATTTTCTTCTATTGTAAATTATTTTGAGATGAAGATATTTATACATAAACCCTTGTCTTTTTTCTTGTTCTTTCCTTAGGTTGAACTATTATTCACAGAATTCTGAGTTGGAGTTCTGAGCACTTCTGAGAATCTTGGTAAGAATTTTTAAATTGCTTTCCAGAAAACTTAACGATTTGTGTGCCTACCGGCCATGTGTTTTAATGCCTGTTTCACTTTATTCTCAGCCATATATTTCATTAAGTGTAAGTTATTACTCATTCTTTGTTTAAGGCCTCATGAGACTGTTACCTAAAGTATGGAATATTTTTATTAACTCTCATGCCAACAAGTCAGGAACATGGTAGGAAACAATAGCAATGTAAGTTGCGTATTGACATTCTTACTCTCCCCATAGCTGATAAATTTAGGGTCAGGATAAATGTGATTGGGTTAATTAACCAAACTTCTAACACTTCTAATATGTCATGAATTAAGCTGATGTTTGGTGTTCAGAATGACTAATTTAAAAATTAATATTTAGGCAACAAAACCATTAGTTTATTATTTCTTCTGCTGCTACCGGGTACAAATCCTGGCAGTGATTTCCAATAAATTGGAAACAAAATAAACAGAAAGTAGAAAATATTTAATGACAGATTAGCATATCAATAAACTGAGGGTGATAGTAGAAGCCTTTCCTGTAGCTTTTGTTTAAATGGTCTTTAGAGTTTTGCAGTAAAAAGTAAGTAGCTCCGTGGGTTGAGCAGTTTCCAGTTCTCAGTTCAGGCATAAACTTGCTCTGCAATTTTAGGCAAAAATGAAAGTATCTTCAGGTCTCAATTTCTTCTCTCTATAAGATTTCTGAAATTCATGTCAGTTTTAAAATATTGTGATCATATATAGATGAGTATGCTATGCAGTCAGACTTTATAAAAAATGAAGATTCACTCTAACCACATTTGTTGCTGGATATTTATATAATTTGTACTGTTTCATGATTACAAGTAATGCTAAGATAAGTACTCTTGTATACAGAATTGTATGGCAGATTGTAGTACATATATATAATATATGCATATATGCATATATTATATATATATTATATGTATATAGGCATATATTATATATGTATATATATTATATATATTACATTGATTTGATGGGTCAGATATAATGCATAATTTGTAGGAATATTTTCAGTCAAGCTTCCATCTAGAAAGGCTGCTATTTTATACTCTCAACAATAGTGCCTTGAGGTACCCATTTTTTCCAGTTAAACATTGGATATTATTGAACTTAAATATTTTTTGCCAATTTGATAAGTGAATAGTATCATCACCTCGTTTTTTAAAATTTGTAACACTACTATTTGTAAATGTAAAGTTGAACTTCTTATTTTTGGGACCCATTTGTATTTCTTTTTACAATAAATTACCTGCTTTATAACCTTTATGCATTTAGCTACTGATCTTTATGCAGTTAAGCAGTTATCTTGTAATTTATATTTGTAGGAGTTTTTCATAGGTTGTAAAAATATATATCACACATTTTTCCATGTGTTTACTTGCGTATTAACTTTGTATTTTGTTACAAAAAAAAGTAATGCTCAAAATTTTAAACTTTACTTTTGATGACTTTGAATTTTATTTTAGGAAGGAATATTCTGCCTTAAGCTATTTGCTTGAGTATTGTTATAGTTGTGTCTATATATATGTGTGTGTATGTGGGGGGAGGTTTGTAGTCTGTCTAGAATGCAATAAATGCTTTCAGATAGAGATATAATTTTGTTTACCAAAAGGAGAGCCCTTTGTTCCATAACCATTTGTAAAATAGTCTGTTTTTACCCACATTATAAAAATAAATACCACTTATTTTTAAATATACATTTATTTTATATTAAATTTCTCCTCTGCCTTATTACTATTCACTTTCTAAATACACTATTCTTGAGCATTTTTTTCTAAGCTAATGGTAGAATTATTTTTTAAGTACCAATCGGAATTCTTTGAGATTTTATTTGGAATTATCTTGAATGCATAGACTGTTTTTGCAGGAAATAAAATATTTACAACATCAGATTTGATGACTGAGTGTGGTGGCTCACACCTGTAATCCTAACACTTGGGTGGCCTAGGTGGGAGGATCGTATGTGCCCAGGTGTTCAAGGCTACAGTGAGCTATGATCACACCGCTGCACTTAGCCTGGGCAACAGAATAAGACCCTGTCTCACAGAGAGAGAGTGAGAGAGAGAGAGAGAGAGAGAGAGAAAGAGAGAAACAGAGAGACAGATAGATAGATAATCCATAAAGAAACATTAAAAATATTTACATTTATATGTGACTTGTTTTATTTAAGTAAGAGTTTTGTTAATTTTATTTTTTGGATAGTTGTTTGACCTTAACATTTTTAGTAAACTTATTAAGTCTAAATGCTTTCGTGTCTTTCTTTTTATAAAAATGAATATAATTTCACAATATTTTCAAAGTGGTCACTGCTGATTATTAGGAAATATATTTATTTTTTATTTCTTTGTATGTAGGGTTCTTAATAAACTTTCTTTTAGTCCTAATTTCTCCAAAACTTTTTTAAGAGAGATGATTAGATTTACCTGTTATTTATTTTTGCTTAGATTTACCTTTTGTTAAAATTATTTACCATTTTTATGGACATGTAATAGTTGTACATATTTATGGAGTACATGTGATATTTTGATACAAGAATACAATATGTTACAATAAAATCAGGGTAGTTGGGATAGCCATCACTTCGAATATTTATTATTTCTTCATGTTGGAAACATTCCAAATTCAGTCCCCTAGATTTTGAAAAATAATATAAATTGTTCACTACAGTCACCATATTGTGCTGCTAAACACTGAAACTTATTTATACTATCTAACAATTTAACTGTATTTTGTTACTCATAAAACAACCCCTCTTGATCCCTTCCTTCCTAGTACCCTTCCCAGCCTCTCATAACCCATCATTCTACTATATACCTCCATGAGATCAACTTTTTTTTATAGCTCCCACATATGAGTGAGCACATGTGATATACTTCTTTGCGTGTCTGGCTTATTTCACTCAAGATAATGTCCTCCAGTTCCATCTGTGTTGTTGAAAATGACTTGGCTGTATAATATTTTATTGTGTATATGTGCCACATATACTTAATCCATTAATCTGTTGACGGATACTTATGTTGATTCCATATCTTGGCTATTGTCAAGAGTGCCACAATACGCATGGGAATGCAGATATCTCTTTAATTTACTAATTTTTTTGGATATATACTTAGCGCTGGGTTTGCTGGATCATACGGTTGTTTTATTTTCTGGTTTTCAAGGAACCTCCATACTATTCTCCATAGCATCTGTACTAATTTTCTTTTCTTTTCTTTCTTTTCTTTTTTTTTTTTTTTTTGAGACAGTCTTGCTGTGTCGCTCAGGCTGGAGTGCAGTGCTGCGATCTCGGCTCACCACAACCTCCGCCTCCCGGGTTCAAGCGATTCTCCTACCTCAGCCTCCTGAGTTGCTGGGATTACACGTGTGTGCCACCATACCGGCTACTTTTTGTATTTTTAGTAGAGACTGGGTTTCACCATGTTGGTCAAGCTGGTCTCGAACTCCTGACCTCGTGATTCACCCGCCTTGTCCTCCCAAAGTGCTGGGATTACAGGTGTGAGCCACGATACCCGGCCATCCATACTAATTTTCATTCCAGCCAACAGCGTACAAAGGTTCTCCTTTCTCCACATCCTCATCAGCATCCATTATTATGTCTTTTTGATGAAATTCATTTTACCTGGAGTGAGATTATATCTCATTGTGGTTTTTATTTGCATTTCTCTCATGATTAGTGACGTTGAACATTGTTTTATATACTCATTAGCCATTCACATGCCTTTTGCTGAGAAATGTCTATTCAGATAGTTTAACCATTTTATAATTGTGTTATAGGTTTTTCATTGTTGTTGTTTGCTATTGCTTCATTGGCGTGTCCTATATCTCCTGGTTGTTAATCAAGTGTCAGTTGAATAGTATACATAAATTCTCCCATTCTGTAGGTTGTATATTCATTTTTTGATTGTTTCTTGTGCTGTTCTGTAGGTTTTTGGATTGAGGATCCCATTTGTTAATTTTTGTTTTGGTTGCCTGTGCTATTGAGAAATCTTTGCCCAGACCAATGTCCTGAAGCATTCACTAAATGCTTCCTTCTAATAATTTCATACTTTCAAGTCTTGCATGTAGGAGTTTAATCCATTTTGATTTCATTTTTATATATAAGAGAGAGAAGTCTGATTTTATTCTTCTGCATATGGATATCCAGTTTTTTCAATATTATTTGTTGAAAAGACTATCCTTTCCCTGATGTATGCTCTTGGTATTTTTGTCAAAAATGAGTTGATTGTAAATTACTAAATTTTTCTGGGTTCTCTATTCTGTTCCATTGATCTATGCACTTGTGTTTATGCTAGTACCATGCTGTTTTGATCACTGTAGCTTTGTAGTATAATTTGAAATCAAGTAATGTGATGACTCCAGCTTTGTTCTTTTTGCTCAGAATTACTTTGACTATTGGGGTCTTTGTTGTTTCATGTAGATTTTAGGATTATTTTTTCTATTTATGTGAAGAATATCATTGATATTTTGATAGATACTACTTTGGATATGTAGATTTCTTTGGATAGTATGGACATTTTAGTGATAGTGAGTCTTATAATTCATGAACATGCAATATAATTCCATTTTTGTGTCCTCCTCAATGTTTTTCATTAATATTTTATAGTTTTAATTGTAGAGATCTTTCACTTCTTTGGTTAAACTTATTTTTAGGTATTTTATTTTTTGTTGTAGCTATGATAAATGGGATTGCTTTCTTGGGTTCTTTTTTACATTGTTTACTGTCAGCATATATAAATGCTACTGATTTTTGTAAGTTGATTTTATATCCTGCAACTTTACTGAATTCATTCATCAGTTCTAATAGGTTTTTGATGGACTTTTAAAGGATTTGCTAGATGTAAGATTATATTGTCTGTAAACAAGGATAATTTAACATTTTTCTTTCCCATTTAAATGCCCTTATTTCTTCTTCTCATCTAATTGTTCTGAGTAGGACTTCCAGTACTATGTTGAATGAGAGTGGTGAAAAGTGAGCATCTTTGTTTTGTTCCATAGCTTAGAAGAAAGGCTTTCAGTCTTCCTTCATTCAGTCTTGTATTAGCTGTGAATTAGTCATATATGGCCTTTATTGTATTGAGGTATCTTCCTTTTATTTCCAGTTTATTGAGAGTTTTTAATTATGAAAAGGTATTGAATTTTATCAAGTGCTTTTTTGGTGTTTATTGAACTGGTCCTATGGTTTTTATATAAACAAAATATTGGTGCATCCATAAAGACAAATTTCTCTCTGGCAAAATTTGTCTTGTGTTTTTTAAATATCAAAGTTGGTAAAAAGTAGATTATATATTGTTTTTATTATATTTTCTCATACAAATGAAGATAAATTTTAAATTCAGCACATATTAAAATTGTATATATTGTTTTTCTCAATCTACATTTTTTTGGCTTAGAAATTAGGAAGCGTATTCAGAAAAAATAGCAATGATAGTAGGAGTAATGGGCTAAATAATGACCCACCGAAGATGTTCATATTTTAATCTCCACAACCTGTGAACATTTGACTTGGCAAAAAAAAAAAAAGTGCCAAAAAATCAAGGACACCTCCAGCAGTACCTGTGTACTTTGTCAGGGAAGTAATAGCCTTCCCACTGAAATTCCTCCTTGTGCAAAACTATGTCACACAGACAACCTTACATTTGAAAATGCTAAAACATCAGTTTCAGCTTTTTTAGCATTAGGATAGAGACAGGCCAAGAATAAAGAGGTTTTATAATAATTGCTGGGCCAACCAGTATATATTTGCAGCCAAATAAATCTGAGAGAAAATAAGAAAAAAGGGAAGATGTTCATTGACTTGTGATTCATTATCACAAATGACATTTATTTTCATTAGTTTAACTGTGCCCATATTTTTAGTAGGTCAAATGACCACACAGAGAGAGCTTTATGACATTTTTCAAGGAATCACAGATAAGTAAATAACCTTTTTTTAAAAAAGTGGAAGTAACATGGGCCATCATGAATTAACTATTAGTACACAATTTCCACAATTTGTTTTTCTCTAGATTATGATTCATAATTGAGGCTGGAAAATGTTTATACCTATTAAAAGTAAACTGAATTATATGAGGGATAAAATAAAAGCATATATATAAATAATTTCAGTGGATAGTTAGGAGAATATTCTAATACAGAGTAATAATCAAAACCCACAGAAATTAGAACAAATATTCAGGGTGTTTACTGTTTGACAGGTAGTATCTTAGGCACAGTGGATAAAACTTTAGCAGTGTAGCTATGACTTATGCTCTTCCTTAGCTTCTTGTTCAGTAGAACAATTAGAGCAATAGCACCATTTTCAAAAGTTATACAAAGAACTGTAATGTAGGCATTATTTTCTTCATTTTTTTAGAGAAAAAAATGAGACTTAGGAGAAAAAGTGACATAGAAAATGACATAGAGTTTGAAAATAATCAAATATGAGTTAAATGTGCCCAAACAACCATCTACTGCATTGTACTATACCACCAGCCAGCATTAAACTTATAGTAAAGTCTAGTTACATCAATTTTACTCCATTAAGAGGTTTTCATCCCCTAGGACAGTACTACACATATCAGCCAAATGGTCTAAAACGTATTTATTAAGCTCCCTGAATCTTTATTTTGTCATTCATAAAATAGGCAATAATGACTTTCCTGTGAAATTACTAAAAGGTCTTGATAAGAAAATATGTATAATGAACTTTATTATATCCCCTAGCAGAAGTGCATTTGTGTTATAGTCCTGGATGTCAAAAGTCCAAAATGAGTCTCAAATCAAGGTGTCAGTAGGGCTGAGTTTCCTCTGGAAGTTCATTAATGATAGCTAGTTTGTGATTAACATTGAGATTATAAACTTTATGAAGGCAGGGACTTGTCGTTAGCTTTATTTAACATGAACATAGTGTCATGAATGCAACGAGGACTCTACAAATATGAGACTGGCCATTTTCTATTTAAGAAAAGTAAACAAACATTTAAATAAATATAAATAAATCAGTTTTCATTTTATATTAAGTTTCTATTATTAATAATCCAATACATATAGAATAAAGCAGTGATTACCAATTGTTTACTGATTATACAATTGGCCAAAAAGGAAAAAAGGAAAAACAGCTATTTTATAAAGAATATATAAATGTTGGCACTCTTACTCTGATCATGGTAGTGTTAATATGGGCATGACATGAAAAACTTTAAAAGGCACATTTCTTTTTTGAACCCAACTATTAACAGTTTTAGGCATTTGCTCTAAGGAAATTATCAGAACTTCCATATCAGTTTACATGTAAGAATGTTCTCTATAATAATATATAAATAGTGATATATTGGGAACTGCCTAAATACTCTGGACTATACTATTAAATAGTGATTTTTTTATTGTAAATAGATTGCCTTCTTGATTTGACTCTCAGCTTTATTGATAGAAAATACAATCAATAAATAGTGATGATTATTCCATAGAAATACTACTATGCAGCTATGAAGAGAAATTATCTCAACAAATAATTACAAGAAAATTTTTCAAACAAGTGAAAAAGAGCACTTGTATTCAGCTACCCAGGCACTATGGAAATCATGGCTATATTTGTAAAAGTCAAGAACTTTATCAACAAAAATCTGTAATGTTGAGAACTTATATTAGTTTCTTATTGCTGCCATTACAAACTCCCATAAACAGAGTGGCTTAAAACAATAGAAATTTATTTGTGTTGTAGTTCTGGAGGTCAAAAGTCCAAAATGAGTCTCAAATCACAGTGTCAACAAGGGCTGAATTTGTTCTGGAAATTCTAGGAAAGAATCTATTTCCTTCCCTTTTCCAGTTTCTAAAGACTGCCCCCACTCCTTGGTGCATGGCTCTATTCTTCCATCTTCAAATCTAGTAACATCAGGTTGAATCCATTTGCCTCCCTCTTTCACTATTAATGACTCTCAAACTTACATTGGGCCCATCCACATAATCCAAGATGATCTCTTCACTTAAAGGTCATCTGAATTACATTTTAATTATATCTACAACGCTAATTCTCCTTTGCCATGCAAGTTAACATGTTTGCAGTTTCTGTGGATAATAACATAATCAGCTTTGTGGAGGTCATTATTTTGCCTATCACAGACGCCTAGATGACTTTAGCATGATTACATTTGGAGCTAAGTAAAACTCATCCAGGTCATGAGAGTGATGGCTAGAGGCTAAAGATGGTGAGGCATGACAATGTGAGGCTTATATCATAAGATAGAACTTGGTATAGAAGGGCCAAACTGCTTGGTATCAATGACATTGGTGTACCATGTTTATTGCAGTGCTTGCTGCTGGAGGTTTATAGTGTCTGCCACTAGATGGCTGGACTCTTGGGTTTGAGAGGCCAACCCATACTTAAAAGTACTGGGATAAAGTGACATCTATGTATCACACTGTTGAACCTCTAGTTTTCTAAAACATAATTGCCAGAGCAGCAAAAGTCTTAGAAAATAAGATCCTTACAATCTTTTAGTTTCCTTTGCTGACGATGTAATAAAAATAATAGATTACGCTAGAACATTTGCAGTGTTCCTGGTAGTATTCTAAATACTTCAAATAAACTAAATTGCTTAAGTTTCTCAAGAACCATTGGAGGCAGAATAGTTAGAAACAGTAAGCTTGAATAACTTGTCTGATACTCTACTACAATAGTTTAAATCTATATGATTTTAGAGTATGAGTTCTCACCTCTACCGTTTCTCTCTTCAGGAATTCTTCCTCTACTACATGTGCTCTTTCAGAGTTTTGAATTGCTATAAATAGATAACTTCCAGAAGGAAGAAATGGTCCTTTCTGCCAATATTGGCATTTACAGTTGTTAATATGTGTTGATTAAACATTATAGTAACATTGCTTATACAACAAACTGGTAAAGTGAAATACAACAATTACAGTTAGGTATCACTTCATCTGGAAAGTCTTTCCTGCACTCTACCATACATATTCTGGAAATATTTATTTAATATTTTCTCCCAGAGGGCTGTGGATAGTGAATTTCTAAGCATTTATAACAGTGTTATATTTACCTGTTTACTTGGCTCTTTATAGTACATGACGCTCAATCAAACTGTATAATTAACAATGTATTACCTCTTGTATATCTAGCACATTCTATAGTGGCTGGAGTATAGTTGATACTAAAAAAAAATTCTTAGTGAAATAATGTGTAAATGAGTAACTGATGGGTTCCAGGAAGTGTTTTTTATATAAGAATAATTTTTCTTCCGCCTCACAGGAGGAGATTGTGGCAGTATTCCCTTCTCTTCCGTTTTCTGAAAGATTTTGAATAGATTTGATACTAATTCTTCCTTATATTTTTGGTATAATTCAACAGTGGAGCAAGCTGGGCATGTGGTTTTCTTACTTGGAAGCTTTTAAACCTTGTATTCAATTTTATTTTATTTTATTGATATAGGGCTATGCCTATTTCTTCTTGAGTGATATTTGTGTCTTTTAAGGAATTTGTCTATTTCATTTGTCTTAAAATTTATTGGCATGAACTTATTAATAAGATTATCAAATATTTTACAGCATTGTCAAATTAAAATTTATGTATCACACAATTTGGTCATTTTTATTTTATTTATAAATGTATACAACTGTTAGCAAAATCAATTTTAAAATATTTTCATCATTCTCAAAATAAAACCTGTACCCATTAACAGTTATTCTCCATTCCCCTCCAAACCCCTCAGCCCTAGACAGCTACAAATTTACTTTCTGTTTTATAGATTTACCTATTCCAGACATATAGTAAAGATGGAATCACAGTATGTCATTTTCTGTGACTGCTTGTTTGAATGCTTCTAGCATAATGTTTTCAAGGTCCACCTATATTGTAGTATGTATCAACGCTTTACTCCATTTTTAGCTTGGATGATAGTCCATCATATGGATATATTAGTTCTCTTTTGACATTTGAGGTGTTTCCATGATTTGCTATTATACATAGTGCTGTTATGAAATTATGTGTACAAGTTTTGTGTGGACATATGTTTTTATTTCTTTGGGGTATGCACCGAGGAGTGAAATTGATGTATCATATGCTAAGTCTATATTTAACCATTTGAGGAACATCCAGAATGTTTTCCAAAGCAGCCTCACCATTTTACATTCCCACCACCAGTGTCTGAGGATTGCAGTTTCTCCTCATTCTTGCCAATACTTACTATGTCTGTTTTATCTTAGTTATCATAATAAAAGTGAAATAGTATCTCATGTGGTTTTCATTTGCATTTTACTGTTGCTGACATTGAGCATCTTTTCCTGTTTTTAATGGACATCTGCATTAACATATTCCATAGATAAATGTTTACAGATCCTTTGCCTACTTTCTAAATTGTTTGTATTTTATGATTGAATTATAAGCGCTCTTTGCATATTCCAGATATAATTCTCTCATCAAATATAGTATTTGCAAATATTTCTCCTGAGATTATCTTTTAGCTTTCCTTATGATATATGTTTTGTTTCTAATGGTAAAACTTCTGAGGCAAAAAGTTAATTTTAGTGAAGTCTAATTAATCTATTTTTTGTTAGTTGGTTGTACTTTAGTGTCTTAGCCTTTACCCAAGCTAAGGTCATGAAGATTTATTCTCATATTTTCTTCTAAGAATTTTATAGAGTTTTAGTTCTTATAGTTAGGTCTATGATCTACCTTTATTTAATTTTGTGTATGGGATGAGGCCCAACTTCATTCTTTTGCATGAGACTGTCCGATTGTCTCAGAATGGTTAGTAGAAAAGACTATTGTGTCCTATCGAATTTTCCTAGCACCTAATCAAGAAGTAATGGTCTATAAATGTTAAGCATTGTTTCTGAACTTCCAGTTCTTTTCCATTGATCTTTATAACTACCCTTGTGCCAATACCACTCTGTCTTAATTACTGTAACTTTGTGGTGAATTTTGAAATTGGCAATTGTGGCTTCTTCAATTTTGTTCTTTTAAAAGTTGGTTTGGCTATTCTGGGTCCCCTGAATTTGCATATAAGTTATAGGATCAGCTTGATAAATTCTGCAAGGAAAGTATTTGGGATTTTGATGAAAATTGCATTGAAGTTACATCAATTTCAGGATTTTTGCCATCTTAATAATAATGTCTTGCAATCCAATAATGTGATTAACATAAGATGGCTTTTCATTTACTTAAGTCTTCTTTATTTCAATTATTTCACACCAAAGTGTGCGTGTGTGTGTATGTGTATTAGTTTTCAGTGTCTTATACTTCTTTTGTTAATTTCTAAATTTATTTTTAATTCAAGTTTTATTATTTTTCATTGCACTGCTAATGAGATTTTTTTAAAATATCACTTTTAGATTGTTTATTGCTATTGTGTGGGATATAATTTATTTTTAGATATTGATTTTGTATCCTGCAACCTTGCTGAACTCATTTATTAATCGTATAGTTTTTAAAGTAGACTCTGTTTTTTATGCCTAAGATTATGTCATCTGGAATATTGATAGCTTTCTTTCCTTCTTTCCAATCTAGGTGTTTTAAATTTATTTTTCTGCCCTAATTGATCTGCCTAGCGCTTCTCACGACAATATTAAACAGAACTGTGAAGAACATAGATCTATATATTTTTCCTGATCCTAATGAGAAAGTATTTTGCATTTCATGGTTAGGTAGAATGTTAGCTGTAGGGTTTTCATACATGTCCTTTATAAGGTTGAGGAAATCTCTTTATAGTTCAAGTTCATTTAGTGTTTTGGATTTTTTTTTTTTTTTGACACTACGTCGCACACTGTCACCCAGGGTGGAATGCAGTGGCACAATCATAGCTCACTGTAACCTGAAATTCCTGGGTGCTGAAGTTATCCTATTGCCTCAGCATCCCAGATAGCTAGGACTAGAAGAGCATACCACCATATCTAGCTAGTTTTTAAAATTTTTTGCAGAGAAGAGGTCTCACCATGTTGCCAGGCTGGTCTCAAATTCCTGGACTCAAGTGATCCTCCCACTTTGGCCTCCCAAAGCACTGGGATTAATGACATGCATAAGCCACTACACCAAGCTAGATTTTTTTTTCAAATTCTTTTTCTACATCGAATAATATGACTGTGGTTTCTAACCTTTATTCTATTGATATAATGTATTATATTAATATATTTTTACATGTTGAACCAATCTTACATTTCTGGGATAAATCTCAGTAGTCATAGTTTATAATCATCTTTTATGTTTGCTGGAATTGATTTGCTTATGTTTTGTTGAGGATTATTTGTACATATATTCATAGGAGATATGTTCTATAGTGCCTTGTTATGTTTTTATCTAGTTTCCATATCAGGGTATTACTTGCTTCATAGGATGAGTTGGTTGTGTATTCTCTTCTATTTTTGAAAGAGTTTATCAATAATTGACATTAATTCTTAATTTAATATTAGGTAGAATTCTCTAGTGAAGCCATTTGGGCTTGGACTCTACTTTATCGGATGGCTTTTAAATTCAATCTCTCTATTTGTACAGGTCTGGGCAGATTTTAAATTCTCCTTGAGAAAATTTCAGAAGTTCATTTCTTTTAAGAGTATCGCTTATTTAATCTAGGTTACCTAATTTTATAACTACATACTTGTTCATAGTTGTCCCTAGTAATGCTTTTTATTCCTTAAGGTGGTAGTGATGTTCCATTTCATTTTTGACTTTAGAAAGTTAAGACTTCTCTTTCTTCTTAGTAAATGTAGCTAATAGATTGTCAATTCTATTGATCTTTTTAAATAACTAACTTCGAGTTTCATTGATTTTCTATTCTGTTTTATTTCCTTAACTTTAAGATAAATACCTAACTTAGTATTTCTTTCCTTTGAATGCTCTATGTTTTGTTTGCTTTTTTTGTCCAGCATTTTAAGGTGCAAGATTAAGTTATTGATTTGAGATCTTTTTTTTTTTCATTAGTTTAGATGTTTACAGCTACAAATTTTTCTTTATGCACTGCTTTAGCCCCATACATAAATTTTGGTTTGTTACAATTTTCATTTTAATTCATCATAATATTGTTTCTCTAGCAATTTTCCATTTGATTTATTATTTGAACTATTCATTGAGTATATTGTTTAATTTTTACATATGTATGAACTTCTAAAATTTCTTTGTTATTAATTTCTAAGTTCATACCACTGTGGTTGACAAACATGCTTTATTCCAATACTCTTAAATTTATTCAGGCTTGTCTTATGGTCTATCCTAGATATGGTCTATTCTAGAAGTGTTCAGTATGCACTGGGAAAGAACGCATGTACTGTTGCTGTGTAGTAGATTGTTTTATAGATATTTCTCATGGCTATTTGGTTTACATTGTCATTTTAGTCTTCTTTTCTCCTGTTGATTAGTAACCTACTTGCGACTTGCTCTATCCGTTAACTAAAAGTGAAGTGTTAGCATCTCCAGCTAATGATTTTGAATTGTGTATTTCTAACTTCAGGAGCAGGTTGTTCAGTTTCCATGTACTTGGGCGGTTTTCAGTGAGTTTCTTAAACCTGAGTTCTAGTTTGATTGCACTGTGGTCTGAGAGACAGTTTGTTATAATTTCTTTTCTTTTATATTTGCTGAGGAGTGCTTCACTTCCAACTATGTGGTCAATTTTGGAATAAGTGTGACGTGGTGCTGAGAAGAATGTATATTCTGTTGATTTGGGGTAGAGAGTTCTGTAGATGTCTATTAGGTCTGCTCGGTGCAGAGCTGAGATCAATTCCTGGATACGCTTGTTAACTTTCTGTCTTGTTGATCTGTCTAATGTTGACAGTGGGGTGTTAAAGTCTCCCATTATTCTTGTGTGGGAGTCTAAGTCTCTTTGCAGGTCTCTAAGGACTTGCTTTATGAATCTGGGTGCTCCTGTATTGGGTGCATATATATTTAGAATAGTTAGCTCTTCTTGTTGAATTCATCCCTTTACCATTATGTAATGGCCTTCTTTGTCTCTTTTGATCTTTGTTGGTTTAAAGTCTGTTTTATCAGAAACAAGGATTGCATCCCCTGCTTTTTGTGCTTTCCATTTGCTTGGTAGATCTTCCTCCATCCCTTTATTTTGAGCCTATGTGCATCCTTGTATGTGAGATGGGTCTCCTGAATACAGCACACTGATGGGTCTTGACTCTTTATCCAATTTGCAAGTCTGTGTCTGTCTTTTAATTGGGGCATTTAGCCCATTTACATTTAAGGTTAATATTGTTATGTGTGAATTTGATCCTGTCATTATGATGTTCTCTGGTTATTTTGCCCATTAATTGATGCAGTTTCTTCATAGCATCAATAGTCTTTATAATTTGGCAATTTTTTGCAGTGGCTGGTACTAATTGTTTCTTTCCATGTTTAGTGCTTCCTTCACAAGCTCTTGTAAGGCAGGCCTGGTGGTGACAAAATCTCTCAGCATTTGCTTGTTTGTGAAGAATTTTATTTCTCCTTCACTTATGAAGCTTAGTTTGGCTGGATATGAAATTCTGGGTTGAAAATTCTTTTCTTTAAGAATGTTGAATATTGGTCCCCACTCTCTTCTGGCTTGTAGGGTTTTTGCTGAGAGATCTGCTGTTAGTCTGATTGGCTTCCCTTTGTGGGTAACTCAACCCTTCTTTCTGGCTGCCCTTAACACTTTTTCCTTCATTTCAACCTTGGCGAATCTGACAATTATGTGTCTTGGGGTTGCTGTTCTCGAGGAATATCTTTGTGCTGTTCTTTGTATTTCCTGAATTTGAATGTTGGCCTGCCTTGCTATGTTCAGGAAGTTCTCCTGGATAATATCCTGAAGAGTGTTTTCCAACTTGGTTCCATTCTCCCCATCACTTTCAGGTACACCAGTCAAATGTAGATTTGGTCTTTTCACATAGTCCCATATTGCTTGGAGGCTTTGTTCTTTTCTTTTTACTCTTTTTTGTCTAACCTTGTTTTCTTGCTTTATTTCATTAATTGGATCTTCAATCACTGATACCCTTTCTTCCACTTGATCGAATTGGCTATGGAAGCTTGTGCATGCGTCACGAAGTTCTTGTGCCATGATTTTCATCTCCATCAGGTAATTTAAGATCTTCTCTACACTGTTTATTCTAGTTAGCCATTTGTCTAATCTTTTTTCAAGGTTTTTAGCTTCCTTGCAATGGGTTTGAACATCCTCCTTTAGCTTGGAGAATTTTGTTATTACCGAACTTCTGAAGCCTACTTCTGTCAACTCATCAAAGTCATTCTCCATCCAGCTTTGTTCTGTTGCTGGCGAGGAGCTGAGATCCTTTGGAGGAGAAGAGGTGCTCTGAATTTTAGAATTTTCAGCTTTTCTGCTCGGGTTTCTCCTCATCTTTGTGGTTTTATCTACCTTTGGTTTTTGATGTTGGTGACCTGCAGATGGGGTTTTGGTGTAGATGAGCTTTGTGTTGATGTTTATGCTATTCCTTTCTGTTAGTTTTCCTTCTAACAATCAGGTCCCTCAGCTGCAGGTCTGCTGGAGTTTGCTGGAGTTCCACTCCAGACCCTGTTTGCCTGGGTATCACCAGCAGAGGCTTCAGAACAGCAAATATGGCAGAACAGCAAATATTGCTGCCTGATCCTTCCTCTGGAAGCTTTGTCCCAGAGGGGCAGCCGCCTATATGAGGTGTCTGTCGGCCCCTACTGGGAGGTGTCTCCCAGTTAGGCTACAAGGGGGTCAGGGACCCACTTGAGGAGGCAGTCTGTCCGTTTTCAGAGCTCAAATGTCATGCTGGGAGAATCACTGCTCTCTTCAGAGCTGTCAGACAGGGACTTTTAAGTCTGCAGAAGTTGTCTGCTGCCTTTTGTTCAGCTATGCCCTGCCCACAGAGGTGGAGTCTAGAGGCAACAGGCCTTGCTGAGCTGCGGTGTACTCCACCCAGTTCCAGCTTCCCGGCCGCTTTGTTTACCTACTCAAGCCTCAGCAATGTGGACACCTCTCCCCCAGCCAGGTTGCCATCTCACAGATAGATCTCAGACTGCTGCGCTAGCAGTGAGCAAAGCTCCATGGGCATGGGAGCCACAGAGCCAGGCTCAGGAGAGAATCACCTTGTCTGCCAGTTGCTAAGACCTCAGTTGGAAATGCAGAAATCACCTGTCTTCTGCATTGATCACACTGGGAGCTGCAGACCGGAGCTGTTCCTATTTGGCCATCTTCACATTTTTTGCTTTAAAGCATGTTTTGTTTGATAATGGTATATCAACTCCAGTGTTCTTGATGTTGCTTATGTAAAATATATTTTACCATACTTTAACTTCTAAACTCTTTGTATTTTTAAATCTAAAGTACATCTCTGATTTTATTCATATTGTCAACAATGACAGAATTTCTTTCTTTTAAAGGCTGTATAGTATTCAATTGTGTATATATACCACTTTTTCCTTATCCATTCATTCAGTGATGGACACTGAGTATGCTTCTATGTGTTGGCTATTGTGAATAATGCTGAAATGAATATGGGAATGCTGATATCTTTTTGAAAGAACAATTTCAGTTCCTTTGGCCATACCCAAAAGTGGGATTGTTAGATCATATGGTAATTCTATTTTTATTTTTTGAGGAACCTCCATACTATTTTTCAAAATGACTGTACTAATTTATATTCCCACCAATAATGTGCAAGGCTTTATTTTTCTCTACATCCTCACCAACACTTGTTATCACTTGTCTTTTAGTTAATAACAATTCTAACAGGTGTGAGATGCTATTTCATTGTGTTTTTATGTGTATTTCCCTGTTGATTAAAGATGTTGAGCATTTTTTTCATGTATCTGTCAGGCACAGAAAGATAAATAATGTAAGAGCTCAATTATATGTAGAATCTAAAAATGTTAATATCATAGAAACAGAGAGTAGAAAATTATTTACCAGAGGATGGGGGAGAGGAGGAGATGTAAGAGAAAGATAAGATATTGATCAAAGGGTACAAAGTCTCAGTTAGACTAGAGGAATAGATTTCAGTGATCTATTGCACTGCATACTGGCCACAGTAAATAATAATGTCCTTTATATTTCAAAATTGCTGAAGAAATTGATGTTTAATGTTCTCACCACATACACAAAAAATAAGTTGAGGCAATAGATATGTTGATTAGCATGACTTAGTTTTTCTAGAATGTGCACGTAAATCAGAACATCACCTTGTGCCCCATAAATATACACAATTATTATTTGTCTATTGGAAATAAATAAATAAAATTTCTGGCATCAAAAATGAGGGGTTGGCAAACTGTGGCCCACAAGCCAAATCTGACTCACTGCTTGTTTTTATATTTTTTAAATATTGAAGAAAAAAGTAAAAGAAGAATTGATATTTTATGACATGTAAAAATTATGTGAAATTAAACCTTCAGTGATGTAGAGTTTTATTAAGCCACATAAAAATAAAGATGTCTTCTGCAAAGACATTGTAGCATATAGTTGAACCTTGAATTTTTAATAAATGTAGTCAAGATTAACAGTACTCACCTGTTAATCGTGTTGTGGTTACTTTGTACATAACACATTATTTTCTTTTGATTTAAAGATTTAAGATGTTCTTTTTAATAGTCTCTGATATTTAAATGGATTTCTCCATCCATTCATATTTAATATTATTATTAATGTAGTTGAATTTACGTCTGCCATTTTAGTTTTGTTTTCCACGTATCTTCATCTTTTTATTCTTTTTATCCTTCTTTACTATTTCTTATGCGTTACTTGGATATTTTCTAGTATAAAATTTTAATTACTTTGATGTAATTTAATTTAATTTAATGACTTTTGGAGTCATTGTCATAGTGCTTTTTAGAGTGCTTACACTGTGCATTTTAACTTACCAGAATCTACTTTAGATTTATACTAAATTCCACTGAAATATAGAAATATTACTCCTATATAGCTCTATTTATATTTTTCATTTTGTGCTATTATTGTTATACATATATCTATATCTTACATGCCACAGAATGTACTTATATAAATTTTCGATAATAATAATAAGTTTATCAAAAGTTAAAAAGCCTTTTAAAGAAGTGTAGCAAAGAAAAGATTGTATTTATAGTGTTTACTATATTTCCATTCTTGTTTACTATTTCTGTTACTTTTCATATGGTGCTAGAGATTGAAGTTGTCATTTCTTGTCCAGTATAACTTAATATAGCTTTGTTTGCACCTGCCTCCATTATGCTTTTATTGCCAAATATGTTATATCACATTAGTGTATATAATAGAACAGAGCGTTCTTTCTCTTTCCCTGTATATGTATATAGAGGTGATTTTGAGTCAATTAAGAGAAGAAAAACAAACATGCAATTACATTGTTTATAATTACCTACATAATTATCTTTACCACTTTTTGTTTCATATGGATTCAAATACTTGCCCTGAGCCTAAAGAACATTCTTTAATATTTCTTGTGAAGCAGGTTATCTTGTAACAAGTAATCTCAGCTTTGGTTTACCTCAGGATATCTTCATTTTGCCTTCATTTTGGAAGTTAGTTTTGTTTGATATAAAATTCTTGGTTGTTTCTTTCAGTATTCTGAACATGTTTCTCTTTGTCTTGTCATCTTTGAGTGGTCACCTGTTAATCTTCTTGTGGCTACCTTGAACATAACACATTATTTTCTTTTGATTTAAAGATTTAAGGTTTTCCTTTTGACTTTCAACATTTGTATATGGTGCATTGTGGAGAATGATCTCTTTCTGTTTTTCCTATCTGGAGTTTATACCCACTGTTTTGACATCTCAATTAAGCTTGTGTATTAGTCAAGGTTTCCAGACAGAACCAAAAGGATAGATAGACAGACAGACAGATATAGATACGTGAGAGCATGCTTATTAGTGGATTTGCTCATGTGATTATAGATGCTGGGAAGTCCCATGACAAGCTGTCTGCTAACTGGAGACCCTGGGGTGTTAGTAGCATGGCTCAGTTCAAGCCTGAAGGTCTCAGAACCAGAGAAGCTAATAGTATAACTATCAGTCTGAAGTCAAAGGTCTGAGAACTTGGGATGCTGCTGGTTTAAGTCCTGAAGTCCAAAGACTGAGGAGCCTGGAATTCTTATCCAAGGACAGGATAGGAAAAGTGAATCCCAGCTCTAGTAGATAAATTGGCATTTTTGCTATTTTGATTTTATTCTCTCTGGGCCCCCAGCAGACTGGATGGTGACTATCCACATTGAAGGCAGATCTTCTACACCTAGTCCACTGAGACTCACATGCCAATCTCATAACACCCACAGACACACCGAAAAATAATACTTTACCAGGTTTCTAGTTTCTAAGTAGACCTTAATCCAGTCATGTTGACAACTAAAATTAACCATGGCAACTTTAAATTCCCCATGATTGCTACAAATAAGTTTAGTTCTTATAAGAAGAGCCCTCTGTTTTTATAGCTTGCCTCTTCCACTTGACAAAACCCTGTCACTGCTGTGGATATGGGTGTAGGGAAAGTGACATGCTTATCATGAAGTAACACACTTGCTTTATGGGGGTCAATGGATGCGGCAGTGGCTTTTCATCTTCTTTGTTTGCCTCCCTTGTTGTAGAACCTCTGCCTTATGAGAAAGCTGGGGTGCAGGAAATTGAGGTCTAGTATTCTTGCTCTGTCATGACTGGGGTAGAGCTTCTAAGTGGGTGCTGGGTGATTGTAAGGAGCTCCAGACCTCAAAGCTATTCTTGCTTGTGGTGGAACTTCTGTATCATGAGTGTGTGTGTATGTGTGTGTGTGAGTGAAATATTCTGATGGTCTTCTCCTCCTAAGGAGTTATAATAATCATAGAATAGGAATTGGGATTTGAGGAATAGCGAGTCCTGTGTTTTTAGGTCCGCCTGCCTGGAGCATAGCTTCTGTCATGCTGAGCTGTAGGGTGAGGGGGCAGGTGCTGAGAGAGAATGGCAGGTAGTTTTTGATGGCTTAAATACCATAAGCACAGATAAGTTAAGCAATTTGATCAAGGTCACAGTCAGTAAGTGTTTGAGCCAGTATTCAAACCCAAAGAGTCTGACTCTAAAATCTATGCTGTTGAACATTATACAATGCTGCCTTTCACACATTTGCATTTATACGTGGTCTTGGCCAAACCTAATTCTCTATTCTCTTCTTGTTACTCCATTGCTTGTACTTTGCACTTTAACCTAGTGTTTATGTTTATCTCCACTCACCAGTTTTTGTTTTTCTTCTTGATTCCATCCACACCTTTGTTTATACCGTGTTCTTTTCTTTTCTCCTCAAAATGCTTATCTGAAGCCTAATGGTCTAATTTCTATTTAACTTGTAAAACTCAACATGTATTTGAACCAGTTCAGGAAATTTGTTCTAATACACATCATGATTCTATTACTATACAGACTCATGTATCATGCAATTATTATTAGACAAAATGACAACCATCCATCCAAAAGATCAATTGGTCTTTTTTTAGGTATTTGATGTATGTTATTTCCTTAGATTTAAGAGGTCAATAACTAGCAACTCCAGGTTTTTTGTCCATTAAATGTATAAATTAGTATTCTAGTGGCAACAATGAAAATATATCCTCAGCTCTCATTAGATAATGGAATTACCAGGCTTTGAATTCTTTATTTCTCAAAAAGTACTAAACACAACTTAAAGAGAATTGTTAGAAAGAGCTACATATATTCCACAGTTATATTTATTCTAGAAGACATAAAATGTGTTTTTAAACACACTATACATGCTTTAAATGAGCTTTTCTTTGCTATAATACTGTCAGACTTTATTATGGGTTATTAGGTAACAAACAAAATTAAATAAAGGAAACAAAGTGTGTAAAATTATTTACTATGTCTCCTGTAATAGTGTTGCTGAGAATATTGTTTATGTTAAGATATGGTTTCATATTAGTTTTCCTTATTCCTCCTATCCCTTCTCTTTTTTCTTCTCCTTCCCTTCCTTCTCCTTTTTCTTCATCTTCTATTTTTTGGACTATGTGTGTTGTGTGATTGCAGCTTTCCCATTTCTTTTGTCAGAAGATTTAGAGATAAATCCATGAGTCATTCATTTAAAAACTTATAAATTTTTACGTTATACAATTTTATATCTCACTTGGGAGATACTTAATCTCTACCCTTGCACTTTCTACTTACATTTGGATATATGTTATCTTGGAGAATTAAAAAACATTGCTGAAAAAAATCAAAGATGGCACAAACAAATGGAAAACATTCTATTCTCATGGATAGGAAGAATTGATATCAGTAAAATGGCCATAATGCCCAAAACAACGTACACATTCAATGCTATTTCTATCAAACTACCAATGTTATTTTTCACAGAATTAGAAAAAAAACTATTCTAAAATTCACATGGAACCAAAACAGAGTATAAATCATGAAAGCAATAATAAGCAAAAATAACAAAGCTGGAAGCATCACCTCACCTGACTTCAAAGTACAGCACAAGGCTACAGTACCCAAACAGCTTGGTATTGGTACAAAACAGATACATAGACAAATAGAACAGAATAGGTAATCCAGAAAGAATGCTACACGTCTACAACCAATGGATCTTTGATGAAGTTGATAATAACAACTGGTCTGGTGTCTATGAGAAACTCAATAAACATTTTTTCCTTCCTGTAGAGAATAGAAAATTTAATGAATACCTATTAAAAGTGAATAAGTATATATTAACAATAAAAGTTGGAGAAAGAAGGCAATATTTTTTCTTATGGGCTGAATTTAACTTAATAAGGTTAAATCAGATTTCAGAATTTCTGTCAAATGAATCGATAATTTCACAGGAAATTATACTTTTCCGGATATCTTACAATTCAAGTTTGTGATAACATTAAATATTGTGCAGGAGAATTTAAGGAAAGAACCAATGCCAAAAATGATCTAAAATTTTCCTTGAAGAGGCAGACATGTATGTTTTGTGAATCTTCTTATATTGTAAATAACACTTAAAAAAATGAAACGTGTATCTAATGTGTGACACTGACTCTTTTTCCTCCATTGAAGCAAGTACACAGAGGAATAAATGTAATTAAAATGTTTTCTTCTGTATTTGTATGGGTTATTCTTTCTACAATTCAGAGGCAGCATTTCATCACTTGGAGAAGGAAGCCTTCATCAGAATAATCACAAACAATACATGGTATAGAGTTTGAGAGCTGCTATTCCCATGCACCCAGGAAAAGGAGATACTGCAGAAACTGATATTTAATTGGAAGCCTCTTGCAGAGAGACAAAATTCTTCTGGAAAGAGGGCCAGCAAAGTCAAAGAAGCAGTTCTTAATATTATAAGGAATACAGATACTTGTCTTTTCATCACAAAAATAACCAATAAGAAAAAAAGGGTTTTAAAGATTGGCCAAGCTTAAACTATATTTACCAATTGTGTAACTTCTTTTTTTTTTTTTATTATACTTTAAGTTTTAGGGTACATGTGCACATTGTGCAGGTTAGTTACATATGTATACATGTGCCATGTTGGTGCGCTGCACCCACTAACTCGTCATCTAGCATTAGGTATATCTCCCAATGCTATCCCTCCCCCCTCCCCCCTCCCCACCACAGTCCCCAGAGTGTGATATTCCCCTTCCTGTGTCCATGTGATCTCATTGTTCAATTCCCACCTATGAGTGAGAATATGCGGTGTTTGGTTTTTTGTTCTTGCGATAGTTTACTGAGAATGATGATTTCCAATTTCATCCATGTCCCTACAAAGGACACGAACTCATCATTTTTTATGGCTGCATAGTATTCCATGGTGTATATGTGCCACATTTTCTTAATCCAGTCTATCATTGTTGGACATTTGGGTTGGTTCCAAGTCTTTGCTATTGTGAATAATGCCGCAATAAACATACGTGTGCGTGTGTCTTTATAGCAGCATGATTTATAGTCATTTGGGTATATACCCTGTAATGGGATGGCTGGGTCAAATGGTATTTCTAGTTCTAGATCCCTGAGGAATCGCCACACTGACTTCCACAATGGTTGAACTAGTTTACAGTCCCACCAACAGTGTAAAAGTGTTCCTATTTCTCCACATCCTCTCCAGCACCTGTTGTTACCTGACTTTTTAATGATTGCCATTCTAACCGGTGTGAGATGGTATCTCATTGTGGTTTTGATTTGCATTTCCCTGATGGCCAGTGATGGTGAGCATTTTTTCATGTGTTTTTTGGCTGCATAAATGTCTTCTTTTGAGAAGTGTCTGTTCATGTCCTTCGCCCACTTTTTGATGGGGTTGTTTGTTTTTTTCTTGTAAATTTGTTTGAGTTCATTGTAGATTCTGGATATTAGTGCTTTGTCAGATGAGTAGGTTGCGAAAATTTTCTCCCATTTTGTAGGTTGCCTGTTCACTCTGATGGTAGTTTCTTTTGCTGTGCAGAAGCTCTTTAGTTTAATTAGATCCCATTTGTCAATTTTGGCTTTTGTTGCCATTGCTTTTGGTGTTTTGGACATGAAGTCCTTGCCCATGCCTATGTCCTGAATGGTAATGCCTAGGTTTTCTTCTAGGGTTTTTATGGTTTTAGGTCTAACGTTTAAATCTTTAATCCATCTTGAATTGATTTTTGTACAAGGTGTAAGGAAGGGATCCAGTTTCAGCTTTCTACATATGGCTAGCCAGTTTTCCCAGCACCATTTATTAAATAGGGAATCCTTTCCCCATTGCTTGTTTTTCTCAGGTTTGTCAAAGATCAGATAGTTGTAGATATGCGGCATTATTTCTGAGGGCTCTGTTCTGTTCCATTGATCTATATCTCCGTTTTGGTACCAGTACCATGCTGTAAAGTTAAATGTAATTATGTTGTGGAGGTTATGTCTCTTTTTCCAGCATTCTTGAAAGTAAAAGATTTTCACAACTGTCTATTATTGTCCACCAAGAAACATATGAGGAAGCAAAATGAATTTTAATAATAGCATAAAATCTGAGAAAGACACATGTAAATATAGTATTTTAAGGTTCTTATATGAATAAAGTGATGTGTTCTTATTTAAACATGTATGTATAATCCCTATATCAACCAACATAAAAGTTAAAAATAAATCATTAAACTGCCCACTCAGTTTTAAAAGCGGATAAGAATACAAGTTGAATAGTATAAAGATTAGTTAAAAATAAAACAGTGACATGACAAACTTAAAGTAGACAATTTCAATAATTATGTTAAATACAGACTAAGATATGAACTGTCAGATCAGATAAAAAAACAAGACCCTACTATATGCTGTCTACAAATCTTGTTTTCAATAAAAAGATACAAATTAAAGGTAAAATGATAAAGATACCCTATGCTAAAATAGCTAGAGAAACAATACTAACATGATCCACTTAATACATAAAAGACACTTGGCAACATCCTGCATTAATTTTATAAAAAATAATAAATTTACCCACTTCCTCAACTTGATAAAGGATATCTACAGCTAATATCCAGTACTTATTGCTGCAAGCCTCAGTGCTCTTCTCTTGATGTTAGAATGAAGGCAAGTATGTATATTCTCACCATTTCTAGTCAACATTTTCCTACAGACCTGGCCTGTACACTAGGGCAAGAAAAAGAAATAAAAGGCTTTTTGGAAACCAAAAGTCATGATTGCCTATGCAGAAAATTTAGTGAATAATACCCACAAAACATTCTGCTAGAATCAATCAGCAAGTTTTACAAGGAAATAATATACAAGATCAATATATAAAACTCAATTATACTTTTTTATGCAAATAATGAAAAATCAGAAATTGAGATAAAAATAACGTTAAAATATCACCAAGTATAAAAGCACCTCTAGAGCATTTGAGTAAAGAGTTCTAAAAGTGTGTTCCTCAATCAAAGCAATGATAATAGGGCAAAACTTATCAAAATCAACTATTTCAGAATTCTGGAATAGTTGAGAAGGCCTGCAAAAATTCAAGGAGCATTCATTCAAGAGAAATGGCTAAATCCTGGGGAAAAATTTCCTGCTTTCCTTGGGAATGGCAGGGAGGGGGCAGGGAATGTCAGGATATTTTGTAATGCTGCTAATGACTCTGGGATCACAAAATATATAACAGGGCATTGGCAAATAACAGTATCTTTTGATATATCAAGTAGCACATTACATTTTACATGTAATAGAAAACCTTTCTGAAACATAATTTCATATTTTGGCTTCATCTTTTATAGGTTATAAATACCTATATTTATAACCTATATAAATGTAACTTATGTTTATTTATACAAGCCCAAATGTAACTTATGTTTAGTAATGCTAAATTATATTTACATAGATATCAAAACAATTGTTTACATTTTTACTATCATTAACAAGATCAATTGTTTTGTTAATATAAAACTACAGCCTCTTGTATTTGTGAATTGTTGTTTTACATAGCTAAGGTATTTAAATACCTATTTATGAATTCAGTTATATTAACTGAACTACTTTTTTATCATCAAGCAAGATAAACATTTACTGAAAATTATGTATTTTATAGAACAGGTGAAACTTTTACCAATACATTGCTGTTTTACCACTTATTAAATTTTATTTTTATCCTATGGTTGGTCTAGCTTGGAAGCTAAAAATTAAGTGGAATTATCGGATATCATAAGAATCTGCCTGATTTAGACTTCATGAATCTAAATGTTCTTATTACTTTTATTTTAAAATAGCTTCCTACGGGTTTGTAATTCAGACAAATTGTTTGAATTTCTGAAACAAATAAGCAAAATAGAGTCTTGATATTGTTTGCTCTCTGAATTTATTACTGCTTAGATCAAAAAAGCTGAGGAAGGATGGTCTCATGATATTGAATTTGTAACACATTACATTCTAGAAGATACAGACTTGGAATTAAAATTCAACTTGACATTTTAAAATGTTATTAAATTTACTATCAGTCAGAACATTCTGTAGAACAGAACATTTTCATTGAATCTATGGCAAACTATTTTGGTTTGGCATTTAGGGCTCAATTACTTTGGAAGGACATTTGCCCATAGAAGCTGATTGATTCATTCATATTCCATCCCCAAAGATATCATAGTTTAAAAAGGGAACTGCATCCCCATTCCTTAATGTGTTGATTATTAAATAGTCATGATTAAGCTTATGTTTCTGAAATAATAACTACCTTTGAGATTATTTTACCTTAAAAATATAGCAAATTCTAACATAATTAACAAAATATAAAATAGTGATATCATGGGAGATTTCTTTTAGTGCCCACTAATACTTGGGTAGTATTCAAACATTTTTATTAAAATTATCCTGTTGGTTCCTTGTGTTCTATCAGTAATAAGATTAGTTAATACACAGTGATTTCCACGGCAAGAATTTAGACTGCTAAAAGCAAGAATTAGAGAGGCCAAAACACTAAATGCCTAGAGTGTGTGATTAGTAACGTTTTTCTTTATCTCAGTGCTTTTGAACAAGTCACTGACTTTTCTGAGATGTATAACCTTTTAATTTTAATTTTCTTCAATGAATGCCTAAAATTTTTGTGGTGACTCTTCTTCAAAAATAAATAACACTATTACAGAAATCAAACTTAGTAAAGAAACTGAGTTGATGTCAATACATATATATATATATATATATATATATACCATACACATATATACACATGCACACATTCATACACATATATACTCTTTCCTGCAATGTGGAATGTCCAATCCCGTTCATCACCAACCTTTCTTAGATCACTTTCTTTTCCAGCTCTATCTCATAAGCCACATATTCAAATGATCTCTTATCTGTATCATTGTCTTATGTAAAGTTCTGTGCTGGCTCCTTGGAGTACTGCAAATCAGATTTGTTTTATCTCTTTAGGTTGGTGTCTCCAGTGTATCTCCTGGCTAATCTTTATATTCTCATTACTTTTCACATTATTGCTTATGAAAAAAATTTTTCTTTATTTCTTATCAAGAAAGTCCTCTTTCGGTGACATTTGCATCTCTGTATCAGAGATTTTTAACCTTTTCTTATGCTATGGACAACTTTAGCAGACTGGGAAGCCTGAGTCATTTTCCCAAGAATAATGTTTACTTTGGATTACAAGAGAAACTAATTACATTGAGATCCAAATGTGTAAATAGTAAAGAATAACTGTATTATATAGTAATTTATGTGCCCCTTTAAAATTATTAATATATTACAGTGGGTCTAACAATTATGATTTTGAAATGGTGATGAGAGTAAACAAGATTTTGTGGTATCTATAATGATACCAAATTATCATTATATGAAAATATATGTGTAATATGAAAATTTGCATAATTTTTATTGGTGACAATGTCACAGACACTGCTAATACCTACTGCGGGTTTTTGCCTACATTTGTAATGGGATCTCAAGACCCAAGAATGAGGATTCTGCTTTATATAATTTTCTCTGCTGGTCTAGAACATTTCTCTCACCCCCAAAGGAAAATTTCTGCCCACTGTAGTCATTTCCCATCCTTACTTCCAACCTTAGGGAACTACTGATCTGGCTTTTGCTTCTGTAGATTTGTTTTTTTATTTTGAATACTTCATATAAATGAAACCATATGATATGTGATCTTTTGTGTCTAGCTGTTTTCACTTAGCATAACATTTTGTCTCTTCCTTCATTTTGCAGCATGCAACAGTAATTTGTTCCTCTTTATTACTGAAGAGTATTCCATTATATGGATATACTTTTGAGTAATGACGCTATAAGCTTTTGTGTAAACATTTTGTGTAGGCAAATATTTTCATTTATTTTGGGGAGAGACCTAGGAGTAGAATTTATCAGTCTTACAAAGTTTAACTAATGTTAAAGTTTTAAGCAATTGTTAAAATCTTTTCCAAAATAGGTGCGCAATTTTACATTCCCTCATCAATGAGGATTTCATCTTTTCTACACCTTCATTAACACACGTGCATGTCTGACTTTTGATTTAGCTTTCCTTGTGTTTGTAAAGCATGATCTCATTGTGATTTTACTTCATATTTCCTTGATGTCTAATGATGTTAGCATTTTTCATGTGCTCATTTGCCATTTGTATATCTTCTTTGGTAAAATATCTATCCAAGCTTTCTGCTCAGTTTTTAATTCGGTTATTTGTCATCATCTTATTAAATTGAATGAGTTATGTATTCTAGCTAAAGTCTCTTATCAGATATATTGCTTGCAAATGTTTTCTTCTAGCCTGTAGCTTGTATTTATACTTACATAAGGGTATATTCTGAAACACAAAAGTTTTAAATTTTGATGACAAACTTTGCCTAAACCAAGATCATCAGAATTTACTCCTGTTTTATTTTTTAAGTTTTATTTTTGCCTCTTACATTAGGTCTAATTTTATATTATGTCATATACTAAGTCTAATTAGGTACTAATTTATAAGGTCAATTTTGAGTGCACTCTGAGGTATGGGTCTAATTCATTTATTAATTAAGAGGAATTGAAAGTTATTTAAATTTCTTCTTTTGCCCTTTAATACATCAAAAGTCAGGCTTAGTAGTGTTGGTAAATAATATTATGGGGAAATCTATACAGAAAAATGAATGAAGAAACTGTTAATTTATTCTTTAGTCCCTAAGGGAAGTGTGGAAACAAAAATAGAAAAGAGACAAAAAATTTCTGAATTATGTTCTGATTCTCTTTTCTGTGGGCCTTGTCTTACTAAGGAGTACATTATGTTAATGATCATAATTTAAGCTAGGAGCAGACACATGTTACTCATAATCACCGTTGGGAGTGTACGTGCAGACTCCTCATTGGCCACTCTGTACCAACTGGCATGCAGCTACATGAGAGTAAATTTGGCAGGACAGTATGAGTTGGGCAGCTTGAAAGAGATGGCTAGATTGAGTCTTCTTGAGCCATATTATTTCCACAAAACATAGACACAGCACCATAGGTGATTTTTTTTTAGCAGCATCCTTCATACACAGGGTAAGGCGGTAGTATAAGAGCCCTGCAGAATAACCTGGCTGAGCCAAGGTTTAATAGAGACATGGCCATATTTGATTGGTCTCTGTCCAACTGATCTCAGACAGGTTAAGCAAAGAGATGCTACTAATTCTTTTTCTTTTTGTTTTTTTTTGAGATGGTGTCTTCCTCGTTGCCCAGGCTGGAGTGCAATGGCACGATCTCGGCTCCCCACAACCTCCGCCTCCTGGGTTCAAGCGATTCTCCTGCCTCAGCCTCCTGAGTAGCTGGGATTACAGGCATGCACCACCACGCTCAGGTATTTGTATTTTTAGTAGAGATGGGGTTTCACCACATTGGCCAGGTTGGTCTTGAACTCCCGACCTCAGGTGATCTGCCCGTCTCGGCCTCCCAAAGTTCTGGGATTACAGGCGTGAGCCACCGCGTCCGGTGCTACTAGTTCTTGTCTAAGTCAAAAGAGACAAGCTTACCCGTTACATCAGCTACAATATTCAGCTGAAAGGGCAGCAACACCCTAATGGACAAGAGACATCACTTCAAAGGGAGGTAAAAGCATCTACACTTGATAACTTACACATTTTTTAACTGCCCTGAGTTTACTCAGGTGGTGTGCGCTTCTCAACTAAACCACACCCCAGTCCTCCCACTTGAAAAATGTCAGAGAAAAATGAGCAAGGGAATGGGTAGGCCACAGGAGGGTCTAAACATTTTGGTATCAGCCTGAACACTGCCTAACTACACTGATAAAATGATCAGAAAATAAATATTTAAATTGGATTGATCACGAAAAGAATTTTCTCAGTAAGTAGCAGGGGGTTAAAAATGATCAATTCAGCTACACACAAAATAAGTTTGGCAGGCAGCTCTAAAGAAACTCCCAATAATCCCCACTTCATCATATCCATGCTCCTGCATAATTCCCTTGCCTTGCACATGAGAAGAACCTAATAACTTGCTTTTAAGAAATAGAACATGGCTAAAGTGATGGGATGTCACTTTCATGATTTTTTTTTTTTAATTTGGAAGTTAGATTTAATTAATTTTTTTTGCATTCCAGGACTTATGGAATTTTTTTTATTATTATTACACTTTAAGTTTTAAGGTACGTGTCCACAATGTGCAGGTTAGTTACATATGTATACATGTGCCATGCTGGTGTGCTGCACCCATTAACTCGTCATTTAGCATTAGGTATATCTCCTAATGCTATCCCTCCCCCCTCCCCCCTCCCCCCACACCACAACAGTCCCCTTCCATCACCCTTTCTCTTACTGACACCCTTGCCCTGGTTCCGATGAAGCCAATTACCACATTGTGAGATGTTCTGGGAAAGGACCACATGGCAAGGAAATAAGGGAGGCTTCTGACCAACAGCTTGTGAAGAATTGAAACCTTAGTTACAAGTCAGCTGGAACAGAATCTTACCAACCACTATATTAGTGAGTTAAGAAGTGGATCCTTCCAGTAAAGCTCTGAGATGAGGGCAGCATTGTGAAAATCTCAGGCCTGGAGGAGCCACCTAAGCCACACCTAGATTCTTGGTCCACAGAAACTGTAAGATGATAACATTGCTGTTTTATGCTACTAAGTTCTGGAGTAATTTGCAATGCAGCAATAGAAAACTAATAATTTACATTACATATATATATATATATCTGGAAAAGGGTGATAAATGTTTTTTGGTTTACAACATATAATGGTGACTAGAGGTCACAAAGGGTCTGAAAATGTTTCCCTTTTCATGTAGTTGAGTGTGAATTTGGGAAGGTACAATTGTACTTCTTCTCTCTAGCATCATTGAAATGAAGCCTCTTTGAGCATCACATAGTTGTATATGTATCACACAGAGTGTATATATATATACATTCGCTGAAGTTTACACACCCAGGCACCTCCCCCAAAATTTCTTTCAGTCATTGCACACTAAGGATACTGTGGGGAGTAGGAATTCATCAAATTTAATTAAAACTTGAAAAGCATGGTGTTTCTTATGGAATATAAGGAGCTAACAAAATATACTTAAGAGTGTTTAACTGTTGGTTTTGAATTAACATAGTCCAACAAGCTTATTTGACAGGTGAATAACAATTATTCTTTTTCCTGGAAGAAAAGGGCATTCTTGAAAAATCATGGAAAGCTTTGATTACCAACTTTCCATGACTAAACCTCAATACAAACCCAGAAGCTAAGAGTAGGCTGGAGAAGGCAATGCCAAGTTAATTATTAAATACAAAAATGGAAACTTGAAAGAGTTTAGGGAAGTGGAGCTGAACCTAGTAGCAAAATCAGAATTATGCATAGGAGCCAAGATCAGGAAGGCACTCTGAAAGGATTAGGTAGCATGGAACTGAGTTGCTAACAAGGAATAACTTAATTTTCCAAACTGTGTGATGCTCAAAGAGGCTTCATTTCAATGATGCTAGAGAGAAGAAGTACAATTGTACCTTCCCAAATTCACATTCAACTACATGAAAAGGAAAACATTTTTAGACCCTTTGTAAGCCCTAGTCAGCATTATATTTTGTAGACCAAAAAAACATTTATTTATTATCACCCTTTTCCAGATCTTTTCTATTTTTAAAATTAATTTCTTCCCCCACACAGGTCTCAAATATAGTTTAGACCTTTAGAAAGCTTGTAAAAACTGAAAGATCTTGTCAACTCTGAAAACAGTGTATATGATAGAATATTTGCTAACTACACAAATTTCAACTCTGGCTGACTATATTAGAACCATATCCCTGCCACTTACCAGATGTGTGACCTTGAACATGTCATTTAACTTATCTGAACCTGTCTCCTCATCTGAAAAATGGATATGATAATATTAGTTACCAATATAGGATAATTGTGAAGTTTAAATGAGTAAACATGTATAAAGAGCTCATAATAATATATGGCACCAAATAAGTTAAAGATAATTATGAATTGTATTAATCATATTATTATTATTACTTTTTATTTTATTATTATTATACTTTAAGTTTTAGGGTACATGTGCACAATGTGTAGGTTTGTTACATATGTATACATGTGCCATGTTGGTGTGCTGCACCCACTAACTCGTCATTTAGCATTAGGTATATCTCCTACTGCTATCCCTCCCCCCTCCCCTGACCCCACAACAGTCCCCAGAGTGTGATGTTCCCCTTCCTGTGTCCATGTGTTCTCATTGTTCAATTCCCAATGATGAGTGAGAACATGCGCTGTTTGGTTTTTTGTCCTTGCAATAGTTTGCTGAGAATGATGGTTTCCAGTTTCATCCATGTCCCTACAAAGGACATGAACTCATCATTTTTTATGGCTGCATAGTATTCCATGGTGTATATGTGCCACATTTTCTTAATCCAGTCTATCGTTGTTGGACATTTGGGTTGGTTCCAAGTCTTTGCTACTGTGAATAGTGCTGCAATAAACATACGTATGCATGTGTCTTTATAGCAGCATGATTTATAATCCTTTGGGTATATACCCAGTAATGGGATTGCTGGGTCAAATGGTATTTCTAGTTCTAGATCCCTGAGGAATTGCCACACTGACTTCTACAATGGTTGAACTAGTTTACAGTCCCACCAACAGTGTAAAAGTGTTCCTATTTCTCCACATCCTCTCCAGCATCCATTGTTTCCTGACTTTTTAATGATCGCCATTCTAACTGGTGTGAGATGGTATCTCATTGTGGTTTTGATTTGCATTTCCCTGATGGCCAGTGATGGTGAGCATTTTTTCACATGTTTTTTGGCTACATAAATGTCTTATTTTGAGAAGTGTCTGTTCATATCCTTTACCCACTTTTTGATGGAGTTGTTTGTTTTTTTCTTGTAAATTTGTTTGAGTTCATTGTAGATTCTGGATATTAGCCCTTTGTCAGATGAGTAGGTTGCAAAAATTTTCTCCCATGTTGTAGGTTGCCTGTTCACTCTGATGGTAGTTTCTTTTACTGTGCAGAAGCTCTTTAGTTTAATTAGATCCCATTTGTCAATTTTGGCTTTTGTTGCCATTGCTTTTGGTGTTTTAGACATGAAGTCCTTGCCCATGCTTATGTCCTGAATGGTAATGCCTAGGTTTTCTTCTAGGGTTTTTATGGTTTTAGGTCTAACATTTAAGTCTTTAATCCATCTTGAATTAATTTTTGTATGAGGTGTAAGGAAGGGATCCAGATTCAGCTTTCTACATATGGCTAGTCAGTTTTCCCAGCACCACTGATTAAATAGGGAATCTTTTCCCCACTTCTTGTTTTTGTCAGGTTTGTCAAAGATCAGATAGTTGTAGATATGTGGCATTATTTCTGAGGGCTCTGTTCTGTTCCATTGATCTATATCTCTGTTTTGGTACCAGTACCATGCTGTTTTGATTACTGTAGCCTTTTAATATAGTTTGAAGTCAGTTAGCATGATGCCTCCAGCTTTGTTCTTTTGGCTTAGGATTGACTTGGCGATGCGGGCTCCTTTTTGGTTCCATATGAACTTTAAAGTAGTTTTTTTCAATTCTGTGATGAAAGTCATTGGTAGCTTGATGGGGATGGCATTAGATCTATAAATTACCTTGGGCAGTGTGGCCATTTTCACGATATTGATTCTTCCTACCCATGAGCATGGAATGTTCTTCCATTTGTTTGTATCCTCTTTTATTTCCTTGAGCAGTGGTTTGTAGTTCTCCTTGAAGAGGTCCTTCACATCCCTTGTAAGTTGGATTCCTAGGTATTTCATTCTCTTTGAAGCAATTGTGAATGGGAGTTCACTCATGATTTGGCTCTCTGTTTGTCTGTTATTGGTGTATAAGAATGCTTGTGATTTTTGTACATTGATTTTGTATCCTGAGAATTTGCTGAAGTTGCTTACCAGCTTCAGGAAATTTTGGGCTGAGACAATGGGGTTTTCTAGATATACAATCATGTCATCTGCAAACAGGGACAATTTGACTTCCTCTTTTCCTAATTGAATGCCCTTTATTTCCTTCTCCTGCCTAATTGCCCTGGCCAGAACTTCCAACACTGTGTTGAATAGGAGTGGTGAGAGAAGGCATCCCTGTCTTGTGCCAGTTTTCAAAGGGAATGCTTCCAGTTTTTGCCCATTCAGTATGATATTGGCTGTGGGTTTGTCATAGATAGCTCTTATTATTTTGAGATATGTCCCATCAATACCTAATTTATTGAGAGTTTTTAGCACGAAGCATTGTTGAATTTTGTCAAAGGCCTTTTCTGCATCTATTGAGATAATCATGTGGCTTTTGTCTTTGGTTCTGTTTATATGCTGGATTACATTTATTGATTTGCGTATGTTGAACCAGCCTTGCATCCCAGGGATGAAGCCCACTTGATCATGGTGGATAAGCTTTTTGATGTTCTGCTGGATTCGGTTTGCCAGTATTTTATTGAGGATTTTTGCATCAATGTTCATCAAGGATATTGGTCTAAAATTCTCTTTTTTGGTTGTGTTTCTGCCCCCCGGCTTTGGTATCAGGATGATGCTGGCCTCATAAAATGAGTTAGGGAGGATTCCCTCTTTTTCTATTGATTGGAATAGTTTCAGAAGGAATGGTACCAGCTCCTCCTTTTACCTCTGGTAGAATTCGGCTGTGAATCCATCTGGTCCTGGACTTTTTTTGGTTGGTAAGCTATTGATTATTGCCACAATTTCAGATCCTGTTATTGGTCTATGCAGAGATTCAACTTCTTCCTGGTTTAGTCTTGGGAGGGTGTTATGTGTCGAGGAATTTATCCACTTCTTCTAGATTTTCTAGTTTATTTCCTTAGAGGTGTTTGTAGTATTCTCTGATGGTAGTTTGTATTTCTGTGGGATCAGTGGTGATATCCCCTTTATCATTTTTTATTGCATCTATTTGATTCTTCTCTCTTTTCTTCTTTATTAGTCTTGCTAGCAGTCTATCGATTTTGTTGATCTTTTCAAAAAAGCAGCTCCTGGATTCATTGATTTTTTGAAGGGTTTTTTGTGTCTCTATTTCCTTCAGTTCTGCTCTGATTTTAGTTATTTCTTGCCTTCTGCTAGCTTTTGAATGTGTTTGCTCTTGCTTTTCTAGTTCTTTTAATTGTGATGTTAGGGTGTCAATTTTGGATCTTTCCTGCTTTCTCTTGTGGGCATTTAGTGCTATAAATTTCCCTCTACACACTGCTTTGAATGTGTCCCAGAGATTCTGGTATGTTGTGTCTTTGTTCTCGTTGGTTTCAAACAACATCTTTACTTCTGCCTTCATTTCGTTATGTACCCAGTAGTCATTCAGGAGCAGATTGTTCAGTTTCCACACAGTTGAGCAGTTTTGAGTGAGTTTCTTAATCCTGAGTTCTAGTTTGATTGCACTGTGGTCTGAGAGACAGTTTGTTATAATTTTTGTTCTTTTACATTTGCTGAGGAGAGCTTTACTTCCAACTATGTGGTCAATTTTGGAATAGGTGTGGTGTGGTGCTGAAAAAAATGTATATTCTGTTGATTTGGGGTGGAGAGTTCTGTAGATGTCTATTAGGTCCGCTTGGTGCAGAGCTGAGTTCAATTCCTGGGTATCCTTGTTAACTTTCTGTTTCATTGATCTGTCTAATGTTGACAGTGGGGTGTTAAAGTCTCTCATTATTATTGTGTGGGAGTCTAAGCCTCTTTGTAGGTCACTAAGGACTTGCTTTATGAATCTGGGTGCTCCTGTATTGGGTGCATATATATTGAGGATAGTTAGCTCTTCTTGTTGAATTGATCCCTTTACCATTATGTAATGGCCTCTTTGTCTCATTTGATCTTTGTTGGTTTAAAGTCTGTTTTATCAGAGACTAGGATTGCAACCCCTGCCTTTTTTTTGTTTTCCATTTGCTTGGTAGATCTTCCTCCATCCCTTTATTGTGAGCCTATATGTGTCTCTGCATGTGAGATGGGTTTCCTGAATACAGCAAACTGATGGGTCTTGACTCTTTATCCAATTTGCCAGTCTGTGTCTTTTAATTGGAGCATTTAGTCCATTTACATTTAAAGTTAATATTGTTATGTGTGTATTTGGTTCTGTCATTATGAGGTTAGCTGGTTATTTTGCTCGTTAGTTGATGCAGTTTCTTCCTAGCCTTGATGGTCTTTACATTTTGGCATGTTTTTGCAGTGGCTGGTACCAGTTGTTCCTTTCCATGTTTAGTGCTTCCTTCAGGAGCTCTTTTAGGGCAAGCCTTGTGGTGACAAAATCTCTCAGCATTTGCTTGTCTGTAAAGTATTTTATTTCTCCTTCACTTATGAAGCTTAGTTTGGCTGGATATGAAATTCTGGGTTGAAATTTCTTTTCTTTAAGAATGTTGAATATTGGTCCCCACTCTCTTCTTGCTTGTAGAGTTTCTGCTGAGAGATCAGCTGTTAGTCTGATGGGCTTCCCTTTGTTGGTAACGCGACCTTTCTCTCTGGCTGCCCTTAACATTTTTTCCTTCATTTCAACTTGGGTGAATCTGACAATTATGTGTCTTGGAGTTGATCTTCTTGAGGAGTATCTTTGTGGCGTTCTCTGTATTTCCTGAATTTGAATGTTGGCCTGCCTTGCTAGATTGGGGAAGTTCTCCTGGATAATATCCTGGAGAGTGTTTTCCAACTTGGTTCCATTCTCTCCATCATTTTCATGTACACCAATCAGATGTAGATTTGGTCTTTTCACATAGTCCCATATTTCTTGGAGGCTTTGCTCATTTCTTTTTATTGTTTTTTCTCTAAACTTCCCTTCTCGCTTCATTTCATTCATTTCATCTTCCATCACTGATACCCTTTCTTCCTTTTGATCGCATTGGCTCCTGAGGCTTCTGCATTCTTCACATAGTTCTTGAGCCTTGGCTTTCAGCTCCATCAGCTCCTTTAAGGACTTCTCTGCATTGGTTATTCTAGTTATCCATTCGTCTAATTTTTTTTTTCAAAGTTTTTAACTTCTTTGCCATTGGTTTGAATTTCCTCCTGTAGCTCAGAGTAGTTTGATCGTCTGAAGCCTTCTTCTCTCAGCTCGTCAAAGTCATTTTCCGTCCAGCTTTGTTCCGTTGCTGGTGAGGAGCTGTGTTCCTTTGGAGGAGGAGGGGTGCTCTGCTTTTTAGAGTTTCCAGTTTTTCTGCTCTTTTTTTTCCCCATCTCTGTGGTTTTATCTACTTTTGGTCTTTGATGATGGTGATGTACAGAAGGGTTTTTGGTGTGGATGTCCTTTCTGTTTGTTAGTTTTCCTTCTAACAGACAGGATCCTCAGCTTCAGGTCTGTTGGAGTTTGCTAGAGGTCAACTTCAGACCCTGTTTGCCTGGGTATCAGCGTGGTGGCTGTAGAACAGCGGATCTTGGTGAACCGCAAATGCTGCTGCCTGATCATTCCTCTGGAAGTTTTGTCTCAGAGGAGTACCCGGCTGTGTGAAGTGTCAGTCTGCCCTTACTGGGGGGTTCCTCCCAGTTAGGCTGCTCAGGGGTCAAGGACCCACTTGAGGAGGCAGTCTGCCCATTCTCAGATCTCCAGCTGTGTGCTGGGAGAACCACTACTCTCTTCAAAGCTTAGATGAAAATGCAGATATCACCCGTCTCCTGAGTCACTTAGGCTGGGAGCTGTAGACTGGAGTTGTTCCTATTCGGCCATCTTGGCTCCACCTCTCTCTGGCCAATCATATTATTTTTATAAAATTGCCCTTGCTCATAGTTACCACCTTGAATCTATAAACGAATTATGATTTTTATTTTTTTGAGATGGAGTCTCACTCTGTCACCAGGCTGGAGTGCAGTGCCACGATCTCAGCTCATTGAAACCTCTGCTTCCTGGGTTCAAGCAATTCTCCTGCCTCAGCCTCCCACATAGCTGGGACTACAGGTGCATGCCACCATACCCAGCTAATGTTTGTATTTTTAGTAGAGATGGGATTTCACCATGTTTGCCAGGATGGTCTCTATCTCTTGACCTCATGATCTGTCCACCTTGGCCTCCCAAAGTGCTGAGATTACAGGCATGAGCCACTTTGCCCAGCCACAAGTTATGATTTTTATTATTTTATCTTATTTTGTTTATTTTATGTTCCAGGGTACCTGTGCAGGATGTACAGATTTGTTCCATAGGTAAATGTGTGCCATGGTGGTTTGCTCCACAGATCAAACCATCACCTTGGTATTAAGCGCAGCATACACTAGCTATTCTTCCTGATACTCTCCCTCCCCTCTTCCCTACACCTAACAGGGCCCAGTGTGTGTTGTCCACCCCTCCATGTATCCATGTGTTCTCATCATTCCACTCCTACTTACAAGTGAGAACATGAAGTGTTTGGTTTTCTCTTTCTGCATTAGTTTGCTGAGGATAACAGCTTCCAGCTCCATCCATGTCCCTGCAAAGGACATGATCTTGTCCCCTTTTATGGCTCCATAGTATTCCATGGTATATATATGTATTACATTTTCTTTATCCAGTCTATTATTGATGGGCATTTGGGTTGATTCCATGTCTTTGCTATTGTGAATAGTGCTTCAGTGAACATATGCATACATGTATCTTTACAATAGAATGATTTATATTCCTTTGGGTATATACCAAGGAATGTGATTGCTGGGTTAAATAGTATTTCTGCCTCTAGATGTTTGAGGAATTGCCACATTGCCTTACACAATGGTTGAACTAATTTACGTTCCCACCAACAGTGTAAAAGCATTCCTTTTTGTCTGCAACTTCTCCAGCATTTGTTGTTTTTTGGCTTTTTAATAATTGCCATTCTGACTGACATGAGATGGTATCTCATTGTGGTTTTGATTTGCATTTTTCTAATGACCACTGATGTTGAGCTTTTTTTTTAATATATGTTTGTTGTTCACATGAATCTCTTCTTTTGAGAAATGTCTGTTCGTGTCCTTTGCCCCCTTTTTAATGGGTTTTTTTTTTCCTTGTAAATTTGTTTAAGTTCCTTGTAGACTCTGGATATTAGACCTTTGTCAAATGGACAGATTGCAAATTTTTTCTCTCATTCTGTAGGTTGTCTGTTCACTCTGATGACAGTTTCTCTTTCTGTGAAGTTCTTTAGTTTAATTAGATCCAATTTGTCAATTTTTGCTTTTGTTGCAATTTCTTTTGGCATTTTTGTCATGAAATCTTTGCCCGTGCTTTTGTCCTGAATTGTATTGCCTAGATTTTCTTCTAGGGTTTTTATAGTTTTGGGTTTACGTTTAGGTCTTTTATTCATTTTGAGTTAATTTTTGTATAGGATATAAGGAAGGGATCCAGTTTCAGTTATCTGCATATGGCTAGCCAGTTCTCCCAGCACCATTTATTAAATAGGGAATTATTTTCCTATTGCTTGTTTTTGTCAGTTTTGTCAAAGATCAGATGGTTGTAGGTGTGCAGTCTCATCTCTGAGTTCTGTATTCTGTCCCATTGGTCTATGTGTGTTTTTGTACCAGTACCATGCTATTTTGGGTACTGTAGCCTTGTAGTATAGTTTGAAGTTGGGTAGCATGATGCCTCCAGTTTTGTTCAAAAAGTTACGAATTTAGGATCATTGTGGCCAAATGTTTGGCTAAAAAACCTGCTTATGACTTACAGCATTGGCTTTTTCGAGTGGTTATATAATATTCCATTTCTATTTACTTTGGAAATCTACTCATATTTTGTTTTTGGATCCAGACAGATTTTCTATGACTAATTCTAGTGTTTTAGACTGTTATTGGTAATTCCAAGAAATAGTTTACCCCCACAGTAAATGATTTTGTTTCAGTAGAGATCAACTGGAAGTCCTACACCATCAGCAGTTTCCCACTTTAAAGTCCTCTTTTGGCACCTTGCCTTCTCCCTGGAATGATGACTACTGGCTGCTATAGATATGAAACCTTTCATTCCCTGCTTCCCTACTATATATATAACACAAATACGATAAAAATTGAAGACCTATCTTAACTCCTTAGCTATCTCACAAGCTACATTATTGTGCTAAAGTAGAAGTTTCTATTTAAAAAGTCAGGGCCAGGCGCGGTGGCCACGCCTGTAATCCCAGCACTTTGGGAGGCCGAGGTGGGCGGATCACGAGGTCAGGAGATCGAGACCATCCCGGCTAAAACGGTGAAACCCCGTCTCTACTAAAAATACAAAAAATTAGCCGGGCGTAGTGGCGGGCGCCTGTAGTCCCAGCTACTTGGGAGGCTGAGGCAGGAGAATGGCGTGAACCCGGGAGGCGGAGCTTGCAGTGAGCCGAGATCCCGCCACTGCACTCCAGCCTGGGCGACAGAGCGAGACTCCATCTCAAAAAAAAAAAAAAAAAAAAAAAAAGTCAGACTGGGCCTGACGCGGTGGCTCACACCTGTAATCCCAGCACTTGGGTGGCCAAGGCAGGTGGATCACTTGAGGCCAGGAGTTCAAAACCAGCCTGGCCAACATGGTGAAACTCTCTCCCTACTAAAAACAGAAAAATTAGCTGAGTGTGGTGGCACACGCCTGTAATCCCAGCGACTCAGGACGCTGAGGCAGGAGAATCGCTTGAACCCAGAAGGCGGAGGCTGCAGTGAGCCGAGATTGTGCCACTGAACTCTAGCCTGGGTGACAGCGCAAGACTCCATTATCAAAAAAAAAAAAAAAAAGAAAAAAATAGAAAAAAAAAAGTCTGACTGAACCTTTGACCTCTTGAAGGAAATGTGTGGTTGAGTATCATTTCTGTATTACAGTAACAAAACTAAAACTGATCCAATGACAAATTCATATATCTCCCTGACATCTTTGTTTTCTTCTGCCTACTATGCTCCTTACCCTCTGGCATGATATTTTTTTTTAAAGAGATGAACTCAATGTCTAGATAGGTATTTCTAGGAAGATGAAACTTTGTACTTGAATGAATGACAGAATTAAATAAATGAACCCAAATTTTGATTATCTATTTCTGTCAGTCTACACCCAGCCTTTTCACAATCAGTCTTCTGTAGTTATCTTGGCCTGCTTTCTACTTAATGATGTTCAGGCTTACTGGTCACCCATGTGTAAATGTAATCATTTAGGGATAAACTCAGCCATGGCTTGGACTGCAGAAACTGTCTGAAATCTGAAACTGGAGGACCTATGAAATCCTAGAAAAATAGCACCTCTATTATCAAATTATTTTCTTCTTTTTGTCTTTCTCCAAAATACAAGAACCAGCTCTTAAAACAAATTCCTTATATAAGTTACTTTTTTTAAACCACTTTTTATGTTGAACACTGTGTCAAATACCTTGAATGGATTACTCAATTTAATTCTCATAGTTACCTTAGGAGATATGTTGTTTTGTTTAGGTCATAATTTCTGTTTATTTCATATATATTTGAAATATATACAGATTTTCTCTGCAGAAGCGTAGGGAGAATTTAGATTTAACCTATTATGTGTTCATTTTAGTTCCCAGTATGTTCCTATATACATAAAATGTGTCCTCTGCCTTCAGAAAAAGGACTGTTTAATTATCCCTTGTATTTTTACCAGTTGGTTCCAGTTTGTCACATAGTTGATGGAGAGACTTAAATTTAATCTTACTGAAAGCAAAGAAAGATGATTTAGGGATTTTCAGAAAGAAGAAACATTTTTGGAAAAAAGTTATTAATAGCAGTTTATACATTGTAGAACATAGCAGAGTTGCATATAACTATTGCACAATTCATTTGTAGAAAAAATTTTATGGTTCAGTATACCATTTTAGCTTGTGGAAAAGTGATTTATATAATAGTTTAGTTTCTAATTTCTAATATTAAATATGCCATTTCAGATGATTTTTAAGAAATGAATTTACAAAATTTAGTATCCCTGAGGTGTCTATTCTCTCTACATCAGTTGTTTTGTGGCCTCAGAAAAGTTCGTACATCTTGATATGCCTCAGTTTCCACTATGAAATGGATGAAACAGTAATAATAACTTCTCATAAAATCGTAAACTTTACTATTCATAAAGTATTTAGAAGAATAATGTAAAAAGTACCACATATATTTTTACAGATTCATTTCTTTCAGGATACCTAATATGCATTATTTTAGAAACTGAGTTAAATTTATGAAACCTATACTTTCAAAATCATTTCCCACTTGAAGTAAAACACATTCAGAAAAGTTCCTAAAGTATGTATGATTTTTGCTTCAATGAATTATCACAAATAAAATATCTATATTTCCTAGAACTCTTATGCCTGTCCCCATCATGATCACATCTCTTTTCCCAAAAGTAATGTCTATACTGACATGTAAAACTATATATTTATAGAGATATTCTCTCTCTCTCTAGAAGCTCTAACAATAAGCTTGAATTTTATAAGGGAGTTTCAGTTTCCACATAGCTTAAAATATCGTGTGTGTCTGTGCGTGTGTGTGTGTGTGTGTGTGTGTGTGTGTGTGTCTACTTAAATGTTTTATTCTGGAAAATTTTGACTAATCAAAAAGTAGAGAAAGTATTGCAAAGAATTTTCATGTACCATAACTTAGCTACATAAATCATTCACACATGGCCAATCTTCCTTAAATTATATCCCCAGTTCACTGCTTCTATAATTTTTGAATAAAATCCAATATGTCATATTATTTCATCATTAAATATATTCAAAGTATCTTTAAAAGATAAGGGATTTTTAATAAGTAAAACCAAATATTGTATTATATATAAAACATTATATATTTTAAAATATCACATATATACAATCATACATTTATTTTTCCCGCATGTAGAGTGTGTTGTGGGGGGTGGTCTGTGATGCTGAGGTTTTTGTCATAAATTTGGAAACCAAGTCCACCGACTGCATTTGGATGACAGATTTCCTATGTCATTTTTAATCTATAGATTCTTCCTTCTATGATTAACTTTACCCTGCAATTAATTTGTTAAAATAACTGCATTACTTATACTGTAGCTTTTCACATTCTCATTTTTATTGATTGCATTCCTGCAGTGAGAATCACATTTCTTACATGTCAAAATCCTCATGTAAAGTAAGAAAGAAATAATGCCGTAACATCTTCAGTTAATTGCATAAGGCCTGCTTACACAGAAATAAGCTCCGCCGGGCGCGGTGGCTCACGCCTGTAATCCCAGCACTTTGGGAGGCCGAGACGGGCGGATCACGAGGTCAGGAGATCGAGACCATCCTGGCTAACACGGTGAAACCCCGTCTCTACTAAAAAATACAAAAATTAGCCGGGCATGGTGGCGCGCGCCTGTAGTCCCAGCTACACGGGAGGCTGAGGCAGGAGAATGGCGTGAACCCGGGAGGCGGAGCTTGCAGTGAGTCGAGATCGCGCCACTGCACTCCAGCCTGGGCGACAGAGCGAAACTCCATCTCAAAAAAAAAAAAAAAAAAAACAAAAAAAAAAACAAAACCAAATAAGCTCCATTGTGTTACAGCTCAAAAGGGTCACATTCTCTTGTGGATACATAGAAGTTTTGTTTCCACGTGGATAATGTATGGAAGTGCAGGTTGTTTGAAAGGACAAATGTGGAAATTAATAGTGCTTTGATTTCTGCCTACACAGAATGAGTTTATTTGAAATACTATTATGTTTACAAAATGTTTATGTACTCTTTACTGACAACTGTTGCTCTGGTGTTTGAAGGGCAATTCAGCTTCTGCTTTAGAAAATATTGGTGTTGAATTTTAAATGATTCTATAGTGTTTTATGTCATGTAGGCCATATGTACAATAGGATTTTAATTCATTCTTATAAAATCCTCATAGAATCAGATCAAGATTTTTGTAAAAAAACTTCTCTGTCCACAGATTTAAGTCTTCATTCATATCCCCCACTCCTGGCTTATAACTTAGTCTCTTGCTTTAGTGAGAAGACTGACTTTTCTTTACTTGAACTCTTTGTATGTGAGAAGATTGATAAATTTCAGTGAAATATGGAGCACAGTATTAGTGATTAAGTGCCTGGGAAATGTAGATCAATGATCTGGGCTTGGAGGAAGGCTACACCACTTGCAAGCTATATGACTGTAGATATATTACTAACACTGGATTTATCTCCTTTTCTATGAAGTGGGTTTAAAATTGTATTTCACGTCATAAGGTTAATGTGACTATTAGCTGAGATATGTTTGCAAGGTTCTTGACACCTTCTCAGAAAAGTTCTCACTAAATGCTAACAGTATGACGCTATGATGATAAAAATCACAATTTTGCAAGTAGTGTGATCATCTATTTTTCAGTTCATCCAACGCACCACTTGTAGATTAATTTCCTGGAGGTACATGTCTTATCACCAATTTGTTCCTTCAAAAATGTTTTATCTAATAGGTACTTTACATGAAGATTTGCTTTAGGAGCTGGAAACACAGAGATGAATAAGATAGGTTTCCCTTATTGAGTGGTTTATGTGAGAAACAAACTTATGCATCCAAACACAAAGAATGGATTCAGAGACTTGGAGAATAGCGAAAGTGAGACTTTCAATGACGGTCCTGTGAGATTAGGTGTTTGATAGGCAAACACACCCAGCACAGTTTTAACAAGCAATTTAACCCCTAGTGTGCAGGTCCCTCCCCCAGTTCCTTATAGGCTGAGTATTATGGGGTCACAATCTTCCTGGACATCGCCTACTGATTGTTAGGTAGGGGTTTTAGGTGGTTGTTTTAGGGTTGTCTTGCTGCATTTTGTTTCCACCCACAATGCATTGCAATTCTGGTTAGCTTAGGGGCTTTTCAAGTATTTGACTTATGACTTAAGTAGCCGGGCAGGCTGATAAGAACAGATAAAATGAGCTAATTTGCAGGCTAGTTAGCATTTATCTTAGACTAAACTTTTTTGGTTTGGGTGAGGGCAACTAAGGAGTGGGGAGTGGGGAGAGGGAGGCCGACAAGCAGGCCTTGGCTATCCAAGCAGGGGCTTAGTACATCCTGTTTCTTCTGTAGTTTGCTGACCTAAGCTGATTCAAAGCACTTTGTCTTGGAAATGGACCACTGTACACATTATTTCCTTCAGTTTACAACCTGCCTTTCATTTTATGAACCTTTCACTAACCCCTAATTGACTTAAGAATTGATTATAAAGCTCTTGTATTTAAGGTTGCCACAATATGCTTAATACCAGCAAATTGACTTCATTTCTTACCACTACTTCATGAAGCACATGGACTCCTTATTCACCAAATGGTCTTAATTCTGTCATCCTTATGTGTAGGTACATGTGTTGTGCTTGTTCGGTCATCACTGCCTTAATATCTACAGCTCATTCTTCAAGTGCTATGTTATCCTTTGCTGAATCCTATAACTAAATTTGAACTTTTATTTTTCTCTGAACCCCCTTAGCCTCAGTGCATATTTTTTAACAGCATGTATTCAGCCTTCTGACTTGCTTATGTAAACATTTGTGTTGTTTTCTGCCTCCCAACACAACTTAGCCATTATTATAAACTCCTTGAGTGTCATAACTATAACACATATATTTGGGAGCTTTTTAGCACCTAGCAACATGCTTGTACATAGTAATAGAGCAGTGGTTTTTAATTTGAATACAGGAAAATACATTCAATTACCATAGTAGCATCATACTGATGTTATTCTCTATTTTAATACAATCCTATGAAGAAAGGGTTAATTTTCCTCATACAAAATAGTTATAACAAAATAGTTAACATATTTTGTTCTCTATGGATGGCAGAATAAAGACTACTACCATCCCACTGATATTCATTCTGGTTTTTTTCTTAATGAAGTTTCTAGCTGAGTACATGTCTGCCCAAATAAAGGCTAGACTTTTCCATTTCCCTTGCTGCCAGGTGTGTCAACATAATAGTGTTTGGGCCAATGAAATGGAAACAAAGTGATATGTATAATTTCCAGGTCATGCCCTTCAAGAGAAGATATGCACCCTCCCTTCCCTTGGATTCTTTTCCAGTGGCTGGAATATAGATGTGAGGATGAGATTTCTTGGAATGTGCACATGGGGGCAATACCTAGGGGACGGTTCGAATGGGAACAAGGCAAAAAGAGCCTGTGTGTTTGATCTCAGGGAGTCAGCAAACCAGCCTGGACTTCTTATGACCAAACTGTTAAGTGAAAGTAAAATTATCTCTTACTTTGATTTTTTGTTGTGCTTGTCAGTTATAGCAACCTAGCCCCCATCTGAAATAAAATTAGTTGTTTATAAACTAATTTTTAAATGTACATAGTTGATGTATTTTTTTAGAGTAGTGATAGCTTTAGATAAACACACACGTCAGAATCCTAATGCAGAAACTTGAGAATAAATGAGCAGGTGTTTTCATATATATATATATATATATATATATATATGAGTGTGAAAACACTTTAATTACAAAAAGAAATAAAAACAAAAATTAGAATATGTTCTTGTAGAAAACTCTATTTTAAGTGTAAGTGAAAATATATTAATGATATGGTTTGGCTGTGTCCCAACCCAAAATCTCATCTTGAATTGTAATTCCCATAATCCCCACGTTTCAAGCGAGAGACCAGGTGGAGGTAACTGAATCGTGGGGGAGGTTTTCCCCATGCTGTTCTTGTGACAGTGAGTTCTCATGAGATCTGATGGTTTTATAAGTGTTTGGTAGTTCCTCCTACTCTCATTCTCCTTCCTGCTGCCTTGTGAAGAAGATGCCTTGCTTCTCCTTTGCCTTCTGCTATGATTGTAAGTTTCCTGAAGCCTCCCATCCATGCTGAACTGTGAGTCAATTAAACCTCTTTCCTTTATAAAGTGCCCAGTCTCGGGTATTTCTTATGGCAACGTGAGAACAGACTAATATAGTTAACACGCTGATGATATCCAAGATAGATGTTACATTTTTCCTAGTTGTATTTACTTAATGTAGAATGATATAAATTATTACTAATGACACGAACATGAAGTTAAGGTCATTAATAGTGAAAATGTTTAGGTTTTAAACCATGTCAAATTATGTCAATTTACACATAGCAAATATCAATGCATTATGCTTAATATGAAAAAAACAAGGCAGCAGGGTGTGCAGCCTTTTAGTTCTATGGCTGACAGAGTCATCTGAGGAGCTTCTGATACATCTTCCTAGGATACCCTGCAGACTGGTTTATTTGAAATCTCTCAGGATGTCTTTGGGCTCCTGAGTCTTATTTGTATTTTAAAAATTCCAGGGGGTTCTGATGAACAGTAATTTAAGCACTGGTTTATTTGTATATAACACTTCATACATGTTACTTGTTTATCCACCACAGTGGTTACATGTGTATTTGCCTATCTTCTGTCCTACTCTGTAAACTGCTTAAAGGTACTGCATGTCTAACTGATTTTTATCTACCCTGTATAAATTCATAAAACCGTATCTGGTGCTTAGCTGCTGTTATTTTTTAGTAGAATCAAATTCAATTGTTAGAATTCTTTTTCTTAAAACATTACAGGAATACCTAAATTCATAGATATTAATTTCCACTTTATAAACTGATGATGCATTTAATTCTTTTATGATACACATGTTTTTAGCTGATATTTTGTTGCTGTGTAGAATCCTTGCTAGTTCTTATTTTTAATCTTGTTCACTTGAAAATAATTATTACTTAGACCAACAAGTCCTGAAATTATTAAATTCATGGACCCCTTTATCCTGATAAAAGCTTTGGGATTCTTTCACCAGAACAATGAAAACACACTCCACCAACTTTGCACAGGAATCTCCTGAAGCTCATCCAAGGTCCCCAAGTAAAGAGCTTACCACCTAAACAGGGAGCTGCATAAAGAGGTTATTTTTTTTTTCCTGCTTACCCATAAATAGTCAAAGCTTTGAATATCCACTTCATGCCAAATAGACATGGAACTAGAGTAACAGAGGCAGAGTCTGTATTAATCTTGGAAAGATCAGCAACATTGAGCATGTTTTCAATCCAAAAATATGTGACAATTTCTCAGTGAGTGGGAATAGTGAAACATAGAGGGAGCCAAGTGAGGGGAAGCCAGAAAATCCAAGATAGTTACAGTCGAGACAAAGTGTTATCTTCAGATGAAATAAGAAAGGCAAGCTAGCCAGGTATTGTAGAAATCAAGAGAAACTCTATATACTATGTCCTGGCAAGGAAGTCAATTAGAACATACTATTATCATACATAATGCATATATAATGTTCTTGCCAATTGCTTAAAAATACACATGTAAGGAAAAGGAAACTTGAAGGGAGTCAAATCAAAATATTAACAGTACCTATATTTTAATGTTTTATTTTCTGTCCTTTTCTGTTTTCCTAATTTTATTTTACAATGAACACAACCTTTTACAAAGAAGATATATTTTGTGCTGCTGCTGTCTAAAAAAAATAATGAACATCCAGAAGACAGGAGTAGATGCATAGAAATCTACGCTTCTACTTTTCTACAAACGTAGAAAGACAGCATGTAATTTGAGAGGCCATTGCAGGTAAAAGAAGGCAAGCAATTACTCTGCCCATAGACAGTAGAAATAATTGTGTTTAAGTCTCAATAAATAAAACCAATGAAGCAGGCAATCAGACCCCAGCCTTCGAGTTTCTAAATGGTGATTTAGAAATGCTTATTTATTGCATGAAGGTTGTTGTCTCTTCTTAATTTACAAAAGACAAACAGCTATTGGAAAGCAGAAAGGTCATAACAGAAAAGCTATAGTGGAGGCAGAGCAGAGAAGACAATCACTGTAGTGTAACATATAGGTTTAATAATAATAAGTTTCACTTTCGGGTACAGGACTGTGTAAAGCAGTTATACTGATTTATTTTCATTGCCTAGATAGTCTTTTATTTTTATCTGGTGCTTATGCTCAGGCAAATAATAAAATGGATTGAGAATCGGTGATATGAGAGAAAACTGTAGCTTTGAATGTGTCCTTTAAAAATATTAACTAAGGTGATATAAAGGACAGTATTTAAGCTTTTTGCTTTGCCTCCAACTGGACTTCCTATCTGGTTTATGGCAGTTCTGTATGGCAAGAGGTCAGGACCAAAGACTCACAGCAAAACAAGGGAAAAATAATGGTCCTGGCACTGAAGAAGCCTAATAATTAGAATTGCTGTAAGTTGGGGATCAAGAAGGAGCCACAGCAGTTAGAAACCAACAGTCTGGATTCAAGGAGGAAACAAACAGGCAAAAATCAAGTCAGGTTAATGGTTAAGAAAGCAGTTAGGGAAAATAGTACTTGCAGCCTCAGATACAAGACCTTATATTCAAGTGACTCACATCTGAGAGGACAAACACCATGATTTCTGCCTACCAAATATCAATACTATGAAGGCCACCTCAGGGCCCCTGAGTAAAATCGTGTGAACCTTAGAAACATGATATTAAGTGGTATGCAGTCTTGTTTTGAAAGACATGTGTAATCAGGGTAAAGTATATTCTGTATATAGTAATTATTTTTGGCACACTTATGAAGGTTTGAAGAAAAATGTTCATCTATTTATCTGGTAATGTATAAAAATCTAAGCAAAGTCAAGATGCTCTTATTAGATCTTCAAATATTATTGTATCACAAATAAGAAACATTATTTGACTTAGCCTTGGTTTAAGTTTGGTTATATGAAGTAAATTTATATTATAGTATCAAATTGTGTAATCACTTGCAAGCTTTCATTTCTTTCTGCAAAATATGTGGACATGATGACTATCACTTGAAAAATTGATGAAAAACAATTCTTCAAGGACAGTGACAAAGAAGAGTCAACTCTAGGTCACAAGGTCTGGTTTGATGTAAATGTTTCCTTAAAGAAGCAAATAAAAAGCATTCTAAAAGAACATTAAAGTTATCTATTCCTTAATCTTAATGGCATAAAATAACCATGTTTGATGCTCACAGATGCTGTGGTTAAAGATTTTAATAGGACGCGGCTTGGATGGCTTGTCTCTAATCCATATCTGGGGAATAAGTATTCTCTAAGCCTCTCCCTAAAAAGACTAGAAGGCTGGAGATGACTTAACAGTTGGGAGGTGCAAGATCTGAAGGCTTCCTCACTCATATGTTCACGACTGAGTTCCACTATAGGATGAACTCTTACATAGTGTCTCTCCATGTGGCTGCTTCATCTTTCTCAAAGCATGGTGTTTGGGTTCCAGTAATGAGCATCTGAAGTGAGTCACTAGAAGTTGTATCACTTTTTATGACCTAACATCAAAAGTCATCTGGGGTCACTTCACTATAGGCAAAAGGAGAGGGTACATAGCCCCAAATCCCCATGAAAGGGATAACAATGTCAAAATGCAAAAAAAAAAAAAAAAAATCATGCGATATGGAATGTATTATTGTGTCAATTTTTGGAAAATACAGTCTGGTGCAAAGATGTAAAACACATTTGACCAGCAAATGATCTGATTTCATACAAATCAATATAAGCAGAAATAAATAAGCCAGAAAACACTATAAAATATTAAAAAAGGTAATTTATGTGCCATTAAAATGCATTCTGGGAATACAGAAACTGCATGTATTTGTAAAGAAAGAAAAAAAATAAAGCAATCCCCATGCGTGATCTTTAGCTTTATCCTAGAGATTGCATTCTTTAAAGTTCCTAGGTTTTCTCATCATGGGAGAAATGTCCACTTTTGTACCTGAGTTTTAGAAGTAGTCTGTTTTCTGAAGATTAGTAATAGAATGCTTTGTGAAAATCTAGTTGAAAGTATACAGGAAAAATGTCAGTATTACTATTATCTATCATTAAGGATTAATTTATCTAAAAATCTAGGCTTATTCATACAGAGAGACTGAAGAAATTATGAACAAATTGGTTAATGCTCAGAGGGTACCAAAAAGGTGGAGAGAAAATCATATATGTTGAAAATTATCTAAAACATATATGTTGGTTTAGTTGATTTTTTAACCCTCTGAAGAGGGAAAAAAAGTGTGCCAAAAATGAATGTATTGATTTTCATAAATTGCAAAGTAATCAGATTTTATACTAAATCTGTCAACATGAATATACATCAACTAGATCCAAAGAGAATAAATATCTTGTCCACAACACACATTTGTTGAATAACAAAGATGAGATAAGAATGCATCTCTTGATTTAATTCCAGTAAATTAGAAAACTTCTATCATTTTGGATGATTAAAAAACTGGAACCTAACTAAATTTTCCTAAATATTTTTGGACCACCTTTAGACTGTCAGATGTTTGGATTTTATTGTCTATAATTAGATAGTTTTCACTTATCAAAAATGGTGGTGGCTTCTTGTCAGGTAAAAATATCCCCATTCTGTTAAAATTAAACATGTGACCTTAGGTGCTTTTGTACTGTCTTGTACAAAAAATAAGGACATTTTATTAATAAACAGAATTTATGGTATAAAACCAAATATAGGTAAAGTTATTATCAATATCTGCCTATAGAGAATTTCTCAAATCCTATACCTTAATTAATATGGAATTATTCATGAAAATGTTTAAAACAACATTTTGTTGGAAAATAAACTATCTCATATATTCTCAAACCCAAGGTTTGGGGTTACAAGTTTCACTAAAATTTTATCCCTGCATAAAACAACTTTAAACCAACAAAGATAAAAAAAGACAAAGCAGGGCATTACATAATGGTAAACGGATCAACACAACAAGAAGAGCTAACTAGCCTAAATATCTATGCACCCAATACAGGAGCACCCAGACTCATAAAACAAGTTATTAGATATGTACAAAGAGACTTAGACTCCCATACAATAATAGTGGGAGACTTTAACACCCCACTGTCAATGTTAGACAGGTCAATGAGACAGAAAATTAACAAGGATATTCAGGACTTGAATTCAGCTCTGGACCAAGAGGACCTAATAGATAGCTACAGAACTGTCCACCCCAAATCAACAGAATATACATTCTTCTCAGCACCACATAGCACTTGCTCTAAAATTGACCACATAATTGGAAGTAAAACACTCCTCAACAAATGAAAAAGAATGAAAATCATAACAAACAGTCCCTCAGACCACAGTGCAATCAAATTAGAAATCAGGATTAAGAAACTCACTCAAAAACGCACAACTACAAGGAAACTGAACAACCTGCTTCTGAATGACTACCAGGTAAATAATGAAATTAAGGTGGAAATAATGAAGTTCTTTGAAACCAATGAGAACAAAGACACAACATACCAGAATCTCTGGGACACAGCTAAAGCAGTGTTTAGAGGGAAATTTGTAGCACTAAATACCCACATCAGAGAGCAAGAAAGATCTAAAATCGAAACCCTAACATCACAATGAAAAGAACTAGAGAAGCAAGAAAAAACAAATTCAAAAGCTAGCAGAAGACAAGAAATAACTAAGATCAGAGCAGAACTGAAGGAGGTAGAGACACGAAAAACCCTTCAAAAAAATCAATGAATCTAGGAGGTTTTTTTTGGAAAAGATGAACAAAATAGACCACTAGCCAGAAGAATACAGAGGAAAAGAGAGGAAAATCAAAAGACACAATAAAAAATGATAAATGGGAGATCACCACTGATCCCACAGAAATACAAATCACCATCAGATAATACTATAAATACCTCTATGTGAATAAACTAGAAAATCTAGAAGAAATGGTTAAATTCCTGGACACACACACTCTCCCAAGACTAAAACAGGAAGAAGTTGAATCCCTGAATATACAAATAACAAGTTCTGAAATTGAGTCAGTAATTAATAGCCTACCAACCAATAAAAGTCCAGCATGAGATGGATTCACAGCCAAAATCCACCAGAGGTAAAAAGAAGAGTTGGTACAATTCCTTCTGAACTATTCCAAACAATATAAAAAGAGGTACTCCACCTTAACTCATTTTATGAGGCCAGCATCATCCTGATTCTACAACCTGGCAGAGACTCAACAAGAAAAAATTTCAGGCCAATATCTCTGATGAACAATGATAAGAAAATCTTCAATAAAATTTTGACAAACCAAATCCAGCAGCACATCAAAAACTTATCCACCACAATCAAGTTGGCTTCATCCCTGTGATGCAAGGCTGGTTCAACATACACAAATCAATATACATAATCCATAGCATAAACAGAACCAATGACAAAAACCACATGATTATCTCAATAGATGCAAAAAAGGCCTTTGATAAAAATCAACACCCCTTCATGTTAAAAACGCTCAATTGTTGCGGGAAGTCAGGGAACCCAAATGGAGGGACCAGCTGGAGCCGCGGCAGAGGAACATAAATTGTGATGATTTCATGGACATTTATCAGTTCCCAAATAATACTTCTATAATTTCTTATGCCTGTCTTTACTTTAATCTCTTAATCTTGTTATCTTCGTAAACTGAGGATGTATGTCACCTCAGGACCACTGTGATAATTGTGTTAACTGTACAAATTGATTGTAAAACATGTGTATTTGAACAATATGAAATCAGTGCACCTTGAAAAAGAAAAGAATAACAGCGATTTTTATGGAACAAGGGAAGACAACCATAAGGTCTGACTGCCTGTGGGATTGGGCAAAAAGAGTCATATTTTTCTTCTTGCAGAGAGCCTATAAAAGGACTTGCAAGTAGGAGAGATATTGCTAAATTCTTTTCCTAGCAAGGAATATTAATATTAATATTAATACCCTGGTGAAGGAATGCATTCCTGGAGGGAGGTCTATAAACGGCTGCTCTGGGAATATCTGTTTTATGCAGTTGAGATAAGGACTGAGATACACTCTGGTCTCCTGCAGTACCCTCATATCGGGGAAACTGCCCTGATAGTCACGTAGGTTCTTTTCTATTTTCCCTAAGCATCAGCCGGTTTGAGAAATAAAGGGACAGAGTACAAAAGAGAGAAATTTTAAAGCTGGGCATCTGGGGGAGATATTCCATGTCAGTAGGTTCCGTGATGCCCCACAAGCCGCAAAACCGGCAAGTTTTTATTAGGGATTTTCAAAGGGGAGGGAGTGTACGAATAGGGTGTGGGTCACAAAGATCATGTACTTCACACGGTAATAGAATATCACAAGGCAAATGGAGGCAGGGCGACATCACAGGACCACAGGACCGGGGCGAAATTAAAATTGCTAATGAAGTTTCAGGCAAGTTTCATATCAATTGTCATTGATAACATCTTATCAGCAGACAGGGCTTTGAGAGCAACCGGTCCAACCAAAATTTATTAGGCGGGAATTTCCTCTTCCTAATAACCCTGGGAGAGCTATGAGAGACTGGGGTTTATTTCCTCCCTACAGTCTCGACCATAGAAGATGGCCACACCCAAGGCGGCCATTTATAGACCCACCCTCAGGGGTGCATTCTCTTTCTCAGGGATGTTCCTTGCTGAGAAAAAGAATTCAGCAATATTTCTCCCACTTGCTTTTGAAGGAAGAGAAATATGGCTCTGTTCCGCCCGGCTCACTGGCAGTCAGAGTTTAAGGTTATCTCTTTAATTCCCTGAACAATTGCTGTTATCATGTTCTTTTTTCAAGGTGCCCAGATTTCATATTGTTCAAACACACAGGCTGTACAATTTGTGCAGTTAACACAATTATCACAGGGTCCTGAGGCAACATACATCCTCGTCAGCTTACAAGGTGACAGGATTAAGAGATTAAAGTAAGACAGGCATAGGAAATCACAAAGGTATTGATTGGGGAAGTGATAAGTGTCCATGAAATCTTCACAATTTATGTTTAGAGATTGCAGTAAAGACAAGCATAAGAAATCATAAAAGTATTAATTTGGGGAACTAATAAGTGTCCATGAAATCTTCACAATCCATGTTCTTCTGCCATGGCTTCAGCCGGTCCCTCCATTTGGGGTCCCTGACTTCCCGCAACACCCTCAGCCTTACTAGGGTGGAGAAAAACTCTGCCCTGGTAAATTTGTGGTCAGACTGGTTCTCTGCTCTTGAACCCTGTTTTCTGTTGTTTAAGATGTTTATCAAGACAATACGTGCACCACTGAACATCGACCCTTATCAGTGGTTCTGCTTTTGCCCTTTGCCTTGTGATCTTTGTTGGACCCTTATCAGTAGTTCTGCTTTTGCCCTTTATCCTGTTCCCTCAGAAGCATGTGATCTTTGTTAGACCCTTATTAGTAGTTCTGCTTTTTGCCCTTTGAAGCATGTGATCTTTGTACCTACTCCCTGTTCTTACACCCCCTCCCCTTTTGAAACCCTTAATAAAAACTGGCCGGTCTGAGACTCAGGCGGGCATCATGGTCCTACTGATAAGTAATGTCACCCCCAGCGGCCCAGCTGTAAAATTCCTCTCTTTGTACTGTCTCTCATTATTTCTCAGCTGGCTGACACTTATGGAAAATAGAAAGAACCTATGTTGAAATATTGGGGCAGGTTCCCCCCAGTACTCAATAAACTGGGTATTAATGGAACCTATCTCAAAATAATAAGAGATATTTATGACAAACCCATAGCCAGTATCATGGTGAATGGGCAAAAGCTGGAAGCATTCCCTTTGAAAACCAGCACAAGACAAGGATGCCCTCTCTCACCACTCCTATTCAATATAGTATAGGAAGTTCTGGCTGGAGCAATCAAGCAAAAGATAGAGATAAAAGGTATTCAAATAGAATGAGAGGAAGTCAAATTGCCTTTTTTTTTTTTTGCAGACGACACAATTGCATGTTTAGAAAACCCTATCGTCTCAGGCAAAAAACTCTTTAAGCTGAGAAGCAACTTCAGCAAAATCTCAGGATACAAAATCAATGTGCAAAAATCACAAGCATTCCTATACACCAATAATAGACAGGTAGAGAGCCATATCATGAGTGAACGCCCATTCACAATTGCTACAAAGAGAATAAAATACCTAGGAATACAACTTACAAGGGATGTGAAGGACTGCTTCAAGGAGAACTACAAACCACTGCTCAAGGAAATAAGAGAGGACACAAACAAATGGAAAAACATTCCATGCTCATGGATAGGAAGAATCAATATTGTGAAAATGACCATAATGCCCAAAGTAATTTATAGATTCAATGTTATTCCCATCAAGCTAACGCTGACTTTCTTCACAGAACTAGAAAAAACTACTTTAAATTTCATATCGAACCAAACAAGAGCCTATATAACCAAGACAATCCTAAGCAAAAAGAATAAAGCTGGAGACCTCATGCTACCTGACTTCAAACTATACTACAAGGCTACAGTAACCAAAACAGCATGGTACTGGTACCAAAACAGATATATAGACCAATGGAACAGAACAAAGGCCTCTGAAATAACACCACACATCTACAACCATTTGATCTTTGATAAACCTGACAAACACAAGCAATGGGGAAAGGATTCCCTATTTAATAAATGGTGCTGGGAGAACTGGCTAGCTATATGCAGAAAACTGAAACTGGACCCCTTCCTTACACGGTATACAAAAATTAAGTCAGGAGGGATTAAAGACTTAAAAGTGAAACCTGAAACCATAAAAACCCTAGAAGAAAACCCAGGCAATACCATTCAGGACATAGGCATGGGCAAAGACTTCATGACTAAAACACCAAAAGCAATTGCAACAATGGCCAAAATTGACAAATGGGACCTAATTAAACTAAAGAGTTTCTGCCCAGCAAAAGAAACTATTATCAGAGAGAACAGGTAGCCTACAAAATGGGAGAAAAATTTTGGAATCTATCAATCTGACAAAGGGCTAATACCCAGAATCTACAAGGAACTTATACAAATTTACAAGAATAAAACAAACCCCCCCATCAAAAAGGGAGCAAAAGATATGAACAGACACCTCTCAAAAGAAGACATTTATGCAGCCAACAAACATATGAACAAAAGCTCATTATCACTGGTCAGTAGAGAAATGCAAATCAAAACCACAGTGAGATGCCATCTCACACCAGTTAGAATGGTGATCATTAAGTGTCTGGAAACAACAGATGCTGATGAGGATGCGGAAAAATAGGAACGTTTTTACACTGTTGGTGGGACTGTAAATTAGTTCAACTATTCTACAAGACAGAGAACCAAAAATACCATTTGACCCAGCAATCCCATTACTGGGTATATACCCAAAGGATTATAAATCATTCTATTATAAAGACACATGCACATGTATGTTTATTGCAGCACTATTTACAATAGCAAAGACTTGGAACCAAATGCCCATCATTGACAGACTGGATAAAGAAAATGTGGCACTTGTACACAATTGAATACTATACAGCCATTAAAAAGAATGAGTTCATGCCTTTTGCAGGGACATGGATGAAGCTGGAAACCATCATCCTCAGCAAACTAACACAGGAACAGAAAACCAAACACCACATGTTCTTACTGATAAGTGGGAGTTGAACAAAGAGAACTCATGGACACAGGGAGAGGAACATCACACACCAGGGTCTGTCGGGGGGTGGGGGACAAGGGGATGTAGAGCATTAGGAAAAATACCTAATGCATGAAGGGCTTAAAACCTAAATGACGGGTTGATAGGTGCAGCAAACCACCATGGCAAATGTATACCTATGGAATGAACCTGCACATTCACCACATGTATCTCAGAACTTAGAGTAAAATAAAATAAAATAAAAATAAAATAAAATAAAATAAAATAATTTCATCCCTGACTCATTTATTGTATTGTATGTGGTGAGTGTTGGATTAAGTTTTGCTTTGGTTTGTTTTGTTCTGTTTTAGTATTGATCACCAGCCTTGAGTATTTGTGATTCAATTTTTTCTCAATAAAATTATAAATTTTATATAATTTAATTATAAAATTATTTTATAATGTTGTAAATTGTAAATATCAACAATAAGGAAACCATACTATTATTTTTGTTGCAATTAATCTAAAACAATAATGTTAAAACCACAGATAACAAGTGATTACTATAATCCATTCAACAGAGATAAATTGCTCTCTCTCCCCAATACTTCTTTCATGTCCCCTGAATAGTATCATCCTCTTTTCAAGAATATCCTTCTCCAGCTCTATACACAATTCCCATCTATGATACAGTATTAGTTTCCTTTTTTTTGTTTTTTTACATTACCTCCCCCTCTGGTCAAAATAATTGTTGGAAGGAGTGTGCCAGTGAAACAGTCCTGAGTCCTTCCTTGAGCATTTAAAAAATTAGAACTAAGAAGGCCCCTATTGTATCCTGATAAGGTTGACAACGTGAACTGGGAGTTACTAGTAGGCATAATTTCCACAATGGTAAATGAAATCAATAAGCAAAAGAGAGAAATCCTGTTGGTATTTAACCCCATATGCCAGAGGTCGTAGAAACTAGTTCCAAATCTTTTTTGTTTCATTTTTATTAAATAATTTGCCTTTTATCTCTTGTTTATTATAGGTATTTCTATCTCTCAAGGCAGAAATTCAAATAATTCTTACTGTTGTTAGCAGATAGGAGTTATCTATTTGTACTGTTTTTTATTTAAATATATTTAAATTATCATTTCATTATTTTTAATTGTTTAATTATTATCACAGAGCCAAATTTATTTAGACACAGTTAATTTTAAAGATCACATCTCAAAATGATTGATTAATGCCTTTGTGATAATGTTGTTATTTATAAATCTAAAAACGATCAATCCTTGGTAATTTTTAAAACAATATAAAAATCACAAAAATAAAATTTTAACTTGACATATAATAAACATACCAAACAAACACAGTTAGAAATGTGAGCAATATGCAACATTTTTAGGATCTAAAGATTAAATAGGTAGAATCCCTAAGCTGAAGTTTCCCAATGCATTCCTAGAGGAAGAGAGATTGTCAGAGAATGCATAATAGTTAAACTGTGAGTTTTTAAAAAAGATCTAATTTTTGTAGAAATTACAATAAGCATAAAGTTGTCCATATGTTATCATTCTCATGCACCAAGATTTATGTTAATGGGCAGAAAGAGGAGCTGAGCTAGAGCTAGGACAACCAGAAAATATTCATAAGCAATGTAAGCATCTCCAGAATCAGAGAAGAAATCTGAATCTAAGAGACTGTTATTCAAGGGGGGAAATGTGGGCTCCTTTGCTTCCACCATCTGTTTAAATGTCATTAGTCTTTCTCCCATTGCCTGCTCTGCAAAATCTCATGGTATTTAACATACCGATGATTCACAAACGTATAGCTTGCAAGACAAATCATTTTTCAGCTTAAGGTTTGTATATCCGACTGTTAAAATATTTTCAATCAGATGTCCTGCACACACCCAAACCCAACCTTATTCAAAACTATACATACTATATTCCACAGTAAATCTGTGTCTCCCATGCTGCCCATTTTGGTTGAAAGTACTTCTATCTAAGGTCATCCAAACCAGAAACGTGTGAGTGGTCTCCTTAGCGCTTACATCTAGCAACATACCATTCATTAATTAATACTTTTAATGTGACTTGCCCTCATGTAACAGTTACACAGATTCTGATTGCTAAAGAAGACTCATAGAATCCACAATGAAATGCTGACAAATACCCAGTTTATAGCAGGAAAAGGCACAACAGAGCCACAGCATTAAAGTAAAGGTGTGAGTCACAGCCAGAGACAGCTTCAGAGCAAAGTATCTGGAAAGGCCAGGAGTGAACTACATTTGCCCCCCTCTGTAAGGGCCATCCTGTGACACACTTTGTTTAATGAGCCAGTAACCACCAAGTGTGAGTGAAACATTTTAGAATAAGAGGGTCCAAACTTCAATCTCAATCAGAGGTTTTATAACCTGTTGCTCATGTAACCATATTCCTGATACATAATCCATGGATCTTAACAAAACAAGGAGCAAATCACAAATTTCTTTGTTTTCAGATATTTAGAAGCTGACACTTCAAGGACATATGGCTACTGAGCCATAGAAAATCAATTTTTATTTCAGCAAAACAGCCCGGGCTTCCTGGAATTAACCCTCACAGTACATGGCCCCATCTTTTATCAGACAAAGCTTAAATTTCTTAATATGTTATCAAGATCCACTGTGATTACTGTTTACTCATCAGCATTATTATTCTTAGTCTTATTAGCTATGCTCTATCAACAATGAATTGCTTGCTACTCTCTGTGTACACAATGCTATCATCAGTTTGTGCTCAGAGTCTCTGCTGGTGTCCACCAAAATAATGAGCAAATTGCTGCAACATGTGTTATTTGTCACAAGGAGAAAAACTTGTTTTTAAAATTTTTGCATAGAAATGTACACTATATTTGGGAATTTTTCTCTAGAGTATTTACCATGTAACTTGGCACTGTCAGCTATGAGCTGTGCTTATTGTTTAATATATGCTGTAATTTAAGCCTTCTATCCTTATATAACAGCAGATCCAATGTTGCTCAAAGTATCTATGCTAGACAATGATATTGCAAAGACCCTATGGCAAGTCCTTGTGCACATCTTATGCACATCTGTAGATTTCTGGAACAAAAATCCTGTGCTGTTTTTAACTATAGTAGTTTTCCTTGGAGAAATTGCTCCTGGCTAAATAACAACATTTGATTAGACTGAACCTGATCTTGAAACACCGGAGAGTAACAATGCAACTCAAAATCAGCCAATATTAACTTGATATGATGTTTTCCTGCTAGGTAGAAAGTTAGGCAAACCTGACAGCACCAAATAATAGTGTTACATTCAGTGCAAGCCTGAATAGAACCTGAGGTCACATGTAAATTGCATGTGATAATTGCTCACAATCCTAGAAAGCCTAGTCCTACTCATTGTCATCCCTCTTTCAAAATGACCTATAGGATAATCCTTAAAATAACAGAGTGTAAAAAAATTACAGCCTAATTTTTAGATGGCTCTGCCTGACATGATGCTAATACTCATAAAAGGTATAAATAAATTCTTCCAAAACAAAGACCATTTTGTTTTCCACTTTTCATTGGATAGATAGAAGAGGTAAAAACTTCCCAGATATGAGTGCAGGCCTCACTGTCAAAACCTGCAAAGTTACAAGATGGGGATATTTGTGATAAATAGATATGTGGAGGAACTTCTTGCAACAAGCCAAAAGCATGAAAAATATTGTGTTCATGCCTATCAACAGGACTACATAGAAGAATGGAAAGGATAACTCTCCTGTTAAATAAAAGCCAGTCTCCTGTACTGGCTATCACCCATTGTCACATGAAATCTCTTTTCATAACCTTCCATGTTTTTTCTTATCACAAGAGTTAGAAGATGAAATTTACATTTTTCATAGTCACTCTATTTTGGGCTATGAGTAAAACTTTGGTTCTGACAGTGAGATGCACATTTTTGACATCTGAAAGACAACGTTAGGCAGAAGCCATCATCCAATGGCTATGGTGGTTGAAAACAACTTTTCACAAATAGGCAAGTTTGTAGTTGTAAGAAGCCACATTCCAATGCCTAGTCAAAAACCTCATGAATGAGTGGCAGTTGAATTGGCGGCAGCAGAGTAGAAGTAGCAGCATTTCCAAATTGCAGGTGCCGCAGTTTAGCCCTGCATCCAACAGTCAAGTTAATGTCCCTGACTTCCATTTATCCATTTGTTATTTTAAAAAATTGATATATAGTAGTTGTATATAAATACTGGGTACATGTGATATTTTGATACATGATATAATGTGTTTTGATTAAATCAGGGTAATTAGGATATCCATCACCTCAAACATTTATCATTTCTTCTTTTCTTTGAATAATTTTATAAGAATCTATTTTCTTGTTTTAAATACCTTTCTCCTTCATATATGTAGTGTTGTTTCCTTCTCCTGTATTGATTTTTGACACATGCACTTTTTTTCCCCACCATTTCAGGACTTGTCCAATCTTGTTATTCTGAAGAAAGTTGCCACATTTTTAGACATTGAGGCTAAACATATGCTCAACATTGTGTCCCCTTCCTTTCACCAAGTTTTCTGTTACCATCTCCACTGCTGAGTGCCCAGTATTCCAGTGGCAGTAGCTCAACCTTAGCCCACAAATAGTTCCCTTGAGCAAATCAGTTAACTGCCTGGCAGCATTTTGTTGCTTTTAATGGATGGTCAGAAGTTGTCCTCATTTGGGGGCGAAAGTAATTTAGCTTCCTTTCCCTGTCTCTTGTGTTCTTTCTACATCATCATATTTTAATCAAACACTGGAAAACCTTCACACATTGAACTACTCAAAGTATATTAATCCTTTTTGGTTGATACTTTTATCACTATTTACTTTTTGGTCTGTATTCACTACAATATTCATATTTTCTCAACAGATGAGCTCATCTGGGCCTGTGTGTGTGTGTGTCTGTGTGTGTGTGTGTGTGTGAATTTATGTGTTTGTGTTTGTGCATGTGTGTGTCTGTGTGTGTGCATGCATGTGTGTGTGGGGGGAGAGAGAGGCAGAAGAAGTATAATGTGGAGGAATTTTTCAAACAGGAAGAAAAATAGATAATGTGATCCCTTCTTTCAAATAACTTATTGAGAGCACAGACAAACACACACACACACACAACAAAAAAAGATCATCCATTAAATATATATTAATAATATTGTAAATATTGAGAAAAAATAAATAGTTTGGATAATCAGAATTTTGGAGGTTTTCTGCCATTTTTAAGAAAGTAAGGGAAAAATTGCCATATATGCAATACAGGGACATTGACCTCAGAACATTAAATTATTTCTCAATATTCAAATTTCATCATACTTTTAATTTAAAAAGAGCCACGAATAAAAAGACAATTTCTGTCAGAAACTGTATAATGCCAATTCATGATCATTCTACTTACTTTAGTAATAACACAAATGAACCAAAAAACACAACTCATCTGCCTTGATAGTATTTTCTTGTAAGTTGTTCTAACAGAGTATAATGATAGTAATAAAAATTCAGAATGAAATCATAGTGATTTAAAATTTCTGCAGAGATAGACATTTTTATTATCTTCACACTCCGAGAATGCATGACATTGAAGTTTCCAATCACAAGAACTAAAATTGGTGCTATTTTTCACAAAATAACTGATGGTTCTTATCAATGTGGAACAACTTGTACATTAATTTTTCATTCCATTGCTCAGTTTTGCTCAGTAATTTTTATTAATTTAACTCATATCTTTCTGATAATAAAATTAATCTTTTAAAATATCAATAAAATATGTTATAAATAACTAAATAAACATAAGTCTTTTGGAAGGGAAAATACTTTGGAAAAAAATTCATCAGGTATTCTACCATATTTTCCTCTCATAAGCAGAAAAATAATAATTTTTAAAACTGCTCCTATTATCTTTACTATCTAGTGGAAAGGCCTTTTATGAGAATGGCAGATAAATTGTCTCCCAGGCATGATAATGAAATGATGTTCTTCTATGCTTTGCTGAGCCAGAGAATGGGCTGAATTATGTTAAGCAATGTAGTGTCAAGAAGAGTTTTGTATTATTTTAAGAGAAAAATATACATAATCAGGAAGTATAGCTTTGGGCAAGTTTCTAAAAAAATAAAAAATAAATAGTATATGTCATTAAATATTCCTTCCATGTCACATTAAATGCCCAGACTTCCTTTCCCTTTTGTACTAAAAATACCGTATATCCACTATAGCTAGAGCCCAAAGACATGATCCCTTCTCCTTTTGTGAGGAGCTATATCAGTATAATTCAAACTATTATTTGATAGAACCAAATTCTTATTTAGGGCGTTTTAAATCTGGGAACAGATAACACTCAACAGTTCTTGTAGTATAAACACTTTTTTAAGGGTTTTCAAGGACATCTATTTTATCTTTCTCTTTCCACAAAACATTTCTATAGTCTACCTATTCTGAATAAGTAGCATTTTAAGAATAAATTATTTCCATTTTTATAGGTCCCAGTGATCTGATTTTTTTTTAAGACTCAATTTCTTATTTCATTCTTCACATGTGACAATCACCAATTCTGGCCTGCTTGGAAATTTCTCCACTTCCTTTTCCTATAATCCCATTGTAAACCAGTAGAAATGCAGTAAAGACCTCTTGGAGAGAGCTGAATTCATTCTCCTAACTCTCCTCTCACTATTCAAATGTTATTTTCCCCAGGTCTAGCCCACACCTTCCTTCCAGAGTAGGAAATTCTCCAATAAAATCAATCCATTCAAGTTTTTCAAAATTTTTATTTACAGTGTTAGTCTCACATAAATTAACAAAATTATGTGATCTATTTATTGCTTTTCTAATGTTTTCATGTGTAATTTTTGAATTACTAAATCATTATAAACTTTTTGAAGGCACAATGAATCTTATGTTTTTTGGTATGTTCATCCTTTTCTAGGAGCTCATATGATAACAAAAGGTAATTGAATATTAATCTCTATCACGCAATGATGCCTCAATCTTTTCCACAAATCTCACAAATTATAAAATTCCGTAATATGTCTCAACACTATCTGGATAAAAGTAATTGGCAGAATTCAGGTATTCTATAAGCATTTAATTATTTCAGATTGAATATAAGCTAATATTCTTCATTTTCAAAATGGCAATTCATTAAGGTCTATGATTGGAAGTAATAAAATTTTTCACTCTGTGAAAAATTGAAATTCCTTTCATTAGAAAATTGGATTAAAATAATTGAATTTTAGGTGTAGGTCGAACTCAGAGTTCATGAAGAAGATATTCACTATCATTTTATTTATACCTAAAACCTTAATAGATTCCAGATCTCTCTCTCTCTCACTTTCTCTCTCTCTATATATATATGTGTGTGTGTGTGTGTGTGTGTGTGTGTGTGGTGTACGCATGTATATATAATTTTTTATATCAATTTAAAATTTTAATGATTTTAATATTCTAAAAGATATGCTTGTAAAAACTTTTGCTCATAACAGCACTGTGAAGTTCAAAAAGCAATTGAGTGTCAAATTCAGAAACAAAACACAGGTATTACTGTTAATTATTAATCCAGTCATTCATTCGTTCTTTAATAAATTCAACAAATAATACATGTGCCAGACAATTGGTGTATGATTTTTAAAACTCCTATTTTCTTTACTATTTAGTGGAAAGGCCTTTTATGTATTAAATATTCACTGAAACAAATGTTAAGCTAAAATATATTCTGAATTGTTATTGGATGACTGTTACTTAGCATATATTAAGAATTGTCAGGAAAGATATCATTGAGAAAGGTGGTCTTGAGCTGAAACTAGGGGTAAAAAAAACAACTGGTGGTAAAGTGGAAAAACATGTTCCAGGGATAAGAAAGAGGAAGTACTTTTACCAAAGGGAGTAGGGTACTTCCAACTGAATGAAATAATGTCAAAACGTTTTGGGCAGAATTAAAGGAGTAGGAAGGAAGCTTATAGGAAGACAATGGAGAAAAATGCTCAAATTATGTAGGGTTTCATTGACTCTGTTGGGGAGGTTTTATGTTAATAAAAAGAAGGCATTTAAATGTGTGTGTATGTGTATGTGTGCTTATAACATAATCATGCTTGTATTTCAAAAGAATTTCCTCCCTTCATTAACTTCTTTGGGGTAACTGGAGCTAGGCAAGGAAATAGATGAATAGATTAGTTAGAATACTTGGCAGTAAGTAAGGTGCTTTGTAGCAAAGAGGTGTCAGAAATGATTAAGAGGAGTGAATAGGTTTGAGAGATATTTATGGTATGAAATTAATAGCGTAAACCAAAAACAAATTTCTAAGACCTCCAAGCCATCTGAGTGAACCCCTCTTGGTCAAGGGCATTCCGAAGTTAACCTGAAAAACCGTTCAGGCCATGATGGGAAGGGGGAAGCAGACATGCCTCATTATACACTTCTCAATTTTGGAATCACTAAATCATTGATATAAGAGACTCTTTAATTCTGATAAGAAACATTTACAATCTATTCTCCCTGAAGCCTGCTGCCTAGAGGCTTCATCTGCATGATAAAACCTTGGTCTGCACAACCGCTAATCATAACCCAGATATTCCCTTCTATTGATAATAACTTTTAGAGGCAACTGCAAATCAGAAAATCTTTAAATCTACCTATGACATAGAACCACCCCCCCAACCCCCTGCTTTGAGTTGTCCTGCCTTTCCAGACCGAACGAATGTACATCTTACACATATTTGTTGATGTCTCATTGTCTCCATAAAATGTATAAAACTGGCCAGGTGTAGTGGCTCATGCCTATAATCCCAGCATTTTGAAAGGCCAAGGCAGGAGGATTGCTTGAGCCCAGGAGTTAAAGATCAGCTTGGACAACATTACAAGACCCTGTATCTACTAAAAATACAAAAATTAGCCAGGCATGGTGATGCAGTCCTGAAGTTCCAGCTACTCGGGAGGCTGAGGTGACAGGATCACTTGAGCCTGGGAGGTTGAGGCTGCAGTGAGCCGAGATCACGCCATTGCACTCTAACCTGTTTCAAAAAAATAAATCTTTAAAACGAAGATGTACCCTGACCACCTTGAGCACATATAGTCAGGACCTCCTGAGGCTTTGTCATGGGTGTGACCTCAGCCTTGGCCTAATAAACTTTCTGAATTGATTGGGACTTATCTCAGATACTTTTGGTTAATGATGTGGTTTGCATCTGTGACTCCACAGATCTGTTTAGTTGCAATCCCCAGTGTTGGAAGTAGGGCCGAGTGGGAGGTGATGGGATCATGGGGGTGGTTTTGCATTAATGTTTAGCACCATCCCCTTTGTGCTGTTCTCATAATAGTGAGTATGTTATTATGAGATCTGGTTGTTTAAAAGTGTGCAGCACCTCCCCTCTTTTATTGCTTCTACTTTCACCACGTGAAATGCCATGATTGTAGGTTTCCTGAGGCCTCCCCAGAAGCCGAGCAGGTGCCAGAATCATGCTTCTCATACATCACGCTTCCTATACAGAACCATGAGCCAACTGAATCTGTTTTCTTTATAAATTACCCAGTCTCAGATATTTCTTGATAGCAATGTGAAAACAGGCTAATACAGAGTACAGCAGGAATGTGTTTCGGACTGGATATGAGGAGAATGAAAAGGGAGGTAACAATGGCCATGCATAGGTTTCTGATGTTCATAATAATATAAATACTGCTACTGCTCTCTGAGTCAATGGAATGTGGAAAAGAACTGAGTTTTAAAAGAAGAGTTGGAAAAATCATGAGTTAACTTGTGTACATGTTGAGTTTGTGGGGTTTTTGCAAAACTTCACGAGATATGTAAAAGTTTAGTAAGATTTTTGCATGTAAAGTTCATTCTTAAGCAAAAGTTGTATTCACTGTTTGAAAGACTCTCCTAGACTCATTGAGATTGACAACTCATTAAATACTTAATTACAAAATTTGATAGATGTATACCCAATAGAATATATATGTATATGTTTCCCAAAAAAAGTACCATAAAGTTTAAAGCAAATGAGTTCCAAGTCCCTTCAAATTAAAGTGGATAAATTATAATATATTTACACAATGGAACACTAAACAGCAATAGGAATAAGTAGTCCTTAAATCTAGAATTACAATGACTTATATAAAGTCTTTTACTCTGCAGTTAGGTTTCTTCACATAAACAATAATCTAGAATAAATAGAGTGGAATTGCATCAAAGTGCATTGAATCACCCTCTTATATACACACACTAAAAACAAATGCAGATAAAAGTAAGTGACAGCCATGAAAATAGAAGTTATTCTTTGTATTTCTTGGATTTTCAACTCTGAGGGTTGAAGTATAATATTAGTGATTATAAAAATGATCTAAGGAAATGTTAGAGAATTATTTTTACTCCACTCAGTTTTCTGCCTTAGATTCTGTCTTTAGAATCTGTGGCTTATTTTAAATATTATTTTATTTTAGACCTATTTTCATGCTTTATAAATGTATGGGAAAATTTAATAGAAGGTAATTAAGTGATGTGATTCAATTTGTTTTTTGATAGTTTATTAAGATATAAAAAATACAGAAAGCACACATATTGTAAGTATACACATTTGTAAATTTTTAAAAATTTAGCACCCATATTTTTTTAAAGAACATATTTGTACCCTAGAAGTTCCTTACCTCAGCTATTGTGAATAGTGCTGCAATGAACATGGGCATGCAGATATCTCTTTGAGATACTGATTTCATTTCCTTTGGATACACACCAAGAACTGGGTTTGTTGGTTCATATGGTAGTTCTATATTTAATTTTTTTGAGGAACCTCCAGGCTGCTTTCTCTAATGGCTATACTAATATACATTCCCTCTAACATGTCCAAAAATTCCCTTTCTCCACACCCTTGCCAACACTATTGTATTAGTCCCTTCCCACATTGCTATAAAGAAATACCTGAGACTAAGTAATTTATAGAGAAAAGAGGTTTAATTGACTCCCAATTCTGCGGCTATACAGGAAGCATAGCAGCTTCTGCTTCTGGGAAGGCCTCAGGAAAGTTTTACTCATCGCAGAAGGCAAACTTGCAAGCAGGTGTCTTACACAGCGGGAGAAGGACCAAGAAGAGGGGGGATGTGCTACACACTTTTAAACAACCAGATTTTGTGAGAATTCACTCACTGTTGTGACACAATACCAAGCAGAAAACCCGCCCTCATGATCCAGTTAGCTCCCACTAGGCCCCCACCTCCAACATTGGGGATTACTATTCTACATGAGATTTGGGTGGGATACAGATCAAAACTATATCAACTATCTCTTGTTCTTTTGATAATTGCCATTCTAATAAGTATCCTCTGACTTTGTTTTTTATCTATCAATATTGTGCTCACTATTCTGGGTCTTTTTCCTATCCATATACAGTTTAGAGTCAGTTTGTTAATATTTCCAAAGCAATTTGCTGACATTTTGATTTTTGTTTTGAATCTGTAGGTCAAGGTGGAAAGAATTAACATATTGACAATATTGAATCTTCATATTATATACATGGTGGGATTCTCAATTTGTTTAGATATTTGAAATTTTTCATCTTTTTTTTCATATAGATCTTGTATCAATATATTTTAGTAAACTAATACTTAAGTATTCGATTTTTGGGGGTGCTAATATCAATGATATCATGTTTTTTTATTTCAAACTTGACTTGTTCATTACTGCTGTATAGGAAAACTATTCACTTTTGCATATTAACCTTGTATCCTGCAACTATGCTATAATCAGTTACTAATTAGTCCCAGGAGTTTTTGTGTTTTTGATTGGTAATTATTTAGGATTTCCTATAGAAACAACTATGTCACTTGTAAATACAGACAATCTTATTCTTCTTTCCCAATTTGTATATATTTCTTTTTTTAAAAGTTATTTTTTTTCTTTTAACTTTTAAGTTCAAGGGTACAAGCTCAGGTTTGTTACAAAGGTAAACTTGTGTCATGGGGGTTTGTTGTACAGATTATCTCATCACCCAGGTATTAAGCCTGGTACCCATTAATTATTTTTCCTGATCCTCTCCCTCCTCCTACCCTCCACCCTCCAAAAGGCCCCAGTGTGTGTTGTTCCTCTCTATGTGTTCATGTGTTCTCATCCTTTAGGTCCCACTTATAAGAAAGAACATGCAGTATTTGGTTTTCTGTTCCTGTGTTAGTTTGCTATGGATAATGGACTCCAGCTCCATCCATATTCCTGCAAAGGACATAATCTCATTTGTTTATGGCTTCCTAGTATTCCATGGTGTATATGTACCACATTTTCTTTATCCAGTCTATCATTGATGGGCATTTAGGTTGACTCCATGTCTTTGCTATTGTGAATAGTGCTGCAGTGAACATTTGCATGCATGTGTCTTTATGGCAGAATAATTTATATTCCTTTGGATACATGCCCAGTAATGGGGTTGCTGGGTCAAAAGGTATTTCTGTCTGTAGGTCTTTGAGGAATTGACGCACAGTCTTCCACAATGGTTGAACTAATTTACACTTCCACTAACAGTGTATAAACATTCCTTTTTCTCCAAAACCATGCCAGCATCCATTATTTTTTGACTTTTTAATAATAGCCATTCTAACTGCTATGAGATGGTATCTCATTGCGGTTTTAATTTGCATTTCTCTAAGAATCAGGGATGTTGAGCTTTTTGTCATATGATTGTTGGCTGCATGTATGTCTTCTTTTGAAAGTTTCTGCTCATGTCCTTTGCCCACTTTTTTATGGGGTTGTTTGGGTTTTCTTCTTGTAAATTTGTTTAAATTTCTTATAGATGCTAGATATTAGACTTCTGTCAGATGCATAGTTTGCAAAATTTTCTCCCATTCTGTAGGTTGTCTGTTTACTCTGTTGATAGTTTCTTTTGCTGTATAAAATATCTTTAGTTAACTAGATCCCATTTGTCCATTTTTGCTTTTGCTGCAATTGCTTTTGGCATGTTTGTTATGAAATATTTGTCATGCCTATGTTCTGAATGGTATTGCCTAGGTTGTCCTCTGGGTTTTTTATAGTATTGGGGTTTACATTTAAGTCTTTAATCCATCCTGAATTAATTTTTATGGTGTAAGGAAAGGGTTCAGTTTCCATCTTCTGCATATGGCTAGCCAGTTATCCCAGTATCATTTATTGAATGGGGAATCCATTCCCCATTGCTTGTTTCTTGTCATGTTTGTCAAAGATCAGATAGTTTTAAGTGTGTGATCTTATTTCTGGGTTCTCTATTCTGTTCCATTGGTCTATGTCTGTTCTTGTTCCAGTACCATGCTGTTTTGGTTACTGTAGCCCTGTTGTGTAGTTTGAAGTTAGGTAGCATGATGCCCCCAGTTCTTTTTGCTTAGGATTGCCTTGGCTATTCAGGCTCTCTTTTGGTTCCATATAAATTTCAAAATAGTTTTCTCTAGTTCTGTGAAGAATGTCAGTGGTAGTTTAATAGGCATAGCATTGAATCTACAAATTCCTTTGGGCAGTATGGCCATTTTCACCATATTGATTCTTCCTATCCATGAGCATGGAATACTTTGCCATTTGTTTGTGTACTCTCTAATTTTCTTGAGCAGAGGTTTGTAGTTCTCCCTGTAGAGACCTTTCACCTGCCTAGTTAATGTAATCCTAGGTATTTTATCCTTTATGTGGCAATTGTCAATAGGAGTTCATCCTGATTTGGCTTGGCTTGACTATTGTTGGTATATAGGAATCCTAGTGATTTTTGCACTTTAATTTTGCATCCTGAGACTTTGTTGAAGCTGTTTATCAGCTGCAGAAGCTTTTGGGCTGAGACAATAGGGTTTTCTAGATATAGGATCGTGTCATCTGTAAACTGGGATAGTTTGACTTACTCTCTTTCTTTTTGGATGTGCTTTATTTCTCTCTCTTGCTTGATTGCCCTGGCCAGAACTTACAATATTATGTTTAATAGGAGTGGTGAGGGAGAGCCTCCTTTTCTTGTGCTGGTTTTCAAGGGGAATGCTTCCAGCTTTTGCCCATTTAGTATGATGTTGGCTGTGAGTTTGTCATATATGACTCTTATTATTTTGAGGTATGCTCCTTCAATACCTAGTTTATTTAGAGTTTTTAACATAAATTGATGTTGAATTTTATCAGTCTTTTCTACATCTATTGAGCTATTAGGTGTTTCTGTCTTTATTTCTATTTATGTGATGCATCACATTTATTGATTGGCATATGTTGAACCAATCTTGCATCCTGGGAATGAAGCCTCCTTGATCATGGTGGATAAGCTTTTTAATGTGTAGCTGGATTTGGTTTGCCAGTATTTTGTTGAGGATTTCTGCATCAATGTTCATCAAGGACATTGGCCTGAAACTTTCTTTTTTAGTTGTATCTCTGCCAGGTTTTGTTGTCAAGATGATGCTGGCCTCATAGAATGAGTTAGGAAGGAGCCTCTTCTCCTCAATTTTCTGGAATAGTTTCAGTAGGAATGCTACCAGCTCTTCTTTGTACATCCAGGAGAATTCAGCTGTGAATCCATCTGGTCCTGAGTTTTTTAGGTTGGTAAGCTATTTGTTACCGCCTCAATTTCAGAACTCATTATTGTTGTGTTCAGGGATTCAGTTTCTTTCTGGCTCAGTCTTGGAAGGGTGGATGTGTCTAGGAATTCATCCATTTCTCCTAGATTTTCTAGCTTATGTGCATAGAAGTGTTCATACTATCCTCTGATGGTTGTTTGTGTTTCTACGTGGTCAGTGGTAATATCCCTCTTGTCATTTCTAATTGTGTTTATTTTAGTCTTTTCTCTTTTCCTCTTTATTATTCCAGCAAGTAGTCTATCCAGTTTTTTTTTTTTTTTCATCTTCTAGATTAGTTGATCTTTTGAATGGGTTTTGTGTCTCAATCTCCTTCAGTTTAGCTCTGATTTTGGTCATTTATTGCCTTCTGCTAGCTTTTGCACTTATTTGCTCTTGGTTCTCTAGTTATTTTACTTGTGATGTTAGGTTGTTAATTTGAAATCTTTCTAGCTTTTTGATATGGGCTTTTAGTGCTATTAATATTCCCTCTTAACACTATCTTAGCTGTGTCCCAGAGATTTGGTATATTGTATCTTCATCCTCATTAGTTTCAAAGACTACTTGATTTCTTCCTTAATTTCATTATTTATCCAAAAGTCATTTAGGAGCAGGTTATTCAATTTCCATTTAATTGTATGGTTTTAAGTGAATTTGTAAGTCTTAATTTTGAATTGAATTGCACTGTGTTCTGAGAGACTATTATGATTTCAGTTATTTTGCATTTGCTGAGGAGTGTTTTACTTTCAATTATGTGATCAATTTTAAAGTAAGTGCTATGTGCCAATGAGAAGAATGTATATTCTATTGTTTTTGGGTGAAGAGTTCTGAAGATATCTATCAGGTTCATTTGATCCAGTGCTGAGTTCAGGTCCTGAATATCTTTGTTAATTTTCTGTCTCAATGATTCATCTAATATTTTCAGTGCAGTGTTAAAGTCTCCCACTATTATTGTGTGGGAGTCTAAGTCTGTTTGAAGCTCTCTAGGAATTTGCCTTATGAATTTGGGTACTCTTGTGTTGGGTTTATATATATTTAGGATAGTTAGATCTTCTTCTTGAATTGAACCCTTTAGGATTATATAACGCCCTTCTTTGTCTTTTATAATTTTTGTTGGTTTGAAATCTGTTTTGTCAGAAACTAGGACTGCAACCACTGTTTTTGTTTTTGTTTTCTGTTTTCCATTTGCTTGGTAGATTTTTCCTCCCTCCCTTTATTTTGAGCCTAAGGTTGGAACTGCTAAGTCATCCAAACAGCAAAGATGGAGGCCTGCCCCTCCCTCTGGGAGCTCTGTACATGGGACTTTTCAAATCTCTGTAGGCCAGAGAACAGTGGTGGTGGTGGCTGGAGGCCCCCGTTGGGAGGTCTTGCCCAGGGCAGAATGGGATTGGGGACCTGCTTAAAGCAGCAGCCAGGCCACACTTTTGTAGAGCAGCTGTGCTGTGCTGTGCTGTGGTACTGCTTCTGCCCAGTTGAGTTGGGCTTTTCAAAGTTCGCAGGCTGGAATGGCTAAATTGCCCAAATAGCAAAGATGGTGGCTTGCCCCTCCCCCCAGGAGCTCCATCCCAGGAAGGTGCAACACTGCTACTGCTACTGATGGCTGGCTGGAATTCCAATCCAGGGTATCTTACCCTGTGAGGTGCCATGGAAGTGGGGCCCACAGACTGTCACTGCTCAGCTCTCTGAATTTAGCATCTTTCCTAGGGGTACACACAGGGGTCTAACCTCTTGCTTTATTTGAGTTGCAGTTACTTTTGCTGGGATGCCCAGAAATCCAGAGTATCTAACGCTCCTGGGTCTCTGTGAGCACCTAAGCAGCTGCTCTGTGGAGACTCCATATAGCTTTGTGTGTCAAACTGAAGGCCTTGGTGGAGTGCATTCATGAGGGGGATCTCCTGATCCGAGGGTTGCAAAGATCCATGGAGAAGCATGGTATCCTGGGGTCATGCATTCACTCACCACATACCTGGGTGGGAAAGGTTCCCCTGGCCACATGTGAGCCATCGTCCTGCTTTGCTTTCCTCAGTTCTCCATGGGTGGAGTTGTTTCCTTGATTAGTACCAGTGTGAGTACCTGGATGTTTCTGTTGAAAGTGCTGTAGTTACTCACCCCTTTGCTTCCTCTCCATGAGAACCATGCACCTAAGCTGCTTCTAGTCAGCCATCTTGGCCCTTCCCCACTTTGTAAGAATGCCAGATAACACATATGAATAATTTTAGAGGCTTCAGATGGTGTTGGCTTCACCCAATGTTTATTCACTTTATCTTCTGAAGGACAGGAGGCTTGATTAAGTATATTGAGTCACAAAGTTATCAGACAAAAGGCTAGTTTGAAGTTTTCAACAGGGATAGCCTTCCTGTGTTTGACCTCACTCCTATGACCCTCCAGGACTTCCAATGTAAATGGTCAGGTACATTCTAAGGTCCCTAATATTTGCAAGATCCTGAATCTCAATTTTTGTTTCCTCAATACCAGGAAGTGGTTTTAAGTGCCATTTTTAAAAGATTCTTTCTGTGTGCCTTCTTAATTTCTTACTTTGAGGAGTTTAAGAATTTGGCACATACTTGGAGAGAAAAATTCTCTGAATCTCTTCCCTAAATTTCTCTTTTCTCAGAGATTGTATCTCTACCAGTTTTGCTACCATTAGGAACTCTGATTTTTAATTTGTGTTTTTCAGGCCCATGAATTTGACGAAATCTCTGCTAGGTGTCTTGCCTTTATCAGCTTGCAGCCTTCATCTCTGCCTGACTTGGGCAATTTTCTGATTGTTACTTTTATCTTACTAAACATTCTCTATATACTCAAGTTCTGGCTATTTCTGAAGTTCTTGAACTGTTTAAGCCTTTTTTTAAAAATCTTGCTTTCGAGTTCATGAAGGAGTTTTGGTATGCTACACGCTATTCTGTCAGAACTGCAAATGGAAGTCACCTCAATTTTTTAAAAGGAAAATGAGACAGTAGCGATTAACTTTAATTCAATGCATTTTTATGTGCATCATATTTCACAATTGCTTTACATTGCATAATTGGGGGTACTTGGGGGTACGGGTAGAGATAATTTGAATTAAGTGACAACCAAAAAGACGTTTAGCTATGTCTTCAGTACCTATCCTTTCTGCTGTATAATTAATTGACTTATCTATGTTCTAGATCACATTTTTGCTTTAAAATTTTGTTTACTTAAGGAAGATAGAAAGAGTGTAACTGTTGAATAAAATATTGTGACATTTGAACTATTATTGAAGTGCATGTTTTTAAAATCTGTCATTCGAGTGACAGATTTGGTCAATATAAAAAATAAAAACACTGTAAGCCAGTCTTTTCTGTAACAACTCCTGGCTATATGCTTTAATAGTTATAGTTTCCAAAAGTAGTATTTGTGAACATAATTATAATGAAAGGAGGTACATCAGGAAGTTTGGAAAAACTTTTAGGTAATTTACTAATTACCTAAATTCCGTGGGAAGTAGAGATGGAAAAAGAGAAATTAAATCATTTTCCCTCTAGATAACAAACAATATCAAATACATATTGGTTATTTAAAATTCAATTTTTCAGTTTCCTTTTTTTCTTTTTAAATTTCAGTTCCCTACTTTCAGGTCAATTCATATTTTACTTAAATCTATAATGGAAATTAAGGAAGCAGGAGTAACTACCTCTACAAAAACCCAAAGGAGCTCTTTTTTTCAGGTGATTTTTAAAAGTTCTTATAAACCTTAGAATAAAAGATTAAGAATAATATAAGTTAGGACAATCATTTATGTTTTATTTCAGTTTACTGTTAATCTGTGTGTATCTTTTTAAATTCTCTCTTCTGAAGGTGACAATTATTTTCAACTTGCATTCAATATGTGTAAATATAAATAATGTAATAAATGTATCTGCTTCAAGAAGAAAGTATTATACGTGAATGTGTATATTGATTTATCTCTTTATATATAAATATATAGACACATACATAGATATAAAGAGAGAGAGACAGAAGACAGAGAGTGAGAGAGCTCTAGAAATATATATTATTCAAAATAATGAACTTTAGTATTTAATATAGACTTACCAAATTACTAAATTTTGATATATTAAAATATATTTTTTTCCTATATTTGTTAAAACTATGTGTTTTGAGTTCATATGGGGACTTTTATTGAATAGACGAATCTTTGGCTCATTACTCAAAAGAGCTCTACAACTTCCCAACTTTGTAATTTTAGGATAGCAAAAGTCACTGTTGCTATCATGGTTGCAGATTATCTTAATTTTAATTCAGCAAATGAACTCTTGAGTTTTATTTTACTATGTTTTCATCTACTGACTGAAAAAAAGTGTATTCTGTGTTTTGTTGAAACCCATCTGAGAAATAAAATATTCATTACTTCATCAGAGACATTTGATCTGAAAGTATATGTTCTATTATTTGAAGAAAATTAATTTTTGAAAGGTTTTACTAATCAAAATACAAGTGAATTATCTGTGTCCCCCAGAACAGATGTACTTTTTGGCAACTCTACTTTCAAATATCTGTTCTTGTTTGTTTTATTTTGACCCAGGAGGCAAATATTAAAAACAGATGTTTGAAATAGCAAAGGTAATCAATTAGAAAAAGGTAGTAAAATTTACCATTGTGATAAGGTAATATTGCATGATATATTTTTAAAATATTTTAAATTTATAATGGCTACTGCAAATAGTTTCTTAATAGGATATAGCCCTTGAAAATCATATATAAAAATGTAATTAATATACAAATATTATCAAAATGATTTCACTTAAATTATGCTAGAAATTTTCTTTTATAAAATCAATTCCTAAAAATGTTAATTTATTGCTTATGAATCATAAATAGAAATTTTTCATATGATGCAAATAGTAAACAATAAAGGGCCTACATGCAGAGATTTTAAATTCTAGTTGATAAATAATAAATAAATAAATAAACAATATACAGAAAATTGTATAAAAAACATTCAGCGAATGATCTACAGTATGAGGTGTGTATTACTTTAAATAACTTGCCCCAAGACAGGCTCTCAGAAGAGGAAAGTTAATCACGATCTTGAAATAAAGCAAGAAGGAAGCCATGAAGATATCTAGAGAAGAGAGTGTCGGGCAGAGAAAATAACACATGAAATGGTAATGTGACAGAAATGGCTGATAGAAGATGAAGAAATCCCAGGGTGAAAAGAAATTATGCCAGAGTACGTATTGTCTTTTATTATACTATAAGAAGTTTGGATGCTGTTCTCAGAGAGAGGAGAATCCATTCGAAGCATGAGCTTCATATAATCCATTTGTACATTAAATATAGCCCCTAGGCTTTTGGATGAAGAAACAGCGTGCATGACAAACATGAGACAAACAGGTTTGGGGGTAATTAAATTATATTTGTGTCAGTAGCTGTGTTATTCTATTTATTTATAAAATTTCTCAGAGCTTTTTTTTATTATAGATTCAGGGGTTACATGTGCAGATGTGTGACATGGATATATTTTGTAATGCTGGGGTTTGGGCTTCAAATGTACCCATCACTTAGATAGTGAACATTGTACCCAGTAGGTAATTTTCAACCCTCACTCTCCTCCCTTCCTTCCTCTCTCCTTCCCTTTCCATTTTTGGAGTCCCCAGTGTCTATTATTTTTATCTTTTTATCCATGTGTACCCATTGTTTAGCTCCTGCTTATTTTAAAACTGCTGTTAGATCTCCAGGTGGAGAAGTTGAAAAGCAGCTGGAGAGTTGGAGAGAGAGTCTCTGCCTCAAAGAAAAAAAAAAGGAAAGAAAGAAGAAAGAAAGAAAAGAAAGAAAGAGAGAAAGAAAGGAAGGAAAGAATGGAACACAAAAGAGGGCTCAGAGTGAAGATATGGATTGATCAGATGACTGAGACTAGGTAAGATTATTTAAAGAGTGAGCTTAGCATGGAGTCGAAGTCTGATGACTAAGCCATGGGGACACTGCAACATTTTAAAATATTTATGTTAAATTGATGCTAAAATGTAAGTATATATTGGAACATCTAACTGATATTATTAATACATTTGAAAATGAGAAGTGAGACTAAAATTTAATAAGGTAGAAAAATAAAGATTATTCAACTTTCAGCCCTTCACCACACAAAGAGTATTAAAAAAGAGCTATTTATGTAATGAGATTTCCATCATTCATGAACCTAGGGAAAAGATTTTAAAGAGAACCTTTGGTATACACCACATGCATTTGAGGGACACAATGAACTACCAAAATTAGCTGCTCTTAGAGCCCAGCAAAGAAAAGGTAAGCTGCAAATAATGTTTTAGCTTTGATTCCAGAGTTGGTTGAACAAGGGATGTGCATGTGTTACATGCATCAGACATGACCTAAGAGAGTAGTAGTGTTAGTATATGATCTGCAATATCTGTTTAAGAGGACAGCTCTTGGGGTTACTGACCCTCAGCAAAAGGAAGTTGTAGGTACTGTTGCTGGGTAGCTCGAGAGTGAGGATGAAGTGAATGAAAACCCTGGACAGACTGAGGTTGACTCTTGCAGGTAAGAGATCCTCAATAAAAAAGAACGCATAGGAGAAAAGTCAACATTATAAATCTTCAAGGCCAGAGAAGGTGTCATTGGACAAGAGATAGCACACATCTGAACTTCTTTCTTTAATTCCCCAATGTTTCAACTCTGCAGTCAAAAACAGCAGGCAGCAAGATGAGAGTGGAAGAGTAGCATAGCAAGTTGTAAAGTGCAGAAGTCAACCAGAATTTTCCTCTCTAACTGCAAGTCTCTAGCTTTTGCCAACCCTACAGGGAGAGAGAAAGAAGCCTTCACTGTTAATCAAGATTAAAGTTTCAATCTTTTAAGGTTTGTCAAATAAAGACATATTTCCTAGAACAGTAGGCATTCTGTACATAGTAAAACAACAAGCCAATGACTGATTGCTTCACCAAAATGGATTTCTAGGTTCGGACAAACGTAGTGTATTATCTTATAGAATTCCTCTAATTCACTAGTTGTTTCTATTTCCAATTTTGATAAAATTTAGACATGATTTGTAGCTGTGTTTAACTCTTTAAAGTGATTGTTATATCTCTGACGTCCATGTCAGTCCAGGTACCAAACACTATTTCAGTATTTGTGTCAGTGTCTGTGATTTTAAGCTTTTTGAAATTCATCCAGATATGCTGAAACATCAATATCATCTGATCACAATGGATGTAGTTTAGTAGTGACCCCTGTGTAAGTAAGGACAATAAAACTAAGACAGATTGGTTGGGCACGGTGGCTCACACCTGTATCCCAGCACTTTGGGAGGCCAAGGCAGGTGGATCACGAGGTCAAGAGATTGAGATCATCTTGGCCAACATGGTGAAAACCTGTCTCTACTAAAAATACAAAAATTAGCTGGGCATGGTGGTACGTGCCTGTAGTCCCAGCTACTAGGGAGGCTGAGACAGGAGAATTGCTTGAACCTGGGAGGCAGAGGTTGCAGTGAGCCGAGATCACGTTACTGCACTCCAGCCTGGGGACAGAGAGAGACTCCGTCTCAAAAAGAAAAAAAAAACTAAGACAGATTAGTAAAAAGCTTGGAAATCAACTAATTGAAGAACTGATCCCTCATATGACTGAACAACAAATAGGTAAACAAATCCAGGGGATAGTCACATATATCATCAGGCAACAGTGACAGAAAAAGGACCTCGGTTCAAAGAGGCCAATAACCATAACAGCTTAAACACCTTCCTACAAGTATAGAGATTTTCTGTTGTAAAATTATATTTTTTATGCTTATCATATTTTTCCTGCTTTTATTTTAGGTTCAGGGGGTACATGTTCAGGTTTGTTACATGGGTGAATCATGTATCACTGAGGCTTGGCATACAAATGATCCCATCACCAAGGTGGTGAGCATAGTCTAATAAATATAATGCATCTTCTTTTGAGGACAAAGAGTATTTTGTATTCCGAACAGTGAATGGGACCTCAAGTCTACTCCAAAAGAGAAAATAAATATGTTGAATAGTAAGCTCTCACATTACTTTTCCATTTATCATTTAATTCACTTTCTTAATATAACTGCAAACCTGAAAAATGTATGCCAAACCATGATAGGTACTTGTTGCTTCTTCTTCAAATTTAGAGAAATTCATAAGATTGATTGATGTACAAATAAGGCTTTCACTTGAAATGTTGGTCCAAATGTATTGGCTGATACTTTCCGATTGAATAACCGTGTATATTTACCCTGAACTGTCAAATCAGGAGATCAATCACATAAGGAGTTGAAAGAATAATAATGAAAGTGACTATATTGACATATATAGTTATATTTATAGTAAAGGCAACTCAATATCTGTATATATGGAAGAGCAGATCATATATATATTGGAGTAATAGCATTCACATGAAGTGCTCTATGCAGTATGGTAGGCAATAGCCACATGGAACTTTCAAAATTAAATGTACCCGACTGCTTGGGCTGCCATCACATGATATTATATACTGGATGTCTTAAACAATAGAAATTTATTTTCTTATAGTTCTGGAGACTAAAAGTCCAAGATCAAGGCTTTGGCTGATTTGGTTCTCGTGAGGCTCCTCTCCTGGCTTGCAGATGGCCACCTTCTTGCTGTGTTCTCCCATGGCCTTTCCTTGATGTGTGCAGGGGAAATCTCTCTCTTCCTCTTCTTATAAGGCTACTAATTCTATTGGATTAGGGTTACACCTTTATTACTTCATGTAAGCCTAATTATCTCCTAAAGTCCCTATCTCCAAATAAAGTCACATTGGGGTGTTAGGGCTTCAACATATGAATTTTGGGGTAATGTAATTTGGTCTTGTAGCTTTAAAATATAAAAAATTAACATTGAGCAAAATTTTAAAAACTTAGTTCCTCCATTACTCTAGTCAGATTTCAAGTGCTCAATAACCAAATATACTTATGTCTTTTATATTGGACATTGAAGATATAAGACATTTCCACCACCACAGAAAATTTGATTAGCATTGTGGTAGAACATAGCATCTCATACTTCCAGTTCTTCTAATTCAATTTTAATAAATATAATCTTATAAGCTGAAACCTCTAAATTACTAAAACTTGTTTTATCACTCAACATATGGTTTATCTTGGTGATTATATCAAGTATACTTAAAATAATGTGTTATCTGAACTTGTTAGGTATAATGTTTTATGAAAATAGGTTGAGAGGGTTGACTCTCTTTTGTATATCTTCTGTGTTTCTACTGATGATTTGTTTAATGGTTGTTCTATCAATTGCTGAGAGAGGGTGATAAAATCTCGTAGTATTAGGAAGAAATTTTCTATTTCAACTTTTAATTCCTGAAATATTGTTATTGCACTTGAAAGCTCTATTAGGTGCATAAATATTTGTGATTACTCTTTTCCTGATATTTTGACTTGTTTTCATCCTTATGAAACACTTTTTGAATCTACTGTTACCCTTTTTAGTCCACATTACATAATATCATAATGGGCACAACTCTCACATTTTTTTATTTTTTTCAAGTCTCTTTCTTTATTCATACGTAATAGTTGTTTATACTTTGGTGGTATGTGTGATATTTTGATACATGCATACAATCTTTAATGATCAAAGGTATTTGGGATATCCATCACCTCAAATATTTATCTTTTCTTTATGTTGGGAACATTCCAATTCGTATTTTCTAGCTATTTGAAATATACAATACATTATTGTTAACTAAAGTCACCCTACTGTACTACCACAAACTAAATCTTATTCCTTCTGTCTAACTGTATTTTTATCCCATTAACCAGCCTCTGGTATATCTTCATTTCTCCATTTCCTTTTTACTGTGTCTTTATATTAAAATGTAATTATTGTAGATAGCTCATAGATAGTTATTTTTTAAACCATTCTTGAATCTGTGGATTTTGATTGGAGTGTTTAGTTCATTAATAATTTTAAAAAATTTATTTTTAATTTGTATAAGTAGAGAGTGGGTATATATATATATATGTATTATATATGGAGTACATAGATATTTTGATAAAGGCATACAATGTGTAATAATAACAGGATAAATGGGGTATTGGTAAGTTCAAGCATTTATCATTTTTTTGTGTTACAACATTCCAATTATACTCCTTTCGTTATTTTAAATAGTACTGTAAGTTATCGTTGACTTTAATCACCCTGTTGGGCTATCAAATAGAATACTTTATTCATCTGATCCAACTACATTTTTGTACCCATTAACCACTGCAACTTCCCCCACTCCCCCCACTACCCATCCCAGCCACTGGCAACCATCATTCTACTCTCTATCTCCATGAGTTCAAATGTTATAATTTTGAGCCCCCACAAATGAATGAGAACATGTGATGTTTGTCTTTCAGTGCCTGGCTTAAATAATGTCCTCCAGGGAAAGAGTAATGTCTTCTAAGAAAGTAGTTATTATATTGATGACTTAATAATGAGGAGACAATCATGCCTGCACTGAAAGAGAAAGAATTAAATATAGAGGGATTAAGTGTTTTGGTGAAGCTAAACTCTTTCTGCTACTTTATTACCTGCTAATCATGGAGCTACATTTCTCTTTTGCCTGTATTGCCAAATTTCTAGGAGGATATTCACTCTCTTATTTGTCTCCTGTTTGTTATACAAACTAATGAAATTTGACTCCTATCATTATCAATACTTTCATTGACCTTCCTCTTGTCAAATTCATGTCACCATCTGATTTTATCTTTTTGGGGCATTTGACATATCCTCCTACTGTGGTCTCTTCTTGCTCTTTAGCCACGTTTGGTGTTCTTTGTGGACTTTTCTTCTTTTTTTCCTTTCACAAAATATTGGTGTCCCTTTGTTCTATCTTTGAGCCCCTACATTTTGACATTCCCAATAGCTTCTATTATTTAAGTGTATTTCTTTTCATCCTCTTGCTATTTTATGACTCAGCAACCTATAATCCTAGTCCCAAACTTATTGCTGGCTCCCAGACAAAATTCTTCAGTTATTTATATATGAGTGTGAAAATGAACCCATATGTTTCTAAAGGAACCTCATCTTGAATTCTCCATCTCCATGAATGGTGTGCCCACATTTACCTAGTTCACTGGATGTAACTTGGGGTTCCTTGGGCTTCACATTAAATCAATCAAGAATTCCTATGTTTAAACTTCCTAAATATCCTTCATTGTCACGCCTATCTGAATCGTTCCAGTAGCCTCCATGCCATTCTCTTTGAAATAAACTTACTTTCCACCAAAATATCCATTACCCTGTAGGCAGATGCTTTTCTATTGTTAAAAATTGTGTTCCTTGTTTGAAATTCTACATACTATTAAGGTGAACTCACTCAAAGTAGGTTTTTTACAACTTTCATACAGATTTTATGTTTTGTGATGAACAATATTATTTAGAATGTGTTTCTGGGTGCAAATCTGGGTAATTTCCATGGAGATAAAGAAATATAGTTGATTACTTATCTTGTGAAAATCCATGCTAAATTCATGCTTCCTATTACAACTCTACACTCCATAGCCAAAGAGATCATAAAAATGCAATAAGATTGCATCAACAACTGCCACAGATGTCCAAAGTCTTTCCTTTGCATGTAGACTAAAATAAAAAACTTCTTGCCATGGTGGGGAAGATCCTAGCCTGCCTGTCTCTCTACCTTTCTGACATTTTTCCAACCCATTTTACCATCAACTTACTACAACTAAACCGGGCTGCTTTTTCTCCTACTCTTGGGGATCAGGCAATATTTCAATAGCACCTTTTATTTATTTCCATTATGGTGTCTGTAATATTAAGTTGTAATTTGTTTTATTTATGTCTTCTAGAAATGTGACCAGTGGAACAAAACAGAGACCTCAGAAATGACACCACACATCTACAACGATCTGATCTTTGACAAACCTGACAAAAAACAAGCAATGGGGAAAGGATTACCTATTTAATAAATGGTGTTGGGAAAACTGAATAGCCATATGCAGAAAGCTGAAACTGGATCCCTTCCTTGCACCTTATATAAAAATTAACTCAACATGGATTAAAGACTTAAAAGTAAGACCTAAAACCATAAAAACCCTAGAAGAAAACCCGGGAAATACCATTCAGGACATAGGCATGGGCAAAGACTTCATGTCTAAAACACCAAAAGCAATGGCAACGAAAGCCAAAATAGACAAATGGGGTCTAATTAAACTACAGAGTTCTGCACAGCAAAAGAAACTACCATCAGAATGAACAGGCAACAGAATGGGAGAAAATCTTTGCAATCTATCCATCTGACAAACGGCTAATATCCAGAATCTACAAAGAACTCAAACAAATTTACAATAAAAAAAACAACCCCACCAAAAAGTGGGCAAAGGATATGAACAGACACTTCTCAAAAGAAGACATTTATGCAGCCAACAAACATATGAAACAAGCTCATCATCACTGGTTATTAGAGAAATGCAAATCAAAACCACAATGAGATACCATCTCACACCAGTTAGAATGACGATCATTAAAAAGTCAGGAAACAACAGAGCTGGGGAGGATGTGGAAAAATAGGAATGCTTTTACACTGTTGGTGGGAGCGTAAATTAGTTTAACCATTGTGGAAGATAGTGTGGTGATTTCTCAAGGATCTAGAACTAGAAATACCATTTGACCCAGCAATCCCATTGCTGGGTATATACCCAAAGGATTATAAACCATTCTACTATAAAGACACATGTGCATGTATGTTTATTGAGGCACTATTCACAATAGCAAAGACTTGGAACCAACCGAAATGTCCATTAATGATACACTGGATATAGAAAATGTGGCACATATACACCATGGAATACTATGCAGCCATAAAAAAGGATGAGCTCATGTCCTTTGCAGGGACATGGATGAAGCTGGAAACCATCATTCTCAGTAAACTAACACAAGAACAGAAAACCAAACACTGTATGTTCTCACTCATAAGTGACAGTTGAACAATGAGAACACATGGATACAGGGCGGGAGACATCACACGCTAGGGCCTGTTGGGGGACGTGGGGCTAGGGGAGGAATAGCATTAGAAGAAATACCTAATGTAGATGACGGGTTGATGGGTACAGCAATCCACCATGTTATGTGTTTACCTATGTAACAAACCTGCAAGTTCTGCACATGTATCCCAGAACTTAAAGTACAATTAAAAAAAAAAAAGAAAGAAATGTGAACCTATATAATAGCAGGCCCTCTGTACTAATTAACAAATATGTTGTAAATAGATATAAAGTTGAGCAGGTATAATAGAGAGAAGAAAGTAAATAGGCTTATCAAACATAAAGGGGAGATGGATGCTTTATGCATTTTCAATGATTTCTGGTAGGATTTTGAGGAGTGTGATACATATATTACAGAAGGAATGTTGTAATGAGAACATTGAAGTCATTGATTTTAGTGCCTCCAACTCATATTTGAAAGTACATAAAATTTAGATATTTAAATTTAGTAAAATTTTTATGAATTGCTTTTTGTTACCTATATTAAGTGACTCTATTTGGAATTAATTAAGGTAGCAAAATACATATTGGTTTACAAATGTCTTTCTTGAGGGTTAAAATTTTTTACATCCAATGGAAATAAGTGTTTTTAATGTGAATTCTCTTATACATAAACATTTATTTTGTGCTTGTAAAGCTGACTGCTAAGGATTCAATCATGAAAGAAACTCAGTTTCTGCTCTGGGAGAAATTATTGTTTCATGGAGAAGATAAAACTTGTAAACAAATCAATTATGATGTATTATACAGAGTGCTATAGTACAGGCATGTTGAAAGTGCAGCAGAGGACACAAAAACTAACAAGATGAACGAATCATTATGGTATCATCAAGAAAAGAAAATGATGCCTTCAATTTCCAATCTTATTTGGGCTCATTACCTGAATTTTCCCTACCATACTCTTGTGTATGTTTTAACACTAAATATTTCTCTTTTTTTTCTTCGAGATGGAGTCTTGCTCTGTTGCCAAGACTGTAGTGCAATGGCATGCTCTCAGCTCACTGCAACCTCTGCCTCCTGGTTCAAGAGATTCTGGTGCCTCAGCCTCCCAAGTACTTGGGACTACAGGTGTGCGCCATCACACCCGGTTAATTTTTGTATTTTTAGTAAAGACAGTGTTTTGCCATGTTGGCCAGGCTGGTCTCAAACTCCTGGCCTCAAATGAGCCACCCGCCTTGGCCTCCCAAAGTTCTGGGATTACAAGAGTGAGCCATCATGCCAGGCCAACAGTTAATATTTCTGTGGAAACAAACATGTTTACAAGTCTTTCTTCTCCCTAAAGTCATGTTATATTTCTATTTTTCCCCTAGTAGGTCACGGAGAGTATCACAGAATAGTTAAGTAATCTTTTCTAAAATCAGAGTCCTCTGAATCTATATGTGACACTTATTAGCTTAATCTGTTTTTTGCTTCCCCATTCTTAAAATGAGGATGAGAGTAATACTTAGAACACACACTTGGTATAAAAAAAATGAATTATTGCAGGGCAAGTTGTCAGGCACTTAGGAACAAGCATTCAGTGACTACCAATAATCTTGTCTTCATTGTTAGAATGAGAGTTCCTTGAGGGAGGAAGCAATGTCATATTTTTGGGTTATCCCTGGTGTACATGTTCATGCCTATTCCTTACTAAAATGAATATCCTGAAATGTACCTACTTTAGATGATCTCAGGTTTTAGATAAACTGAAAAAAGGTGTTTGTGTGTGTGTGTATATATATGTGTGTGTGTGTGTGTGTAAAACATTTTACCTTAAAATATTCTGGCATTTCCAATATTCAATAATAAAGTTAAGTACCAATAGCTAGCTGTCTTCCTAAAAACAGTTTGAAAAAAAATTAATAGGGCACAGGAGACAATGATGGAAGAGATGACGCTAAATGCCCTTTCCACTATGCAGACATCATTGTCCCTCAGGCAGAATACTTTCATTGTGTTGGTGCCCTTACTCCAGGTGGATGTGACTGAAAACAATTACATTCATTGGTCATGACATGTTTGGCTTGTAGCTTGGCTGCTATTGAGCCCTAGCCTTCACTTCTTTATTCCAGGGAAGTAGCTAAAGCATCTAATTTGAAAAATAGCATCCCGGTAAGCAGGATATGAATCACAGAAGCCTATATTTAGCTATTTATTACAATGATTGTTCTTATTATTCTTTTTAGGTATACTTCCCTGGGTCATGTGGGGGTCAAGAAGCATTTTTCAGGGCTCTCTGTCACTCAAGGTTGTGAAAAGTAGTACACGTTTGTTGTTTAGAAGGCTAAAATCCACATCTTAATATTTTGGCAGTAATATTTTAATTTTGTTGTGGTGAAAGTATCCTGAGAGCTTCCAGTGAAACCTGTTTGATCCCTAAATCTACACACACACATGCACACACACGCAAACATCTTGTTGGTTCTATTTCTCTGGAGAATCGTTACTAATATATTAGATTTCTTTTGTTTTTTGAATTCATGGGTTTTCAATGCTAAACTTGGTTGATTCATGAAGTAGAATTAAAGGATGAGATAAGTCTTTTCTTGTTTTTCCAATTTGCTCTGTTAAGTCATCCAGACTACACTAGTGAGATTTTGCATGCAAATCTCTAAACTTTTAATTCAAAGGTCTAACATCTCCCCTCTATAAATAAATTATTGATTGGCTATTAGAAATCATCAATCAAAAATATAAGTGTCTTGTATTATGTCTTAATCAAATATATTAAATTTGATACTATAGCTAGAAATTTAAGAAGTTTATTAGAGTTAACATCATAAACTAGATACAAGAAGTAAAAATAACTATTTTTAGCTTATTTTCTTCTAATTAGACTGTTGTATATTTTATCTTTCTATATAACATTACAATTGTTATTCATAAATGGAATTATGGTTATTATCATTATCAAGTTCTACAAAATGTGATTGTCATGTGATCTTATTTATAATCAATATTTTCCAAAAAAAATACATTGTTCTGAACCTTTGAACACATTAGAAACACAACATACTTTAAAACTTATTTACCTTAAGAATTCTCTCAAGGCTTACACTTATTACTGTAAATATTAACATTCAAAATCTCTGCTTTTGTTCAAACTATGAAAATGAGATTCAGTAATTACTCAGGAATAAAAATTTTTATATTAATTGAGATTATATTTTTTTCATATAAAATCAGACTAAACTATATTTCTACATTTGATTTTTTAAATTTTGTGGGTACATAGCAGGTGTATAATTTATGGGGTACACAAAATGTTTTGACAGAGGTGTGCAATGTTTAATATTAATAATTACATCATGGAAAATAGGTTATCCGTTCCCTCAATCATTTATCCTTTGTTTTATAAACAATCCAGTTATACTCTTTAAAAAATTATTTTAAATGTACAATTAAATTATTATTGACTGTAGGCACCTTGCTGTGCTATAAAGTACCATGCTGTATTCACTAATTCTAACCACTTTTTGTACCATCCCTACCGCCGTCTCCCCCATTACCCTTCCCAGCCTCTGGTAATCATCCTTCTACTCTCTATCTCCATGGGCTCGATTGTTTTGATTTTTAGATCCCACAAATAAGTATGAAAAGGTGCTCTGATAATCACTGATTATCAGAGAAATGCAAATCAAAGCTACAATGAGATATCATCCTATTCCAGGTAAAATGGCTTTTATCCAAAAGACAGGCAACAGCAAATGTTGGCAAGGATGTGGAGAAAAGGGAATCCTTGTAAACTGTTGGTGGGAATGTAAATTAGAACAACCGCTATGGAGAACAGTTTGGAAGTTTCTCAAAAAACTGAAAATGGAGCTACCATACAATCCAGCAATTCCACTGCTAGGTATGGACCCAAAAGAAAAGAAATCAGTATATCAAAGTAATATCTGTACTCTCATTATTTGTTACAGCTCTGTTCACAATAGCCAAGATTTGGAAGTAACCTAAGTGTCCATGAACAGATGAATGCATAAAGAAAATGTGGTACTTATACACAATTGAGTTCTATTCAGCCATAAAATAGAATGAGATTTGGTCATTTGCAGTAACATATATGGAAGTGGAGGTCATTATGTTAAGTGAAATAAGAAAGGCACAGAAAGACAAATGATATTTTTTAATGGCACATTTATTTTTATAAAAAATTTATGACAATGCTTTATTTCTGGAACATTTCTTACCATGCTCATTAAGACTTGCTAAGTTACTGGAGCTCCATCTCAGTCAAATACTGTGGTGATCCTGCTATCAAATGACCTATGTTTTCCTGTATCTCAATGTCTCCAATAGCTTCTAAAGTATGAATTTCAGGATACATTGTTCAATTGTTTTGTTTTTAAGGATTGCTAGAGTAAGAGGTCACTTAGAAAAATCGATGTTTGAAACAAAAAAGGAAGGAATACAAACAAAAATCACTATAAAGATATCAAAGAAATTCATAAAAAAATCAAAAGTGACTTCACATAGCTGATATTTCTGTTATTCTTGAAATCTGTGAGAGGTTTACTAGATGTTTTGTTTGGTTTTGTGGATGAAAATAAAATATAATAATGTTATACTCTCATAGTTTACATTTTTCAATATGCTATTTTCACCATCTCTATAGACTAGCGCTTATTGTGTTTTGCTTCCTAATGGGAGAAGCATGTATGCCTTGGTGTATGTGTTTATGTGTGTGTGTATATGTGTTTTGGGAAGTTTGATATGTTGATAGAAGAGAAGATTCTCTTCTTCATTGATTCAATTAAGTCCTAGGGTTGCCAAGGGTTGTTTCATTGCCATGGAAATACAACACTTACTTTGTAACAATAACTATCGTCACTTTTTTGAATAGTTTTGATCCTGGGGAGTCTAGCATCAGGATGTTCTTGTCTATCCTAAGAAATAATATGAGCTCTTTAATAAATTTATTTTATGTCCCTTTATTTACCTGTGGCTTTCAAGTTACGAAAGTCTTTTATCCTGTGCTGTTGTAGTCAAGCATGGGCCTAAACCAGAAAGGCAAGAAAAATGAGTCCTTACATAGTTAGGTGGAGAAAGCTAACCGTCTAGAACCAAAGCTTACAAAAATCTCTCACTATAAAATTTACCATATTTCAGGATGCATTTTATTTTATATAATGAAGAATTAAAACAGGATTGAGGAATGAACGCAATTATTTAATAAGAGAAATGCTTGCATTAAAAACAAAACAAAATGAAATGAAGGCAACTGATTTATTAAAGGAATTTAATAAATTCCAAAGTAAGCTAAGAATAGTCCAATGAGCATCTAGGAGAAAGCAGTAAGATGTTCTAAATTTAATCTACATAAAGAGGCTCAATAAAGATGAGGAGAATAAGATAATTTGGAGGAAATAATATACTAGAACTTTTTGGAAAGCTGAATTCAAATTTTTAGATCTTTTTCCAATAACTGATTCAACTCCTTTCATTCATAATAATTGTTTTTTTTTCTTGCAAATATTATTTTAATAAGAAATCAGAGAGGTTTGAAATAGGCACTTGACCTGATAGGAAATATTAATTTGCTGTTGTAAGAATTCTTGTATTTGTACTATATGGTATAGAGATTTGATGAGTTAATTAGTTGGCCTGTCTCTTTTCTTTTGGTATATGTTGATATATCATAGTTGTACATATTTTTAGAGTACATGTGATATTTTGATATATGTATACAATGTATAATAATCAAAGTAGGGTATTTGGAATATCTGTCACCTCTAACATCTATCTTTTCTCTGTATTGGAAATATAACATTTCTTCTAGCTATTTTGAAATATCAAATAAATTATTGGTTAACTATAATTTTACCTCTGTGTTTTCAAATTCTAGAATGTATTATTTCTATCTAACAATATTTGTTTCTTAAAAATCAGTTTTTACAATGAGTGTATTTTGACTTTGATTCTCTATTAATTTATTGTGGAATTCATATGAAAATTTATTCTAGGGTCAGGTTTTTAACCCAAATTTCTATTAGTAAACTCTGGCTCCCTTAGAAAAGTGATGCTAAGCTTTCTGGTAATATTTTAAAAGACTACTTGGTGAAGTCTAGAACTTTTAACAACAACAACAAAAATCTAGAATCAAACATTCAGGTTTTTTTTTTCAGACAAGTCTTATCTTCATGAACTAGTTATCTGTTTTTCAACATATTTTATCTACAATATTTATCACATAAAGCATTGCATTTCTTATCCAAGTCATAATGTAAGTTCCAATTTCTGCTACAATGGCATATTTTCGTTTCTTAGAGTTACTATGTTCAGCAAAATTACAAACAAAGCCAGTAAATTTTTTGGTCAACATAGGATTAGGTACAGACTACTTCAAACCTAAACAACTCTGTAACCAGAGCGCTAAAATTAATGTTAATAATAATCCTAATAAAAATAATAAAACGAAATCTAATATAAACAAAGGACTTTGGGTGACTATGATGTGTCAATGTAGGTTTATCAATTGTAACAAATGTCCCACCCTGGTGGTGGATGTTTACTAAACGGGAACCCATGCATATGTGAGGGCAAGAGATATATGGGAAATATTTGTAGTCTCAAGTTTTCTGTGAACCTAAAACCGCCTTAAAAATCTATTTTTTAAATGTTAGCTTGGTTTAAAAGACATTTTAAATCACCAATAAGTAAATACTAACAATTATTTATTTTCCCTTTTAAAAAAGGCAATGGAAGGTTGTGTGAAAAAGAGTTAAGGCTGCCCAGCGTAGGCATAAAGGGAAATGCACAAATAAATGCAAAGAATGAGGCAATTGACACTTCCAATACAGTGGCCAAGCAGAACCAAGGAAAGATTGTAGATTATTGTAATCTCCCAGGTCGTACTTTATTTAGCTCTGTGAATGACAGAACTTCGTATTCAGCTATAGTCAGCATGTGACATAAAACCTAACGTGGAGAAAATTGATATCACTTCCATATTCTGCTGATATTGTTTCCTCCAACTGCCTGTTAGCCAGATCACATTACAGAAACATCTTTACCATAATAGATTATATATACTTAAGCTCCCAATTATCATATTAATATAGAAGTGCAACGTAATTTAACTTTCTGACCTGTCCCTCTCTCTTTTTTCATGGAAGAATTCCAGAACTTACACATTTACTGAAAACAAAAGACATTCATAATATTTATTATGATTTATTATGGTTTATATTGTACAATTTCTCACTTGGTATTGTTTATTTTTAGGTACATGTCTCAGCTTGTATGTCCATTTTCCCCATGCCATGGCTATGAGAGACCACTTGCTAGGCTACTGAGGCCAAGTTGCTTAGTGTCCATCATTGAGAGACACCCCAATCAAATCCTCTCATCATAAAATTGCTGAGGAATTTGGTGTTCAGCCCGAGTAGGCATCCAAATTCACTTAGCTTCTTACATCCTTCTATGTGGAGATGTTACTTTCATGGCCTTGGGTCTCAATACAGTGTTCACTACTTTGCATTCTTCCTTCCCTAACTAAGCGGATCCCAAAAATCTGAATTCAAAGCTCTCTTTCTTCAAACTTTTATCGTACCTCAGCTACTGTATTATACCTCTTCCTTTGAAATCTTAGATTTTGGACAGCAGTCTGGCTTTGTATTTGTGTTCAGGACCACCCATTTTTGCATGCCTGTATCTTTACAAGGCATTGAAATGCAAAAAAAGTAATAATAAAAAAATAGGTGTATAAGGCAGGGAGAGAGTTTTACCTAAAGAAAAAATAGAATTATTCAGTCATGACCAGAAATTGCTGGGCGTTGGATGGTAGGGATTAGGCAAAAGTGCAAGGGTAAGAATTTTGTTTTGTTTGTTTTATAGATTTAATGGGGTTCATGTTCCAGTTTGTTTCATGGATATATTTCACAGTGGTGAGGTCTAGGCTTCTAATGTGTCCCCATCTCCTGAAAAGTGAATATTATACCCAATAGGTAATTTTTCAGCCCTGACTTCCTTCCCCTGACCCTTTTTGGGGGAGCCTCCAATACATGCAATATTTTAAGATATGTGTACCATGTGCAATGATCAAATCAGGGTAATTGGGATAGCCATGATCTCAAACATTAAACTTTTCTTTGTGTCTAATGTAACACATTCTTCTAGTTATTTTAAAATATACAATAAATTATGGTTAACTATAATTTCACAACTCTATAATCAAGTACTAGAACTTATTATATGTATCTAACAATATGTGTTTCTCCCATGTGGATATGCTGCCTCTATTATTCCTAGTGGCAACTATTCCCCTCTGCATGTCCATGTATACCCACTGTTCAGGATTTAAAAATGACAACATGTGGTATTTGATTTCCTGCTTCTGAGTCATTTCACTCAGGATAACAGCTTCCAGCTGTTATATATCCCATGTGATATATAACATCTATAGTATCCCATCGTGACACAAAGGACTACCAGTTTATGACACAAAAGAAAGGTAAATTGGTATGGACAACCTGAAATGCTACAGTAGAAAATTTAACTCTTAAATTAGTATGTAATTCATTTTCAAGTTTTTTTTTGGTTAACTGTTAGATTCAGGAAGCTGCAGTTTTGAATATAGTTATATGTTCATCCCACAGCTCAAGTTTTCAAAATTTAAAATAAAAGGAAAAACTGGGTGTTACTTATGTGTCTCTTTCAGCTCAAAATTTTATGAAGTCATGAGATCCCGTCTTTCACTACCTGGGGGGCTATTTCTAACAAGTGATAGATTTGAATTCAAAACATTATGTCATAGGTAACTGGTCTAAGAATACTTAAGTTGAGAAAAAACCTTTTTTATCAAAATAAAAGATGTTTACAATGACACTTTTTAGTTTATATAGTATATACATTGCTGGAGGAAGTTTTATCTTCCTGCCAATATTACACTCTGATGGTGTTAAAATTCTCTAAAATGGTTTAACATGGAAATGCAAATACACACAAACACACACACACACACACACACACACACACACACAAACACATATATGTTTTCCACAGTATGTATCACATAGTGGTCATGAACAAAGCCATCTTATAAAAGTAAGGCTATGATATGGTTTGGCTGTGTTCCCACCCAACTCATCTTGAATTGTAGTTCCCATAATCCCCAATCCTGTTGTTGTGACAGTGAGTTTCTTCTCACAAGATCTGATGGTTTTATAAGGGGCTTCCCCCTTCACTGCGCACCCATTCTTTGGACAAAAACAGGCTGTTTCTTAGGATTTGATAGTCTTGCTCAAGTTTTCAACTTGGTAAACGTAAAAATTAAAGGTAATAGCCTGTAATCCCAGCACTTTGGGAGGCTGAGGCGGGCGGATCACGAGGTCAGGAGATCAAGATCATGGTGAAACCCTGTCTCTACTAAAAATACAAAAAATTAGCCAGGCGTGGTGGCGGGCGCCTGTAGTCCCAGCTACTCAGGAGGCTGAGGGAGGAGAATGGCGAGAACCCAGGAGGCGGAGCTTGCAGTGAGGGGAGATCGTGCCACTGCCCTCCAGCCTGGGCAACAGAGTGAGACTCCGTCTCAAAAAAAAAAAAAAAAAAATTAAAGGTAATAATTCATGTGAAACATAATGAGTGCAACACATAGTAATTCTACCAAATATTAGCTAATGATATTTTGACTAGATATGAATTCATTGCACTTTTAAAGAAAGAAACTAAAATTAGGATGAATTAGATATTACTTCTAGTGTCCTGAATTGGCTGGGTTTAAAATCTATTATTAAGAAAACCGAGCATATAAAGCGTTACTGAGGTACTAAAACCAGACAAAGATATTACATGAAAAGAAAAAAAAAATGGGAGTGATGTAGACATTATTTCTCATGGTCATAGACATAAAAAAATCCATAACAAAATGAAAGTAAGTTGAATTCAATGGTATGTAGAATCAATAATGCATTTTGAATAAGTGGCATTTATCCCAGGAATGCAAAGTGAGTTCTGCATTAGAAAACTAATTAACAGAATTTATAGATTAACAGCCAAAAAAGAATATATGTATGTATGTATATATACATATATATATACACACATACACATTTTCAATAGAGAAAAAGCATTTGACAAAATGCAATGTAGATTTATTTTTAAAATCTCTCAGAGAAATAAGAATAAAATCGATCTTGCTCAATCTGATAAAGTGTGTCTAATGAAATACACAATAATAAAATGCTGAATGCTTTCCCCTCTTCCAATTTTTGATGAAGCTATAATTCTCACTGGAAGTAGTAGAGTGTTGAGTTTTAGAAATGGGCTGTGGAATCGGATTTACCTGTGTATGAAGCTAGGTTCTACTGCTTTGTACTTTTTGTTATTCTTTGACAAATCATTTAGTCTAAGTTTCAGAGTCTTTGTGCATAAAACAGAAGAAATAAAATACTTCATTTATTAGTGTTTTTAAAATAAAAGAAAATATATTGTACACTAGTCAAGTCCCTGGTATGTCATTAGTGTTTGACATGTTACTTAAAAAAAAGACACATGAAAAAATGCTCATCATCACTGGCCATCAGAGAAATGCAAGTCAAAACCACAATGAGATACCATCTCACACCAGTTAGAATGGCGATCATTAAAAAGTCAGGAAACAACAGGTGCTGGAGAGGATGTGGAGAAATAGGAACACTTTGACACTGTTGGTGGGACTGTAAACTAGTTCAACCATTATGGAAGTCAGTGTGGCAATTCCTCAGGGATCTAGAACTAGAAATACCATTTGACCCAGCCATGCCATTACTGGGAATATACCCAAAGGACTATAAATCATGCTGCTATAAAGACACATGCACACGTATGTTTATTGTGGCACTAGTCACAATAGCAAAGACTTGGAACCAACCCAAATGTCCAAAAATGATAGACTGGATTAAGAAAATGTGGCACATATACACCATGGAATACTATGCAGCCATAAAAAATGATGAGTTCATGTCCTTTGTAGGGACATGGATGAAGCTGTAAACCATCATTCTCAGCAAACTATCGCAAGGAAAAAACCCAAACACCGCATATTCTCACTCATAGGTGGGAATTGAACAATGAGAACACATGGACACAGGAAGGGGAACATCACACACAGGGGCATGTTGTGGGGTGGGGGGAGGGGGGAGGGATAGCATTTGGAGATATACCTAATGTTAAATGACGAGTTACTGGGTTCAGCACACCATCATGGCACATGTATACATATGTAACTAACCTGCACGTTGTGCACATGTACCCTAAAACTTAAAGTATAACAATAAAAAAAAACACACAAGAGATTTTTACTGAGTATTATGTAGATTTGGGGAAAAAAGGGAAAGGTAGTCAAAGAAATCAATGTGTAAGAACCAAGCAAGTATCAAGGAGGTTTTACAATTATTTTTGGTTTTGTTTATCAAAGAGTTAAATTATTAATAGTACATTTGCAGTCATATTGCTTACTGCAAAACACCATTTGGAATTTCTACATATAGCAGGGCAGCCTCCATGCTAGTGAATGAGATGTGTCTTGGCAAGCAAGCTATTTACTACCCCTCATAAGCCCACATAGGTTGCAGGTTATAATTCAGACAACTGTATGAGAAACTAAGTGTTGTCTGTAATGATATAAGACATAGCATGAATATTATAATTTGAAAAAGCTCATTTACTCAGATGTGTATACATTCTGTACAATGAATTGTCATCCCTAACGTGTGGGATAACCTCCCATATGTTGTCCATCCAAGTCACAGTCCAAATGAATGAAATCACTAATTTTTGCTTGTGCCTAAACATAATTATAAATAAGAATATTTTACAGTAAAAGTAGTTTACCTGAAAGTTTCATTATTTTAGGAAACACTTTCTTGAAATTTCTTGATATTATTAAAGTGAAACTCTGATCATTTTTTATGCCTCAGTGATACATCTTGTGGCATTAGAAATACAGTTTGCTTACCTGCTTTATAAACTTAATGAGAATAAACACTGGTGTTCTTTAATACTAGGTGTTTAATAAAATTTTATCCAAAACTGGAAAGTCACTTGCTTCATGTAGTCTCAGGAATTAATATCAAATCTGAATAAGAATTTCTTTAATTTTAGTCCAATTCATTATCTCACTATAAAAATGGCTAAGGAAAATCAATGTAACAATTTTTATTTATGAAAAACATACTATGATAAGAAATAACAGTGAAAATAACATTTTAAAGATCAGTGCAAGTCTTAGTATTGCTAGCTGACTTTTTTTACTGAAAGAAGGAAACTAGTTGAAACAGTAAGGGGTAGGCTCTTATTTCTAATAATTCACTTCTGGAATAAATTAAAATGAAATAGTTCTCTATTGTGAGGTAGAATCTTGGGAGAGTTGGACAAGTAAAGAAAAGGCATCTTTTGATGGCAAGATAGAATGAGTAGCATGGAAAAGAAAGAAATATAAAATGTCAAAACTCTAAGGTCAGAACTCTGTTGCTGTTGTGTGTGAATAATGTTTTGAAACTAGACCTATTCTGTTGCCTTTTATGTTTGAAGAAACAGCTAAAGACAGAACCAAATGTAGTCAAGCCATGTTCCAAGAAATGCTATTAATACACACCCTTTACTATATACAGCCATCTCTCTACTTAATGTGCCATGACAGTGAGGATATTCTGTTTCCTTGGAACTGAGTATAAGAAAAAAAGTGATAAGTAGGCCAGGCACAGTGGCTCAAGCCTGTAATCCCAGCACTTTGGAGGCTGAGGCAGGTGGATCATTTGAGGTCAGGAGTTGGAGACCAGACTGGCCAACATGGCAAAACCCTATCTCTACTAAAAGTACAAAAATTAGCCAGGTGTGGTGGTGCTCGCCTGTAATCCCAGCTACTTGGGAGGCTGAGTCAGGAGAATCACTTGAATGCGGGAGGCAGAGGTTGCAGTGAGTCAAGATCGCACCATCGCACTCCAGCCTGAGCAACAGAGACTCTATCTAAAAACAAACAAACAAACAAACAAACAAACAAAAAATCCAGTGATAAGTAAATTTGTCCATTGAAAATGCACATTAAAAAATGTCTGATGGGCTTGGGATGTGGTGGCTCACAGCTATAATCCTAGCACTTTGAAAGGCCAAGGAGGGAAGATTGCTTGAACACAGGAGTTCGAGACCAGCCTGGGCAACATAGTGAGACCTCATCTCTATAAAAAATTTTAAAAATTAGCCAGCCATGATGGCGTGTGTCTGTAGTCCCAGCTACTCTGGTGGCTGAGGTGGGAAGATCGCTTAAGCTCAGCAGTTCTAAGGCTGCAGTGAGCCATGATCATGCCATTGCACTCCAGCCTAGATGACAGAGTGAGATCATCTCTCAAAAAAGTAACATAAAATAAATTTTTAAAAATATAAAAAAATGTTTGATGAATGTGGTGAGTGCATGAGGATGGATTAGAAAACATTACAGTGTTTTTTTCCCTTTGCCCCCAATTATTTTTAGCTAATTCAGGGGCCACATGGAACAGCATCTATTATAAACGATGCAATTTTAGAAGCAGTCATTTCAAATGCCATAGACATTTGAATTAACATTTTCTCCAATTTCATAATTACTTAATTATTACCAATTAAGAGCATGGCATAAGCATATGGTGGCTTCCCATCTGCTCATCTCTTCCTCTCAATTTATTATTGCCATTAGTTTAGTTGATGGTGACAGTGTTTAACCAAATCAAACTAATTAATAACAATCCAGTGAGTCACGGCCTTTCTTTTTGCATCTCATGCTTATTCATCACCAGCTGACTTCCACAATATGATCGCTCGGGTAGCATGCAACATTTTGGAGACATACAATTTTGGTGAAAGATGTATTTGAAGGTTTTAAAATGTATGTCATTCCTAGTTCCTGAAAGTCACATTATTTTGATTATGCCAAATAGTTGCATATTCTTTCCCTTGGTGTTTTTCAGGTTTTATTTTATGCAAATAAAAAGCATAGATTCCTCTGTGTGTATATGTTACTTTTTTGTCTTAAATAGGACATAAATATTTTTATAGTGCATTATACACTTGAGAAGAAATATTATCTTGAGTACTAGCTCTTCCCTGGTGAAAATCACTGCTAATTTTTTCTCTAATAATGTGATGCTTCTTCTGGAAAAAAAAAATCCTGTTGGACTATCTGCCGTGCATCAGTTATCAATTTAGGTGGAGGTAAGTGGGTGGAGATACACATACACACACACACACACACACACACACACACACACACACAATCATACATGTACTGCAGAATTATTTTATTATTTTTATTAAGTGTTTAATTAAAGTAATCATGAAAATTAAAGTACTGATATTAGCTCTATCTATACACCGGTTCCTTAAATTAAAAAAAATGAAACTTAAAACTCAACTCCAAATGACTAGATGGATAATTGGACTGAGAAACTCCAATCTTGTCTCCCAAGTTTTACCTTTTCTCAGGGCTCTCTTATACCAAATTTCTGGTGTGTATATATGTTTGTATATGTGTAATATGTCAACAGAGCTATACCTGAATAAAGCTCTAAAAATACAAGTTAATAATGCTTAATGAAATATGCTAACATTATTGACTATGAGCAATACTAAAGACACAGTTCCCATTCTCAAGTAGCTGATGATTAAAAAAAAGGAAAAAATAGAAATATAGATATCACAGTAGCCATGCTGTACAGATAAACTCTGTGGCACTGGCCTAAAACTAATGAAAATAGGTGTAATTACTCATTGTTATTCTATTTCCAACATTCTGTTGTTAAATTGGCCAAACAATATTATCTTAGAAAAAAAAAACAGTGTGAAAAGTGACTAGCACATTACAATTAAGTGATTTTAAAAGAACATTGGTGATATATAGACTGAAAAATGAGGACCACAGGCCCAAGATTGACTGCATCTTTGGAATGTGGGAATAGCATGTCAAACGCACTTTTAATGTTGAAATACATCAAAACAAGCAAATATAAAATGATATGATTATGTGATTTTTAAAATGAATCGTAATGCTAGGTAGGACAGGGCATTTCTCTTCATTCCACATTTGCTCAAATACTTTTAAAAATATTACCAGAAAAGTATAAATAGTATAAGTTTATGTATGCCAATTTTTGAATACTTATGTTATAGTTAATATATTAATGTATTGGCAGAAGCCATTGATAATAAATGAGGCCTTTTTGAAAGACATGACTGAATAGTGAAGAATTGGCTATACTTTATCATAGGAAGTGTGATCTTGTAAATGGCACAGAAGCATTTCAATACCAGTAACAATAAGGAGTGATGCTTAAATGAATTATTCAGGTTTTATCACAGTCTAAAAGCCAAGTCCAAAGAGAAAATCCTATTCATTCTTCATGATTTTGATTCAAAACCCATCTTAAGAAGATGTTACATCTTCAGTACTTACATCTTCAGTAGTAGATGTAACTATTCTAGTCCTTGATCAGCTTTAGTCTGTATTATACTTTAATATAATGGCTTTACCGTTTCTGAGCCTTTTCTAACTAATCTTTTCTATGCTAGATTTTTATTTTAGTTTTGCTGTAGAGTTTCTGCTTAGGTTTCATTATTTCCATTTTAGACTTCTGTCCCATGCATCTAGCAACTACATTTTTCATTTGACATTTCTGAAACCTGTTCTTTATTAAAAAAAATTTAAGTTTAAAATTTTAAATGTTTTCCAAAATAAAATGTTATGATTATTTAGAGCAACATATCTTAGAAAAAAATCAATTGAATTTCTATCCTAGATTTTGGCATAAACTATAGCTCTTATTGTAGATATTGGACCAGGAAATATTTTATCACTGATAGAAAATAAATTTAACAGTATAGAGATATAGATTTGCCTTGAAAATATTCATTTTTGTAGGTGTGCATAGGTGTGGAAGAGGAGATAATCATAGGTGTGCAGTTTTATTTCTGGATTCTCTATTGTATCACTGGTCTATAAACCTGTTTTTGTATCAGTGCCATGCTGTTTTGATTACTGTAGCCCTGTAGTATAGTCTGAAGCCTGGTAATGTGATGCCTCCAGTTTTCTTTTTTGCTCAGGATTGCCTTGGATATTCAGGCTGTTTTTTGGTTCCATATCAATTTTAAAATAGTTTTTTCTAGTTATGTGAAGAATGTCATTGGTAGTTTAATAAGAATAACATTGAATCTGTAAATTGCTTTGGGAAATATTGTCACTTTAATGATATTGATTCTTCCTATCCCTGAGCATCAGCCATCTGAACTTTGACAAAGCTGACAAAAACAAGCAATGAGGGAAAGACTCCCTATTCAATAGATGGTGCTGGGATAACTGGCTAGCCATATAAAGATGATTGATACTGGACCTCTTTCTTACACCATATACAAAAATCAACTCAAGATGGATTATAGATTTAAACTATAAAAACCCTGGAAGATAACCTAGGCAATACCACCCTGGACACAAGAACAAGCAAAGATTTTATGACAAAGATGCCAAAAGCAATTGAAACGAAAGCAAAAATTGACAAATTGGATCTAATTAAACTAAAGAGCTTCTGCACAGCAAAAACAATACTAGTAATGGAGTAAACAGACAATTTACAGAATGAGAGAAAATATTTGACAACTATGCATCTGACAAAGATCTAATATCCAGCATCTATAAGGAATTTAAATTTACAAGAGTAAAATAGCCCCGTAAAAACGTGGACAAAGGACATAAACATACACTGCTACTTGTCCTGCACGTGGAGATCCAAAGTGCAGACTTGCCTGACCTGGCCCACACCTGGCATTGCTCCTTCACTCACCCTTGTAGCTAACACAAAGGACAGAAACTTTTGGGAGCTCTATGGCTCTGCACATTGACTGAGACACCAGAGAACCTCTTCAGGGTAAAATAAGGCAGGCATAAATCCCATTGGTACCCTGCAGCTGCCACTCTTTTGCAAGTGCCACCTCCTGGCTGGAGGGCAGCCAACACATTCCATTACAGCATCTGCAGGTACACAGTCCATTATACCATCTGCTGGTAGAATAACACAGTACACAGTAAAGAGAAAATCTGTGCATGACCTCTGCTATCACCATTGCCCACATCACCCTGGCTAATCAGGAGGTCCTAAACCTGTCCATGTGACCAGTTCATTACTACTACAACCAGAATTTGAGAAAGCCAACACACTAAGGCTATTCACCACTAAGGAATCTCATAGAGCCTACTTCATTCCCCTGACACTCCCATCAGAGCTGGTGCTGGTACCCTCTGCTGGGAGACTTGAGGACAGGTCACATTACTGGATCCCTTGCAGACATTCCCCAATACTAGCCTGTTGTGTTGCAGTCTAGCTGGGTGGATAGACTCAGAGGAGCATCAGCATTCACAGTAATCTGGCTCACAGGGACTCCCACTCCTAGGGGAGGGAAGAGTGTACCACATCAAGGGATCACCCTCTGGGACAAGAGAATCCAGATGGTAGGGCTTGAGTCCCAGAACTTTCCACTTGTGGGAAGTTTCTTTCAACAGAGGCACCAGTGTAATGCTGGGATCAGTGGGGAAAGTCTGCAACTCTACCCAAACAATCAGGCAGCCCTGGTGCTCATGAGGAGTCCTGGAGAAGGGGAGGGGACTTCTTTTCCCCCTTGCCCACCACTGCAGACATAGCTGGGGCTCCTCCCATGGGAGCTTGGAGTGGGTATACCTGCAGATGGCCCTTCTGGAACACTTCAGGGTGACTATATCCCTGCAGAAGTTATGCCTTTCAGGATCAGGCTTGCACAAGGGGTAGAGTCACAATCCATCTCTATATGAAACATTAACATTCCTGAAGATGAAAAGCATTACCTGTTTGATCTGAATAGCCAGACCACTGGGTCAGGAGTGTGAATGGGAGGTGGATCACTTTCCTGCTGGACTAGTAGAGGAGCTAATGTGGCTCTCTCCCTTCTGCCCAAAAGGACCTCAGTATATTTCACTGGCAGCTCCCCAGCAGCCTCTGTCAAGGCTGGGACCTCTGCCCAACAGTGGGTATTGCATTAGCCCACCTGCTTTAGCCACAAGCAATATTTGCCCATAGACACATCCCCTACTGGCCTGAAGCCTGAACTGTTCAACCCAGTAAATAAAATACTGGGGAAAATATAAATAAATAAAAAGTACACACCATTGGGAGAATGAGATAAACTTCAAGAGACCTCTGCCATTCCAACCCCACAGGATATGGTGAACCTGCTCACACACCAATCACATTCCTAGTATTAATACATCCAGCATCTGAGAAAGCCACCATACAAAGACCCACTATAACCAAGAAACTTATCCAGAGTTTTCATCCTTGAAAGCACCAAGTGTCAAATTAGGCTATGATAAACTATCAACATTAAAATCACATCCTCAAGGGGGAAAAAAGAAATTAAAGAAAAATACAGTCAAATCAAAAATAAATCCAAAAATAATTAGAAGAAATAATCTATGAGAAGAAACCATAAAATAATTCTGTCAATATGACAAAACAGCATTCTATTACACCCCCATAATTCTGTCAATATGACAAAACAGCATTCTATTACACCCCCAAAAGATCACACTAGCCCAAAAGAGCACACTAGCAATGGATCCAAACCAAGATGAAATCTTTGAAATACCACACAAAAAATTCAAAAGGGTGTTTATTAAGCTACCCAAGGAGATAATAGAGAAAGGTGAATACCAACGTAAAAATATTTTTTTAAAAATCAGAATACAAGTGAGAAATTTTCCACGACATAGATATTTTAAAGAAAAATTAATCAGAACTTCTGGAAATGAAAGACACACTTAGGGAATTACAAAACACAGCATAATGTTTTAATAATAGACTAGATCAAGTAAAAGAAACAATTGCAGAGCCTGAAGATAAGGCTTTTGCATTAACACAAACAAAATTTAAAAAAAGAATTAAAAGAAATGAACAAAATTTCCAAGAAATATGGGATTATGTGAAACTGACAAACCTAAGAATCACTGGTGTTTCTGAGGGAGAAGAGAAAACAAAAAGCTTTCAAAACTTATTTGAGGGAATAATTGAAGAAAAGTCTCCTGGCCTTAGATGTCAAAATACAAGAAGCTCAAAGAACTCCTAGGAGTTCACTGCAGAAAGGACATCACCAAGATACATAGTCATTAGGCTATCTAAAGTCAAAATGAAGGAGAGAATTCTAAAAGCAGTGAGACAAAATCATCGGGTAACTTGTAAAGAAAAACTGTTCAGACTAACAGGAGATTTCTCAGCAGAAATATCACAAGCCAGAATGGATCAGGGTCCTAACTTTAGCCTCCTTAAACAAAAGAGCAGTCAGCCAAGAATTTTGTATCCAGCAAAACTAAGTTTTATAAATGAAGGCAAAATAATGTTTTTTTCAGACAAGTAAATGTTGAGGGAATTTGTTACTACCAGACTAGCCCTACAAGAAATGCTAAAATGAGTTCTAAACCTTGAAACAAAACCTTGATATGCACCAGAACAGAATACCTTGAAAGCATAAAACTCACAGATCCTATACAGCAATAACACAATGAAGAAAATAAAGTAGCCAGGTCACAATCAACATGATGAATGGAATAGTACCTCACATCTTAATATTAACATTGAATGTAAATGGTCTAAATGCTCCATTTAAATGACAGAGATTGTCATAGCTGAGAAAAAATTACAAAACAAATATCTGTTGTCTTTCACACTCTAGTTACTCATAGAATTCTTATATAATCAAGGTAAAGGAGTGGAAAAAGATGTTCCATGCAAATGGAAACTAAAAGTTAGCAGGAGTATCTATTTTAATGTAAGATAAAACAGACTTTAAAGCAACAGCAGTAAAAAAGACAAAGAAGATCATTATATAGTGATAAAAGAATCAATCTGACAAAGGGTATTAAAATTCTACATATATATGTACCTAACTCTGGAACTCCCAGATTCAAAAACAAGTACTGTTAGACCTAAGAAAAGAGATAAGCCATGACACAATAATAGTGGGGGAAATCAACACTTCCATAACAGCACTAGACAAATAATTGAGGCAGAGAGTTAACAAAGAAATATCGAACTTAAACTGCACTCTAGAACAAATGGACCTAAGAGATATTTACAGAAAATTCTACCCAAGAGCTGCAGAATATATATCCTTGTTATCAGCATATGGAATGTTTTCTAACATAGACCATATGATAAGACACAAAACAAGTCTAAATAAATTTTTAAAAATCAAAATCATATCAAGTATTTTCTCAGACCACAGTGTAGTAAAACCAGAAATCAACTCCACAAGGAACCCTCAAAACTATACAAATACGTGGAAATCAATCAATCTTATCCTGAATGGGTTTTGGGTTAACAGTGAAATCAAGATGGAAATTTAAAAATTATTTGAAATGAAGTGTAATAGTGGCAAGTAGTCAAAACCTCTGGGATACAGCAAAAGCAGTGCAGAAAAGATAAATGTAATTGAAGCAAACAAAATAAAGATAAATAAAACAAAAAAATTGTTCCTTGAAAAGATAAATGAAATCAATAGATAATTAGCTAGATTAACAAAAATGAGAGAAGACTCAAATAATTTCAATTAGAAATGAAAATGGATACATTACAACTGACATCACAGAAATATGAAAGATTATTCAAGACTACTGTTAACAATTCTGTGCACACAAACTAGAAAATGTAGAGGAAATGAATAAATTCCTGGAAACATACCTCTCTCCTAGATTAAATCATGAATAAATAAAAATCCTGAGCAGTCTAATAATGAGCAGTGAGATTGAATCCGTAATAAAAATATTGCCAACAGGCCAGGTGCAGTGGCTCACGCTTGTAATCCCAGCACTTTGGGAGGCCAAGGCGGGCAGATCACGAGGTCAGGAGATCAAGACCATCCTGGCTAACACGGTGAAACCCCGTCTCTACTAAAAACACAAAAAATTAGCCGGGCATGGTGGCGGGTGCCTGTAGTCCCAGCTACTCGGAGAGGCTGAGGCAGGAGAATGGCGTGAACCCAGGAGGCGGAGCTTGCAGTGAGCGGAGATCGCACCACTGCACTCCAGCCTGGGCGACAGAGCGAGACTCCATCTCAAAAAAAAAAAATTTGCCAACAAAAAAAGCCCAGGGACAGATGGATTCACAGCCAAATTCTATCTGACATTCAAATAATTGGTACTAATCCTAGTGAAAGTATTTCAACAGATTGAGAAAGAGGGAATTCTCCTTAAGTCATTCTATGAGGCCAGTATCACCCTTATACCAAAATCAGGAAAGGACATAACAAAGAAAGAAAACTATAGACCACTATCCCTGATGAACATAGATGCAAAAATTCTCAACAAAATACTAGTAAGCTGAATCCAACAGCATATCAGAAAGATAATAGATTATGATCAAGTGGGTTTCATCCCAGGGATGCAGGGATGGTTTAATACATGTAAGTCAATAAATGTGATACATTACATAAAGAGAATTAAAAACAAAAACCATATGATAATCTCAACAGATGCAGAAAAGGCATTCAATATAATCCAGCATCCCTGGTTTATTATAAAAACCCTAAAAAAAACTAGGCATAAAAAGAACATCCCTCAAAATAGTAAAAGCCATATATAACAAATCCATAGCCAACATCATACTATATGGGGAAAAGTTCAAAGCATTTCCCCTAAGAAATGGAACAATACAAGGATGCCCACTTGCACCCCTTCTATTCAACATAATATTGGAAGTCCTAGCCAGAGCAATCAGATAACAGAAATAAATTAAGGGCATCTGAAATTTAAGAGCATTGGAAAAAAGGAAGTCAAACTATCTCTGTTTGCCAATGATATCATTATATATCTAGAAAACCCTAAAGATTCCTTCAAAAAGACTCTCAGATTTGATAAATGAATTCGGTGAAGTCTCAGATTAAAAAATCAATGTTCACAAATCCATGGCACTGCTATACATCAACAAAGGCCACACTGGGAATCAAACCAAGAGCTCAAGCCCTTTTACAATAGCTGCAAAAAAAAATAGTAAGAAAAAAACACCTAGGAAATTTAACCAAGGAGGTGAAGATCTCTACAATGAAAACTATTAATAGAAAAGACTGCTGAAATAAATAATAGATAACAAAAATAAATGGAAATATATCCCATGCTTGTGGATTGCAAGAATCAGTATCGTGAAAATAACCATAGTACCCAAAACTATCTACAGATTCAATGCAATTCCTATCAAAATACCAACATCATTTTTCACAGAATTAGAATAAAAAAATCCTAACATTTTTATGGAACCAAAAAAGAGCATAAATAGCCAAAGCATTCCCAAGCAAAAAGTACAAATCTGGAAGCATCACATTACCTATCTTCAAATTATGCTATAAGCCAAAATATACCAAAACAGCATGGTACTGGTATAAAAGCAGACACATAGACCAATGGAACAAAATAGAAAACCCAGAAATAAAGCCAAATAGTTGCAACTACATGTAGAAGAATAAAACTGGATCCCTCTTTCTCACTGTACATAAAAATCAACACAAGAAGGATCAAAGACTTAAATCTAAGACCTGAAACCATGAAAATTCTAGACAAGAAACTCTTCTGGACATTGGCCTAAGCAAGTAATTTATGAGAAAGACCCCAAAAGCAAGTTCAACAAAAACAAAAATAAATCTATAGGACCTAATTAAACTAAAAACATCTTCATAGCAAAATAATCAGCAGACTAAACAGATAACCCAAAGAATGAGAGAAAATATTTGCAAACTATGCATATAATAAAGGACCAGTGTCCTGAATCTACAACTCAAGCAAATCAGCCAGAAAAAAAAAATAATTCCATCAAAAAAATGGGCAAACAATATGATTAGACATTTTTCAAAAGCAGATATACAAATGGCCAACATGAATAAATGCTCAACACCACTAATCATCAGGAAAATGCAAATTAAAACCCCCATGATATATAACCTTATCCCAGCCAGAATGGCCATAATTAAAAAGTCAAAAACAATACAGGTTATAATGGATGTTGTATTAGTCCATTTTCATGCTTCTGATAAAGACATACCTGAGACTGGACAATTTACAAAAGAAAGAGGTTTATTGGACTTACAATTCCACATGGTTGGGGAGGTCTCACAATCATGGCGGAAGGCATGAAGGAGTAAGTCACATCTTACGTGGACGGCAGCAGGCAAAGAGAGAGCTTGTGCAGGGAAACCTCCATTTTTAAAACCATCAGATCTCATGAGGCCCATTCACTATCATGAGAACAGCACAGGAAAGACACGCCCCCATGATTCAGTCATCTCCCACTGGGTCCCTGCCACAACATGTGGGATTATGGGAGCTACAAGATGAGATTTGGGTGGGGACACAGAGTCAAACCATATCAGATGTGGTGAAAAGGGAACACTTATACACTGCTGATGGGAATGTAAATTAGTACAACCTCTACAGAAAACAGTATAGAGATTTCTTAAAGAACTAAAAGTAGACCTATCTACCCAAAGGAAAAGAAGTCATTGCATATATATTAAAAAATTGTATCTGCACATGCATGTTTATTGTAGCATGATCCACAGTTGCAAACATATGGAACCAACCTAAATGTTCATCAACTGATGAGTGGATAAAGAAAATATAGTATGTATAATCATCGAATACTACTCAGCCATGAAAGGAAATAAAATAATTTTTTTTGCAGCAACTTGGATGGAGCTGGAGGCCATTATTCCAAGTAAAGTAATAAAGGAATGTGAAACAAATATGTATGTTCTCAATTATAAGTGGGAGCTAAGATATGGGTACATAAGCACACGGTGTAATATAATGAACAGTAGAGACTCAAAAGTGAGAAGTGAGAAGTGATGAGAGATTAAGAAACTATTGGGAACAATGTATACTACTAGAGTGACAGTTGCATGAAAATCTCAGATGTCACCGCTATACAATTCATCCATGTATTCAAAAACCACTTGTACCTTAAAAGCTATTGAAATTAAAAATAAAGAAAAAGAAAGAAATTATTGCTGCTTCTAAATGCATTCTTGTCTCTTATAGAAACTGTTACATCTGGGGAATACATACTTATGTCTTTAGAGAAATATAAGTGTTGTAATAAATACAAAAATATATATTTGGCATGGGTACTGTGCTGAAGATACAGTAAAATGTTAGCATACACTGAATTTTAACTCAGATGGTGCTGATTATTCTCTTAACATCGTCTGGACATCTTTTCATTATATTTCCCATGTGGTAGTAACAGCTAATTAAATAATTTTTCATTAATTTAATCTGTATAAGCAATACATTTTCACAGCTTTTTATTATATTTATGTAGGACATGTTATTATAAAAATCACTGATTATTTTGTTCTTCCATGCTGTTTTTATTCCATAAACAAAAGAGATCAGTTACAGCTATTGGCATTAAAACAACTGAAAATAATTGTCCACAAATACACATCATCCATGTCTTTTAAAAAATAGTTTCAAGGCCGGGTGTGGTGGCTGACACCTATAATCCCAGCACTATGGGAGACTGATGCAGGCAGATCATGAGGTCAAGAGATCGAGACCATCAAGGCCAACATGGTGAAACCCTGTCTCTACTAAAAATACAAAAATTAGCTGGCCGTGGTGGCACACACCTGTACTCCCAGTTACTTGAGAGGCTGAGGCAGGAGAAGTGCTTGAACCCGGGAGGTGGAGGTTGCAGTGAGCCGAGATTGTGCCACTGCCCTCCAGCTTGGCAACAGACCGAGACTCCATCTCACAAAAAAAAAAAAATAGTTTCAAGAAATTATAATGAACTTTAAGTTGACATTAATTTATTTTATACTTTCATTTGATATAGAGTTGTTGAAAAAGTTAGGAACCTAAAACTCAGTCTAGGGATATGCAAACATATTTCAAGACTCAAAAATAAATCAAAGATAGTTGGGAAGATATGCTTTGGCAATGATGAAATATTAATCAGTTGTAATTTCATCTGACAGAGCATTCCTGATCTTTTGAAACTAACATAATATCAAGACATTTGTATAGGAAAATACAGCATTATTAGCCAGTTCTAAGAATTGACTCTCTCAGTAACAAATACTGATTTTGTTTTAGTCTTCATTTTTCAAGTAAACACTAACTTTTTTCTTTTTTTTCAAGGCAAAAGTTCATAACAATCTTACAGAAAAAGAACAGATGGTTATACATTATTTCCCTGTGAATCAGTACATTTTAATTTGGTACATGAGTCAGTGAGCCTAACATCATGGTTCATTCTTGATGATATATTGGTATCATGCAGTGAGTTGAAACATCCATATGAATCACATTTTAATCATTATTTTAGCCAGATAAAAAAGTGATTTTTTTCAGCTATTTTCTTCCCACCCAACCCCAACATTGCTCTTTATAATTAATGAAAACAACACAATGATAATGCAAAAATCATGCCAGCATAATAATCATTTGATGTAAATAACCCTGTTGGAGATTTATATTCACCGTGTGTTTTTTTCTAGTAGCAGGTGTCTAGGTGGAAATCCTATATCCATCATCCAGGTTATGGATAAATAATTACTAAATGGAGAGTAGTGACAAACTAGACATACACACAGTATAAATAATAGATCTTAAAAAGAATACTGAGTAAAGCTGAAACAGATTACTACAAATATACACATAAAGCTTATATAATTAGTACAGCATATACTTATAATTGGCCCCAAATTACATTATATATTTTTCCAAAGATAAACATTTACCTTAGGACTCTTATTAAATCCATACAGTAAGTGTTTATATAGAAGAAGGAATGGATGCTTAAATGAAGAATGAAGGGGAAACAATAATACAACAAAACTAATTGCACTGTTCACAAAATGTCAGGATAATTGTTATGAATTAAGGAAAAAGTATAACACAATATTGTACTTCTGAGTTTAAAGAATAAAAGTTTTAGAAACGAAATATTATTACACAGCTGAAAATCCGAAGGCTGAGGTAAGACTCTACCTTCCTTACCAGAACCACTTAGGAAGACTTAACTACCTGGCAGGCTGGAGAGAATTTCAGGGAATCTCAAGCCAGGATATATAGGCAAAAGAGAAAAGAGAGTAGTTCTGAGGCATTTGGGAGTTGGGGAGAGAGAGAGAATAAAGGATTCAGTGGCAGAGAACTGCATATTGGCTATCTATTTCTGTAACAATGACTAGCCATCTCTTGCTTGTCCTGTAAGTGCCACTCAAATGGACTCTGGAACAATAAGAATGATCATCTTAAGGTACCTTTTCCTGTGTGGTGCCAAGTGGTGCTATACATCTCTGAAAAACAGACTGAAGTGGTGGACTGAAATAATGCCATTCAAAACCCAAGCTCTTTTTTTTTTTTATGAAATAATGAAAATAGCATGGAGAAACAAAATAAGCAGTGATTATATAACAACATGTTCTATATAAATATGATAAAAAACAGTGAAAGTTTATCTTTCACTAGATATCTACTGTTAATAGTACTACTATTTTACTAGATATCTATTATTAATAGATACCTTTTGCATCTACAGAGGACAAGGAACAAAGATGTTTCTTTGACTACCCCATAGCAGAACATCAATTTTCATCTTTTGCCACTGATGAACTGGAACAGACCCTTCTACTTTGTATTCTACCACCTACAAGTTTAACCTATCCCAGTGATTTCATCTTCCTGAAGATTTCTGAAAAATAACATCCACTTACATAAAAATTTAAAGAAAAAAACTTCATTTTAGAGAACTCAATAATTTGATAGTTCTACTCGATTGAAAAATAGGACTAGATAATCCTATTGCAGTAGGTCAATGGAAAATAAAGAAAATATAATTATACAAATAATGAAAAATTTTAAGAAGAAAAACAATAAAAGTTATTTATAGAATTCAAAAACATGATTTTCAAAGTAAAACATACAATTTTTTTTTGTTTGTTTGTTTCTGAGGCGGAGTCTCGCTCTGTCGCCCAGGCTGGAGTGCAGTGGCGTGATCTGGACTCACTGCAAGCTCCACCTCCCGGGTTCACACCATTCTCCTGCCTCAGCCTCCCGAGTAGCTGGGACTACCCACCCTCACCACCCACCCGGGCTAGTTTTTTTGTTTTTGTATTTTTTAGTAGAGATGGGGTTTCACCGTGTTAGCCAGGATGGTCTCCATCTCCTGACCTCATGATCCGCCCATCTCGGCCTCCCAAAGTGCTGAGATTACAGGCGTCGGCCACCGCGCCCAGCCACAACTGACATTTTTTGAAGATATATCATTGCCAATAACCAAGTTAATGTTCTAGTGCATGCATTTTGGAAAAATGTATCAACAAATTTTTTTTAAAAAAGCAAAACATTCACACAAAATATGAACAATAATATGAGAGAAAGAGAGAAAGATTAACACCTGTTCACTGAGAACAGTGTAATTGAAAGGTATCACTGATCCATTGCAGAAAAGTTCCTAATGAAATTTCTGAATCCCAGTGATGCAGAATGAGTAAGTTACTTGTTATAATAAAAAAATCAGACTAGTATTGAACCTTGCATCTGGAAATTAGGGAGATAGAAAATAATAAAAACAGTTTTACAAGGGCTTCAAAATAGAAGATCTGTGATTGAAGCATCTAATACCTAACAAGATATTATTATCATAGGAGACGAGGAAGAAATAACACCCTGCTCTTTCTTGTATGATTGTTCATGTTTAAATTGGTATTATTCAAAAAGAAAATTTGAAGATTTAATGTGGATATTGAGAAGTAGCAACAGACAATACAAAAATCAAAAACAATTATTTAAATTTATTAAAAATAAGAATTAAAGCTGGAATTAATGATAAAGCAAATAAAATGATATTAGTAATAAAGAAACCAAGTAACCAAAACAAAAGTTGATTCATTGGAATGAAGAATATGTGATCAAAACATAATTCCTTTGCTGGTTATTTAATATTTATCTTTTTAAATTTTATTATTTTGTCCCAAATGTATACACAGGTGCTCTCAATCAAAGACAGGCTTTTTCTTACTTGCTTTATAGTAAATTATAAGCATATCGGCTTCCCTTGCCCCACGCCTTATTTGTGGGTCAACACAATAAAAGCTAGAGAGAAAAATCTCCTACCTCATACATGAGCAGCTGACACTTCATATGTGAGGGATGGAGAACAACGAATTTTCCCTATTTATATGCAGTAGATAGACAGTCATCCTCCTGGCCTCTGGTTGAAGCTTGTATGGGTTGTTCCAATCAAAGTTTAGTTCTCAGAGGCTTTCTTAGGTTTGATTTTTTTCCCACACATGTATGGTTTGGGAGTTAGGCTGTGACACATGGGTACATTTGCAAAATAAGGGATCCCCTTTCCTGGCGTTCTCTACTTTTGGATTTCCTGCTCACATGCCAGTCTGCCTGGGCTTCTTTCAATGTTTTTATTTGTTTGTTTTTCTGGCCATGAACAGGGCAGTGATTCTACCATGTTCTACCAACTTATATCACTGTGATTAGAGCCCAAGACTGAAGTCCAACCATGGCTACGAAAGAACAAAAACCAAACCAGAAAACAGAAAAGGAAACCTGATGAGAGGTGCTTCTCAAAGTTTCACTGTCTTCCACAATTCACCTTCAATTTTCAGATTTTTCAGATAGCTTTTAATAAACATTTATTTAGCCAAATTTTAGTTGTGATCAGTGGAAGAGATGTGCTCTAGGGGCTTATACTGCTGTAGTGAAAACTGAACCCCTCCTATCTACTAAGCTTTAAATTGATATGATTTTAAGTTTCTGTTACTGAGTTTTTATTTTCAGAAATACTAACTGGTACTTTCTAAAATCTTCAGTGACACTTTCTGTAATTTCTTTCAGAAATATACAAACTTTTCCTTTATTTTACATGCAGTTACTATGGTTTTATTTTTTAAATAATATACATTCATTCATTCCAGTATTTGAAGTGTTCACATATATATTTCTCCTGACTGACATTTCAGTTTCTATACAGGCATTATTCCTTGTTTTCTAATGTACCCTATATCATTGAGCCTGTGTTAGTCATTTCAAAATCTATTTGTAGAGGGTTTGCCAAACCACTTCTGCTGTGCTCACAAAGGCGTTTGCAGTCTAGAACTGCTTTAAAACGTGATGGCTTGAGCTTCCTTGAGTTTTTGAGAACCTACAAACACAGGCTGTAAATCTGCATGATAACTGTTTTAATTCTGGTTCTTGCTTCCACTGAGGTATATAACTTTGGATTTCTCCCTCATTGTGTGATAAGTTGAATCCTCAGCATGGACTCTGGAATTTGATTTACATCCTGTTCATCCTGTTCATCTTAGGCGCTCATCAGAACCAGAGTTACACTTGCTGAGATTTGCAAATGTCTCTCAGAAAGAAAAATAAAAGGAGGAGGGAGTTTCAGTGTTCAGATTGGTTCCATTTCCTCTTTAATTGAATTTAGTATATTTTGATCTCAGTAGATATTTTAGTCTTTTGGTGCTAAGATATTTTAATAGTTTATCCAGCCTGTTTATTTTTTTCATCACTAAAATTGTTCTAATAATTGTGACACCCATTAGCAGACATAAGAAGCCTATGTAGCTTTAAAGTTAGATTTTTAACCTTTCTGGGATTTATTCTATTTTATGAAGTCTGTTTTTGACATTTTTTTCTAAAATGAATAGCCAATTATCTCAATATTAATCTGTCTTTTGTTTTTCCATTATATTACTTTTTTTTACACAACATATACCTATGTATACAAAAGTCTTTTTCTGAACTTCTACTCTCTTAAATTTCTATATTTTAGATTTCTATATCAGTACTATTCTCTTTAAATTACTACCACTTTATAGTATTTTAATATGTATTTAGTCAAGATCCTCTCCTAATTTTTATCTGTTAAATTTTACTTGGCTTTAATTCTTCTTCATAAATTTTAGAAGTTTTAGAGTTTCCTAAATATAGAGTTAAATTTAAAGTAGGACTTTTAGATTTAGAGAGACTTACTATCTTTGCAATATCGAGTGTTCCATATATAAATATATCAGCATTATCTAGCTTTATTTTAGTTTTTACATGGTTGTTGTTCCATCACTTTGAGTAATAAGTAATAAATGCTATCAGCAATTTTGTTCATGTCTTTGGGGAAATGTATTTATGAATATGAATTTTTCATGTGTATAAGTAGACATGGACTTGTGAATTCCTTGTTACATACAAAACTTTAGCAGATACTACCAAACTGTTTTCCAAGGAGGTTAAATAAATGTACACCACATCAGTATATTTTAAGTTTCAACTGTGTCACATTTCACTGAAACTTGTATTGTCTGCCTTTTTCACTGTAGCTGTTCTGGTGGGTGTGTAGTTGCTTGTATTTTCATTTGTATTTCTATGTTGATTTATAATGTTGAGCAACTTTTCACATGCCTACTTACCATTTGAATATCATTTTGTGTGAAATGTCTGGTAAAGATTTTTATCAATTGAGGGTAAGGAGGTTACATCTTTTCTTTACCAACTTTTATGCATTTGGGGAAAAAATGTCAGATGTATATATCCTATTCTTTGGAAATTTTTCACCCCATTTTTACTGTCACTTCTATAAATAAAATTTATTACTATATCTAGTTTTCATTTTACTTTTACTAAAAGAGATTTTGGTGTAATGTTTAAGAATGTTTTACCTACCTCAAGATAATTATTACCCTCTTGTTTCTTCTAGAAGCATTAATTAATTTACCTGTCACATATGTATAATCCATTAGAAGTTTATTATTTTCCATATAAATAACCAATTTACCTGGCACCATTTATTGAATAGATGCTAGGTTTGTACAGTCCTAAATCAGATGCAGGTATATGTGAGTGTGTTTCTTTCTTTACTTTCTATTACGTTTCATTGGTATGATTGATAGCCTTGTGCCTTGTTTTCTCTTGATAAGTTATATATTGATAATTTTTACAATCTAAACACTCATGTTCCCTAGAAACTTTAGTGATAGTGTACTGAATTTATCAATGGCTATGGTCTAAGTGTGTCCCCCAAAATTCATGTGATGGAAACTCCATTCCCAATGCAATAGTCTTGGAAGTCAGGGTCTTTGAAAGTTATTTAGATCATAAGGTCCTGGCCCCCATGGGTGGGTTAATGCCATGATAAAAGGGCTTGATTGAGAAAGTTGGCTCCTTTTGAACCCCTTCTGTCTCCTCTGCCATGTGAGGACACAGCATTCTTTCCCTCTAGAGGATGCAGCTATAATAAGGTGTCATCTTGGAAGCAATTAATAGCCCTCTCCAGTCAACCAACCTGCTGGCGCCTTGGTCTTGGACTTTCTACCCTTCAGAACAGTGAGAACATAAATCTCTGTTGTTTATAAATCACCCAGTTTCCAGTATTTTGTTATAGGAGTACAAATGGACTGTGACATCACTCAGTTTGAGAAAATAAACATTTTTATGATATTGAGACTTTCTGTCCACAAAAGGGCATCACTTTAAATTTACTTATCTAATTGTACTAAATATTATTTTATAGATTTTAGTGTAAATGTTTTGAAGATGTCTTGTTAGATTTATAATTTTTTTTTTTTTTTTTTGAGACGGAGTTTCACTCTGTTGCCCAGGCAAGAGTGCAGTGGTTGGGCTGCTATTGCAGCTCACTGCAGCCTCCGCCTCCCGGGCTCAAGTGATTCTCCTGCCCCAGCCTCCCGAGTAGCTGGGATTACAGGTGCCTACCACCACACCTGGCCAGTTTTTGTATTTTTAGTAGAGATGGGGTTTCAGCATGTTGGCCAGGCCACTCTTGAACTCTTGATCTCGGGTGATCCACCCACCTTGGCCTCCCAAAGTGCTGGTATTAGAGGTGTGAGCCACCACCATGCCCGGCCCAATATTTTTTATGTGTGAGATAAATACTACCTTTTTTCTCTGTTTAGAGTTTTTCATTTGTTGCTTCCATATAGAACCATAATTTATTTTTGCATTCAGGTGGATGATTAAATCTGTATCATCTATATCTGTATCATCTATACTTATATCTATACTATTCTCTTTTTCAAATACCATTCTATTCATTATCTGTATCTGTCTCCTCATTCATTCATTCAATTTTTTATTTTGGCTTTTTGCACTAAAACCTCTACTAAAGTGCTGAATAGAAATTATTTCAGGCATCATCTTCCTATTATCTCTGGAGGACACATTTCAATAATTCATCATTAATGATCAATAATGAAAAATAATGATGAATAATTGAACAATCACAGTGTTCAATTACTTCATCATTAATGATGAAGTTCATTAAAGATATGGCAAATGCTTTTTTCACATGAGAAATCATTTATCATTCAGTATGTTATAGTTATTTGAAATGTCTTATCTTGTTAATAGCAGTTAGTGTATTTTCTTATCTTAGACATTGAAGGTTTTGAACATATAGAATACAGTTATTTAATATTGCCTGCTAATTTTGAATCCATGTAAGCCTAGTTAGTTCAAAATAGTTGATTTTTTCAACTCATTTTTGGGTTGTGTCTCTGATTCTTCGTATACCTGGTAACTTTTCTTTCTTTCTTTTTTTTTTTGAGATGGTTTTGCTCTTGCCCAGGCGGGAGTGCAATGGCGCGATCTTGGCTCACCACAACCTCCACCTCCCGGGTTCAAGCGATTCTCCCGCCTCAGCCTTCTGAGTAGCTGGGATTACAGGCATGAGCCACCACGCCCTGCTAATTTTGTATTTTTAGTAGAGACAAGGTTTCACCATGTTGGTCAGGCTGGTCTCGAACTCCAACTTCAGGTGATCCGCCCACCCCAGCCTCCCAAAGTGCTGGGATTACAAGCGTGAGTCACCACGCCTAGCCTACCTTATAATTTTTTACTGGATGTCAGACATTGTTAATTTTACCTTATTTAATGGAAAATATGTGTGTGTGTGTGTGTGTGTGTGTGTGTGTGTGTGTATTTTTCAGCCTTGTTCTGAGATGCAGTTATTTGGAAACACTTTATTCCTTCAAGACTTGCTTTAAAGATTTGTTAGATAAGACAATCACAGTGTTCAATGTGTTTGATCCAGGAATATTTTCATTCTCCACAATTTAGGCAGGATCCTTCTTAGCACTTTACAGAGTCCCTCTTGAATTATGAGATTTTCACTCTGGCTGGTGGGAACAGTCACTATTTCCCAGCTTTAGGTGAGTGCTGGGCACAGTTTCCTCTAAGTATTTTGTGTAGTTTCTGCCCCAGCTTTGGTTAGTTTCCTCACACACACAGTGAGTGGTACCCTGAAGAATATTCCTGGGGAATCTGTGGAAAGTCTTTGAAGTTCCTTCTGTATGGATCTCTCTCCTCCCTGATACTCCATCTCCTTAGCTTTCCAGGACCCTTAGCTCCATCCTAAACTCAGAGAACCCCCTATGCCCCTCCTGAAATCCTCTTAATGCAGTAAGCCTATCAATCTTAGGGCTCACTTCATTTGTTTTTCCTTTTTTTCAGTGACCCTGTCATTCATTTCCTGATGTTCATTCCTGAAAATTGTTATTTTGTAAATATTGTCTAGTTTTTTGGGTTGTTACAGGTGCAGTATTAAATCTGGTCTCTGTTACTCTGTGTTGGTCGAAGGTTTAATTCTTCATATCTCATTAGCTTTTGTTATTTTGATTTGTAGCTTATTTCTACCATTGCGGTGAATAATTATATGCAGGGATGTAATTCTTTTGAAGCTATGTCTATGCCACCATATTCTAAGTTTGGGTAAATGCTTCAAGTGCGCTTGAAAATTGTGCATTCTGTCAAAATTGGGTAAATTGATATTTAAATATTGGTTGGTTCAAGTTTATTAAACATTTTTAGCTTTTCCATATCCTACTAATTTTTGTTGATCTATCAGCTATTGAAAAGAGGTATGTTGAAGTATGTCACTATGATTGTCAGTTTTCTGTTTCATCTTTATTCCTTCAGTTTTTAAATACTCATTAACCTATGCTATTAGGTGTACATTTAAGATATATAATTGTGGTATCTTCCTAATGGAAGTCCCCTCAAACTTTATGAAATATACCTTTTATCTTTAATAAAGCATATTGCCTAGATGTCCGCTTTTTCTAATGTTAATGTTAGAAAACTACATTTGCTTGCTTTTGGCTATTTTTGCATGGATTTTGGGTTTTACTCTCATTATGGATAGACTAAATGGGGCATTTCTGCCCAGAAAGAAGTTCCAATAATGAATAATCTTTGGTTTGGGGCTTTTTAGTGAGTTACCAAAGATATTTTTTTCCTAGCTACAGTACAGTTTGACTCTCCCCTAACCCAGCAGCCTCCTTCTTTCATTTCATATGTCTAAGAACTGCTTCATCTATAAATATTCCTAGTGTTCCTTCCTTCATCATTAATAAATGGTTTCTGCAATAACTGTGCATTTCTATTTTGGTATTTTATTTGAAATTCATCCTTGATTAATGTGATTCTGATTCCTCTAACATTATCAATAGTACTTTTATCAGTTAGTAGCAAGAAGAATTGTAAAGTAAATTTGGTGAATTCATTGTTGCTCATAAATGACAAATCTTAAAATCATATTTTTCAGCAAAAACTCTTGAAAATTAATAGATGACGTTTTAGGCCTAATTATGTGGCTAGTGAGAAGAGGTGGTTCAAATATAAGCTTCTAACTGTAAATTTACTGAGACTCCACCATGCTTCAAAATACTCTATGTCTGAATAATTTATATAGATGTTAACACAACTTATAGAACAAGAAATTTATTATATATGTATAGCAAAAAAGAATGGGATGCTGTTGTTTGAAAGCAGAGTTTCTTGTATTTGAGGTAGAATTAATCTAAGGTAGAATTTTTCAACACAAAATTTCTGGTTTATAAACAAATAGGCATGTTTACATTAAATATTAAATATACCAGAAGATTTATAACTAATTATTTAAATCCCTGTAGTTTTCCACTAAGAACTTTGTGAATGCCAATCAAGTTATTTTTATCATGCCTATGTTTCTATTTATTGTCACCTTCATTAATCACTCAGAAGATAGTGATTACAGGTATTGTGCTATTACTCTTCAGTTTTATAAGGCAAATGTTATTAAGCATCATTTTTTAAAGACTAAAAACACACTGAAAAAAGAGTTTCGTTTTCTGTTCCTGTGTTAGTTTGCCAAGGATAATGACTTCCAGCTCCATCCATGTCCCTGCAAAAGACATGATCTTGTTCCTTTTTATGGCTGCATAGTATTCCTTGGTGTATATGTACCACATTTTCTTTATCCACTTTATCATTGATGGTCATTTGGGTTCATTCCATGCTGAACAATGAGAACACATGGACACAGGGAGGGGAACAACACACACTGTGGCCTGGTGGGGGTAGGGGGAGGGAAAGCATCAGGATGAATAGCTAATGCATGCAAGGCTTAATACCTAGGTGATGGGTTGATAGGTGCAGCAAGCCACCATGGCACATGTTTACCTACATAATAAACCTGCACATCCTGCACATGCATCCTGGAACTTAAAATAAAACTTTAAAAAAAGTTTTGAAATTATGTTTTTCCTAGACTTTTGGGTCCATGAATATCACTCTGTTGTCCTAGGGAATACCTCTTAATAAAAACAGCTTTTTCGGAGTAATGAATCAGAGAAGGCAGGAGTGATATTTATGTTTTTTTAAAAGTGTGATAGTGCCTTTACAAGTTGTATACTTAGACATATTCTTCCACTACAAAGAAGTAGATGCTCTGGGAGCTCATGTAATTTCAGAAATCTAGGAGATTCATGATGTTTATTAAGTTATTTATTTATTTATTTTTTTGATGGAGTCTCGCTCTGTCACCCAGGCTGGAGTGCAGTGGCGTGATCTTGGCTCACTGCAACCTCTGCCTTCCAGGTTGAAGTGATTCTCCTCCCTCAGCCTCCTGAGTAGCTGTGATTACAGGCATGTGCCACCATGCCCGGCTAATTTTTGTATTTTTAGTAGAGACAGGGTTTCACCATGTTGGTCAAGGTGGTCTCGAACTCCTGACCTCGTGATCTGCCTGCCTCAGGCTTCCAAAGTGCTGGAATTACAAGCGTGAGCTACAGCGCCAGGCCAAAGTTCATCTTTAATGTATCCACAAGCTTCTGATTGTATGCAGGCATATCAAATATCTACATCTGGCTTCGTTCTTTCTTTTTCTCACTAGTGCTATTACTATGTGGTGTTTTACACAATAAAAATTATCTCAATAATGAATATCATGATGGAATTTCAAATGGCTTATTTTTTACTATTGAGAACTAACAGGCAATAGAACTGGAAGTCAGAAATGAACACAAGTGGCATGTGCCCTCTAGTGGACAGAAGACAGTAAAAACAAACAAAAAACAAAACCAAACCAAACAAAACTAAAACAAAACAAAACAAAACTACAGTTTGCCCTCCGTAACTGTGAGTTCCTCATCTGGGGATTCAACTAACTGTGAATCAAAAGTATTTAAAAAGTAAAAAATTAAAAATTAAAACAATGCAATAATAAAAATAATGCAAATAAAAAATACAGAATAACAACTATTTACATAGTATTTATGTTGTCTTTGGTTTTTGCTTTGAAGACAGGTTCTCACTTTATAGCCCAAGCTGGAGTGCATTGGTGCAATCAGGGCTCACTGTAGCCTCCATCTCCCAGGCTCAAGTGATCCTCCCACCTTAGCCGACTGAGTAGCTGGGATTACAGACAGAAAACAGTGTGCCTGGCTATTTTTGTTTTTTAATTTTTGTAGAGATGAGATCTTGCTATGTTGCTCAGACAGTTCTTGAACTCCTGGGTTCAAGCAATCCTCCTGCCTTCAGCCTCACAAAGTGCTGGGATTATAGGCATAAGCCACTGCACCCGGCCTGTATTAATTATAGGTAATCTAGAGATGATTTAAAGTATATGTGAGGATGTGCATAGGTTATATGCAAATATTATACCATTTTACATAAGGGAATTGAGCATGCAAGGGGTCTTGGAACCAGTCCCATTCATGAATACCAAGGGAAAGGGATGACTATATTTAAATAAAAGTGTATGTGAATAGTAATTAAGCCCACACCTAATTATTTTCTCACCGAATTGCAATTTGCATTCAGAGACTGGTTTGTCATATGTGTATGTCTCCCAGAAGAGATGTTATAATAATTAAATAAGATAATTATAAACCCAAATTATCTAGGCCTTTTAGGTTTTTGATACTGTCACATTAACAGTCACTCACATTTTACTTTTCTTATTCCCTTTTCCCTATTTTCCTCTATAATTTATTTGAAAGTTTTTTATGAAACCCAAGAGGCTCTTCATGTGCATTCACAAACAAGTCTGATCCTGCTATGAGTGTCACCATGCCATTTCTAGAGTAACTGTCCACCATTTCTCACCAGGATTCATGTCTTTTGCCAATAACTAGACACCATAACTGATCTATCAGATTTCACAGTGACATCAGAACTTCAATAAGTGAAAATAATGCATATCTCCATATTATATGCCATATTTTGTCACTAAATAAAGGGTAATTGAACCTGTACCTAACATAACCCTGATGCTTCTGATTACAGTCTCTCTCTACTGGGATCCATCAATAGGCCCAGCCAGAGACCAGCTTCTTGTTTCTATGGCTTGTAATCTTTGTCTTCTCCCCTAGACCAGGCATCTAGGTACTAAACTTTATCTCAAAGCAAAAGTATACACGAGATGTACCTCTCTTTGAAATAACTGATGATCTTACCAGGCATATTTAAGTTGGTCTGGGCAAAGAGAAGGATTCCTACAATACCATATATGTAAAGTATCTACCACAATGTGTGAAAAAAATAATGCTAATTGCATCTGTGTTAATTTTTTAGGACTACTGTTGAAAAATGATTACAAACATGGTGGCTGAAAATAGCAGAAATTTATTTTCTCACAGTTCTAAGGCCAGAAGTTCAAAGTCAAGGTGTCAGCACTCCCTCAGAAGGCTTTAGAGGAAAACCTTCTTCCAGCTTCGGTGCTTCCAGGCTTTGCTTGACTTGTGGCTGCTTAACTGTAATCTAACTTGATCTTCCCATGACCTTCTCTATTCCCCATGTGAATCACCTCTGTATGTCACCTATAAAGACATTTGTCATTGTATTTAGGGCTCATCTTGACATTTCATGATGATCTCATCTTGAGACCCTTAACTTGATTACGTTTGCAAAGACCCTTTTTCCAAATAAAGCTACATTCACAGGTTCTGGTAATTAGGTCTTGGACGTAAACATATCTTTTTGGAGGCCATGATTCAACTCACTATCCCATTCATTCATTCTCTCTCTCTCTCAATCATCTATCTATCATGTCATCATCTACCTATCTAATATCTATCTATTTCCCTCTGTCTCTCTCCTCCCTGCATGTCCTTTCTGCTAGCAATTATCATCATATGCTAAAATGTTAAATGTATTTACCTCTGGTTGCTGGAATTGTGAGTGATTTGTTCGCCAGTTTCTGTATAGTGCTATCTCCACTTTGTAAAACAAATACGCACTACGTTCACAATGAAGAAAATAAATTTAATAAATACAAAGTACCATAATCTGTTAAGCAGTAATATATATCTTCAAAAACTTCAATATAAACAGTATTAGTTATTTAACCCAGGAAAGTTTCACAAGTTTTACTTGTTTGTGATAGCAAATACAAAAGCGAATAGTTTAGGGATGGTGGTCTCACTCTAATGATCCACAGGCAAAGTGTTTATTTATTCTCTCAATAAAGAAAGCAAAGCATCTGGTCATAATTTCAGCTTCAGATGACCAAATATTAATTATTTTGCTCATCCAAAACAGATAGTACTCATTTTATTTTCTTAAATACTATAATTATTAGATTTTAGAGAAAAGATGTCTAAAGAAAATAATCATAATTTATGATTTTTAAAAAGTCTATGGTATTGGACAATGGTAGAATATTTATGCCTTTTATTAGCTGGAGATAATATTCACTGGGGCTCTCTTTTGATCTAGCCACCATATTTTTTTTAATAATGTCTGAGTATAGGTATAAGTAAGGTTAATATTACTATAGGGACTTTAGTAAGCTATTGAAATACCATTTGTTTAAAACTTAAATATGTATACCTACAGTTTATAAACACACAAAAAGCTGAAATTTGATTCAGAAGTAAATTTATTCAATAGAACTATCAATTGTGACGGGGTATTAATAACAAACAATTTTCTACTGGAGTTTCCAGCCCATTTTTCTTTTATGTCTCCCATGCATTCAGCTTGAAAGATTCAAGAGCTGTGTTTTCACTAAATAATTCTCCTCTGAGACATATTTGATTGCAGAAGGAACAGACAATCACATTAAGCCATTTTGTAACTATCTTTGGCAAGTGTTTAGATTCATGGTACAAGGATGATAGTCAGTATTTACTGTTCACTTACAGTAACATGAAAATTTGAAAGCTGTAGGGTCACAATTTTTGCACTGTAAATAGAAAAAAATATAATAGCTATGAGTTGGAGAACATTTCAGTCACTTTCAATGTATATTAATATTTAATTTGATGCCTGCCTTTTAGTCTTTCATGTAACCTGGCTGCCACTGTTATCTTTTGTACTGCGTTTGTAGTTTAGATTATTTTACCATGTATGTGCATTAGTTCTCCAAAATAAATATGTAATATTGTTAAATAAATTTTTAATAAAACATATTTTTATCTTCATTTGATTCTCTTTCCATGATTTACTTTGGTTTGTTAATTTGCTATCTTTTAAAATATTTTAAATATTTATGCCTAAAAATTCACTCATAATTCCAGCAACCAGACATAAATATTTAATATGTGCTGAGAACCAAGTACTAGAGGTTGGTACAAAAGTAATTGCGGTTTTTACCGTTACTTTTAAAACCTCAATTACTAGTATTCTAGGCCTGCAGAATCCAATTGTGAACAACTAAGGTCCTTGGTTTAGTGAAGTTTATTTTCTAGAGAAAAACAAACATAACATAGTTTTGAAAATTGACATCATACTGAGTACTAGGAAGAAAATAAATCAGTCAGGTGGATGCCTCTCAAAGTAACAAGTGAGCAGACACTTAAGTGAGAAAATGAGCCACGTGTATATTATTGAACCTCATGTGGCATGATAAACCATGTAGGTTTTACTCTAAGTGAGAAAGTGAACCAGTGCAAAAGTAAGCAATATAGTCTGAAATACATTATAAAAGCATCGCACTTTACATACTGAGGGACAGTAGACTATAGAAGGCAAAAGTAGAAGTAGCAAGATTGAGAGGCCTGTCAAGAGGTTCTTGTAGAAGTCCAGATGAGAAAAGGTGGCTTGAACTGTGAGGGTAGAAGTAGAATAGTGAGTTGCTTGTTTTCAGTATTTATCTTGAAACTAAGTTCCATAATTTTAAAATTTAGTATGCAGTGTTCTATAGACTAAACGTGCCCATTCCAAATTCATATACTAAAACCTAATCCCCTGTGTGAGGGTATTTGCAGGCAGGTCATTTTGAATGTGATTAGGTCATGTGGGCCATCCCCTCATGAATGGAATAGTTCTCTTATGAAAGAGGCCCCAGAGAGATCCTTTCCTCTCTGCCTTGTGAGGACAGAACAAAAAGATGTCCATCTATGAACCAGGAAGCAGGCTCTCACCAGATGTTAAATCTGCTGGTAACTTGATCTTGAACTTCCCAAACCACAGAAGTGTGAAAAATAAATTTCTGTTATTTATAAGCTATTCAGCCTATGGAGTTTGTTATAGCAGCCCAGACAAAGACACAGTGTGAAAGAAATAGACGAGTCAGAGTTGACATCAGAGTTGATGTTGAAGGCGGAGCAGATTTCAAGATGAGAAAACATATGAGGAACATATAAATATCTTACTTTTTAGGTGTTGTCATGTATTTGTGACTTACAAGTACCACAATCAGACCTCTTCCACATTGTAGAATCAGATTCTTATATGATTTGTCATGTATTGATATAGCAATTTAAATAGTTGCACCAGAAGACCATTGCTCCATTCTTGAAGCCAGGTGCCCAAGAGTCTCATTTGTACTTTGTAATTCACATTTTCCCAGTCCCACTTTCTGTGTTTAGTCACTGCCTTATATTATTTTTGTGTGATTTCCTTATCAACAATACCCATCTCTATCTTCTATTAATAGATAAAGGTTAGAGCACATTATTGGAGTCAGTTCATATTGCTTAAATTAATATATTTTCAATTAAATTCCTGATACATTAATATAATTTTAAAATTTCCATTTGGTTGGACAGATTATCATTTAGCTTTTGCTATTTCTTTTTCTCAGTATAAAATGAGAACTTGTTATAAGTGTTTGCCTTTTCATATTTAATGAGTATAATTGAGTTTTGTAATTGACATATATGTTCTTATAAATGAAATATATACTCTTGTGTCTATTATTTGATTTTCTTTAGATATTTTCCAGGTTTACTATATTTATCATGTTATTTAGCCAAGGAATGTTTTATTAATGTGGGTATATAGTAGGTGTATATATTTATGGGTTACATGAGATATTTTGATACAGACATGCAGTGCATAATAATCACATTAGGGTAAATGGGGTATCTATTCCCCTCAAGCATTTATCCTTTGTGTTATAAACAATCTAGTTATACTCTTTTAGCTATTTTTAAATGTACAATTAAATTATTTTTTTTACCGTAATCACCCTATTGTGCTAGCAAATACTAAGTATTATTCATTCTTTCTATTTTTTGTACTTATTAGCCATACCCACTTTCTTCCACACCCAACCACTACCCTTTCCAGCCATTGGTAATCATCTTTCTACTCTCCATATCTATTATTTCTATTATTTTTAGTTCCCACAAATAATTGAAAACGTGTTATGTTTGCCTTTTTGTACCTGGCTTATTTCACTTAACATAATTACCTCAAGTATCACCCATCTCTTCTTGAAAATGACAGGCTCCCATTCTTTATTGTGGCTGAACAAGTACTCCATTGTGTGTATGTACCACATTTTCTTTATTCACTCATCTGATGATGAACACTTAAGTTGCTTATAAATCTTGCCTATTGTGAATAGTGCTGCAGCAAACATGGGAGCACAGGTCTCTCTTCGATATACTGATTTCCTTTCTTTTGGGTATATACCTAGTAGTGAGAATGCTGAATTGTATGGTAGCTCTATTTTTAGGTTTTTGAGGACTGTCCAAACTGTTTTCCATAGTGGTTGTACTAATTTACATTCCCAAGAACAGTAGACAAGGGTTCTCTTTTCTCCACATCCTT